>NC_000005.10:45803374-46435900 GCF_000001405.40 Homo sapiens | reverse complement strand
ACAATGCTTTGCAACGTGTGCATTCAACTCACAGAGTTGAACCTTTCTTTGAGAGAGCAGTTTTGAAACAGTCTTTTTGTAGTATCTGAAAGTGGATATTTGCAGTGATTTGAGGCCGAAGAAGGAAAAGGAAATACCTTCAAATAAAAAACTAGACGGAAGCATTTTCAGAAATTGCCTTGTGACGTGTGCATTCAACTCACAGAATTGAACCTTCCTTTTGAGAGAGAACTTTTGAAACAGTCTTTTTGTAGTATCTGCAAATGCATATTTGGAGCGAATTGAGTCCTATGATGGAAAAGGAAATAACTTCACATACAAATTAGACAGAAGCAGTCTCAGGAACTGCTTTATGATGTGTGCATTCAACTCGCAGATTTTAGTTTTCCTTTTGAGAGAGAGGTTTTGAAACAGTCTTTTTACAGTATCTATCTGCAAGTGCATATTTGTAGTGATTTGAGGGCTAAGATGGAAAAGGAAATAGCTTCAGATAAAAAACTAGACGGAAGCATTTTCAGAAACTGCCTTGTGATGTGTGCATTCAACTCACAGAGTTGAACCTCCTTTTGAGAGTCCGGTTTTGAAACAGTCTTTTTGTAGTGTCTGCAAGTGGATATTTGCAGTGATTTGAGGCCGAAGAAAGAAAAGGAAATACCTTCAAATAAAAAACTAGATGGAAGCATTTTCAGAAACTGCCTTGTGATGTGTGCATTCAACTCACAGAGTTGAACCTTCCTTTTGAGAGTGAAGTTTTGAAACAATCATTTTGTAGTATTTGCAAGTGAATATTTGGAACGATTTGAGGCCTATGATGGAAAAGGAAATATCTTCAGATACAAACTAGACAGAAGCAATCTCTGGAACTGCTTTGTGATGTGTGCATTCAACTCACGGTGTTGAACCTTCCTTTTGAGAGAGCAGTTTTGAAACAGTCTTTTTGTAGTATCTGAAATTGGATATTTAGAGTGACTTGAGTCCTATGATGGAAAAGGGAATATCTTCACATAAAAATTGGACAGAAGCATTCTCAGAAACTTCTTCGTGGTGTGTGAATTCACCTCTTGGAGTGGAACCCTTCTTTTGATAGAGCGGTTTTGAGGCAGTCTTTTATGAGGATCTGCCAGTTCTCATTTGGAGCGCTTTGAAGCCTATGGTGGAAAAGGAGATATATTCACATAAAAACTAGAAAGAAGCATTCTCAGGAACTTCACTGAGTTGTGTGCATTTAACTAACAGAGTTGAATCTGTCTTTAGATAGACCAGCATTTAAACACTCCTTTTTGTAGAATCTGCATGTGGATATTTCGAACACTTTGAAGAATTCGTTGCAAACGGGTATCTTCACATGAAAAGTAGACCCATGCATTCTCCGAAAGTTCACTGGGATGTGTGCATTCAACTCACAGACTTGAAACTTTCTTTTGATAGAGCAGTGTAGAAACACGCTTTTTGTACAACCTGCAAGAGTTCCTTTGGAGCGCTTTGTTGTCTATGGTGGAAAAAGAAATATCTTGAAATAAAAGTTAGACAGAAGGATTCTCAGAAACCCCTTTGGATGTGTGAGTTCAATTAACAGAGTAGAACCTTTCTATTGATAGATCAGTTTTAAAACACTGCTTTTGTAGAATCTGCTTGTGGATATTTGGAGCTCTTTGAGGAATTCGTTGTAAATGGAATACCTTCATATACAGACTAGACAGAAGCATTCTCAGAAACTGCTATGTGATGTGTGTATTCAACTCACACAGTTGAAACTTCCTTTTGAGAGAGCAGTTTTGAAAGTCTTTTTGTAGTATCTGCAAGTGGATCTTTTAGTGATTTGAGGCGATTTAGATGGAAAAGGAAATGACTTCACATACAAACCAGTCAGAAGCATCCTCAGAAACTGCTTTCTGTTGTGTGTGTTCAACTCACGGTCTCGAACCTTTATTTGGAGAGAGCAGTGTTGAAACACACTTTTTGTAAAATCTGCAAGTTTTCATTCCGTGTGCTTTGTTCTCTATGGTGGAAAGAAAATATCGTTACTTAAAAATGTAGACAGAATCATTCTCAGAAACTGATTTGTGATGTGTGCAATCTACTCACAGACTTGGAGATTTGTTTTGATACAGCAGTGTTAAAACACAGTTTTTGTGAAATCTGCAAGTGTTCATTTGCAGCGTATTGTTGCCTATGGTAGAAGAAGAATTATCTTCATAGAAACACTAGACAGAAGCATTCTCAGAAACTCCTTTGTGATGTTTGTGTTCAATTCCCAGAACTGAACCTTTCTTTTGATAGAGCAGGTTTGAAGCACTGCTTTTGTAGAATCTGCTTCCAGATATTTAGAGCTCTCGGAGGAATTCGTTGTAAACGGGATATCTTCACATTCTAACTAGACAGAAGCTTTCTCAGAAACTACTTTCTGATGTGTGCATTCAACTCACAGAGTTGAACCTTCCATTGGAGAGAGTAGTGTTGAAACGGTATTTTTGAATTATCTACAATTGGATATTTGGAGCGATTTGAGGCCTATGATGGAAAAGGAAACATCTTCACATACAAACTAGACATGATGGGAAAGGAAATGTCTTCACATAAAACAGGCGCTTTGAGGCCTGTTGTGGAAAACGAAATAACTTCACATGAAAACTAGAGTGTAGTATTCTGACGAATTTCTTTGTGATGTGTGCATTCATCTCACAGAGTTAAAGCTTTCTTTTCATTGAGTAGTTTTGAAACACTGTTTTTGTAGCATCTGCAAGTGGATATTTGGAGCACTTTGCCGCCTCTGTAGGAAAAGGAAGTATCTTCACATAAAAACTAGACAGAAGCATTCTGAGAAACTTTTGTGAGACGTGTGCATTCCTCTCACAGAGTTGAAATTGTCATTTGATTGAGCAGTTTTGAAACCCTCTTTTTGTAGAATCTGCAAGTGAATATTGGGAGCTCTTTGGGGCATATGGTAGAAAAGGAAATATCTTCACATAAAAACTACACAGAAGCATTCTGTGAAATTTCTTTGTGATGTGCGCATTCAACTCACAGAGTTGAACATTTCTTTTGATTAAGCAGTTTTAAAACACTCTTTCTGTGGAATCTGCAAGTGGATATTTCGACCGATTTATGGCCTGTGGTGGAAAAGGAAATGTCTTCAAATAAAAACTAGACAGAAGCATTCGGAGAAACTACTTTGTGATGTGTGCATTCATCTCACAGAGTTGAACATTTCTTTTGATTCATCAGTTTTGAAACACTCTTTTTGTAGAATCTGCAAGTGGATATTTGGAGCCCTTTGCGACATATACTGGAAAAGGAAATACCTTCACATAAAAACTACACAGAAGCATTCTGAGAAACATCTTTGTGATGTGTACATTCATCCCACAGAGTTGAACCTTTATTTTGATTTAACAGTTTTGAAACTCTCTTTTTAGAATCTGCAAGGAGATGTTTTGAGCACTTTGAGGCCTATTGTGAAAAAGGAAATATCTTCACATAAAAACTACCGAGAAGCATTTTGAGAAACTTTTTTGTGATGTGTACATTTAACTCAAAGAGTTGAACTTTTCTTTTGATTTAGCAGTTTTGAGTCACTCTTTTTGTCAAATCTGCAAGTGGATATACAGAGCACTTTGATGCCTATGGTGGAAAAGGAAATATCTTCGCCTTAATACTAGACAGAAGCATTCTGTGAAACTTCTTTGTGATGTGTGCATTCAACTGAAAGATTTGAACATTTCTTTTGATTAAGTATTTTTGAAACACTCTTTTTGTGGAATCTGCATGTAGATATTTGGAGCCCTTTTTGGCCTATAGTGCAAAAAGAAATATCTTCACATAAAAACTAGACAGAAACATTCTGAGAAAGCGCTTTGTGATGTGTGCATTCATCTCACAGATTGGAATCTTACTTTTGATTGAACAGTTTTGAAACACTTTTTTTGTGGAATCTGCAAGTGGATATTTGAAGCGATTTGAGGCCTATGGAGGAAACGGAAATCTCTTCACATATAAACTAGACAGAAGCATTCTAAGAATCCTCTTTGTGATGTGTGCATTCACCTCACAGAGTTGAAAATTGTTTTGATTGATCACTTTTGAAACACTCTTTTTGTAGAATCTGCAAGTCCATATTTGGACAGATTTCAGGCCTATGGTGGAAAAGGAAATATCTTCACATAAAAACTAGACAGCAGCATTCTGAGAAACTTCTCTGTGATGTTTGCATTAACCTCATACAGTTTAAACTTTCTTTTCATTGAGCAGGTTTCAAACACGGTTTTTGTAGAATCTGCAGGTGGATATTTTGGGTGCTTTGTGGCCTATGGTAGAAAAGGAAATATGTTTTCCTAAAAACTAGACGAAGGATTCTGAGAAACTTCTTTGTTATGTGTGCATTAATCTCACAGAGTTGAACCTTTCTTTTGATTGAGCGGTTTGGAAACACTCTTTTTGTGGAATCTTCAAGTGGATATTTGGAGCGCTTTGAGGCCTTTGGTGGAAAACGAAATATCTTCACATAAAAATTACACAGAAGCATTCTGAGAAACTTCTTGGTGATGTGTGCATTCTTGTCACAGAGTTGAAACTTTCTTTTCATGGAGCAGTTTTGAAACACTCTTTTTGTAGAATTTGCAAGGGCATATTTTGAGCGCTTTGAGGCCTGTTGTGTAAGAGGAAATATCTTCACATAAAAACTAGACAGAAGCATTCTGTAAAACTTCTTTGTGATTTATGCATTCATCTCACAGAGTTGAATATTTCTTTTGATTCTTCAGTTTTGAAACACTCTTTTTGTAGAATCTGCAAGTGGATATTTCGAGCGCTTGGTGTCCTACGATGGAAAAGGAAATACCTTCACAAAAAAAACTGCACAGAAGCATTTTGAGAAACTTCTTTGTGATGTGTGCATTCAAATCACAGAGTTGAACCTACCTTTTGATTGAGCAGTTTTGAAACTCTCTTTTTGTAGAATCTGCAAGTGGATATTTTGAGCCCTTTTCTGCCTATGGTGGATAAGGAAATATCTTCATACAAAAAAACAAAGAAGCATTCTGAGAAACTTCTTTGTGATGTGTGCATCCATCTCACATATTTGAAACTCTCTTTTGATTGCGCAGTTTGGAAACCATGTTTTTGTGGTGTCAGCAAATTGATATTTGGAGAGGTTTGATGCCTTTGGTGGAAAAGGAAAGATCTTCACATTAAAACCATATAGAAGCATTATGTGAAACTTCTTTGTGATGTGTGCATTCATCTCACAGATTTGAAACTTTCTTTTCATTGAGCAGTTTTGAAACACTCTCTGTAGAATCTGCAAGTGGATATTTTGGGCACTTTCAGGCCTATGGTAGAAAAGGAAATATCTTCTCATAAAAAGTACACGGAAGCATTATGAGAATCTTCTTTGTGATTTTTGCTTTCAACTCACAGAGTTGAAACTTTCTTTTGATTGAGCATTTTTGAAACACTCTTTTTGTGAAATCTGCATGTGGATATTTGAAGAGATTTGCGGCCTATAGTGCAAAAGGAAATACCTTCACATAAAAACTAGAGAGAAGCATTCTGAGAAACTTCTTTGTGATGTGTGCATATATCTCACAAAGTTGAAACTTTCTTTTGATGGAGCAGTTTTGAAACACTCTTTTTGTAGAATCTGCAGTGGATATTTGGAGTGTTTGGAGGTCTTTTGTGGAAAAGGAAATATCTTCACATAGAAACTATACAGAAGCATTATGAGAAACTGCTTTGTAATGTGTGCATTCATCTCACAGAGTTGAACATTTGTTTTGATTGAGCAGTCTTGAAACATTCTTTTTGCTGAATCACCAAGAGGATATTTGGATCACTTTGAAGCCTATTGTGGAAAAGAAAATATCATCATATAAAATCTACACGGAAGCATTCTGAGAAACTTCCTTGTTATGTGTGCATTTAACTCACAGAATTGAACCTTTGTTTTGATTGCGCACTTTGGAAACAGTGTTTTTGTGGTATCTGCAAATGGATATTTGGAGAGGATTGAGGCCTATGGTGGAGAAGGAAATAATTTTACCTAAAAACTAGACAGAAGCATTCTGATAAACTTCTCTGTGATGCGTGCATTCATCTCACAGAGTTGCATCTTTCTTAGCATTTAGCAGTTTTGAAAGTCTCTTTTTGTAGAATCTCCAAGTGGACAATTGGAGCAATTTGAGACCTAAAGTGGAAAAGGGAATATCTTCTCAAAAAACTATACAGAAGCATTCTGAGAAACTTCTTTGTGATGTGTGCATTCATCTCACAGAGTTGAACCTTTCTTTTCATTGAGCAGTTTTGAAACAGTCTTTTTGAAGGATCTGCAAGTGAAAATTTGGAGCGCTTTGAGGCCTATGGTTGAAAAGGAAATATCTTCAAATAAAAACTAGACAGAAGTATTCTGAGGAATTTCTTTGTGATGTGTGCATTCATCTCACAGAGTCGAACCTTTCTTTGGATTGAGCAGTTTGTAAACACCCTTTCTGTAGAATCTGCAATTGGATATTTGGAGCGCTTTGAGGCCCATGGTGGAAAAGGGGATATCTTCATTAAAAACTTCACAGAAGCATTCTGAGAAACTTCTTTGTGATGTGTGCATTCATCTCACAGTGTTGAGACTTTCTTTTCATTGAGCAGTTTTGAAGCACTCTTTTTGAAGAAGCTCCAAATGGATATTTGGAGCACTTTGGGGCCTATGGGGGGAATGGAAATATCTTCACATAAAAACTAAACAGAAGCATTCTGAGAAACCACTTTGTGATGTGTGCATTCAACTCACAGAGGTTAAACTTTCTTTTGATTGAGGAGTTTTGAAACACTCTTTTTGGAGAATCTGCATGTGGATATTAGGAGCACTTGGCAGCCTATAGTGCAAAAGGAAATAACTTCATATAAAAACTAGACAGAAGCGTTGTGAGAAACTTCTTTGTGATGTGTGCATTCATCTCACAGAGTTGAACAATTCTTTTGATTGAGTGGTTTTGAAACTTTCTCTTTCTAGTATCTCCAAGTGGATATTTGGAGTGTTTTGAAGCCTATTGTGGAAAAGGAAATACCTTCACATGAAAACTATACAGAAGCATTCTGAGAAACTTCATCGTGACTTGTGCACTTTACTCAGATATTGGAATTTTTATTTTGATTTCGCACTTTGGAAACTGTTTTCGTGCTATCTGCAAATGGATATTTGGAATTTTGAGGCCATTGGTGGAAACGGAAATATCTTTACATAAAAACTACACAGAGGCATTTTGAGAAAGTCCTTTGTGATATGTGCATTCATCTCACAGAGTTGAAACTTTCTTTCCATTGAGCAGTTTTGTAACACTCTTTCTGTAGGAACTGCAAGTGGATATTTCGTGTATTTTGTAGAAACTACAAGTGGATATCTGGAGCGCTTTGAGGGCTAATGTGGAAAATGAAATATCTTCACCTACAAACTAGACAGAAGCATTCTGAGAAACTTCTTTGTGATGTGAGCATTCAGCTTACAGAGTTGAAACTTTCTTTTGATTGAGCAGTCTTGAAACCCTTTTTTGTAGAATCTGCAAGTGGATATTTGGAGCTCTTCGAGGCCTATTGTGGAAAAGGAAATATCTTCACATAAAAACTAGAGAGAACAATTCTCATAAACTTCTTTCTGATGTGTTCATTCATCTCACAGAGTTGAACTTTTGTTTTCATTGAGCAGTTTTGAAACACTCTTTTTGTAGAATCTGAAAGTGGATATTTGGAGTGCTCTGAGGCCAATAATGGAAAAGGAAATATCTTCACATAAAAACTACACAGAAGCATTCTGAGAAACTTCTCTGTGATGTGCGCGTTCAACTCACAGATTTGAACCTATATTTTGTTTGAGCAGTTTTGAAACTCTCCTTTTGGAGAAACTGCAATTGGATATTTGGGGCCCTTTTCGTCCTATGGTGGGAAAGGAAATATCTTCACATAAAAACTACACAGAAGCATTCTGAGAAGCTTCTTTGTGATGTGTGCCTTCATCTCACAGAGTTCAACTTTTCTTTAGATTGATCAGTTTTGAAACACTATTTTTGCAGATTTTGCAAGTGGATATTTGGAGCACTTTGAGGCCTTTTGTTGAAAAGGAAATATCTTCACATAAAAAATAAACGGAAGAATTCTGACAAACTTCTTTGTGATGTGTGCTTTCAACTCACAGAGTTGTACCTTTCTTTTGAGTGAGTAGTTTGGAAACACTGTTTTTGTAGAATCTGCAAATGTATATTTGGAGCGCTTTGAGGCCTATGGTGCAAAAGGAAATATCTTCCTATGAAAACTTCACTGAAGCATTCTGAAAAACTTCTTTGCGATGTGTTTGTTCAACTCACAGAGTTGAACATTTCTTTTGATTCAGCAGTACTGAAACATTCATTTTGGAGAATCTACAAGTGGATATTTGAGAGCTTTGCAGCCTATGGTGGAAAAGAATATATCTTCACATAAAAACTTCACAGAAGCATTCTGAGAAACTTCTTTGTGATGTGTGCATTCAACTCACAGAGTTGAAACTTTCTTTTGATTGAGCAGTTTTGAAACACACTTTTTGTAGATACTACAAGTAAATATTTGGAGTGCTTTTAGTCCTATGGTGGAAAAGGAAATAACTTCACATAATAACTAGATGGAAGCATTTTGAGAAACTTCTTTCTGATGTGTCCATTCATCTCACAGAGCTGAACCTTTGTTTACATTGAGGAGTTTTAAACACACTTTTTGTAGATTCTGCAAGTGTACATTTGGAGCGCTTGAAGGTCTATGGTGGAAAAGGAAATATCTTCACATAAAAACTGCAGTGGAGCACTCTGAGAAACCTCTTTGTGATGTGTGCGTTCAACTCACAGGGTTGAACCTTTCTTTTGATTGAGCAGTTTTCAAACTCTCTTTTTGTAGAAACTGCAAGTGGATATTTGGAGCCCTTTGCAGCCTTTAGTGGAAAGGAAATATCTTTACATAAAAACTAGACAGAAGCATTTTGAGAAACTTCTTTGTGGTGGGTGCATTCAACTCACTGAGTTGAAAATTTCTTTACGTTGAGCCGTTTTGAAACCCTCTTTTTGGAGAATCTACAAGTGGATATTTGGAGGGTTTTGAGACCTATTGTGGGAAAAGGAAATATCTTCACATAAAAACTAGACAGAAGCATTCTGAGAAACTTCTTTGTTATGTGTGCATTCGTCTCACAGAGTAGTACCTTTCTTTTGATTGAGCAGTTTTCAAACACTCTTTTGTCCCATCTGCAAGTGGATATTTAGAGCACTTTGAGGCATATGGTAGAAAAGGAAATAGCCTCACATAAAAACTACAAAGAAACATTCAGAGAAACTTCTTTGGGATGGGTGGATTCAACTCACAGGGTTGAACCTTTCTTTTGATTGAGCAGTTTTGAACCACTCTTTTGTAGAATCTTTGAGTCCTGTGGTGGAAAAGGAAATATCTTCACATAAAAACTAGACAGAAGCATATTGACAAACTTCTGTCTGATGTGTGCATTCATTTCACAGATATGACCCTTTGTTTTCATTAAGCAGTTTTGAAACACAATTTTTGTAGACTCTGCAAGTGAATATTTGGAGCACATTTAGGCCTATGTTTGAAAAGGAAATATCTTCCCATAGTAAATAGACAGAAGCATTTTGAGAAACTTCTTTCTGATGAGTCCATTCATCTCACAGAGCTGAAACTTTGGTTTCATTGAGCAGTTTTGAAACACTCTTTTTGAAGAATCTGCAGGTGGCTATTTGGAGCCCTTGGAGGCCTATGGTGGGAAAGAAAATATCCTCACATAAAAACTACACAGAAGCGTTCTGAGAAACTTCGTTGTGATGTGTGCATTCAACTCACAGGGTTGAACCTTTCTTTTGATTGAGTATTTTTGAAACACAATTTGTAGATTCTGCAATTTAGAGCACTTTGAGGCCTGTTGTGGAAAAAGAAATAACTTCACATAAAACATAGAAGAATTGTGACAAACTTCATTCTGATGTGTGCATTCATCTCACAGAGTTGAAATTTTGTTTTCATTGAGCAGTTTTGAAACACTTTTTGTAGAATCTGCAAGTGGATATTTCAAGCATTTTGAGGTCAATGTGGAAAAACTATATCTTCACATAAAAACTGGACAGAAGCATTCTGAGAAACTTCTTTGTGATGTGTGGGTTGAAGTCACAGAGTCCAACCTTTCTTTTGATTGAGCAGTTTGAAAACACTCTTTTTGTTGAATCTGTAAGTGGATATTTGGAGTGATTTGAGGCCTTTGGTGGAAAAGGAAATATCCTTACATAAAAAGTAGACAGAAGAATTCTGAGAAACTTCTTTGTTTGTGTGCATTCAGCTCAGAGAGTTGAACCTGTATTTTGATTGATCAGTTTTGAAACTCTCTTTTTGTAGAATCTGCAAGTGGATATTTGGAGCCCTTTACGGCCTACAGTGAGAAAGGAAATATCTTCATATAAAAACTACACAGAAGCATTCTGAGAAACTTCTTTGTGATGTGTGCATTCCTCTCACAGAGTTGAACCTCTCTTTCGATTAAGCTGTTTGGAAACACTCTTTTTGAAGACTCTGCAAGGGGATATTTGGAGCACTTTGAGGTCTATGGAGGAAAAGAAAATATCTTCTCATAAAAACTAGACAGAAGCGTTCTGAGAAACTTCTTTTGGATGTGTAGATTAAAATCACAGAGGTGAACATTTCTTTTGATTGAGCCGTATTGAAACACTCTTTTTGTAGTATCTGCAAGTGGATATTTGGAGAGCTTTAAGGCCTATGGTGGAAAAGGAAATATCTTCACATAAAAACTGGACAGAAGCATTCTGAGAAACTACTTTGTGATGTGTATATTCATCTCACAGATTTGAACCATTCTTATGATTGAGAAACTTGGAAACCCTCTTTTTGTAGAGTCTGAAAGTGGATATTTGGAGCGCTTTGAGGCCTATGGTGGAACAGCAAATATCCTCAAATAAAAACTACACAGAATCATTCTGAGAAAGTTCTTTGTCATGTGTGTGTTCAACTCACAGGGTTGAAACTATCTTTTGATAGAGCTGTTTTGCAACACTCTTTTTGTAGAATCTGCAAGTGGACATTTTGAGCGCTTGGAGGGCTTTTTTTTTTATTATACTTTAAGTTTTAGGGTACATGTGCACATTGTGCAGGTTAGTTACATATGTATACATGTGCCATGCTGGTGCACTGCACCCACTAACTCATCATCTAGCATTAGGTATATCTCCCAATGCTATCCCTCCCCCCTCCCCCCACCCCACCACAGTCCCCAGAGTGTGATATTCCCCTTCCTGTGTCCAGGTGATCTCATTGTTCAATTCCCACCTATGAGTGAGAATATGTGGTGTTTGGTTTTTTGTTCTTCCGATAGTTTACTGAGAATGATGGTTTCCAGTTTCATCCATGTCCCTACAAAGGACATGAACTCATCATTTTTTATGGCTGCATAGTATTCCATGGTGTATATGTGCCACATTTTCTTAATCCAGTCTATCATTGTTGGACATTTGGGTTGGTTCCAAGTCTTTGCTATTGTGAATAATGCCGCAATAAACATACATGTTCATGTGTCTTTATAGCAGCATGATTTATAGTCCTTTGGGTATATCCCAGTAATGGGATGGCTGGGTCAAATGGTATACCTACAACATGGGAGAAAATTTTCACAACCTACTCATCTGACAAAGAGCTAATATCCAGAATCTACAATGAACTCAAACAAATTTACAAGAAAAAAACAAACAACCCCATCAAAAAGTGGGCGAAGGACACGAACAGACACTTCTCAAAAGAAGACATTTATGCAGCCAAAAAACACATGAAAAAATGCTCACCATCACTGGCCAACAGAGAAATGCAAATCAAAACCACTATGAGATATCATCTCACACCAGTTAGAATGGCAATCATTAAAAAGTCAGGAAACAATAGGTGCTGGAGAGGATGTGGAGAAATAGGAACACTTTTACACTGTTGGTGGGACTGTAAACTAGTTCAACCATTGTGGAAGTCAGTGTGGCGATTCCTCAGGGATCTAGAACTAGAAATACCATTTGACCCAGCCATCCCATTACTGGACTGTGTTGGAAAAGGAAATATCTTCACAGAAAAACTAGACAGAAGCATTCTCAGAAACTTCTTTTAGATGTTTGCATTCAAGTCACAAAGTGGAACATTGCTTTTCATAGAGCAGTTTTGAAACACTCTTTTTGTAGAATCTGCAAGTGGATATTTGGACCGCTGTGAGGCCTGCGGTGGAAAAGGAATTATATTCACATAAAAACTAGAAAGAAGCATTCTCAGAAACTTCTTTGTGATGGGTACATTCAACTCACAGAGTTGAACCTTCCGTTTGAAAGAGTAGCTTTGAAACACTCTTTTTGTAGAATCTGCAGGTGGATAATTGGAGTGCTTTGAAGCCTTCGTTGGAAACGGAAATATCATCACATAAAAACTAGGCAGAAGCCTTCTCAGAAACTTCTTTGTGATGATTGCATTCAACTCACAGGTTTGAACATTCCCTTTGATAGAGCAGTTTTGCAACACTCTATTTGTACAATCTGCAAGTGGCTATTCGGAGCACTTTGAGGCCTATGGTAGAAAAGGAAGTATCTTCATATAAAAACTAGACAGAAGGATCCTCAGAAACTACTTTGTAATGTGTGCATTAAACTCAGAGAGTTTAATTTTTCTTTTGATAGAGCAGTTTTGACACACTCTTTTTGTAGAATCTGCAAGTGGAAACTTGGAGCACTTTGAGGGTTGTGGGGGAAAAGGAAATATCTTCACATAAAAACTAGACAGAAGCATTGTCAGAAACTTCTTTGTGATGTTTACATTCAACTCACGGAGTTGAACGTTTCTTTTGATAGAGCCGTTTTGAAACACTCTTTGTGTAGAATCTGCAAGCGGAAATTTGGGGCACTTTGAGGCATATGGTAGAAAAGGAAATATCTTCACATAAAAACCAGACAGAAGAATTTTCAGAAAATAATTTTTGTTGTGTGCATTCAACTCACAGAGTTGAACCTTTCCTTTGATAGAGCAGATTTGAAGCACTCTTTTTGTAGAATCTGCAAGTGGACATTTGGAGCTCTTTGAGGGCTATGGTGGAATATGAAATATCTTCACATAAAAAGCAGACAGAAGCATTCCCAGAAACTTCACTGTGATATGTGCATTCAACTGACAGAGTTAAACTTTCTTTTTGATAGAGCAGTTTTGAAACACTCTTTTTGTAGAATCTGCAAGTGGATATTTGTACCCCTTTGAGGACTTCTTTGGAAACGGGAATATCTTCATATAAAAAATAGACAGAAGCATTCTCAAAAACTCCTTTTCATGTGTGCATTCAACTCACAGAGTTGAAATTTCCTTTTGATAGAGCAGTTTAGGAGCACTCTTTTCGTAGGATCTGCAAGTGGATATTTGAACCCATTTCAGGTCTGTGATGGAAAAGTAATTATATTCACGTAAAAAGAAGACAGAAACATTCTCAGAAACTTATTTGTGATGTTTGCATTCAACTCACACGGTTTAACATACGTATTCATAGAACAGTTATGAAACATTCTTTTTGCAGAATCTGAAAGTGCATATTTGGACCGCTTTGGGGCCTTTGTTAGAAACGGGTACATCTTCACATAAAAACTAGACAGAAGCATTCTGATAAACTTCTTTGTGATCTGTCCATTCAACCCACGGAATTGAACCTTTTTTTGGATAAAGAAGTTTTGTTACACTCTTTTTGTAGAATTTGCAAGGGGACATTTTGAGCTCTTTGAGGCCTCCGTTGGAAAAGGAAGTATCTTTGCTTAAACACTAGACAGAAGCTTCTAGGCTTTTTATGGTTTTAGGTCTGACGTTTAAGTCTTTAATACATCTTGAATTGATTTTTGTATAAGGTGTAAGGAAGGGATCCAGTTACAGCTTCCTACATATAGTTAGCCAGTTTTCCAAGCACCACTTATTAAATAGGGAATCCTTTCCCCATTGCTTGTTTTTCTCAAGTTTGTCAAAGATCAGATAGTTGTAGATATTTGGCATTATTTCTGAGGGCTATGTTCTGTTCCATTGATCTATATGTCTGTTTTGGTACCAGTACCATGCTGTGTTGGTAACTGTAGCCTTGGAGTATAGTTTGAAGTCAGGTAGTGTGATGTCTCCAGCTTTGTTCTTTAGGCTTAAGTTTGACTTGACGATGCAGGCTCTTTTTTGGTTCCATATGAACTTTAAAGTAGTTTTTTTTTCCAATTCTGTAAAGAAAGTCATTGGTAGCTTGATGGGGATGACATTCAGTCAGTAAATTACCTTGGGCAATATGGCAATTTTCACGATATTAGTTCTTCCTACCCATGAGCATGGAATATTCTTCCATTTGTTTATCCTCTTTTATTTCCTTGAGCAGTGGTTTGTAGTTCTCCTTGAAGAGGTCCTTCACATCACTTGTAAGTTGGATTCCTAGGTATTTTATTCTCTTTGAAGCAATTGTGAATGGGAGTTCACTCATGATTTGGCTCTCTGTTTATCCGTCGTTGGTGTATAAGAATGCTTGTGATGTTTGTACATTGATTTTGTATCCTGAGACTTTGCTGAAGTTGCTTATCAGCTTAAGGAGATTTTGGGCTGAGAATATGGAGTTTTCTAGATATACAATCATGTCTTCTGCAAACAGGGACAATTTGACTTCCTCTTTTCCTAATTGAATACCCTTTATTTCCTTCTCCTGCCTGATTGCCCTGGCCAGAACTTCCAACATTATGTTGAATAGGAGTGGCGAGAGAGGACATCACTGTCTTGTGCCAGTTTTCAAAGGGAATGCTTCCAGCTTTTGCCCATTCAGTATGATATTGGCTGTGGGTTTGTCATAGATAGCTCTTTGGCATTACCATTCAGGACAGAGGCATGGGCAAAGACTTCATGTCTAAAACACAAAAAGCAATGACAACAAAAGCCAAAATTGACAAATGGATCTAATTAAACTAAAGAGCTTCTGCACAGCAAAAGAAACTACCATCGGAGTGAACAGGCAACCTACAAAATGGGAGAAAATTTTCACAACCTACTCATCTGGCAAAGGTTTAATATCGAGATTCTACAATGAACCCAAACAAATTTACAAGAAAAAAACAAACAACCCCATCGAAAAGTAGGCAAAGGACATGAACAGACACTTCTCAAAGGAAGACATTTATGCAGCCAAAAAACACATGAAAAAATGCTCATCATCACTGGCCATCAGAGAAATGCAAATCAAAACCAAAATAAGATACCATCTCATACCAGTTAGAATGGCAATCATTGAAAAGTCAGGAAACAACAGGTGCTGGAGAGGATGTGGAGAAATAGGAACACTTTTACACTGTTGGTGGGACTGTAAACTAGTTCAACCATTGTGGAAATCAGTGTGGCGATTCCTCAGGGATCTAGAACTGGAAATACCATTTGACCCAGCCATCCCATTACTGGGTATATAACCAAGGGACTATAAATCACGCTGCTATAAAGACATATGCACATGTATGTTTAATGCAGCATTATTCACAATAGCAAAGACTTGGAACCAACCCAAATGTCCAACAATGATAGACTGGATTAAGAAAATGTGGCACATATACACCATGGAATACTATGCTGCCATAAAAATGATGAGTTCATGTCCTTTGTGGGGACATGGATGAAATTGGAAATCATCATTCTCAGTGAACTATCGCAAGAACAACAAACCAAGCACCGCATATTCTCACTCATAGGTGGGAATTGAACAATGAGCACACATGCACACAGGAAGGGGAACATCACACTCTGGGGACTGTTGTGGGTTGCAGGCAGTGGGGAGAGATAGCATTGGGAGATATACCTAATGCTAGATGACGAGTTACTGGGTGCTGCGCACCAGCATGGCACATGTATACATGTTACTAACCTGCACGTTGTGCACATGTACCCTAAAATGTAAAGTATTATAATAATAATAATAATTACTATTTGCTATAGATTCTGATTGTTTTAATTAAAAAAACAAGATGGAATCATTCTTAGAAACTTCTTTGTGATGTGTGCAATCAAATCACAGATTTGAACATTCCTTTTAATAGAGCAGTTTTGAAACATTCTTTTTGTAGGATCTGCAAGTTGATATTTGGAAAGCTTTGAAGCCTTCATTGGAAACGGGAATAACTTCACTTAAAAATTAGACTGAAGCATTCTCAGAAACTTTTTTGTGATGTGTGCATTCAACTCACTGTGTTGAACCGTCATTTTGATAGAGGAGTTTTGAAACACTCTTTTTGTAGAATCTGCAAGTGGATATTTGGAGCAATGTGAGGTCTTCGTTGGAAACAGGAATATCTTCACATAAAAACCAGACAGAAATACTCTCAGAAACTTCTTTGTGATGTTTGCATTCAACCCACAGAGTTTAGAACACCTTTTCATAGAGCAGTTTTGTGACACTCTTTTTGTGCAATCTGCAATTGGATGTTTGGGCCGCTTTGAGGCCTTCATTGGAAACGTGAATATCTTCACATAAAAACTAGACAGAAGCATTCTCACAAACTTCTTTGTGATGTTGGCATTCATCTCACAGAGTTGAACATACCTTTTCATAGAGCAGTTTTGAAACAATCTTTTTATAGGATCTGCAAGTAGATACTTGGACCGCTTTGAGGCCTTCGTTGGAAACGTGAATATCTTCACATAAAAACGAGACAGAAGCATTCTCAGAAACTTCTTTGTGATGTGTGCTTTCAACTCACAGAGTTGCACCTCCTTTTAATAGAGCAGTTTTGCAACACTCTTTTTGTAACACCTGCAAGTGGATACTTGGAGCGCATTGAGGCCTATGGTAGAAAAGGAAATATCTTCATATAAAAACTAGACAGAAGCATTCTCAGAAACTACTTTGTGATGTGTGCATTCAACTCACAGTGTTGAACCTTCTTTTTATAGAGCTGTTTTGAAAAAGTCTTTTTGTACAATCTGCGAGTGGACATTTGGAGAGCTTTGAAGGCTATGTTGGAAAAGGAAATATCTGCACATAAAAACGAGACAGAAGCATTCTCAGAAATTTCTTTGTGATGATTGCATTCAACACACAGAGTTTAACATACCTCTTCCTAGAGCAGTTTTGAAACACTCTTTTTGTAGAATCTGCAAGTGGATATTTGGAACGCTTTGAGGGCTATGGTGGAAAAGGAAATATCTTCACATAAAAACTAGACAGAAGCATTCTCATTAACTCATTTGTTATGTGTGCATTCAACTCATAGAGTTGAACCTGCGTTTTGATAGAGCAGTTTTGATACTCTCTTTTTGTAGAATCCGTAAGTGGACATTTGAAGCACTTTGAGGTCTGTGGTGGAAAAGAAATATGTTCATATAAAACTAGACAGAAGCATTATCAGAAACTTTTATGTGATGTTTGCATTCAACTCACAGAGTTGAACATACCTTTTAATACTGCCGTTTTGAAACACACTTTTTGTAGAATCAGCAAGTTCATATTTGGATTGCTTTGAGGCATTCGTTGGAAGCGGGAATAACTATACATAAAAACTAGATAGAAGCATTCTCAGAAACTTCTTTGTGATGTGTGCATTCAATTCACAGAGGTGAACCTTCGTTTTGCTAGAGCAGTTTTGAAACAGTCTTTGTAGAATCTGCAAGTGGATATTTGGAGCGCATTGAGGCCTATGGTGGAAAAGGGAATATCTTCGTATATAAACTAGACAGAAGCATTCTCAGAAACTTCTTTGTGATGTGTGCATTCAACTCACAGGGTTCAACCTTTCTTTTGATAGAGCTGTTTTGAAACACTCTTTTTGTAGAATCTGCAAGTGGACATTTGGAGCACTTTGAGGGCTATGTTGGAAAAGGAAATATCTTTAAACAAAAACTAGACAGAAGCATTCTCAGAAACTTCTTTTCAATGTTTGCATGCAACTCACAGAGTTGAACATACCTTTTCCTACAGCAGGTCTGAAACACTCTTTTGGCAGAATCTGCAAGTCGATATTTGGAAAGATTTGAGGCTTGTGGTGGAAAACGAATATTCACATAAAAACAAGACAGAAGCATTCTCAGAAACTTCTTTTTCATGTTTGCATTCAGCTCACAGAATTGAATTTTCGTTTTGATAGAACAGATTTGCAACACTCTATTTGTAGAATCTGCAAGTGGATATTATTTGGAGCACTTTGAGTTATTCGTTGGAAACGTGAATATCTAAACATAAAAACTAGACAGAAGCATTCTCAGAAACTTCTTTGTGAGGTTTGCATTCAACTCACAGGGTTTAACATCATTTAATAGAGCAGTTTTGAAACACTCTTTTCATAGAATCTGCAAGTGGATACTTGGATCGCATTGAGTCCTTCGAAGGAAACGTGAATATCTTCACATAAAAACTAGACAGAAGGATTCTCAGAAACTTCTTTGTGATGTGTGCTTTCAACTCAGAGAGTTGCACCTTCCTTTTGATACAGCAGTTTTGAAACACTCTTTCTGTAGAATCTACAAGTGGATATTTGAAGCGCTTTGAGGCCTATGGCAGAAAATGAAATATCTTCATATAAAAACTAGACAGAAGCATTCTCAGAAACTACTTTGTGATGTATGCATTCACCTCACAGTGTAGAACCTGTCGTTTTATAGAGCTGTTTTGAACACCCTTTTTGTGGCATCTGCAGGTAGACATTTGGAGCGCGTTAAGGGCTATGTTGGAAAAGGAAATATCTTCACATTAAAACTAGACAGAAGCATTCTCAGAAACATCTTTGTGATGTTTGCATTCAAATCACAGAGTTGAACATACCTTTTCATACAGGAGTCTTGAAACAATCCTTTGTATAATCTTCAAGTGGACACTTGGAGTGCTTTGAGGGCTATGGTGGAAAAGGAAATATCTTCATATAAAAACTAGACAGTAACATTATGAGAAACTTCTTTCTGACGTGTGCATTCAACTCACGGTGTTGAACCTTTCTTTTGTTGGAGTAGTTTTGAGACAACTTTTGTTAGAATCTGCAAGTGGATATTTGGAAGGCGTTTATGCCTACGGTAGAAAAGTAAGTATTTTCCTTTTTAAACTAGACAAACGTGTTCTCAGAAACTAATTTGTGACGTTTGCATTCACCTCACAGAGTTTAACTTTCTTTTGATAGAGCAGTTTTGAAACACAAGAGTGTTTCAAAACTGCTCTATCAAAAGGAAGGTTCATTTCTGGGAGTTGAATGCACACATCACAAAGAAGATTCTGAGAATCCTTCTGTCTAGTTTTTATGTGAAGATATTCCCATTTCCAACGAAAGCCTCAAAGCTGTCTAAATATCCACTTGCAGATTCTACAAAAAGACTGTTTCAAAACTGCTCTATGAAAAAGTATGTTCAACTCTGTGAGCTGAATGCACACACCACAAGGAAGTTTCTGAGAATACTTCTGTCTAGTTTTTATGTGAAGATATTTCCATTTCTACCATAGCCCTCAAAGCGCTCCAAAGGTAAAATTGAAGATTCTACAAAAAGAGTGTTTCAAAACTGCTCTATCAAAGAAACGTTCACCTCTGTTAGTGGAATGGATACATCTCAAAGTAGTTTCGAGAATGTTTCTGTCAAGCTTTTATGAGAATATAATCCCGTTTCCAACCAGTGCCTCAAACCGGTCCAAATATAAACTTGCAGATTCCACAAAAAGTGTTTCAAAATTTCTCCATCAAAATATAGGTTCAACTCTGTGAGATATATGCATACATCACAAGGAACTTTCCGAGAATGCTTCTCTATAGTTTTTATGTGAAGATATTTCCTTTTCCAGCATAGCCCTCCAAGCGCTCCAAATGTCCACTTGCAGATTCTACAAAAAGAGTGTTTCGAAACTGCTCTATCAAAAGGAAGGTTCAAGTCTCTGAGTTGAATGCACACATCACAAAGAAGTTTCTGAGAATGCTTCTGTCTAGTTTTTATGTGAATATATTTCCTTTTCTACCACAGGCCTCAAAGCTCTCCAAATGTCTTCTTGCAGATTCTACAGAAAGAGTGGTTCAAAGCTGCTTATCAAAAGAAAGGTTGAACTCTGTGAATTGAATGTACACAACAAGAAGTAGTTTCTGAGAATGTTTCTGTCTAGCTTTTATGTGAAGACATTTCCTTTTCTACCACAGGCCACAAAGCTCTCCAAATGTCCATTTGCAGATTCCACAAAAAGTGTTTCAAAGCTGATCTATCAAAAGAAAGGTTCAACTCTGTGAGTTGAATGCACACAACATGAAGTACTTTCTGAGAATGCTTCTGTCTAGTTTTTCTACGAAGTTATTTCCTTTTCTACCATAGGCCTCCAAGCACTCCAAATGTCTGCTTACAGATTCTACACAAAGACTGTTTCAAAACCGCTTTATCAAAAGAAAGATTCAACTCTGTGAGTTGAATGCATGCATCACAAAGAAGTATCTGATAATGCTTCTGTCTAGTTTTTATGTAAAGATATTTCATTTTCCACCATAGCCATCAAAGTGCTCCAAATATCAACTTGCAGATTCTACATAAAGATTGTTTCAAAACTACTCTATTGAAAGAAAGGTTGAACTCTGTGAGTTGAATACACACATCACCAAGGAGTTTCTGGAAATGCTTCTGTCTAGTTTTTATGTGAAGATATTTCCTTTCCCACCATTGCCCTCAAGTGCTCCAAATGTCCACTTGCATATTCTGCAAATAGGGCGTTTAAAAACTGCTCTATCAAAAGAAAGGTTCAACTCTGGGAGCTGAAAACACACATCACAAAGAAGTTTCTCAGAATGCTTCTGTCTAGTTTTTAGGTGAAGATATTTTCTTTTCCACCGTAGGCCTCAAACCCCTCCAAATGTCCACTTGCAGATTCTACATAAAAAGTGTTTCATACCTGCTCTATCAAAGGAAAGGTTCAACTCTGAGTGTTGAATGCACACGACACAAAATAGTTTCTGAGAATGCTTCTGTCTGGTTTTCATATGAAGATATTTCCTTTTCTACGTAGCCGTCAAAGCGCTCCAAATTTCCACTTGCAGATTCTGCAAATAGAGTGTTTCAAACAGCTCTATCAAAAGGAAGGTTCAACTCTGTGAGTTGAATGCAAACATCACAAAGATGTTTCTAAGAATACTTCTGTTTAGTTATGAGAAGATATATCCGTTTCCAATGAAGGCCACAAAGCAGTCCAAATATCCACTTGCAGATACTATAAAAAGAGTCTTTAAAAACCTCCCTACTAAAAAGAGTTTTGAACTCTCTGAGTTGAATGCCCACATCACAAAGAAGTTTCTGAGAATGCTTCTGTCTAGTTTTCATGTGAAGATATTCCCGTTTCCAACGAAGGCCTCAAACCGCTCTAAATATCCACTTGCAGATTACACAAAAAGACTGTTTCAAAACTGCTCTATGAAAACGTATATTCAACTCTGTGAGTTGAATGCAAGCATCACAAAGAGGTTTCTGAGAATGCTTCTGTCTAGTTTTCATGTGAAGATATTTCCTTTTCCATAACCGCCCACAAAGCGCTGCAAATGTCCACATGCAGATTCTGCAAATAGAGTGTTTCAAAACTGCTCTATGAAAAGGAAGGTTGAACTCTGTGAGTTAAATGCGCGCATCACAAAGAAGTTTCTGAGAATGCTTCTGTCAAGTCTTTATGAGATGAAATTCCCATTTCCAATGAAGGCCACAAATCAGTCCAAATATCCACTTGCAGATTCTACAAAAAGAGTGTTTCAAAACTGCTCTATCAAAAGGAAGTTTCAACTCTGTGAGTTGAATGCACACATCACAAAGAAGTTTCTGAGAATGCTTCTGTCTAGTTTTTATGAGAAGATATTCCCGTTTCCAGCGAAGGGCTCAAAGCGGTCCAAATATACACTTGCAGATTCTACAAAAAGATTTTTTCAAAACTACTCTAGGAGAAGCTATATTCAACTTTGTGAGTTGACAGCATACTTCACAAAGAAGTTTCTGAGAATGCTTCTGTCTACTTTTTATGTGAAGATATTTCATTTTCCACCATAATCCTTCAAAGTGCTCCAAAATTACACTTGCAGATTCTACAAAAAGAGTATTTCAAAACTGCCCTATAAAAAGAAAGGTTCAACTCTGTCAGTTGAATGCAAACATCACAAAGGTGTTTCTGAGAATGCTTCTGTATAGTTATGAAAATATATATCCGTTTTCAACAAAGGCCACAAAGCAGTCCAAATATCCACTTGCAGATTCTACAAAAAGAGTGTTTCAAAACTGCTCTATCAAAAGGAAGGATTAACTCTGTGAGTTGAATGCAGACATCACAAAAAGGTTTCTGAGAATCCTTCTGTCTAGTTTTCATGTGAAGATATTCCCGTTTCCAATGAAGGCCTCAAACCGGTCTAAATATCCACTTGCGGATTATTCAAGAAGAGTGTTTCAAAACTGCTCTATGAAAAGGTATGTTCAAGTCCGTGAGTTGAATGCAAACATCACAAAGAGGTTTCTGAGAATTCTTCTGTCTAGTTTTCATTTGAAGATATGTCCTTTTCCATAACTGCCCACAAAGCCCTACAAATGTCCACTTGCAGATTCTGCAAATACAGTGTTTCAAAACTGCTCTACCAAAAGAAAGGTTGAACTCTGTGAGTTAAATGCAAGCATCACAAAGAAGTTTCTGAGAATGCTTCTGTCAAGTTTTTATGAGATGATATTCCCATTTCCAACGAAGGCCACAAATCAGTCCAAATATCCACTTGCAGATTCTACAAGAAGAGTGTTTCAAAACTGCTCTATCAAAAGAAAGGTTCAACACTGTGAGTTGAATGCACACATCACAAAGAAGATTCTGAGATTGCTTCTGTCAAGTTTTTATGAGGTGATATTCCTGTTTCCAACAAAGACCATAAAGCAGTCCAAATATCCTCTTGCAGATTCTACAAAAAGAGTGTTTCAAAACTGCCCGATCAAAAGGAAGGATCAACTCTGTGAGCTGAGTACACACATCCCAAGGAAGTTTCTTAGAATGCTTCTGTCTAGTTTTTATGTGAAGATATTTCCTTTTCCGTGATAGCCCTCATATCGCTCCAAATGGCAACTTGCAGATTCTACAAAAAGAGTGGTTCAATACTGCTCTATCAAAAGGAAGTTTCATCTCTGTGAGTTGAATGCACACATCACAAAGAAGTTTCTGAGTATACTTCTGTCAAATTTTTATAAGATATTCCCGTTGCCAAAGAAGGCCACAAAGCAGTCCAATTATCCACTTGCAGATTCTAAAAAAAGAGTGTTTCAAAACTGCTGTATAAAACGGTATGTTCAACTCTGTGAGTTGAATGCAAACATCACAAAGAATTTTCTGAGAATGCTTCTGTCTAGTTTTTATGTGAAGATATTCCCGTTTCCAACAAAGGCCTCAAACCGGTCTAAATATCCACTTGCAGATTCTACAAAAAGATTCTTCTGAAACTACTCTAAGAAAAAGTATGTTCAACTCTAAGTAGAGGGCAAACATCACAAAGTAGTTTCTCAGCATGCTTCTGTCTAGTTTTTATGTGAAGATATTTCCTTTTCCACCATAGCTCTCAAAGCGCTCCAAATGTCCACTTGCAGATCCTACAAAAAGAATGTTTCAAAACTGCTCTAAGAAAAGAAGGGTTCAACTCTGTGACTTGAATGCACACATCATAAAGAAGTTTCTGAGAATGCTTCTGTCTAGTTTTTATGAGAAGATATTCCCGTTTCCAATGAAGGAATCAAAGCGCTATAATGTCCACTTGCAGGTACTAAAAGCAGAGTGTTTCATAACTGCTCTATCAAAAGGAAGGTTCAACTCTGTGAGTTGAATGCACACATCACAAAGAAGTTTCTGAGAATTCTTCTGTCTACTTTTTATGTGAACATATTCCCGTTTCCAAAGAAGGCCTCAAACTGGTCCAAATATCTACTTGCAGATCCCACAAAAAGAATGTTTCAAAACTACTCTATCAAAAGAAACATTCAATGCTGTGAGTTGAATGCACACATCGCAAAGCAGTTTCTGAGAATGCTTCTGTCTAGTTTTTTTTTTGAAGATACTTCCTTTTCCATCTTGGCCTCAAAGCGCTCCAAATGTACACTTGCAGATTCTGCAAATAGAGTGTTTCAAAACTGCTCTATAAAAAGAAGGCTGAACTCTGTAAGTTGAATGTACATATCACAAAGAAGTTTCTGAGAAAGTTTCTGTCGAGTTTTTATGTGAAGATATTTCCATTTCCACTGAAGCTCTCAATGCGATCCAAAAATCCACTTGCAGATTGTGCAAAAAGAGTGTTTCAAAACTGCTCTATCAAAAGGAGGGTTCAACTCTATGAATTGAATGCATACATCAAAAAGTTGTTTCTGAGAATGCTTCTGTCTTGTTTTTATGGGATGATAATCCCGTTTCCAATGAAGGCCAGAAAGTACTCCAAATATCCAATTGCAGATACTACAAAAAGAGTGCTTGTAAACTGCTCTACCAAAAGGAAGGTTCATCTCTGTGAGTTGAATGCAAACATCACAAAGAAATTTCTGAGAATGCTTCTGTCTACTTTTTATGGGAAGATATTCCCGTTTCCAATGAAGGCCTCAAACTGCTCCAAATATACACTTACAGATTCCACAAAAAGAGTGTTTCCAAACTACACCATAAAAAGAAAGTTTCAACTCTGTGAGTTGAATGCACACATCACAAGGTAGTTTCTGAGAATGCTTCTGTCTAGTATTTTTTTGAAGATAATTTCTTTTCCACGTTGGCCTCAAAGCGCTCCAAATGTCCACTTGCATATTCTGCAAATAGAGTGTTTCAAAACTGCTCTATAAAAAGGCAGGCTCAAATCTGTGAGTTGAATGCACACAACACAAAGTAGTTTCTGAGACTGCTTCCTTCTAGTTTTTATATGAAGATATTTCCTTTTCTACCATAGGCCTCAAAGCGCTCCAAACGTCTGCTTACAGATTCTACAGCAAGAGTGTTTCGAAACTCCTCTATCAAAAGGAAGTTTCACCTCTGTGAGTTGAATGCACACATCACAAAGAAGTTTCTGAGAATGCTTCTGTCTAGTTTCTATGACAAGATATTCCCGTTTGCAACGAAGGCCTCATACTGGTCCAAATATCCACTTGCAGATTCTAAAAAAAGAGAGTTTCACAACTGCTCTATCATAAGAAAGGGTCAACTCTATGAGTTGAATGCACACATCACAAAGAAGTTTCTGAGAATGCTTCTGTCTCGTTTTCTGTGAAGACATTTCCTTTTCCACCATAGCCCTCAAAGTGCTCCTAATTTCTGCTGGCAGATTCTCCAAATAGAGCGTTTCAATACTGCTCTATCAAAAGGAAGGTTGAACTATGTGAGTTAAATGCACATATCACAAAGAAGTTTCTGAGAATGCTTCTGTCAATTATTTACGAGATGATTTTCCAGTTTCCAACGAAGGCCACAAATCATTCCAAATATCCACTAGCAGATAATACAAAAAGAGTGTTTCAAAACTGCTCTATTGAAAGGAAGTTTAAAC
This sequence comes from Homo sapiens, assembly GCF_000001405.40. Taxonomy (NCBI): domain Eukaryota; kingdom Metazoa; phylum Chordata; class Mammalia; order Primates; family Hominidae; genus Homo; species Homo sapiens. The sequence continues at coordinate 46,410,353 of NC_000005.10, read as the reverse complement.
TGTGTGAGTTGAATGCACACATCTGAAACATGTTTCTGAGAATGCTTCTGTGTGGTTTTTATGTGAAGATATTTCCTTTTCCACCATAGACCTCAATGTGCTCCAAATGTTAACTTGCAGATTCCACAAAAAGAGTGCTTCAAAACTGCTCTATTGAAAGGAAGGTTCAACTCTGTGAGTTGAATGCACACGTCACAAAGTAATTTCTGAGAATGCTTCTCTCTAGATTTTATGTGAAGATATTCCCGTTTCCACGAAGGGCTCAAAGCAGTCCAAATATAAACCTGCAGATTCTACAAAAAGAGAGTTTCAAAGCTACTCTATGAAAAGCTATGTTCAACTCTTTGGGTTGAATGCAAACATCACAAAGAAGTTTCTGAGAATGCTTCTGTCTAGATTTGATGTGAAGATATTTCATTTTCCACCATAACCCTCAAAGCGCTCCAAAAGTACACCTGCAGATTGTACAAAAAGAGTATTTCAAAACTGCTCTATCAAAAGGAAGGTTCATCTTTGTGAGTTGAATGCAAACATCACAAAGATGTTTCTGAGAATGTTTCTGTATAGTTATGAGAAGATATATCCGTGTCCAATGAAGGCCACAAAGCAGTCCAAATATCCACTTGCTGATACTACAAAAAGAGTGTTTCAAAACTGCTCTACCAAAAAGAATGTTCAACTCTGTGAGTTGAATGCAGCATCACAAAGAAGTTTCTGAGAATGCTTCTGCCTAGTTTTCATGGGAAGATATTCCCGTTTCCAATGACGGCCTCAAACCGGTCCTAATATCCACTTCCAGATTCCACAAAAATAGTATTTCAAAACTGATCTATCAAAAGGAGTGTTCAATTCTGTGAGTTGATTGCCAACATCACAACGTAGTTTCTGAGTATGCGTCTGTCTAGTTTTTATTAGAGTGTAATCCCGTTTCCAACGAAGGCCACAAAGCAGTCTAAATATCCACTTGCAGATTCTACAAAAAGAGTGTTTCAAAACGGCTCTACCAAAAGAAAGTTTCAACTCTGTGACTTGAATTCACACATCACAAAACAGTTTTTGGGAATGCTTCTGTCTAGTTTTTATGTGAAGATATTTCCTTTTCCATCTTGGCCTCAAAGCACTCCAAATGTCCATTGCAGATTCTACAAAAAGAGTGTTTCAAAGCCGCTCTATCAAAGGAAATCTTCAATCTGTGAGTTGAATGCAAACAACACAAAACACTTTCTGATAATACTTCTGTCTAGTTTTTGTATGAAGATGTTTCCTTTTCTGCTATAGGCCACAAAGTGGTCCAAATGTCCGCTTACAGATTCAACACAAAGTGCGTTTCAAAACTGCTCTCTCAAAAGGAAGTTTCACGTCTGTGACTTGAATGCACACATCACAAAGAAGTTCTGAGAATGCTTCTCTCCAGGTTTTTTGTGAAGATATTCCCGTTTCCAATGAAGGCCTCAAACCGGCTAAAATTTCCATTTGCAGATTCTAAAAAAAGAGTATTTCAAAACTGCTCTATCATAAGAAAGCTTAAACTCTATGTGGTCAATGCACACATCACAAAGTAGTTTTTGAGAATGCTTCTGTCTAGCTTCATTGTGAAGATATTTCCTTTTCCACCATAACTTTCAAAGGGCCCCAAATGTCCACTTGCAAATACTACACAAAGAGTGTTTCAAAACTGGTCTATCAAAAGGAAGGATCAACTCTGTGAGTAGAATGCAAACCTCACAAAGTGGTTTCTGAGAATGCTTCTGTCTAGCTTTCATGTGAAGATATTCCCGTTTCCAACGATGGCCTCAAACCAGTCTAAATATCCACTTGTAGATTATACTAAAAGAGTGTTTCAAAACTGCACTATGAAAAGATATGTTCAACTCTGTGAGTTCAATGCAAACATCACAAAGAGGTTTCTGAGATCGCTTCTGTCTATTTTTTATGAGGAGATATTTCCTTTTCCATCATCGCCCAAAAAGCGCTCCAAATGTCCACTTGCAGATCCTGCAAAAAGAGTGTTTCAAAACTGCTCTACGAAAAGGAAGGTTGAACTCTGTGAGGTAAATGCACACATCACAAAGAAGTTTCTGAGAATGCTTCTGTCAAGTTTTTATGAGATGATATTCCCGTTTCCAACGAAGGCCACTAAGCAATCCAAATATCCACTTGCAGATTCTACAAAAAGAGTGTTTCAAAAATGCTGTATCAAAAGGAAAGTTCAACTCTGTGAGTTGATGCACACCTCCCAAAATAGTTTCTGAGAATGTTTCTGTCTAGTTTTTATGTGAAAATATTTCCTTTCCCCGTAGCCCTCAATGCAGTCCAAATGTCCACTTGCAGATTTTACAAAAAGACTGTTTCAAAACTGCTCTACAGAAAGGAAGGTTAAGTTCTGTGAGTTGAATGCAATCTTCACAAAGAAGTTTCTGAGAAACCTTCTGTCTAGTTATTTATGTGAAGATATTCCCTTTTCCAACGAAGGCCTCAAAGAGGTCAAAATATACACTTGCGGAATGTACAAAAACAGTGTTTCAAAGCTGCTCTATGAAGAGGTATTTTCAAATCCGTGAGATGAATGCAAATATCACAAAGAAGTTTCTGAGAATAGTTCAGTCTAATTTTCATGGGAAGATATTCCCGTTTCCAACAAAGGCCGCAAACCAGTCCAAATATCCACTTGCAGATTCCACAAAAAGAGTGTTTCAAAACTGCTCTATCTAAAGGAAGGTTCAACTGTGTGAGTTGAATGCACCTATCACAAAGAAGTTTCTGAGAATGCTTCTGTCTTCTTTTTATGTGAAGATATTCCCATTTCCAATGAAGGCCTCAAATCGCTCCAAATATAAACTTGCAGATTCTACAAAAAGAGTATTTCAAAGCTGCACTATGAAAAGTCATGTTCAACTCTGTGAGTTGAAAGCAAACATCACAAAGAAGTTTCTGAGAATGCTTCTTTCAAGTTCTATGTGAAGATATTTCATTTTACACCATAACCCGCAAAGAGCTCCAAATGTACACTTGCAGATTCTACAAAAAGAGTATTTGAAAACTGTTCTACCAAAAAGGAAGGTTTAACTCTGTGAGTTCAATGCAAACATCACAAATTAGTTTCTGAGAATGCTTCTCTCTAGTTATGAGAAGATATACCCGTTTCCTAAGAAGGCCACAAAGCAGTCCAAATATACACTTGCAGATTCTACAAAATGAGTGTTTCCAAATTGCTCTATGAAAAGTTATTTTCAACTCTCTGAGCTGAATGCACACATCACAAAGAAGTTTCTGAGAATGCTTCTGTCTAGTTTTTATGTGAAGATATTCCCATTTCCACCAAAGCCGTCAAAGCACTCCAAATGTCCACTTGCAAATCCAAAAAAAAAAATTGTTTCAAAACTGCTCTATCTAAAGGAAGTTTCAAATCTGTGAGTTGAAGGCACACATCACCAAGAAGTTTCTGTGAATGCTTTTGTCTAGTTTTTATGTGAAGATATTCCCGTTTCCAATGAAGGCCACAAACTGGTCCAAATATACACTTGCACAGTCTACAAAAAGAGCGTTTCAAAGCTGCTCTATGAAAAGGTATGTTCAAGTCAGTGAGTTGCATGCAAACATCAGAAACAAGTTTCTGAGGATGCTTCTATCTAGTTTTTATGTGAAGATATTTCATTTTCCACCATAACCCTCAAAGCGCTCCCAAAGTACACATGCAGAATCTACGAAAAGAGTATTTCAAAACTGCTCTATCAAAAGAAAGGTTCAAGTCTCTGAAGTGAATGCAAATATCACAAAGTAATTTCCTAGAATGCTTCTGTCTAGTTGTGAGAGGATATAACCCTTTTCCAACGAAGGCCGCAAAGCAGTCCAAATATTCACTTACAGATTCTACAAAAAGACTGTTTCAAAACTGCTCTACGAAAAGGTATGTTCAACTCTGGGAGATGAATGCACACATCACAAAGAAGTTTCTGAGAATGCTTCTGTCTAGTTTCTATGTGAAGATGTTTCCATTTTCACCATAGCGCTCAAAGCGATCGAAATGTCCACTTGCAGATTCTACAAAAAGAGTGTTTCAAAACTGCTCTATTAAAAGGAAGGTTCAACTCTGTGGGTTGAATGCACACATCCCAAAGTAGTTTCTGAGAATGCTTCTTTCTAATTTTTTTCTGAAGATCTTTCCTTTCCAAACGTAGCCCTCAAAGCGCTCCAAAAGTCTACATGCAGATTCCACACAAAGAGTGTTTCAAAACTGCTCTGTCAAAAGGAAGTTTCAAATATGTGAGTTGAATGCACACATCACTACGAAGTTTCTGAGAATGCTTCTGTCTAGTTTTTATGTGAAGATATTTCCTTTTCCACCTTAGCACTCAAAGCGATCCAAATGTCCACTCGCAGATTCTGCAAATAGAGAGTTTCAAAATTGCTCTATCAAAAGGAACTTTCCTCTCTCTCAACTGAATGCACACATCTCAAAGAAGTTTCTGAGTATACTTCTGTCAAGTTTTTATGAGAATATATTCCCGTTTCCAGTGAAGGCCACAAAGCAGTCCAAATATCCACTTGCAGATTCTAAAAATAGAGTGTTTCAAAACTGCTGTAAGAAACGGTATGTTCACCTGTGTGAGTTGAATGCAAACATCACAGAGAATTTTCTGAGAATACTTCTGTCTAGTTTTTATGTGAAGATATTTCCGTTTCCAAAGAAGGCCTCAAATCGGTCTAAATATCCACTTGCAGATTCTAGAAAAACAGTCTTTTGAAACTGCTCTATGAAAAGCAAAGTTCAACACTTTGAGCAGAAGGCAAACATCACAAAGAAGCTTCTCAGCAAGCTTCTGTCTAGTTTTTATGTGAAGATATTTTCTTTTCCAGAATAGCCCTCAAAGCGCTCCAAATATACACTTGCAGATTCTACAAAAAGAGTTATTCAAAACTGGTCAATCAAAACATAGGTTCAACTCTGTGAGTTGAATGGACACATCAAAAAGAAGTTTCTGAGAATGCTTCTGTCTAGTTTTTATGTGAAGATATTTCCTTTTCCAGAATAGACCTCAAAGTGTTCCAAATGTCCACTTGAAAATTCTACAAAAAGAGTGCTTCAAAACTGCCCTATCAAAAGAAAGGCTCAAATCTGTGAGTTGAATGCACACATCCCAAAGAAGTTTCTGAGAATGCTTCTGTCTAGTTTTTATGTGTAGACATTTGCTTTTCAAAGATAGCTCTCAAAGCGCTCCAATTATCCACTTGCAGATTCTACAAAAAGAGTATTTCAAGGCTGTTCTAGCAAAGAAAAGGTTGAACTCTGTAAGTTGAATGCACACAACACAACCCAGTTACTGAGAATGCTTTGTCTAGTTTTCATATGAAGATATTTCCTTTTCTACCACAGGCCTCAAAGCACTCCAAATGTCCGCTTGTAGATTCTACTCAAAGAGTGTTTCAACACTGCTCTATCAAAAGGAAGGTTCAACTCTGTGAGGTGAATGCACACATCACAAAGAAGTTTCTGAGAATGCTTCTGCCTAGTTTTTATGTGAAGATACTCCCATTTCCAATTAAGGCCTCAAACCTGTCCAAATATCCACTGGCAGTTTCTATAAAAAGAGTGTTTCAAAACTGCTCTATCAAAAGAAATGTTCAACTCGGTGAGTTGAATGCACACATTACAAAGAAGTTTCTAAGAATGCTTCTGTCTAGTTTTTATGTGAAGATATTTCCTTTTCCACTATAGCCCACAAAGCACTCCAAATGTCCACTTGCAGATTCTACAAAAAGAGTCATAACTGCTCTATCAGAAGGAAGGTTCAACTCTCTAAGTTGAATGCACACATCACAAAGAAGTTTCTGAAAATGCTTCTGTCTAGTTTTTATGAGAATATAATATCGTTTACAACGAAGGCCACAAAGCAGTCCAAATATGTATTTGCAGATTCTACAAAAAGAGTCTGTAAAAACTCCTCTACCAAAAGGAAGGTTCAACTCTGTGAACTGAGTGCACACATCACAAATAAGTTTCTGAGAATGCTTCTGTCTAATTTTTATGTGAAGCTATTCCCGTTTCCAATGAAGGCCTCATACCTGTCCAAATATCGACTTGCAGTTTCCAGAGAAAGACTGTTACAAAACTACTCTATCAAAAGAAGGTTTCAACTCTGTGAGTTGAATGCACACATCACAAAGAAGTTTCTGAGAATTATTCTGTCTAGTTTTTATGTGAAGATATTTCCTTTTCCACAATAGTCCTCAAAGAGCTCCAAATGTTCACATGCACATTCTACAAAAAAAGTGTATCAAAACTGCTCTATCGAAAGGAAGGTTGAACTCTGTGAGTTGAATGCACACGCACATCTCAAAGAAGTTTCTGAGAATGGTTCTGTGTAGTTTCTATGTGAAGATATTGACTTTTCCACCATAGCCCTCAAAGCGCTCCAAATGTCCACTTGCATATTCTACAAAAAGGGTGTTTCAAAACTGCTCTATCAGAAGGAAGGTTCAACTCTGTGAGTTGAATGCAGACATCACAAAGAAGTTCCTGAAAATGCTTCTGTCTAGTTTTTATGTGAAGATATTTTCTTTTCCACCATAGGCCTCAAAGCTCTCCAAATTTTCACTTGCTGATTCTGCAAATAGAGTGTTTCAAAACTGCTCTATCAAAAGAAAGGTTCAATTCTGTAACTCGAATGCACACATCGTAAAGCAGTTTCTGAAAATGCTTCTGTCAAGTTTTTTATGAGAAGATATTCCCGTTTCCAACGAAGGTCTCAAAGCACTATGATGTCTGCTTGCAGATACTAAAAGCAGAGTGTTTCAAAACTGCTCTATCAAAAGAAAAATTCACCTCGGTGAAGAGAATGCACGCTTAACAAAGAAGTTTCTGATAATGCTTCTGTCAAGTTTTTATGAGAAGTATTCCCATTTCCAACGAAGGCCTCAAACCGGTCCAAATATCCACCTGCAGAATCTAAAAAAAGAGTGTTTCAAAACTACTCTATCAAAAGAAAGTTTCAACTCGGTGAGTTGAATTCACACAACACAAAGAAGTTTCTGAGAATGTTTCAGTCTAGTTTTTATGTGAAGATATTATCTTTTCTAGAATAGACCTCAAAGCACTCCAAATGTCCACTTGCAGATTCTACAAAAAGAGTGTTTCAAAACTGCTCTGTCAAAAGGAAAGTCCAACTCTGTGTGTTGAATGCAAACATCACAAAGTAGTTTCTGAAAAAGCTTCTGTCTACTTATAAGAAGATATACCCATTTCCAAGAAAGGCCACAAAGCAGTCCAAATATCCACTTGCAGATTCCACAAAAAGAGTGTTTATAAACTGCTCTATGAAAAGGTGTGTTCAACACTGTGAGCTGAATGCACACATCACAATATAGGTTCTGAGAATGCTTCTGTCTAGTTTTTATGTGAAGATATTTCCATTTCCACCATAGCCCTCAAAGCGCTCCTAATGTCCACTTGCAGATTCTACAAAAAAGAGTGTTTCAAAACTGCTCCATCAAAACGAAGGTTCAACTCTGTGAGTTGAATGCACACATCCCGAAGAAATTTCTGAGAATGCTTCTGCCTAGTTTTTATGTGAAGATATTTCCTTTTTATTTTATTTTATGTATTTATTATTATTATTATTCTTTACGCTTTAGGGTACATGTGCACAATGTGCAGTTTAGCTATATACGTATACAGATGCCATGCTGGTGCGCAGCACCCACTAACTCGTCATCTGGCATTAGGTATATCTAGCAATGCTATCCCTCCAACCTCCCCCTACCGCACAACAGTCCCCAGACTGTGATGTTTCCCTTCCTGTGTCCATGTGTTTTCAATGTTCAATTCCCACCTATGAGTGAGAATATACTGTGTTTAGTTCTCTGTTCTTGCAATAGTTTACTGAGAATGATGATATTTCCTTTTTCAACGTAGCCCTCTAAGAGTTCCAAATGTCCATTTGCAGATCCTACAAAAAGAGTGTTTGAAAACTGCACTGTAAAAAGGTATGTTCAACTCTGTGAGTTGAATGCAAATATCCAAAGATGTTTTGAGAATGCTTCTCTGTAGTTTTACTGTGAAGATATTTCCTTTTCCACCATTGCCCTCAAAGCGCTCTAAAAGTACACTTGCAGATTATACGAAAAGAGTGTTTCAAATCTGCTCTATGAAAAGGTATGTTCAACTATGTGAGTTGAATGTAAACATCACAAAGAACTTTCTGATAATGCCTCTGTCTAGTTTTTGTTAGAAGATATTTTCTTTTCCACCATAGCCCTCAAAGCCCTCCAAACGTCCACTTGCAGACCCTACAAAAAGAGTGTTTCAAAACTCCTTTATCGAAAGGAAAGTTCAAATCTGTGAGTTGAATGCACACATCACAAATAAGTTTCTAAGAATGTTTCTGTCTACTTTTTATGTGAAGATATACCCGTTTCCAACGACGGCCTCAAAGTGGTCCAAATATACACTTGTGGATTCTACAAAAAGAGTGTTTCAAAGCTGCTCTATGAAAAGGTATGTTCAACTCTGTGAGTTGAATGCAAACACCACAAAGAAGTTTCTGAGAATGCTTATTTCTAGTTTTTATGTGAAGATAATTCATTTTCCACCATAACCCTCAAAGCGCTCCAAATGTACACTTGCAGATTCTACGAAAAGTGTATTTCAAAACTGCTCTATCAAAAGGAAGGTTCAACTCTGGGAGTTGAATGCAAACATTACAAAGAAGTTTCTGATAATTCTTCTGTCTAGTTATGAGAATATATACCTGTTTCCAACGAAGTCCACAATGCACTCCAAATATCCACTTGCAGATTCTACAAAAAGAGTGTTTCAAACTTGCACTATCAAAAGGATGTTTCAACTCTGGGAGTTGTATGCACACATCACAAAGAAGCTTCTGATAATTCTTCTGTCTATTTTTTATGAGAATATAATCCCGTTTCCAGCGAAGGCCACAAATCAGTCCAAATATCCACTTGCAGATTCTACAAAAAGAGCATTACAAAACTGCACTATCAAAAGGAAGGTTCAAAGCTGTGAGGTGAATGCACACATCCAAAGAAGTTTCTGAGAATTCTTCTGTCTAGTTTTTATGTGAAGATATTCCCATTTCCAATGAAGACCTCAAAACCGTCCAAATATCCACTTGCAGATTCCACAAAAAGAGTGTTATAAAACTGCTCTATCCAAAGAAAAGTTCAATAAAGAACTTTCTGAGAATACTTCTGTATAGTTTTTATGTGAAGATATTTCCTTTTCCACCACAGCCATCAAAGCACTCCAAATGTGCACTTGCAGATTTTATGCAAATAGTGTTTCAAAACTGCTCAATGAAAAGGAAGGTTCAACTCTGTGAGTTGAATGCACACATCACAAAGGAGTTTCTGAGAATGATTCTGTCTGGGTTTCATGTGAAGATATTCCTGTTTCAACCATAGGCCTCAAAACGCTCCAAATATCCACTAGCAGATTCTACAAAAAGATTGTTCCAAAATTGCTCTATGAAAAGTGATGCTCAACTCTGTGAGTTGTATTCAATCATCGTAAAGAAGTTTCTGAGAAAGCTTCTGTCTAGTTCTTAAGTGAAGATATTTCCTTTTCCACCATTGGCCTCAAAGGTCTCCAAATGTTCACTTGCAAATTCTACAAAAAGAGTGTTTCACGGCTGCACTTTCAAAAGAAATGTTCGACTCTGTGAGTTGAAGGCACACAACACAAAGTTGCTTCTGAGAATGTTTCTGTATAGTTTTTATATGAAGATATTTCCTTTTCTACAATAGGCGTCAAAGCGCTCCAAATATCCACTTGCAGATTCTACACAAAGATCGTTTCAAATCTACTCTATTAAAAGGAAGGTTCAACTCGGTGAGTTGAATGCATGCATCACAAAGTAGTTTCTGAAAATGCTTCTGTCTAGTTTTTATGAGAATATAAACCCGTTTCCAACGAAGGCCATAAAGCAGTCCAAAAATCCACTTGCAGATTCTACAAAAAGAGTGTTTAAAAACTGCTCTACCAAAAGGAAGGTTCAACACTGTGAGTTGAATGCAGATATCATAAAGAAGCTTCTGAGAATGCTTCTGTCTAGTTTTTATGGGAAGATATTCCCGTTTCCAACGAAGGCCTCAAATCTGTCAAAATGTCCACTTGCAGATTCTACAAAAAGAGTGTTTCAAAACTGCTCTATTGAAAGGAAGGTTCGAATCTGTGAGTTGAATGCACCCATCACATAGAAGTTTCTGTGAATGCTTCTGTCTAGTTTTTATGTGAAGATATTTCCTTTTCCAACACAGGCCTCAAAGCGCTCCAAATGTCCACTTGCAGATACAACACAAAGAGTGTTTCAAAAGTGCTCTATCAAATGGAATGTTCAACTCTGTGAGTTGAATGCACAAATCACAAAGAAGTGTCTGAGAATGTTTCTGTCTAGTTTTTATGTGAAGATATTTCCTTTTCCACAATAGGCCTTAAAGCTCTCCAAATTTCAACTTGCAGATTCTAGAAAAAGAGTGTGTCAAAGCTACTCTATCAAAAGAGAGGTTCAACTGTGAGTTGAATGCACACAATGCAAAGCAGTTTCTGAGAATGCTTCTGTTTACCTTTTATATGAAGATATTTCCATTTATTCCATAGGCCTCAAAGCACTACAAATGTCCGCTTGCATATTCTACACAAAGAGTTTCAAAACTGCTCTATCAAAATCAAGGTTCAACACTCTGAGTTGAATGAACACATCACAAAGAAGTTTCCGAGAATGCTTCTGTATAGTTTTTATGAGAAGATATTTCCATTTCCAACGAAGGCCACAAATCGGTCCAAATATCCACTTGCAGATAACACAAAAAGACTGTTTCAAAGCTGCTCTATGAAAAGTTATGTTCAACAATGTGATTTGAATGCAAACATCACAAAGAAGTTTCTGAGAATCCTTCGGTGTAGTTTTTATGTGAAGATATTTCATATTCCACCATAGGCATCAAAGAGCTCCAAATGTCCACTTGCAGATTCTACAAAAAGAGTATTTCAAAACTGCTCTATAAAAAGGTATGTTCAAATCTTTGAGTTGAATGCAAACATCCAAAGATGTCTTGAGAATACTTCTGTCTAGTTTTTCTGTGAAGATATTTCCTTTTCCACCATAGCCCTCAAAGCGCTCCAAAAGTACACTTGCAGATTCTACAAAAAGAGTGTTTCAAAACTACTCTATGAAAACGTAGGTTCAACAATGGGGCTGAATGCAAACATCCAAAGAAGTTTCTGATAATGCTTCTGTCTAGTTTTTATGTGAACATATTTTCTTTCCCACCATAGCACTCAAAACGCTTGAAAGGTCCACTCTCAGGTCCTACATAATGAGTGTCTCAAAACTCCTCTATCGAAGGAAAGGTTCAACTATGTGAGTTGAATGCACACATCATAAAGAAGTTTCTGAGAATTCTTCTGTCAAGTTTTTATGAAAAGATATTCCCGTTTCCAACGAAGGCCACAAAGCAGTCCCAATATCCAGTTGCAGATTCTACAAAAAGAGTGTTTCAAAAAGGCGCTATGAAAGGTATGTACAACTCTGTTAGTTGAATGTAAACATCACAGAGAAGTTTCTGAGAATGCTTCTGTCTACTTTCTATGTGAAGATCTATCCTTTTCCACCATAGCCCTCAAAGCGCTCCAAATGTCTACTTGCAGATTCTACAAAAAGAGTGTTTCAGAACAGCTCTATCAAAAGCAGGGTTCAACACTTTGAGTTGAATGCAGAATCACAAAGAAGTTTCTGAGAATGCTTCTGTCTAGTTTTTATGTGAAGATATTCCCGTTTCCAACGACGGCCTCAAAGCGGTCTAAATATACACTTGCAGATCCTACAAAAGGCATGTTTCAAAGCTGCTCTATGAAAAGGTATATTCAACTCTGTGAGTTGAATGCAAACATCACAAAGAAGATTTGAGAATTCTTCTGTCTAGTTTGTATGTGAAGATATTTCATTTTCCACCATAACCCTCAAAGCACTCCAAATGTTCACTTGAAGATTCTACAAAAAGAGTATTTCAAAACTGCTTACCCAAAGGAAGGTTCAACTCTGTGACATGAATGCAAACTTCAAAAAGTAGTTTCTGAGAATACTTCCGTCTAGTTATGAGAAGATGCACCAGTTTCCAACGAAGGCCACCAAGTAGTTCAAATATCCACTTGCAGATTCTACAACAAAGGTGTTTCAAAACTGCTCTGTGAATAGGAATATTCAACTCTGTAAGCTGAATGCACACATCAGAAGTTTCTGAGAATTCTTCTGTCTAGATTTTATGTGAAGATATTTCATTTTCTACCATAGCCCTCAAAGCCGTCCAAATATCCACTTGCAGACACTACAAAGAGAGTATTTGAAAACTGCTCTATGAAAAGAAAGGTTCAACTCCGTGAGTTTAATGCACACATCACAAAGCAGTTTCTGAGAATGCTTCTGTCTAGTTTTTATGTGAAGATATTTCCTTTTCCACCTTGGCCTCAAAGCTCTCCAAATGTCCACTTGCAGATTCTACACAAAGACTGTTTCAAAACTGCTCTATCAAAAGAAAGGTTCAACTCAGTGAATTGAAGGCATACATCACAAAATAGTTTCTGAGAATGCTTCTGTCTAGTTTTTAAGGGAAGATATTCCCGTTTCCAATGAAGGCCTCAAACCGGTCGATATATACACTTCAGATCCCACAAAAAGAGTATTTCAAAATTGCTCTATCAAAAGCAAAGTTCAACTCTGTTAGTTGAAAGGACACATCACAAAGTAGTTTCTGAGAATACTACTGTCTAGTTTTTATGTGAGGATATTACTTTTTCCACCATAGGCCTCAAAGCTCTCCAAATGTCCACTTACAGATTCTACAAAAAGAGTGTTTCAAAGCTTGATTATCAAAGGAAGTGTTCAACACTGTGAGTTGAATGAACACAACACAAAGTAGTTTCTGAGAATCCTTCTGTCTAGATTTTATAGGAAGATATTTTCTTTTCTACCGTAGGCTTCAAATCACTCCAAATGTACGCTTGCATATTCTACACAAAGATTGTTACAAAACTAACCTATCAAAAGGAAGGTTCAAGTCTGTGAGTTGAATGCACACATCACAAAGAAGTTTCTGAGAGTGCTTCTGTCTAGTTTTTATGTGAAGATATTTCCTTTTCCAAAGTAGCCCTCAACGAGCTCCAAATGTCCACTTGCAGATACTACAAAAAGAGTGTTTCAAAACTGCTCTATTAAAAAGAAGGTTCAAATATGTGAGTTGAATGTACACATCACAAAGAAGTTTCTGAGAATGCTTCTCTCTAGTTTTTATGTGAAGATATTTCCCTTTCCACCACAGGACTCAAAGCTTTCCAAATGTCCACTTGCATATTCTACAAAAAGAGTGGTTCAAAGCTGCTCTATCAAAGGAAAGGCTCAATTCTGTGAGTCTGAATGCATACAACACAAAGTACTTTCTGAGAATGCTTTTGTCTAGTTTTCACAGGAAGATATTTTTTCCTTTTCTACTATAGGCCTCAAAGCACAGCAAATGTCTGCTTGCAGATTCTACACAAAGAGTGTTCCAAGACTTCTCTATCAAAAGGAAGGTTCACCTCTGTGAGTTGAATGCACACATCACAAAGAAGTTTCTGAGAATGCTTCTGTCAAGTCTTTATGAGAAGATATTCCCATTTCCAGTGAAGGCCACAAAGCAGTCTAAATATCCACTTGAGATTCTACAAAAAGAGTTTCAAAACTGCTCTATGAAAAGAAAGTTTCAACTTGGTGAGTTGAATGCACACATCACAAAGACGTTTCTGACAATGCTTCTGTCTAGTTTTTATGTGAAGATATTTCCTTTTCCACCATAGCCCACTAAGTCCTCCAAATGTCCACTTGCAGATTCTACAAAAATAGTGTTTGAAAACTGCTGTGTCGAAAGGAAAGTTCACTTCTGTGAGTAGAATGCACACATCACAAAGAAGTTTCTGAGAATGTTTCTGTCTAGTTTTTACGTGAAGATATTCCCGATTCCAATGACGGCCTCACAGCGGTCCAAATGTCTATTTGCAGATTCTGCAAAAAGTTTGTTTCAAAACAGCTCTATCAAAGGAGGGTTCAACTCTGTGAGTAGAATGCACACATCACAAAGAAGTTTCCGGGAATGCTTCTGTCTAGTTTTTATGTGAAGATATTTCCTTTTCCAACATAGGTCTCAAAGCTCTCCAAGTGTCCCCTTGCAGATCCTACAAAAAGAGTGTTTCCAAACTACTCCATCAAAACGAGGGTTCAACACTGTGAGTTGAATGCACACATCAAAAAGAAGTTTCTGAGAATGCTTCTGTCTAATTTTTATGTGAAGATAATTCCTTTTCCACCATAGCCCTCAAAGCGCTCCAAATGTCCACTTGCAGATTTTACACAAAGACTGTTTCAAAACTGCTCTATGAAAAGGAAGATTCAACTCTGTGAGTTGAATGCACACATCACAAAGGAGTTTCTGAGAATGCTTCTGTCTAGTTTTTATGTGAAGATATTTCCTTTATTACAATAGCCCACAAAGAGCTTCAAATGTCCACTTGCAGGTTCTACAAAAAGAGTGCTGCAAAACTGCTCTATGAAAAGGTCTGTTCAACTCTGTGAGTTGAATGCAAACATCACAAAGAAGTTTCTGGGAATGCTTCTGTCTAGTTTTTATGTGAAGATATTTCTTTTTCCACCATAGCCCTCAAAGCGCTCCAAATGTCCACTTGGAGATCCTACAAAAAGAGTGTTTCAAAACTGCTCTATCAAAAGGAAGGTTCAACTCTGGGAGTTGAATGCATACATCAGAAAGTAGTTTCTGAGAATGCTTCTGTCTAGCTTTTATGAGAATATAATCCCGTTTCCAGCGATTGTTACAAATCTGTCCAAATATCCAGTTGAAGTTTCTACAAAAAGAGTGTTTCAAAACTGCTCTATCAAAAGGAAGGTTCAAATCTGTGAGTTGAATGCACACATCACAAAGAAGTTTCTGAGAATTCTACTGTCTAGTTTTGATGTAAAGATATTCCCATTTACTACAAAGGGCTCAAATTGGTCCAAATATCCACTTTTGGATTCCACAAAAAGAGTTATAAAACTGCTCTATCCAAAGAAATGTTCAACTCTGAGTTCAATGCACACATCACAAAGAACTTTCTGAAAATGCTTCTATATAGTTTTGATGTGAAGATATTTCCAGTTGCACCATAGCCCTCAAAGCCCTCCGAATGTCCACTTACAGAATTTACACAAATAGTGTTTCAAAACTGCTCTATGAAAACGAAGGTTCACCTCTTTGAGTTAAGTGCACACATCACATACAAGTTTCTGAGAATGCTTCTGTCTGGGTTTCATGTGAAGTTATTCCGGTTTCAACTATAGGCCTCAAAATGCTCCAAATATCCACTTGCAGATTCTACAAAAATAGTGTTTCAGAACTTCTGTATCAAAAGATATGCTCAACTCTGTGAGTTAAATTCAATCATTGCAAAGAAGTTTCTGAGAATTCTTCTGTCTAGTTCTTTTGTGAAGATCTTTTCTTTTCCACCGTAGGCCTCAAAGGTCTCCAAATGTCCACTTGCAAATTCTACAAAAAGAGTGTTTCAAGGCTCCACTATCAAAAGAAATGTTCAACACTTTGATTTGAATGAACACAACGCAAAGTATTTTCTGAGAATACTTCTGTCTAGTTTTTATATGAAGATATTTCCTTTCTTACCATAAGCCTCATAGTGCTCCAAATGTCCACTTTCAGATTCTACACAAAGAGTGTTGAAAAACTACTCTATCAAAAGGAAGATTCACGTCTGTAATTTGAATGCACACATCAAAAGAAGTTTCTGAGAATGCTTCTGTCTAGCTTTTATGTGAAGATATTCTCGTTTCCAACGAAGTCCTCAAACAGGTCCAAATATCCACTTGCAGATTCTAAAAAAAGAGTGTTTCAAAACTGCTCTATCATAAGGAAGTTTCACCTCTGTGAGTTGAATGCACACATCTCAAAGAAGTTTCTGAGAATTCTCCTGTCAAGTTTTTATTAGAAGATATACAAGTTTCCAACAAAGGCCACAAAGCAGTCCAAATATCCCCTTGCAGATTCTACAAAAAGAGTGTTTCAAAACTGTTTTATGAAAAGGTATGTTCTCCTCTGTGAGTTGAATGCAAACATCCAAGGAAGTTTCTGAGAATGCTTCTGTCTTGTTTTTATGTGAAGATATTTTCTTTTCCAACATAGACCTCAAAGTGCTGCAAATGCACACTTACAAATTCTACGAAAAGAGTATTTCAAAACTGTTCTATCAATAGGAATGTTCAACTCTGTGAGTTGAATCCAAACATCACAAAGAAGTTGCTGAGAATGCTTCTGTCGAGTTATGAGAAGATATAAACCTTTCCAAAGAAGGCCACAAAGAACTCCAAATATCCACTTGCAGAGTCTACAAAAAGAGTGTTTCAAACCTGCTCTATCAAAAGGAAGGTTCAACCCTGTAAGTTGAATGGACATATCACAAAGAAGTTTCTGAGAATCCTTCTGTCTTGTTTTTATGTGAAGATATTTCCTTTTCCACCGCTGGCCTCAATGTTCTCCAAATATTCACTTGAAGATTCTACAAAATAGTCTTTCAAAACTGTTTTATCAAAGGAAAGTTTCAACTCTGTCAGATGAATGCACACATCACAAAGTATTTTCTAAGAATGCTTCTGTCTAGTTTTTATGGGTAGATATTTCATTTTCCGACATAAGCATCAATGCACTCCAAATATCCACTTGCGGATTGTAGAAAAAGTGTGTTCCAAAAGTGTTCTATCAAAAGAATGGTTCAACACTGTGAATTGAATGCACACATCACAAAGTAGTTTCTGAGAACGTTTCTGTCTAGTTTTTATATGAAGATATCTTGTTTTCCAACATAGGCCTCAAAGGAAGCAAAATATCCCCTTGCAGGTACTACAAAAAAAGTGTTTCAAAACTGCTCTATCAAAAGAAATGTTCAACTCTGTGAGTTAAATGCACACATCACAAAGAAGTTTCTCAGAATGCTTGTGTCTAATTTTTAAGTGAAGATATTTTGTTTTCCAACATCTGCCACAAAGGGAAACAAATATCCCCTTTCAAATTCTACAAAAAGAGTGTTTCAAAACTGCTGTATGAAAAAAAGGTGACTGTTTCAAAACTGCTCTATGAAAAGGAGGGTTCAACTCTGTGAGTTAAATGCACACATCACAAAAAAGTTTCTCAGAATGCTTGTGTCTAATTTTTACGTGAAGATATTTTGTTTTCCAACATTTGCCACAAAGGGAAACAAATAACCCCTTTCGAATGCTACAAGAAGAGTGTATCAATACTGCTGTATCAAAAGAAAGGTGACTGTTTCAAAACTGTTCTATGAAAAAGAAGGTTCAAATCTATGAGATGAAAGCAAACATGACAAAGAAGTTTCTGAGAATGCTTCTGTCTCGTTTTTATGTGAAGATATTTCCTTTTCCACCATAGGCCTCAACGTGTTCCAAATGAACACTTGCAGATTCTACAAAAAGACTGTTTCAAAAGTGCTCTATCAAAAGAAAGGTTCAAATCTGTGAGTTGAATACACACATCACAAAGCAGTTTCTGAGAATACTTCAGTCTAGTTTTTATGTGAAGATAAACCCGTTTCCAACGAAGGCCTCAAAGAGCTCCAAAGATCCACAAGCAGATTCTACAAAAGGAGTGTTTCAAAACTGCTCTATCAAAAGAAACGTTCAACTCTGTTAGTTGAATGCGCTCATCACAAAGAAGTTTCTCAGAATACTTGTGTCTAATTTTTATGTGAAGATATTTTGTTTTCCAACATTTGCCACAAAGGGAAACAAATATCCCCTTGCAAATTCTACAAAAAGAGAGTTTCAAAACTGCTCTATCAACAGAAAGTTTCAACTCTGTGAGTTGAATGCACACATCCACAGAAGTTTCCGAGAATGCTTCTGTCTAGTTTTTATGTGAAGATATTTCGTTTTCCACCATAGGTTTCCAAGCGCTCCAAATATCAACTTGCAGATTCTTAAAAAAGAGTATTTCAAAACTTCTGCTTCAAAACAAAGTTTCAACTCTGTGAGTTGAATGCACACATCGCAAAGAAGTTTCTGAGAATGCTTCTGTCCACTTTTTATGTGAAGATATTTCCTTTTACACCATAGGCGTCAAAGCGCTCCTAGTATCCACATGCAGATTCTACAAAAAGAGTGTTTCAAAACTTCTCTATCAAAGGAAATGTTCAACTCTGTGAGTTGAATGCACACATCACAAAGAAGTTTCTGAGAATGCTTGTGTCTAGTTTTTATGTGAAGATAGTTCGTTTTCCAACATAGGCAACAAAGGAAACAAAATATCCCCTTGTAAAATCTGCAAAAACAGTGTTTCAAAACTGCCCTATCAAAGAAAGGTTCTACTCTGTTAGTTGAAGGCACACATCCAAAGAAGTTTCCGAGAATGCTTCTGTGTAGTTTTTATGTTAAGATATTTCCCTTTTCACCATAGTCCTCAAAGGGAACGAAATATCCACTTGTAGATTCTGCAAAAAGAATGTTTCAAAACTTCTCTATGAAAAGAGAGCTTAAACTCTTTGAGTTGAATGCACACATCACAAAGAAGTTTCTGAGAATGCTTCTGTCATTTTTTTTTTGTGACGATATTTCCTTTTCAACCATAGCCCTCCAAGTGCTCCAAATATCCATTTGCAGATTCTACAAAAAGAGTGTTTCAAAACTGCTCTATCAATAGAAAGGTTCAACTCTGTGAGTTGAATGCACACATCACAAAGAAGTTTCTGAGAATGCTTCTGTCTAGTTTTTATGTGAAAATATTTCCTTTTTCACCGTAGGCCTCAAAGGGAACCAAATATCCACTTGCAGATTCTACAAAAAGTGTGTTTCAAAACTTCTCTATCATCAGAAGAAAGGTTCAACTCTGTGAGTTGAATGCATACATCACAAAGAAGTGTGGGAGAATGATTCTGTCTAGTTTTTATGTGAAGATATTTCCTTTTCCACCATAGCCCTCCAAGCGCTCCAAGTGTCCACTTCCAGATTCTACAAAAGGAATGTTTCAAAACTATTCGATCAAAAGAAAGATTCCATTTATTTACATTTAAAGTTAATATTGTTATGTATGAATTTGATCCTGTCATTATGATGTTAATGGGTTATTTGGCTTGTTAGTTGATGCAGTTTCTTCCTAGTCTCGATGGTCTTTAAATTTTGGCATGATTTTACAGTGGCTGGTATCAGTTGTTCTTTTCCATCTTTAGCGCTTCCTTCAGGAGCTCTTTTAGGGCAGGCCTGGTGGTGACAAAATCTCTCAGCATTTGCTTCTCTGTAAAGTATTTTATTTCTCCTTCACTTATGAAGCTTAGTTTGGCCAGATATGAAATTGTGGGTTGAAAATTCTTTTCTTTAAGATTGTTGAATATTGGCCCCCACTCTCTTCTGGCTTGTAGGGTTTCTGCGGAGAGATCTGCTGTTAGTCTGATGGGCTTCCTTTTGAGGGTAACCCGACCTTTCTCTCTGGCTGCCCTGAACATTTTTTCCTTCATTTCAAATTTGGCGAACCTGACAATTATGTGTCTTGGAGCTGCTCTTCTTGAGGAGTATCTTTGTGTCATTCTCTGTATTTCCTGAATCTGAATGTTGGCCTGCCTTGCTAGATTGGGGAAGTTCTCCTGGATAATATCCTGCAGAGTGTTTTCCAACTTGGTTCCATTCTCCCCATCACTTTCAGGTACACCAATCAGACGTAGATTTGGTCTTTTCACATAGTCCCATATTTCTTGGAAGCTTTGCTCATTTCTTTTTTTTTTCTCTAAACTTCCCTTCTCACTTCATTTCATTCACTTCATCTTCCATCGCTGATACCCTTTCTTCCAGTTGATTTCATCAGCTCCTGAGGCTTCTGCATTCTTCACGTAGTTCTCAAGCATTGGTTTTCAGCTCCATCAGCTCCTTTAAGCACTTCTCTGTATTGGTTATTCTACTTATACATTCTTCTAAACTTTTTTCAAAGTTTTCAACTCTTTGCCTTTGGTTTGAATCTCCTCCCATAGCTCGGAGTAATTTGATTGTCTGAAGCTTTCTTCTTCTCTCAGCTCGTCAAAGTCATTCTCAGTCCAGGTTTGTTCCTTTTCTGGTGAGGAACTGTGTTCCTTTCGAGGAGGAGAGGCACTCGGCTTTTTAGAGTTTCCAGTTTTTCTGCTCATTTTTTTCGCCATCTTTGTGGTTTTATCTACTTTTGCTCTTTGATGATGGTGATGTGCAGATGGGTTTTTGGTGTGGATGTCCTTTCTGTTTGTTAGTTTTCCTTCTAACAGACAGGACTCTCTGTCTGCACGTCTGTTGGAGTACCCGGCTGTGTGAGGTGTCAGTCTGCCCCTGCTGGCGGGTGCCTCCCAGTTAGGCTGCTTGGGGGTCAGGGGTCAGGTACCCACTTGAGGAGGCAGTCTGCCCGTTCTCAGATCTCCAGCTGCATACTGGGTGAACAAATGCTCTCTTCAAAGCTGTCAGACAGGGACATTTAATTCTGCAGAGGTTACTGCTGTCTTTTTGTTTGTCTGTGCCCTGCACCCAGAGGTGGAGCCTACAGAAGCAGGCAGGCCTCCTTGAGCTGTGGTGGGCTATATCCAGTTCGAGCTTCCTGGCTGCTTTGTTTACCTAGGCACGCCTGGGCAATGGTGGGTGCCCCTCCCCCAGCCTCACTGCCACCTTGCAGTTTGATCTCAGACTGCTGTGCTAGCAATCAGTGAGACTCCGTGGGCATAGGACCCTCTGAGCCAGGTGCAGGCTATAATCTCCTGGTGCACCGTTTTTTAAGCCCATCAGAAAAGCTCAGTATTAAGGTGGGAGTGACCCGATTTCCCAGGTGCTGTCCGTCACCCCTTTCTTTGAGTAGGAAAGGGAAATCCCTGACCTTTGCACTTCCTGGGTGATGCAATGTCTTGTCCTGCTTCAGCTCACACACAGTGTGTGCACCCACTTACATGCACCCACTGTCTGGCACTCCGTAGTGAGATGAACCCCATACTTAGCTGGAAATGTAGAAATCACCCATCTTCTGCGTCGCTCACACTGGTAGCTGTAGATGGGAGCTGTTCCTATTAACTTTAAATGTAAATGGACTAAATGCTCCAAATAAAAGTCACAGACTGGCAAATTGGACGAACAGGCAAGACCCATCAGAGTCCTCTATTCAGGAAACCCGTCTCACGTGCACAGACACACACAGGCTCAAAATAAAAGGATGGAGGAAGATCTACCAAGCAAATGGAAAACAAAAAAGGCAGGGGTTGCAATCCTAGTCTCTGATAAGACAGACTTTAAACCAACAAAGATCAAAAGAGGCAAAGAAGGCCATTACATAATGGTAAAGGGATCAATTCAACAAGAAGAGCTAACTATCCTAAATATACATGCACCCAATACAGAAGCACCCAGATTCATAAAGCAAGTCCTGGCTCACCTACAAAGAGACTTAGACCCCCACACATTAATAATGGGAGACTTTAACACCTCACTGTCAACATTAGACAGATCAACGAGACAAAAAGTCAACATGGATACCCAGGAATTGAACTAAGCTCTGCACCAAGCAGACCTAATAGACATCTACAGAACTCTCCACACCAAATCAACAGAGTATACATTCTTTTCAGCACCACACCACACCTATTCCAAAATTGACCACATACTTGGAAGTAAAGCTCTCCTCAGCAAATGTAAAAGAACAGAAATTGTAACAAACTATCTCTCAGACTACAGTGCAATCAAACTAGAACTCAGGATTAAAAATCTAACTCAAAACCGCTCAACTACATGGAAAACCTGCTCCTGAATTACTAGTTGGTACATAACGAAATGAAGGCAGAAATAAGGATGTTCTTTGAAACCAACGAGAACAAACACAACATACCAGAATCTCTGGGATGTATTCAAAGCAGTGTGTAGAGGGAAATTTATAACACTAAATACCCACAAGAGAAAGCAGGAAAGATCCAAAATTGACACCCTACTATCACAATTAAAAGAACTAGAAAAGCAAGAGCAAACACATTCAAAAGCTAGCAGAAGGCAAGAAATAGCTGAAATCAGAGCAGAACTGAAGGAAATAGAGATACAAAAAACCCTTCAAAAAATTAATGAATCCAGGAGCTGGTTTTTGGAAAGGATCAACAAAGTAGATAGACCACTAGCAAGACTAATAAAGAAAAAAAGAGAGAAAAATCAAATAGACGCAATAAAAAATGATAAAGGGGATATCACCACTGATCCCACAGAAATACAAACTACCATCAGAGAATACTACAAACACCTCAATGCAAATAAACTAGAAAATCTAGAAGAAATGGATAAATTCCTCGACACGTACACCCTCCCAAGACTAAACCAGGAAGAAGTTGAATCTCTGAATAGACCAATAACAGGATCTGAAATTGTGGCAATAATCAATAGTTTACCAACAAAAAAGAGTCCAGGACCAGATGGATTCACAGCACAATTCTACCAGAGGTACAAGGAGGAACTGGTACCATTCCTTCTGAAACTATTCCAATCATTAGAAAAAGAGGGAATCCTCCCTAAGTCATTTTATGAGGCCAGCATCATTCTGATACCAAAGCCAAGCAGAGACACAACCAAAAAAGAGAATTTTAGACCAATATCCTTGATGAACATTGATGCAAAAATCCTCAATAAAATACTGGCAAACCAAATCCAGCAGCACATTAAAAACTTATCCACCATGATCAAGTGGGCTTCATCCCTGGGATGCAAGGCTGGTTCAATATATGCAAATCAATAAAGGTAATCCAGCATATAAACAGAATCAAAGACAAAAACCACATGATTATCTCAATAGATGCAGAAAAGGCCTTTGACAAAATTCAACAACCCTTCATGCTAAAAACTCTCAAAAAATTAGGTATTGATGGGACGTATTTCCAAATAATAAGAGCTATCTAAGACAAACCCACAGCCAATATCATACTGAATGGGCAAAAACTGGAAGCATTCCCTTTGCAAACTGGCACAAGACAGGGATGCCCTCTCTCACTACACCTATTCAACATAGTGTTGGAAGTTCTGGCCAGGGCAATTAGGCAGGAGAAGGAAATAAAGGGCATTCAATTAGGAAAAGAGGAAGACACATTTTCCCTGTTTGCAGACGACATGTTTGTATATCTAGAAAACCCCGTTGTCTCAGCCCAAAATCTCCTTAAGCTGATAAGCAACTTCAGCAAAGTCTCAGGATACAAAATCAATGTACAAAAATCACAAGCATTCCTATACACAAACAACAGACAAACAGAAAGCCAAATCATGAGTGAACTCCCATTCGCAATTGCTTCAAAGAGAATAAAATACCTAGGAATCCAATTTACAAGGGACGTGAAGGACCTCTTCAAGGAGAACAACAAACCACTGCTCAAGGAAATAGAAGAGGATACAAACAAATGGAAGAACATTCCATGCTCACGGGTAGGAAGAATCAATATCCTGAAAATGACCATACTGCCCAAGGTAATTTACAGATTCAATGTCATCCCCATCAAGCTACAAACGACTTTCTTCACAGAATTGGAGAAACCTACTTTAAAGTTCATATGGAACGAAAAAAGAGCCCGCATCGCAAAGTCAATCCTAAGCCAAAAGAACAAACCTGGAGGCATCACACTACCAGACTTCAAACTATACTGCAAGGCTACAGTAACCACACCAGCATGGTACTGGTACCAAAACAGAGATATAGATCAATGGAGCAGAACAGAGCCCTCAGAAATAACGCCGCATATCTACAACTATCTGATCTTTGACAAACCTGAGAAAAACAAGCAATGGGGAACGGTTTCCCTATTTAATAAATGGTGCTGGGAAAACTGGCTAGCCATATGTACAAAGCTGAAACTGGATCCCTTCCTTACACCTTATACAAAAATCAATTCAAGATGGATTAAAGACTTAAATGTTAGACCTAAAACCATAAAAACCCTAGAAGAAAACCTAGGCATTACCATTCAGGACATAGGCATGTGCACGGACTTCATTTCTAAAACACCAAAAGCAATGGCAACAAAAGCCAAAATTGACAAATGGGATCTCATTAAACTAAAGAGCTTCTGCACAGCAAAGGAAACTACCATCAGAGTGAACAGGCAACCTACAGAGTGGAAGAAAATTTTTGCAATCTACCCATCCGACAAAGGGCTAATATCCAGAATCTACAATGAACTCAAATTTACATGAAAAAAACAACCCCATCAAAAAGTGGGCGAAGGACATGAACAGACACTTCTCAAAAGAAGACATTTATGCAGCCAAAAACACATGAAAAAATGCTCATCATTACTGGCTATCAGAGAAATGCAAATCAAAACAACAATGAGATACCATCTCACACCAGTTAGAATGGCAATCATTAAAAAGTCAGGAAATGGCAGGTGCTGGAGAGGATGTGGAGAAATAGGAAGACTTTTACACTGTTGGTGGGACTGTAAAGTAGTTCAACCATTGTGGAAGTCAGTGTGGCAATTCTTCAGGGATCTAGAACTAGAAATACCGTTTGACCCAGCCATCCCATTACTGGGTATATACACAAAGACTATAAATCATGCTGCTATAAAGACACATGCACACGTATATTTATTGTGGCATTATTCACAGTAGCAAAGATTTGGAACCAACCTAAATGTCCAACAAGGATAGACTGGATTAAGAAAATGTGGCACATATACACCATGGAATACTATGCAGCCATAAAAAATGATGAGTTCATGACCTTTGTAGGGACATGGATGAAATTGGAAATCATCATTCTCAGTAAACTATCGCAAGGACAAAAAACCAAACAACGCATATTCTCACTCATAGGTGGGAATTGAACAATGAGATCACATGGACACGGGAAAGGGAACATCACACTCTGGGGACTGTTGTGGGGTGGGGGTAGAGGGGAGGGATAGCACTGGGAGATATACTTAATGCTAGATGACGAGTTAGTGGGTGCAGTGCACAAGAATGGCACATGTATACATATGTAACTAACCTGCACAATGTGCACATGTATCCTAAAACTTAAAGTATAATAAAAAAAATTGTTTTCAAACTGCTCAATCAAAGGAAAGGTTCACCTCTGAACTGGATGTACACATCATAAAGAAGTCTCTGAGAATGCTTCTGTCTGGTTTTTATGTTAAGATATTTCGTTTTTGAACATAAGCCTCAATGGAAACAAAATATCCACTAGCAGATTCTACAAAAAGTGTGTTTCAAAACTGCTCTTTCAAAGAAAGGTTAAACTCTGTGAGTTGAATGCACACATCAAAAAGAAGTTTCAGTGAATGCTCCTTTCTAGTTTTTATGTGTAGATATTACGTTTTCCAACATAGGCCTCAAAGGAAACAAAATAGCCACTTGCAGATTCTACAGAAAGAGTGTTTCAAAACTTCTCTATCAAAACAAAGTTTCACCTCTGGGGTTGAATGCTCACATCAGAAAGAAGTTTCTGAGAATGCTTGTGTGTAGTTTTTATGTGAGGATATTTCGTTTTCCAACATAGGCCACAAAGGGAACAAACTGTCCCTTTGCAAATTCTATAAAAAGACTATTTCAAACTGCTTTATCAAAAGAAAGGTTCAACTCTGTGAGTTGAATGCACACATCCAAATAAGTTTCTGAGAATGCTTCTGTCTATTTTTTATGTGAATATATTACCTTTTCCACCATAGGCCTCCAAGCACTCCAAAAACCCACTTCCAGATTCTACAAAGAGAGTGTTTCAAAATTGCTCTATCAAAAGAATCTTTCAGCTCTTTGAGTTGAATGCACACATCACAAAGAAGTTTCTGAGAATGCTTTTGTCTAGTTTTTGTGAGAAGATATTTTGCTTTCCACCACAGCCCTCCAAATGCTCAAAATACCCACTTGCAAATTCTTCAAAAAGAGTGTTTCAACACTGCTCTATCAAAAAAAAAGGTTCAACTCTGTGAGTTGAATTCACACATCACAAAGAAGTTTCGCAGAATGCTTGTGTCGAGTTTTTATGTGAAGATATTTCCTTTTCCACAATAGGACATAAAGTGCCCCAAATATCCATTTGCAGATACTACAAAAGGAGTGTTTCAAAACTGCTCAGTCAAAAGAAAGGTTCAACTCTGTGAGTTGAATGCACACATCACAATGAAATTTCTGAGAATGCTTCTGTCTAGATTTTATGAGAAGGTATTTCGTTTTCCCCAAAGGCATCAAAGAAAACAAAATATCCACTTGCAGACGCTACAAAAACAGTGTCTCAAAACTGCTCTATCAAAAGAAATGTTCAGCTCTGTGAGTTGAATGCACACATCACAAAGAAGTTTCAGAGAATCCTTCTGTCTAGTTTTTATGAGAAGATATTTTGTTTTCCCCATAGGCCTCAATAAAACAAAATACCCACTTGCAGATTCTACAAAAAGAGTGTTTCAAAACTGCTCTATAAAAAGAAAGGTTCAACTCTGTGAATTTTTTGCACACATCACAAAGAAGTTTCCTGGAATGCTTCTGTCTAGTTTTTATGTGAAGATATTTCCTTTTCCAACATAGCACTCCAACGCGCCAAATATCCACTTGCAGATTCTACAAAAAGTGTGTTTCAAAACTGCTCTATCAAAAGAAAGGTTCAACTCTGTGAGTTGAATGCACCCATCACAAAGCAGCTTCTGAAAATGCCTCTTTCTAGTTTTACTGTGAAGATATTACCCTTTCCACCATAGCCCTCAAAGTGCTCCAAATGTTCACATGCAAATTCTACAAAAAGAGTGTTTCAAATCTGCTCTATTAAAAGAAAGGTTCAACTCTGTGAGTTGAATACACACATCGCAAAGTGTTTCCTGAGAATGCTTCTGTCTAGTTTTTATATGAAGGTATTTCCTTTTAAACCATAGACCTCAAATCGCTCCAATTATTCACCTGCAGATTCTAGAAAAAGAGTGTTTGAAAACTGTTCTATCAAAAGGAAGGTTCATGACTGTGAGTTGAATGCACATGACACAAAGAAGTTTCTGAGAATGCTTCTGTCTATTTTTTTAAGTGAAGATATTCCCGTCTCCACCGAAGGCATCAAAGAGCTCAAAATATCCACCTGCTGATACAACAAAATGAATGTTTCAAAACTGCTCTATGAAAAGAAAAGTTCAACTCTGTTAGTTGAATGCACATATCACAAAGCAGTTTCTGAGAATGCTTCTGTCTAGTTTCTGTATGAAGATATTCCCTTTTCCACCACAGGCCTCTAAGTGCTCCAAATGTACACATGCAGATTCTACAAAAAGAGTATTTCAAAACTGCTCTATCAAAAGCAATGTACAACTCTCTAATTTGAATGCAAATATCACAAAGAAGTTTCTGAGAATGCTTCTGTCTAGTTTTTATGTGAAGATATTTCCTTTTTCACCACAGGCTTCAAAGCCCTCCAATGTCCACTAGCAGATTCTACAAAAAGAGTGCTTCAAAACTGCTCTATCAAAGGAACGGTGCAACTCTGTGAGTTGAATTCTCACATGACAAAGAAGTTTCTGAGAATTCTTCTGTCTAGTTTTTATGTGAAGATATCCCCGCTTCCACTGAATGCCTCAAAGCACTCCGAATATCCACTTGCAGATTCTAGAAATAGAATGTTTCAAAACTGCTCTATGAAAAGGAATGTTCAACTCTGTGAGTTGAATGCAAACATCACAAAGAAGTTTCTGAGAATGCTTCTGTGTAGTTTTTATATGAAGATATTTCCTTTTCTACCATAGGTTTCAACGCATTCCACACATCAAAAATCAGTTTCTGAGAATTTTGATGCACACATCAGAAATCAGTTTCTGATAATGCTTCTGCCTATTTTTATATGAAGATATTTCCTTTTTCACCGTACATCTCAAAGCGCTCCTAATGTCCACTCGCAGATCTTACAAAAAGACTGTTTCAAAACTGCTCTATCAAAAGAAAGGTTAAACTCTGTGAATTGAATGCAAACATCACAAAGCAATTTCTGAAAATGCTTCTGTCTAGTTTTTATATGAAGATATTTCCTTTTCTACCATTGGCCTCAAAGTGCTCCAAATTTCCACTTGCAGATTCTACAAAAAAGAGTGTTTCAAAACTCCTCTATCAAAAGGAAAGTTCATCTCTCTGCGTTGAATGCACACATCACAAAGAAGCTACTGAGAATACTTCTGTCTATTTTTTATGTGAAGATATTCCCATTTCCACCATAGGCCTCAAAGAGCTCAAAATATCCACATGCAGATTTTACAAAAAGAGTGTTTCAAAACTGTTGTATCAAAAGAAATGTTCAATTTGCTTAGTTGTGGGTACATCACAAAGCAGTTTCTGACAATGCTTCTGTCAAGTTTCTGTATGAAGATATTTCCTTTTCCACCAAAGGCCTCTAAGCACTCCAAATGTCCACATGCAGATTCTACAAAAAGAGTATTTCAAAACTGCTCTATCAAAAGAAATGTACAACTCTGTGATTTGAATGCAGACATCACAAAGAAGTTTATGAGAATGCTTCTGTCTAGTTTTTATGGGAAGATATTCCCTTTTCCACCAGAGACCTCAAAGCGCTCAAAATATCCACTTGCAGATTCTACAAAAAGAAGAGTGTTTCAAAACTCCTCTATGAAAAGGATGGCACATGTATACATAAGTAACTAACTGGCACAATGTGCACATGTACCCTAAACCTTAAAGTATAATACTAAAAGAAAAAAAGAAAAAAAAAAAGAAAAGGAATATTCAACCCTGTGAGTTGAATGCAAACATATCAAAGAAGTTTCAGAGAATGATTCTGTCTACTTTTTAACTGAAGATATTTCGTTTCCCAACACAGGCCACAAAGGAAACAAAATATACACTTGTAGATACTATAAAAAGATTGTTTCAAAACTGCTCTATCGGCCGGGCGTGGTGGCTCACGCCTGTAATCCTAGCACTTTGGGAGGCCGAGACGGGCGGATCACGAGGTCGGGAGATCGAGACCATCTTGGCTAACACGGTGAAACCCCGTTTCTACTAAAAATACAAAAAATTAGCTGGGCGTGTTGGCGGGCGCCTGTAGTCCCAGCTACTTGGGAGGCTGAGGCAGGAGAATGGCATGAACCTGGGAGGCGGAGCTTGCAGTGAGCCGAGATCGCGCCACTGCACTCCAACCTGGGAGACACAGCGAGACTCCGTCTCAAAAAAAAAAAAAAAAAAAAAAAAAACAAAAAAAAAAACTGCTCTATCAAAAGGAAGTTTCAACTGTCTGAGTTGAATGCACACATCACAAAGAACTTTCTGAGAATGCTTCTGTCTAGTTTTTATGTGAAGATATTCCCGTTTCCAATGAAGGCCTCAAAGCCGTCAAATTATCCTCTTGCAGAATCTACAAAAAATGTGTTTCAAACTGCTCTGTGAAAAGGAGTGTTCAAGTCTATGAGTTGAATGCAAACATCACAAAGAAGTTTGTGGGAGTGCTTCTGTCTATTTTTTATGTGAAGATATTTCCTTTTTCACCATAGGCCCCAAAGCCCTCCAAATGTCCACTTGCAGATTCTGCAAAAAGAGTGTTACAGAACAGCTCTATCAAAAGAAAGGTTCAACTCTGTGAGTTGAATGCACACATCACAAAGCAGTTTCTGAGAATGCTTCTGTCTTGTTTTTAAATGAAGATACTTCCTTTTCTACCATATGCCTCAAAGTGCTGAAAATATCCACTTGCAGATTCTACGAAGGGTTTTTCAAAACTGCTCTATCAAAAGGAAGGTTCAACTCAGTGAGATGAATGCACACATCACAAAGAAGTTTCTGAGAATGCTTCTGTCTAGTTTTTATGTGAAGATATTTAATTTTCCACCACTGGCCTCTAAGTGTGCCAGATGTCCACTTGCAGATTGTACAAAAAGAGTGGTTGAAAACTGATCTATCAAAGGAAAGGTACAACTCTGTGAGTTGAATGCACACATCTAAAAGAAGTTTCTGAGAATGCTTCTGTCTAGTTTTTATGTGAAGATTTTCCCGTTTCCAATGAAGGCTTCAAAGCACTCCAAATATCCACTTGCAGTTTCTACAAAAGGGTGTTTCAAATTGCTCAATGAAATGGCAAGTTCAACTCTGTGAGTTGAATGCAAGCATCACAAAGAAGTTTCTGAGAATGCTTCTGTTTACTTTTTATGTGAAGAAATTTCCATTTCGACCGTAGCCCGCAAAGTGCTCCAAATGTCCATTTGCAGATTCCAAAAAAATAATGTTTCAAATTTTTCTATGAAAAGAAAGGTTAAAATCTGTGAGTTGAAGGCACACATCACAAAGTACTTTCTGAGAATGATTCTGTCTACTTTTTGTATGAGGATATATACTTTTCTACCACAGGCACCAAAGCGCTCAAATATCCGCTTGCACATTCTACAAAAATTCAGAGTGCTCCAAATATCCACTTGCAGATTCAAAACTGCTCTATCAACAGGAAGGTTCAACTCTGTGAATTGAATGTAAACATCACAAGGAAGTTTCTGAGAATGTTTCTGTCTAGTTTTTATGTGAAAATATTCCCGTTCTCAAAAAAGGCTTCAAAGCGCTCCAATTATCCACTTGCAGATTCTACAAAAAGAGGGTTTCAAAACTGCTCTATCAAAAGGAAGTTTCAAGTCGGTGAGTTGAATGCACACATGAAAAAGTAGTTTCTGAGAATGCTTGTCTCTAGTTTTATGTGAAGATATTCCCGTTTCCAATGAAGGCCTCAAAGCAGTCCAAATATACACTTGCAGATTCTACAAAAAGAGTGTTTCAAAACTGCTCTATCAAAAGAAAGGTTCAACTCCGTGAGTTGAATGCAAACATCACAAAGAAGTTTCTGAGAATGCTTCTGTCTGGTTTTTATGTGAAGATATTTTCTTTTCCACCAAAGCCTTCAAAGCACTCCAAGTGTCCTTTTGCAGACACTACAAAAAGAGGGTTTCAAAACTGCTCTATCAAAAGAAAGGTTCAACTCTGTAAGTTGAATGCACACATCCCAAATTAGTTTCTGGGAATGCTTCTGTCTAGTTTTTATATGAAGTTATTTCCTTTTGTACCATAGGCCTCAAAGCGCTCCAAGTATCCTTTTGCAGATTCTACAATAAGAGTGTTTCAGAACTGCTCTATCAAAAGGAAGGTTCAACTCTGTGTGTTGAATTCACACATCACAAAGAAGTTTCTGAGAATGCTTCTGTCTAGTTTTTATGTGAAGATATTTCCGTTTCCCCCAAAGTCTTCAAAGCACTCCAAATATCCACCTTCAAATTCTACAAAAAGAGTGTTTCAAAGCTACTCTTTCAAACGGAAGGTTCCACTCTGTGATTTGAATGGACACATCACAAATAAGTTTCTGTGAATGCTTCTGTCTAGTTTTTCTGTGAAAATATTCACATTTCCAAAGATGGCTTCAAAGCACTCCTAATATCCACTTGCAGATTCTACATAAAGAGTGTTCCAAATTACTCTATGAAAAGGTATGCTCAACTCTGTGATTTGAATGCGCACATCACAACGAAGTTTCTGAGAATGCTTCTCTATAGTTTTTATGTGGAGATATTCCCGTTTCCAAAGAAGGCTTCAAAGTGCTCCAAATATCCACTTGCAGATTCTACAAAAAGAGTGTTTCAAAACTGCTCTATCAAAAGGATGGTTCAAGACTGTGAGTTGAATGCACACATAAAAAAGAAGTTTCTGAGAATGCTTCTATCTTGTTTTATGTGACGATAATCCTGTTTCCAAAGAAGGCTTCAAGGCCCTCCAAATATCCACTTGCATATTCTACAGAAAGAGTGTTTCAAAACTGCTCTATCAAAAAAAGGTTCAAGTTTGTGAGTTGAATGCACACATCAAAAAGAAGTTTCTGAGAATGCTTCTGTCTAGTTTTATGTGAAGATATTCCCATTTCCAACAAAGGCCTCAAAGCGGTCCAAACATCCACTTGCGAATTTTGCAAAAAAAGTGTTTCAAAACTGCTCTATCAAAAGAAAGGTTCAACTCCGTGAGTTAAATGCAAACATCACAAAGAAGTTTCTGAGAATGCTTCTGTGTAGTTTTTAAGTGAAGATATTTCCTTTTCCACCACAGCCCACAAAGTGCTCCAAATGTCCACTTGCAGATTCTACAAAAAGAGTGTTTCAAAAATGCTCTATCAAAAGAAATGTTAAACTCTGTGAGTTGAATGCACACATCACAAAGTAGTTTCTGAGAATGCTTCTGTCTAGTTTTTATATGAAGATACTTCCTTTTCTACCATAGGCCTCAAAGCGCTCCAAATATCCACTTGCAGATTCTACATAAAGAGTGTTGCAAAAATGCTCTACCTACAGAAAATTGCAACTCTGTGATTTGTATGCACACATCACAAAGAAGTTTCTGAGAATGCTTCCGTCTAGTTTTTATGTGAAGATATTCCCGTTTCCAATGAAGACTTCAAAGCACTGCAAATATTCACCTGCAGATTCTACAAAAAGCTTGTTTCAAAACTACACTTTAAAAGGAAGATTCAACTCTGTGAGTTGAATGCACAGATCACAAAGAATTTTCTGAGAATGCTTCTGTCTAGTTTTTACTTGAAGATACTTGCTTTTCAACCGAAGGCCTCAAAGAGCTCGAAATGTCCACTTGCAGAGTCTACAAAAAGAGTGTTTTGAAACTGCTCTATCCAAAGAAATGTTCTACTCTGTGAGTTGAACGCACACATCACAAAGGAGTTTCTCAGAATGCTTCTGCCTAGTTTTTATGTGAAGATATTCCCATTTCCAATGAAAGCCTCAAGGCGTTCCAAATGTCCAGTTGCAGATTCTACAAATGAGTGTTTCAAGACTGCTCTATGTAAAGTTATATTCAACTCTGTGAGTTGAAAGCAAACATCATAGAGAAGTTTCTGAGAATGCTTCCGTATAGTTTTTTTAAAAAATTATTATTATTCTTTAAGTTTTAGGGTACATGTGCGCAATGTTCCAGTTAGTTACATATGTATACATGTGCCATGGTGGTGCGCTGCACCCACTAACTCGTCATCTAGCATTAGGTATATCTCCCAGTGCTATCCCTCTCCCCTCCCCCAACCCCACAACATTCCTCAGAGTGTGATGTTTCCCTTCCTGTGTCCATGTGTTCTCATTGTTCAATTCCCACCTATGAGTGAGAATATGGGGTGTTTGGTTTTTTGTTCTTGTGATAATTTACTGAGAATGATGATTTCCAATTTCATCCATATCCCTACAAAGGACTTGAACTCATCATTTTTTATGGCTGCATAGTATTCCATGGTTTATGTATGTCACATTTTCTTAATCCAGTCTATCATTGTTGGACATTTGGGTTGGTTCCAAGTCTTTGCTATTGTGAATAATGCTGCAATAAACATACGGGTGCATGTGTCTTTATAGCAGCATGACTTATAGTCCTTTGGGTATATACCCAGTAATGGGACGGCTGGGTCAAACGGTATTTCTAGTACTAGATCCCTGAGGAATTTCCACACTGACTTCCACAATGGTTGAACTAGTTTACAGTCCCACCAACAGTGTAAAAGTCTTCCTATTTCTCCACATCCTCTCCAGCACCTGTTGTTTCCTGACTTTTTAATGATCGCCATTCTAACTTGTGTGAGATGGTATCTCATTGTTGTTTTGATTTGCATTTCTCTGATGGCCAGTGATGATGAGCATTTTTTCATGTGTTTTTTGGCTGCATAAATGTCTTCTTTTGAGAAGTGTCTGTTCATGTCCTTTGCCCACTTTTTGATGGGGTTGTTTGTTTTTTTCTTGTAAATTTGTTTGAGTTCATTGTAGATTCTGGATATTAGCCCTTTGTCAGATTAGTAAGTTGTGAAAATTTTCTCCCATTTTGTAGGTTGCCTGTTCAATCTGATGGTAGTTTCTGTTACTGTGCAGAAGCTCTTTAGTTTAATTAGATCGCATTTGTCAATTTTGGCTTTTGTTGCCATTGCTTTTGGTGTTTTAGACATGAAGTCCTTGCCCATGCCTATGTCCTGAATGGTAATGCCTAGGTTTTCTTCTAGGGTTTTTATGGTTTTAGGTCTAACGTTTATGTCTTTAATCCATCTTGAATTGATTTTTGTATAAGGTGTAAGGAAGGGATCCAGTTTCAGCTTTCTACATATGGCTAGCCAGTTTTCCCAGCACCTTTTTTAAAATAGGGAATCCTTTCCCCATTGCTTGTTTTTCTCAGGTTTGTCAAAGATTAGATAGTTGTAGATATGCGGCGTTATTTCTGAGGGTTCTGTTCTGCTCCATTGATCTATATCTCTGTTTTGGTACCAGTACCATGCTGGTTTAGTTACTGTAGCCTTGTAGTATAGTTTGAAGTCTGGTAGTGTGATGCCTACAGCTTTGTTCTTTTGGCTTAGAATTGACTTGGTGATGTGGGCTCTTTTTGGTTCCATATGAACTTTAAAGTAGGTTTCTCCAATTCTGTGAAGAAAGTTGTTTGTAGCTTGATGGGGATGGCATTGAATCTGTAAATTACCTTGGGCAGTATGGTCATTTTCAGGATATTGATTCTTCCTACCCATGAGCATGAAATGTTCTTCCATTTGTTTGTATCCTCTTTTATTTCCTTGAGTAGTGGTTTGTAGTTCTCCTTGAAGAGGTCCTTCACGTCCCTTGTAAGTTGGATTCCCAGGTATTTTATTCTCTTTGAAGCAATTGCGAATGGGAGTTCATTCATGATTTGGCTCTCTGTTTGTCTGTTGTTTGTGTATAGGAATGCTTGTGATTTTTGTACATTGATTTTGTATCCTGAGACTTTGGTGAAGTTGCTTATCCGCTGAAGGAGATTTTGGGCTGAGACGATGGGATTTTCTAGACATACAATCATGTCGTCTGCAAACAGGGACAATGTGACTTCCTGTTTTCCTAATTGAATACCCTTTAATTCCTTCTCCTGCCTAATTGCCCTGGTCAGAACTTCCAACACTATGTTGAATAGGAGTGGTGAGAGAGGGCATCCCTATCATGTGCCAGTTTGCAAAGGGAATGCTTCCAGTTTTTGCCCATTCAGTATGATATTGGCTGTGGGTTTGTCATAGATAGCTCTTATTATTTGGAATTACGTCCCATCAATACCTAATTTATTGAGAGTTTTTAGCATGAAGCGTTGTTGAATTTTGTCAAAGACCTTTTCTGCATCTATTGAGATAATCATGTGTTTTTTGTCTTTATTTCTGTTTATGTGCTGGATTACATTTCTTGATGTGTGTATATGGAACCATCCTTGCATCCCAGGGATGAAGCCCACTTGATTATGGTGGATAAGCTTTTTGATGTGCTGCTGGATTCGGTTTGCCAGTATTTTATTGAGGATTTTTGCATCAATGTTCTTCAAGGATATTGACCTAAAATTCTCTTTTTTTGTTGTGTCTCTGCCAGGCTTTGGTATCAGGATGATGCTGGCCTCATAAAATGAGTTAGGGAGGATTCTCTCTTTTTCTATTGATTGGAATAGTTTCAGAAGGAATGGTACCAGTTCCTCTTTTTACCTCCGGTAGAATTGTGCTGTGAATCCATCTGGTCCTGGACTCTTTTTCGTTGGTAAGCTATTGATTTTTGCCACAGTTTCAGATCCTGTTATTGGTCTATTCAGAGTTTCCACTTCCTCCCGGTTTAGTCTTAGGAGAGTGTAGGTGTTGAGGAATTTATCCATTTCTTCTAGATTTTCTAGTTTATTTGCGTAGAGGCATTTGTAGTATTCTCTGATGGTAGTTTGTATTTCTGTGGGATCGGTGGTGATATCGCCTTTATCATTTTTTATTGTGTCTATTTGATTCTTCTCTCTTTTTTTCTTTATTAGTCTTGCTAGCGGTATATCAGTTTTCTTGATCCTTTCAAAAAACCAGCTCCTGGATTCATTAATTTTTTAAAAGGTTTCTGTGTCTTTATTTCCTTCAGTTCTGCTCTGATTTCAGCTATTTCTTGCCTTCTGCTAGCTTTTGAATGTGTTTGCTCTTGCTTTTCTTGTTCGTTTAATTTTGATGTTAGGGTGTCAATTTTGGATCTTTCCTGCTTTCTCTTGTGGGCATTTAGTGCTATAAATTTCCCTCTACACACTGCTTTGAATGCATCCCAGAGATTCTGGTATGTTGTGTCTTTGTTCTCGTTGGTTTCAAAGAACATCTTTATTTCTGCCTTCATTTCGTTATGTACCAACTAGTCATTCAGGAGCAGGTTGTTCAGTTTCCATGTAGTTGAGCGGTTTTGAGTGAGATTCTTAATCCTGAGTTCTAGTTTGATTGCACTGTGGTCTGTGAGATAGTTTGTAATAATTTCTGTTCTTTTACATTTGCTGAGGAGAGCTTTACTTCCAAGTATGTGGTCAATTTTGGAAGAGGTGTGGTGTGGTGCAGTGCTGAAAAACATGTATATTCTGTTGATTTGGGGTGGAGAGTTCTGTAGATGTCTATAAGGTCCACTTGGTGCAGAGCTGAGTTCAATTGCTAGGTATCCTTGTTGACTTTCTGTCTCGTTGATCTGTCTAATGTTGACAGTGGGGTGTTAAAGTCTCCCATTATTAATGTGTGGGAGTCGAAGTCTCTCTGTACGTCACTCAGGACTTGCTTTATGAATCTGGGTGCTCCTGTATTGGGTGCATATATATTTAGGATAGTTAGCTCTTCTTGTTGAATTGATCCCTTTACCATTATGTAATGGCCTTTTTTGTCTCTTTTGAGCTTTCTTGGTTTAAAGTCCATTTTATCAGAGACTAGGGTTGCAACCCCTGCCTTTTTTGGTGTTCCATTTGCTTGGTAGATCTTCCTCCATCCTTTTATTTTGAGCCTATGTGTGTCTCTGCACGTGAGATGGGTTTCCTGAATACAGCACAGTGATGGGTCTTGATTCTTTATCCAATTTGCCAGTCTGTGTCTTTTAATTGGAGCATTTAGTCCATATACATTTAAAGTTAATATTATTATGTTTGAATTTGATCTTGTCATTATGATGTGAACTGGTCATTTTGCTCGTTATTTGATGCAGTTTCTTCCTAGTCTTGATGGTCTTTACATTTTGTAATGATTTTGCAGCGGCTGGTACCTGTTGTTCCTTTCCATGTTTAGCACTTCCTTCAGGAGCTCTTTTAGGGCAGGCCTGGTGGTGACAAAATCTCTCAGCATTTGCTTATCTGTAAAGTATTTTATTTCTCCTTCACTTATGAAGCTTAGTTTGGCTGGATATGAAATTCTGGGATGAAAATACTTTTCTTTATGAATGTTGAATATTGGCCCCCACTCTCTTATGGCTTGTAGAGATTCTGCTGAGAGATCTACTGTTATTCTGATGGGCTTCGCTTTGAGGGTAACCCAACCTTTCTCTCTGGCTGCCCTGAGCATTTTTTCCTTCATTTCAACTTTGGTGAACCTGACAATTATGTGTCTTGGAGTTGCTCTTCTCAAGGAGTATCTTTGTGGGGTTCTCTGTATTTCCTGAATCTGAATGTTGGCCTGCCTTGCTAGATTGGGGAAGTTCTCCTGGATAATATCCTGCAGAGTGTTTTCCAACTTGGTTGCATTCTCCCCATCACTTTCAGGTACACCAATCAGACGTAGATTTGTTCTTTCCATATAGTCCCATATTTCTTGGAGGCTTTGCTCATTTCTTTTTTTTCTTTTTTCTCTAAACTTCCCTTCTCACTTCATTTCCTTCATTTCATCTTCCATCACTGATACCCTTTCTTCCAGTTAATTGCATCAGCTCCTGAGGCTTCTGCATTTTTCACGTAGTTCTCGAGCCTTGGTTTTCAGCTCCATCAGCTCCTTTAAGCACTTCTTCATATTGGTTATTCTAGTTATACATTCTTCTAATTTTTAAAAAATGTTTAGAACTTCTTTGCCTTTGGTTTGAATGTCCTTCTATAGCTCGGATTAATTTGATCATGTGAAGCCTTCTTCTCTCAGCTCGTCAAAGTCATCCTCCATCCAGCTTTGCTCCGTTGCTGATGGGGAACTGTGTTCCTTTAGAGGAGGAGAGGTACTCAGCTTTTTAGAATTTCCAGTTTTTCTGCTCGTTTTTTTCCCCATCTTTGTGGTTTTATCTACTTTTGGTCTTTGTTGATGGTGATGTACACATGGGTTTTTGGTGTGGATGTCCTTTGTGTTTGTTAGTTTTCCTTCTAACAGACAGGACCCTCAGATGCAGGTCGGTTGGAGTACCCGGCCGTGTGAAGTGTCCGTCTGTCCCTGCTAGGGGGTGCCTCCCAGTTAGGCTTCTTGGGGGTCAGTGGTGAGGGACCCACTTGAGGAGGCAGTCTGCCCATTCTCAGATCTCCAGGTGTGTGCTGGAGGAACGGCTGCTCTCTTCAAAGCTGTCAGACAGGGACATTTAAGTCTGCAGAAGTTACTGCTGCCTTTTTGTTTGTCTGTGCCCTGCCTGCAGAGGTGGAGCCTACAGTGGCAGGCAGGCCTCCTTGAGCTGTGGTGGACTCCACCCAGTTCGAGCTTCTGGGCTGCTTTGTTTACCTAGGCAAGCCTGGGCAATGGTGAGCACCCCTCCAGCAGCCTCGCTGCCGCCTTGCAGTTTGATCTCATACTGCTGTGGTAGCAATCAGCAAGACTGCATGGGCGTAGGACCCTCTGAGCCATGTGCAGGATATAATCTCCTGGTGCCCATTCCCCAAGCCCATAGGAAAAGTACAGCACTTGGGTGGGAGTGACCCGACTTTCCCGGTGACGTCCATCACCCCTTTCTTTGACTAGGAAGTGGAACTCCCTGACCCTTTGCACTTCCTGAGTGAGGCAATGCCTCACTATGTTTCAGCTCACACACGGTGCACGCACCCACTGAACTGCATCCACTGTCGGGCACTCCGCAGTGAGATGAACACGGTACCTCAGATGGAAATGCAGAAATCACCCATCTTCTGCCTCACTCACAGTGGGAGTTGTAGACCGGAGCTGTTCTTATTCAGGCACCTTGGCTCCTCCCTCTGTCTAGTTTTTATGTGAAGATATTTCCCTTTCCACCATAGCCCTCAAAGTGCTCCAAATGTTCACATGCAAATTCTACAAAAAGAGCGTTTCAAAACTGCTCTATTAAAAGAAAGGTTCAACTCTGTGAGTTGAATACACACATCACAAAGTGTTTCCTGAGAATGCTTCTGTCTAGTTTTTATATGAAGGTATTTCCTTTTCTACCATAGGCCTCAAATCGCTCCAATTATTCACCTGCAGATTCTAGAAAAAGAGTGTTTGAAAACTGTTCTATCAAAAGAAAGGTTCATGACTGTGAGTTGAATGCACATGACACAAAGAAGTTTCTGAGAATGCTTCTGTCTAGTTTTTATGTGAAGATATTTCTTTTTCCACCACAGCCCTCAAAGTGCTCCAAATGTCCACTTGCAGATTCTACAAAAAGAGTGTTTCCAAACTGCTCTATCAAAAGAGGTTAAACTCTGTGAGTTGAATGCACACATCACAAAGTAGTTCCTGAAAATGCTTCTGTCTATTTTTTATATGAAGATATTTCCTTTTCTACAAAAGGCCTCAAAGCGCTCTAAATATCCACTTGCAGATTCTACAAAAACACCATTGCAAAACTGCTCTATCAAAAGAAAGGTTCAACTCCGTGAGTTGAATGCAAATATCACAAAGAAGTTTCTGAGAATGCTTCTGTCTAGGTTTTATGTGAAGATAATTCTTTTTCCACAGTTGGCCTCAAAGAGCTCAAAATGTCCCCGTGTAGAATCAACAATAAGAGTGTTACAAAACTTCCCTATTGAAAGAGTGGTTCAAATCTGTTAGTTGAATGCACACATCACAAAGAAGTTTCTGAGAATGCTTCTGTCTAATTTTTATGTGAAGATATACCCATTTCCAATGAAGGTCTCAAAGAAGTCCAAATATCCACTTACAGATTGTATAAAAAGAGAGTTTCAAAACTGCTCTATGAAAAGGTGGGTTCAAATCTGTGAGTTGAGTGCAAACATCACAAAGATGTTTCTGAGAATGCTTCTGTCTAGTTTTTATGTGAAGATATACCCGTTTCCAATGAAGGCCTCAAAGTGGTCCAAATATCCACTTGCAGATTCTACAAAAAGAGAGTTTCAAAACTGCTCTACAAAAAGGTGTGTTCAAATCTGTGAGTTGAATGCACACATCAAAAAGAAGTCTGAGAATGCTTCTGTCTAGTTTTTATGTGAAGATACTTCCTTTTCCACAGAAGGCCTCAAAGTGGTCTAAATATACACTTACAGATTCTACAAAGGAGAGTTTCAAAACTGCTCTATGAAAAGGTGTGTTCAAATCTGTGAGTTGAGTGTAAACATCACAAAGAAGTTTCTGAGAATGTTTCTGTCTGATTTTTATATGAAGATATTTCCTTTTCCATCATAGCCCTCAAAGAGCTCTAAATGTCCACTTGCAGATCCTACAAAAAGAGTGTTTCAAAATTGCTCTATCAAAAGAAAGGTTCAACTATGTAAGTTGAATGCACACAACACAAAGAAATTTCTGAGAATCCTTCTGTCTAGTTTTATGCGAAGATATTCCTGTTTCCAACAAAGGCCTTAAAGTGGTCCAAATATGCACTTGCAGATTCTACAAAAAGAGTGTTTCAAAACTGCTCTTTCAAAAGGAAAGTTCAACTCTGTGACTTGAATGAAAACATGACAAAGAATTTTCTGAGAACACTTCTGTCTAGTTTTTATATGAAGATATTCCTGTTTCCAATGAAGGCTTCAAAGCGGTGAAATTATCCACCTGCAGATCCTAAAAAAAGCGTGTTTCGAAAGTGCTCTATAAAAAGGAAGGTTCAAATCTGTGAGTTGAATGCACACATCACAAAGAAGTTTCTGAGAATGCTTCTGTCTAGTTTTTATATGAAGATATTTCTTTTTCTACCATAGGCCTCAAAGCGCTCCAAATATCCACTTGCAGATTCTACAAAAAGAGTGTTTCAAAACTTCTCTATCAAAAGGAAGGTTCAACTCTCTGAGCTGAATGCACAAATCAGAAAGAAGTTTCTGAGAATGCTTCTGTTTAGTTTATATGCGATGATATTCCCGTTTCCAACGAAGGCCTCAAAGCAGTCTAAATATCCACTTGCAGATTCTGTAAATAGTCGTTTCAAAACTGCTCTATCAAAATAAAGGTTAAACTCTGTGATTTGAATGCTCACGTCTCAAATGATTCTGTCTAGTTTTTATATGAAGATACTTCCTTTTCTACCATACGCCTCAAAGCGCTCCAAATATCCACTTGCAGATTCTACAAAAAGAGTGTTTCAAAACTTCTCTATCAAAAGGAAGGTTCAACTCTGTGAGTTGAATGCACAAATCAGAAAGAAGTTTCTGAGAATGCTTCTGTCTAGTTTATATGTGAAGATATTCCCGTTTCCAATGAAGGCCTTAAAGCAGTCCAAATATCCACTTGCACATTCTACAAAAAGAGTGATTCAAAACTGCTCTTTCAAAAGGAAGTTTCTACTCTCTGAGTTGAATGCAAACATGACAAAGAATTTTCTGAGAATGCTTCTGTGTAGTTTTTATATAAAGATATTCCCTTTTCCAAGGAAGTCCTCAAAGCGGTGCAATTATCCACTTGCAGATCCTAAAAAAAGTGTGTTTTGAAAGTGCTCTACAAAAAGGAAGGTTCAAATCTGTGAGTTGAATGCACACATCAGAAAGAAGTTTCTGAGAATGCTTCTAATTTTTATATGAAGATATTTCCTTTTCTACCATAGGCCTCAAAGCGCTCCAAATGTCTACTTGCAGATTCTACAGATTCTACAAAAAGAGTGTTTCAAAACTTCTCTATCAAAAGGAAGGTTCAACTCTCTGAGTTGAATGCACAAATCAGGAAGAAGTTTCTGAGAATGCTTCTCTCTAGTTTATATGTGAAGATATTCCCGTTTCCAATGAAGGCCTCAAAGCAGTCTAAATATCCACTTGCAGATTCTACAAAAGAACTTTTCAAAACTGCTCTATCAAAATAAAGGTAAAAGTCTGTGAGTTGAATGCTCACATCTTAAAGGAGTTTCTGAGAATGATCTGTCTGGTTTTTATATGAAGATACTTCCTTTTCTACCATAGGCCTCAAAGTGCTCCAAATATCAACTTGCAGATTCTACAGAAGGAGTATTTCTAAACTGCTCTATCAAAAGAAAGATTCAACTCTGTGAGTTGAATGCAAACATGACAACTAAGTTTCTGAGAATGCTTCTGTCTAGTTTTTATATAAAGATATTCCCATTTCCAACGATGTCCTCAAAACGGTCCAAATATCTACTTGCAGATACTACAAAACGAGTGATTCAAAACTGCTGTATCCAAAGGGATGTTCAACACTGTCAGTTGAAAGCACAAATCACAAAGAAGTTTCTGAGAATGCTTCATTCTGGTTTTTATGTGAAGGTATTTCCTATTCCACCAGAGCCCTCAAAGAGCTCCAAATGTCCACTTTCAGATTGTAAAAAAAGTGTGTTTCAAAACTGCTCTACAAAAACGAAGATTCAATTCTGTGAGTTGAATGCACATATCACAAAGAAGTTTCTGAGAAAGATTCTGTCTAGTTTTTTTGTGAACATATTTTCTTTTCCATGACAGAGCTCAAAGCACTCCAAATATCCACTTGCAGATCCTACAAAAAGAGTGTTTCAAAACTGCTCTATAAAAAGGAAGGTTCAAATCGCTGAGTTGAATGCACACATCACAAAGAAGTTTCTGAGAATGCTTCTTTCTAGTTTTTATGTGAAGATACTTCCTTTCCCACAGAAGACCTCGAAGAGCTCAAAACGTCCCTGTGTAGATTCAACAATAAGAGTGTTACAAAACTTCCCTATCGAAACAATGGTTCAATTCTGTGACTTGAATGCACACATCACAAAGAAGTTTCTGAGAATGCTTCTGTCTAGTTTTTATGTGAAGATATACCCGTTTCTAACGAAGGCCTCAAAGCAGTCCAAATATCCACTTACAGATTCTACAAAAACACAGTTTCAAAACTGCTCTACAAAATGTGTGTTCAAATCTGTGAGTTGAGTGCAAACATCACAAAGAAATTTCTGAGAATGTTTCTGTCTGGTTTCTATATGAAGATATTTCCTTTTCCACCATAGTCCTCAAAGAGCTCTAAATGTCCACTTCCAGATCCTACAAAAAGAGTGTTTCAAAACTTCTGTATCAAAAGAAAGGTTCAACCCTGTAAGCTAAATGCACACATCACAATGATATT
The DNA here is from genome assembly GCF_000001405.40 of Homo sapiens. Taxonomy (NCBI): domain Eukaryota; kingdom Metazoa; phylum Chordata; class Mammalia; order Primates; family Hominidae; genus Homo; species Homo sapiens. The sequence goes on along the minus strand of NC_000005.10, from coordinate 46,367,126 downwards.
TCTGAGAATGCTTCTGTCTAGTTTCATGTGAAGATATTCCCGTTTCCAACAAAGGCCTTATAGCGGTCCAAATATCCACTTGCACATTCTACAAAAAGAGTATTTCAAAACTGCTCTTTCAAAAGGAAGGTTCAGCACTGTGAGTTGAATGCAAACATGGCAAACAATTTTCTGAGAATGCTTCTGTCTACTTTTTATATGAAGATATTCCCGTTTGCAACGAAGTCCTACAAGCGGTGCAATTATCCACTTGCAGATTCTAAAAAAAGTGTGTTTCAAAAGTGCTCTATCAAAAGGAAGGTTGAAATCTGTCAGTTGAATGAACACATCACAAAGAAGTTTCATAGAATGCTTCCGTCTGGTTTTTATGTAAAGACATTTCTTTTTCCACCATAGCCCTCAAAGAGATCCAAATGTCCACTTGCAGATTCTACAAAAAGAGTGTTTTGAAACTGCTCTATCAGAAGGAAGGTTCAAATCTTTGAGTTGAATGCACAGATGAGAAAGAAGTTTCTGAGAATGCTTCCTTCTAGTTTACATGTGAAGACATTCCCGTTTCCAACGAAGACCTCAAAGCAGTCTAAATATCCACTTGCAGATTCTACAAAAAGAGAGTTTCAAAACTGCTCTATCAAAATAAAGGTTAAACTCTGAGAGTTGAATGCACATATCACAAAGAGGTTTCTGAGAATGCTTCTGTCTAGTTTCTATATGAAGTTATTTCGTCTTCTACCATAGGCCTCAAAGCGCTCCAAATATCCATTTGCAGATTCTAAAAAAGAGTGTTTCAAAATGGCTCTATCAAAAGGAAGGTGCAACTTTGTGAGTTGAATGAACACATCAGAAAGAAGTTTCTGAGAATGCTTCTGTCTAGTACTTATGTGAAGATAGTCACGTTTCCAACGAAGGCCTCAAAGTGGTCCAAGTATCCACTTGAAGATTCTATAAAAAGAGTGTTTCAAAACTGCTCTATGAAATAGTTTGTTAAACTCTCTGAGTTGAATGCAAACATCACAAAAAGCTTTCTTAGAATGCTTCTGTCTGATTTTTATGTGAAGATAATCACGTTTCCAACGAAGGCCTCAAAACGGTCCAAATATCCACTTGCAAATTTCACGAAAAGAGTGTTACAAAACTGCTCTCTGAAAAGGTATGTTGATCCCTGTGGGATGAATGCTAACATCACAATGAAGTTTCTAAGAATGCTTCTCTCTAGTTTTTATGTGAAGATATTCCCTTTCCAAAGAAGATGTCAAATCGCTCCAAATATCCACTTGCTGTTCCTACAGAAAGAGTGTTTCAAAACTGCCCTATGAAAAGTGTACTCTTCTTGTACAATCTGAGAGTGGACATTTTGAGCACTTTGAGGGCAATGGTGTAAAAGGAAATCTCTTCACGTAAAAATTAGACAGAAGGATAATCAGAAACTTCTTTGGGATATGTGGATTCAACTCACAGCATTGAAACTTTCTTTTGATAGAGCAGTTTTGAAACACTCATTTTCTAGAATCTGCAAGTGGATATTTGGACCAATTTAAGGCCTTCATTGGAAACGGGAATATCTTCACATAAAAAATAGACAGAAACATTCTCAGAAACTTCTTTGTGTTGCGTGCATTCAACTCACAGAGTTGAACCTTTCTTTTGATAGAGAAGTTTGAAACCCTCTTTCTGTATAACATGTAAGTGGACATTTGGAGTGCTAAGAGGCTATGATAGAAAAGGAAATATCTGCATATAAAAACTAGACAGAAGCATTCTCAGAAACTAACTTGTGTTTTCCGCATTCAACTCAAGGAGTTGAAACTTTCTTTTGATAGACCAGTTTGAAGCAGTCTTTTTGTAGAATCTGCAAGTGGACATTTGGAGAGCTTTGAGGCCTATGGTGGAAAAGGATATATCTTCACATAAAAACTAGAAAGAAGCATTCTCAGAAACTTCTTTGTGATGATTGAATTCAATTGACAGATTTAAACATACCTTTTGATACAGAAGTTTGAAACAGTGGTTTTATAGAATCTGCAAGTGGATATTTAGACTGCTTTGAGGCCTTCGTTGGAAACGGAAATATCTTCAGATAAAAACTAGACAGAAGCATTCTCAGAAACTGCTTTGTGATGTGTGCATTCAACTCAAAGAGTTGAATCTTCCTTTTTATACAGCAGGTTGGAAACAATCTTTTTGTAGAATCTGTAAGAGGACATTTGGAACACTGTGAGGGCTATGGTGGAAAAGGAAATATCTTAAAATAAAAAAATAGAAGCATTCTCAGAAACTTCTTTGTGATGCATGCATTCAGCTCACAGAGTTGATCCTTCCTTTTGATAGAACAGTTTTGAAACACTCTTTTTTAAGAATCTGCAAGTGGATATTGGGACCGGTTTGAGGACTTCTTTGGAAAAGGGAATATCTTCACATAAACAATAGATAGAAGCATTCTCAGAAACTTCTTTGTGATATTTGCATTCAACTCACAGAGTTGAGCATACCTTTTCATAGAGCAGTTTTGAAACACTCTTTTTGTAGAATCTGCAAGAGGATATTTGGACCGCTTTGAGACCTTCGTTGGAAATGGGAATATCTTCGTATAAAAAGTAGAGAGAAGCATTCTCACAAACTTCTTTGTGATGCGTGCATTCAACTAACAGAGATGAACTTTACTTTTGATACAGCAGTTTTGAAACTCTTTTTGTAGAATCTGCAAGTGGACATTTGGAGCACTTTGAGGGCTATGGTGGAAAAGGAAATATCTTCACATAAAAACTAGACAAATGCATTCTCAGAAATTCTTTGTGATATTTGCATTCAACTCACAGAGTTGAGCCTTCCTTTTGTTAGAGCAGTTTTGACACACTTTTTTTGTAGAATCTGCATGTGGATATTTGGAATGCGTTGTGGCCTTCTTTGGAAATGGGAATATCTTCTCTTAAAAATTTGACCAAAGCATTATCAGAAACTACTTTGTGATGTGTGCATTCAACTCACTGAGTTGAACCTTGCTTTTGACAGTGCTGTTTTGAAACACTCTTTTTGTGGAATCTGCAAGTGGCTATTTGGACCGGTTTGAGGCCTTCATTGGAAATGGAAAAATCTTCCAATAAAAACTAGACAGAAGCATTCTCAGAAACTACTTTGTGATGTTTGCATTTAACTCACAGAGTTGAAACTTCCTTTTGATAGCTTTATCAAAAGTTTTGAAACAGTCTTTTTGTAGTATCTGCAAATGGACATTTGGAAAGCTTTGAGGCCAAGGTGGAAAAGGAAATATCCTCACATAAAAACTAGAAAGAAGCATTCTTAGAAACTTATTTGTGATATGTGCATTCAACTCACAGAGTTGAAACTTTCCTTTGATAGAGCAGCTTTGAAACATTCCTTTTTGTAGAATCTGCAAGTGGATATTTGGAGAGCTTTGATGCCAAAGTGGAAAAGGAAATATATTCAAATAAAAACTAGACAGAAGCTTTCTCAGAAACTTCTTTGTGATGTGTGCATTCAACTTGTAGAGTTGAACCTTCCTTTTGGTACAGCAGTTTCAAAACCCTCTTTTTGTAGAAACTGCAAGTGGATATTTTGACAGCTTTGTGGCCTTCATTGGAAAATGGGAACATTGTCTCATAAAAATTTGACAGAAGCATTCTCAGAAACTTCGCTGTGATGTGTGCATTCAACTCACAGATTTGAACATACCTTTTAACACAGCAGTTTTGAGACGCTCTTTTCGTAGAATCTGCAAGTGGATATTTGGAGGGCCTGGTGGCCTTCAATGGAAACGAGGATACCGTCACATAAAAACTAGATAGAAGCATTCTCAGAAACTTCTTTGTGATATGTGCACTCAACTCACAGATTTGAACCTTTCCTTTGATAGAGCAGTTTTGAAACACTCTATTTGCAGAATCTGCAAGTGTACATTTGGAGCGCTTTGAGGTCTACAGTGGAAAAGGAAATATCTTCACATAAAAATTAGACAGAAGCATTCTCAGAAACTTCTTTGTGATGTGTGCATTCAACTGACAGAGTTGAAACTTCCTTTTTATAGGGAAGTTATGAAACACTTTTTTTGAAGAATCAGCAAGTGGACATTTGGAGCGTTTTGAGGGCTATGGTGGAAAAGGAAATATCTTCACATAAAAACCATACAGAAGCATTCTCAGAAACTTCTGTGTGATGTGTGCATTCAAGCCACAGAGTTGAACATTTCTTTTGACAGAACAGTTTGGAAACACTCTTTTTGTAGAATCTGCAAGTGGATATTTGGAGCTATTTGAGGCCAAGATGGAAAAGGAAAAATCTTCACATAAAAACTAGACAGAAGCATTCTCAGAAACTTCTTTGAGTTGTTTGCATTCAACTCACAGAGTTGAACATACCTTTTCTTACAACAGTTTTGAAACACTCTTTTTGTAGAATCTGCAAGTGGATATTTCGACTGCATTGTGACTTTCATTGGAAACGGGAATATTGCCTCATAAAAATTTGACAGAAGCATTCTCAGAAACTTTGTTGTGATGTGTGCATTCAACTCTCAGATTTGAACATACCTTTTCATACAGCAGTTTTTAAACACTGGTTTTTTAGAATCTGCAAGTGGATATTTGGACTGCTTTGTGGCCTTCATTGGAAACGGTAATAGCTTCTCATAAAAACTTGACAGAAGCTTTCTCAGAAACTTCTTTGTGATGTGTGCATTCAACTCACAGAGTTGAAACTTCCTTTTGATAGAGCAGTTTTGAAACACTCTATTTGCAGAATCTGCAAGTGGACATTCGGAGTGCTCTGAGGGTGATGGTGGAAAAGGAATTATCTTCACATAGAAACTAGACAGAAGCATTCTCAGAAACTTCTTTCTGATGTGTGCATTCACCTCATAGAGTTGAACCTTTCTTACGATAGAGCAGTTTTGAAACACTCTTTTTTTAGAATCTGCAAGTGGATATTTGGACTGGTTTTAGGCCTTCGTTGGAATCGGGAATATCTTATGAAAAAATCTAGACAGAAGCATCCTCAGAAACTTCTTTTTGAGGTGTGCATTCAACTCACAGAGATGAACCTTTCTTTTTATAGAGCAGTTTTGAAGTACACTTTGTGTAGAATCTGCAAGTGGACATTTAAAATGCGTCGACGCCTATGGTAGAAAAGGAAATATCTTCCGATGAAAACTAGACAGAAGCATTCTCAGAAACTACTTTGTGTTGTGTGCATTCTACTCACAGAGTTGAACCTTTCTTTTGATAGAGTAACTTTGAAAAACACTTTTGTAGAATCTGCAAGTGGACACTTGGAGAGCTTTGAGGTCTATGGTGGAAAAGGAAATATCTTCATATAAAAACTAGACTGATGCATTCTCAGGAACTTCTTTGTGATGTTTGCATTCAAAGCAGAGTTGAACATTCCTTTTCATAGAGAAGTTTTGAAACACTCTTTTTGTCGAATCTGCAAGTAGATATTTAAACTGGTTTGAGGCCTTTGTTGGAAACGGGAATATCTTCACATTAAAACTAGAAAGCAGTATTCTCAGAAACTTCATTGTGATGTTTGCATTCAACTGACAGAGTTGAACCTTCCTTTTGATAGAGCAGGTTTGTAACACTCTTTTTGTAGAATCTGCAAGTGGATATTTGGACTGCTTTTTGGCCTTCATTGGAAACGGGTATATGTTGTCATAACTAGACAGAAGCATTCTCAGTAACTTCTTTTTGATGTTTGCATTAAACTCACAGAGTTGAATCTTCTTTTTGATAGAGAAGTTCTGAACCACTCCTTTTGCAGAATCTGCAAGCGGATATTTGGACTGCTTTGTGGCGTTCGCTGGAAACGGGATTAACTTCTCATAAAAACTAGATAGAAGTATTCTCAGAAACCACTTGGTGATGTACGCATTCAATTCACAGGGTTGAACCTTCCTTTTGACAGAGCAGTTATGGAACACTCTTTGTGTAGAATATGTTAGTTCACATTGGAGTGCTTTGAGGGTTATGGTGGAAAAGGAAATATCTTCATATAAAAACTAGATAAAAGCATACTCAGAAACTTCTTTGTGATGTGTGCATTCAGTTCACAGACTTGAACCTTTCTTTTGATAGAGCAGTTTTGAAACATTCTTTTTGTGGAATTTGCAAGTGGATATATGGACTGCTTTGAGGCCTTCTTTGGAAACGGGAATATCTTCACATAAAAACTAGACAGAAGTATTCTCAGAAACTTCTTTGTGATGTTTTCATTCCTTTCTGGAGAGCAGTTTTGAAACACTCTTTTTGGGATATTTGGACTGCTTTGTGGCCTTCATTGGAAATGGGATTATATTCTCACAAAAACTAGACAGAGCATTCTCAGAAACTTCTTTCTGATGTTTGCATTCAACTCACAGATTTGAACCTTCCTTTTGATAGAGCAGTTTTGAAACTCTCTTTGTGTGGAATATGCAATTTGACATTTGTAGTGCTTTGAGGGTTATGGTGTGAAAGGAAATATCTTCACATAAAAACTAGACAGAAGCATTCTCAGAAAGTTCTTTGTGATGTGTGCATTCAACTCACAGACTTGAAGCTTGCTTTTGATAGAGTAGTTTTGAAACACTCTTTTTATGGAATCTGCAAGTGAATATCAGTACCGGTTTGAGGTCTTCATTGGAAACGGGAATATCTTCACATAAAAACTAGACAGAAGCATTCTCAGAAACTTCTTTGAGATGTGTGCATACAACTCACAGAGCTGAACCTTCCTTTTGAAAGAGCAGTTTTGAAACTCTCTTTGTGTAGAATCTGCAAGCGGACATTTGGAGTGCTTTGGGGCCTATGGTAGAAAAGGAAATATCTTCATATAAAAACTAGACAGAAGCTTTTCCCGAAACAACTTTGTGTTGTGTGCATTCCACTCACAGAGTTGAACCTTTCTTTTGATAGAGCAGATTTGAAACACTCTTTTTGTAGAATCTGCAAGTGGACATTTGGAGAGCTTTGAAACCTACGGTGGAAAAGGAAATATCTTCACATAAAAACTAGACAGAAGCATTCTCAGAAACTTCTTTGTGGTATGTGCACTCAACTCACAGAGTTGAACCTTCCTTTTGATAGGGCACTTTTGAAACACTCTTTTTGTATAAACTGCAAGTAGACAGTTGGGGCGCGTTGAGTGCTATGCTGGAGAAGGAAATATCTTCAGTTGAAAACTAGACAGAAGCATTCTCAGAATCTTCTTTGGGATGTGTGCATTCAACTCACAGAGGTGAACCTTTCTTTTCATAGAACAGTTTTGAAACACTCTTTTTGAACAATCTGCAAATGGATATATGGCCTGCTCTGTGACCTTCGTTGGAAATGAGAATATCATCTCATAAAAACATGATGGAAACATTCTTAGAAACTTCTTTGCAATGTGTGCATTCAACTCGCAGAGTTGAAACTTCATTTTGATAGAGCAGTTTTGAAACACTCTTTTGCAGAATCTGCATGTGGACATTTGGAGCACTTTGTGGGCAATGTTGGAAAAGGAAATATCTTCAGATAAAAACTAGATAGAAGCATTATCAGAAACTTCCTTGTGATGTGTGCATTCAACTCAAAGAGTTGAACCTTCCTTTTTATAGAGCAGTTTTGAAACACTCTATCTGCAGAATCTGCAAGAGGACATTTGGAGCATTTTGAGGGCGATGGTGGGAAAGGGAATATCTTCATAGAAAAACTAGACAGAAGCATTCTCAGAAAGTTATTTGTGATGTGTGCATTCAACTCAGAGATTTGAACCTTTCTTTTGATAGAATAATTTTGAAACACTCTTTTTTTAATATCTGCAAGTGCATATTTTGACCGGATTGAGGCCTTCATTGGAAATGGGAACATATACACATAAACACTAGACAGAAGCATTTTCAGAAACTTCTTTGTGATGTGTGCATTCAAGTCACAGAGTTGAAACTTCCATTTGGTAGAGCAGTTTTGAAACACGCTATGTAGAATCTGCAGGTGGATATTTGGAATGCTCTGTGGCCTTCATTGGAAACGGGATAATATTCTCATAAAAACTAGACAGAAGCATTCTCAGATACTTCTTTGTGATGCTTGCATTCAATTCACAGAGTTGAAGCTTCCTTTTGATACAGCAGTTTTGTAACACTCTTTGTGTAGAAACTGCAAGTGGACATTTGGAGTACTTTGAGGGTTATGATGGCAAAGGAAATATGTTCACATTAAAACTAGACAGAAGCATTCTCAGAAACGTCTTTGTGATGTGTGCATTCAACTCACAGAGCTGAACCTTCCTTTTGATAGAGCACTTTTGAAACACTCTTTTTGTGGAATCTGCAAGTGGACATTTGGAGTGCTTTGAGGGGTATTGTAGAAAAGGAAATACCTTCGCATTAAAACTAGACAGAAGCATTCTCAGAAACTTCTTTGTGGTGTGTGCATTCAACTCACAGTGTTGAACCTTCCTTTTGATAAAGCTGTTTGGAAACACTCTTTTTGTAGAATCTGCAAGCGGACATTTGGAGCCCTTTAGGGCTATCATGGAAAAGGAAATAGCTTCACATTGAAACTATACAGAAGCATTCTCAGAAACTTCTTTGTGATATTTGCATTCAACTCACAGAGTTGAACACTCCTTTTGATAGAGCAGTTTTGAAACACTCTTGTTTTAAGAATCTGCAAATGGATATTTGGACCGGTTCGAGGCCTTCATTGGAAAGAGGAATATCTTCACATAAAAACTAGACAGAAGCATTCTCAGAAAGTTCTTTGTGATGTGTGCATTCAACTCACAGATTTGAAGCTTGCTTTCGATAGAGCAGTTTTGAAACACTCTTTTTTATGGAATCTGCAAGTAGATAGGTGTACCGGTTTGAGGTCTTCTTTGGAAACGGGAATATCTTCACATAAAAACTAGACAGAAGCACTCTCAGAAACTTCTTTGAGATGTGTGCGTTCAACTTACAGAGCTGAACACTCCTTTTGATAGAACAGTTTTGAAACTCTCTTTGTGTAGAATCTGCAAGTGGACATTTGGAGTGCTTTGAGGCCTATCATAGAAAAAGAAATGTCTTCATATAAAAACTAGACAGAAACATTCTTAGAAACTACTTTGTGATGTGTGCATTCAACTCACAGACTTGAACTTTTCTTTTGATAGAGCAGTTTTGAAACACTGTTTTTTTAGTATATACAAGTGGATATTCGATCGGATTGAGACCTTTGTTGGAAAAGGGAATATCTTCACATAAAAATTAGACAGAAGCATTCTCAGAAGCTTCTTTGTGGTGTGTCCATTCAACTTACAGAGCTGAAACTTCCTTTTTATAGAGCAGCTTTGAAACACTCTTTTTGTGGAATCTGCAAGCGGACATTTGGAGAGCTTTCAGGCCTATGTTAGAAAAGGAAATACCTTCACATAAAAACTAGACAGAAGAATTCTCAGAAACTTCTTTGTGATGGTTGCATTCAACCCGCTGATTTGAAGCTTCCTTTTGATAGAGCAGTTTTGAAACACTCTTTCTGTAGATTCTGTAAGCAGACATTTGGAGCGCTTTGAGGAGTATCATGGAAAAGGAAATATCTTCACATTAAAACTAGACAGAAGCATTCTAAGAAACTTCTTTGTGATGTGTCCATTCAACTCACAGAGCTGAACCTTCTTTTTGATAGATCAGCTTTGAAACACTCTTCTTGTGGAATCTGCAAGCAGACAATTGGAGTGCTTTCAGGCCTAGGGTAGAAAAGGAAATACCTTCACATAAAAACTAGATAGAAGAATTCTCAGAAACTTCTTTGTGATGGGAGCATTCAACTCACAGAGTTGAACCTTCCTTCTGATTGATAGAGCAGTTTTGAAACACTCTTTCTGTAGTTTCTGTAAGCGGACATTTGGAGCACTTTGAGGACTACCATGGAAAAGGAAATATCTTCACATTAAAACTAGACAGAAACATTCTAAGAAACTTCTTTGTGATGAGTGCATTCAACTCAGCGAGGTGAACCTTTCCTTTGATGGAGCAGTTTTGAAACACTCTTTTTATAAGAATCTGCAAGTGGACCTTTGTACCAGCTTGAGGCCTTCGTTAGAAACGGTAATATCTTCACATAAAAACTAGACAGAAGAATTCTCAGAAACTTCTTTGTGATGTGTGCATTCAACTCACAGATTTCAACCTTGCTTTTGATAGAGCAGTTTTGAAACACACTTTTTTTAGTATATGCAAGTGGATATTGGGATGGGATTGAGGCCTTCATTGGAAAAGGAATATCTTCATGTAAAAACTAGAAAGAAGCATTCTCAGAAACTTCTTTGTGATGTGTTCATTCAATTCACTGAGCTGAACCTTCCTTTTGATAGAGCAGCTTTGAAACACTCTTTTTGTGGAATCTGCAAGCGGACGTTTGGAGTGTTTTCAGGCCTATGGAAGAAAAGGAAATATCTTCACATAAAAGCTAGACAGAAGAATTCTCAGAAACTTCTTTGTGATGGGTGCATTCAACTCGCCGAGTTGAACCTTCCTTTTGATAGAGCAGTTTTGAAACACTCTTTCTGTAGATTCTGTAAGCGGACATTTGGAGCGCTTTGAGGAGTATCATGGAAGAGGAAATATCTTCACATAAAAACTAGACAGAAGAATTCTCAGAAACTACTTTGTGTTGTGTGTACTCAAGTCACAGAGTAGAACCCTCCCTTTGATAGAGCAGTTTTCAAACACTCTTTTTGTAGAATCTGCAATTGGACATTTGGATATCTTTGAGGGCTATGGTGTATAAAGAAATATCTTCACCTGAAAATTAGACAGAAGCATTCTCAGAAACTTCTTTGTGATGTGTGCATTCAACTCACATAGTTGAACATTCCTTTCGATAGTGCAGTTTTGAAACACTTTTTTGTGGATTCTGCAAGTGGACATTTGTAGCGCTTTCAGGGCTATGTTCGAAATGGAAATATCATCACATAAAATCTAGACAGAAGCATTCTCAGAAACATATCTGTGATGTGTGCATTCAGCTCACGGAGTTTGAAACACTCTTTCGATAGAATCTGCAAGTGAATATTTGGAACGATTTCAGGACTTTGTTGGAAACTAGAATATCTTCACATAAAAACTTGACAGAAGCATTCTCAGAAACTTCTTTGTGATGTGTGCATTCAACTCACATTGTTGAACTTTCCTTTCGATAGAGCAGTTTTGAAGCTCTCTTTTTGTGGAACCTGCTAGTGGACATTTGGAGCACTTTGAGTTCTATTGTGGAAAAAGAAATACCGTCACATAAAAACTAGACAGAAGCATTATCAGAAACATCTTTGTGATGTGTGCATTCAACTCATTGAGTTGAACCTTCCTTTTGACAGAGCAGTTTGGAAACACTCTTTCTGCAGGATCTGCAGCTGGACATTTGGAGCGCTTTGCGTTCTATTGGGGAAAAGGAAATATCTTCACATAAAAACTAGACGGAAGCATTCTCGGAAACTTCTTTGGGATGTGTGCATTCAACTCATACAGTTGAACATTCGTTTTGATGGAGCAGTTTTGAAACACTGTTTTTGTAGAATTTGCAAGTGGATATTTAGAGCGCTTTGTGGGCTCTTGTCGAAAAGGGAATATCTTCACATACAAACTAGCAGAAGCATTCTCAGAAACTCCTTTGGGATGTATGCATTCAACTCACAGATTTGAGCCTTCCTTTTAATAGAGCAGCACTGAAACACTATTTTTGTAGAATCTGCAAGTGGATATTTGTACCGCTTTGAATCCTTCTTTGGAAATGGGAATATCTTCACATAAAAACCAGATAGAAGCATTCTCAGAAACTTCTTTGTGATGTGTGCATTCAACTCACAGAGATGAACCTTCCTCTTGATAGAGCAGTTTTGAAACACTCTTTTTGTAGAATCAGCAAGTGGACATTTGCAGTGATTGGGGGCTGTGGTGGAAAAGGAAATATCCCCACATAAAAACTAGACAGAAGCATTAACAGAAACTTCTTTGTGATGTTTGCATTCAATTCAGAGTGGAACACAACTTTTCATAGAGCAGGTTTGAAACACTCTTTTTGTAGCATCTGCAAGTGGATATGTAGACCGGTTTGAAGCCTTTGTTGGAAACGGGAATATCTTCACATAAAAACTAGACAGAAACATTCTCAGAAACTTCTTTGTGATGTTTGAATTCAACACACAGAGTTAAAACTTTCTGTTGACAGAGCAGTTTTGAAACACTCTATTTTTAGAATCTGCAAGTGGATATTCGGACCGGTTTGAGGCCTTCATGGGAAATGGAAATATCTTCACATAAAAACTAGACAGAAGCATTCTCAGAAACTTCTTTGTGATGTGTGCATTCAACTCGCAGAGTTGAACCTTCGGTTTCATAGAGCAGTTTTGAAACACTCTATTTGTAGAATCTGCAAGTGGACATTTTGAGCGCTTTTAGGGCTATGGTAGGAGAGCAAATATCTTCACACAAAAACTAGAGAGAAGCATTCTCAGAAACTTCTTTGTGATGTGTGCTTTAAACTCAAAGAGTTGAACCTTTCTTTTGATAGGACAGTTTTGAAACACTCTTTTTTTAGAATCTGCAAGTGGATATTTGGACCGATTTGAGGTCTTCATTGGAAACGGGAATATCTTCACTTAAAAACTAGACAGAAGCATTCTCAGACACTCCTTTGTGATGTGTGCATTCAACTCAGAGGTGACCCTTCCTTTTATTAGAGTAGTTTTGAAACACTCTTTGTGTAGGATGTGCAAGTGGACATTTTGTGCGCTTTGAGTCCTACGGTAGAAAAGGAAATATGTTCATATAAAATCTAGACAGAAACATTATCAGAAACTACTTTGTGTTGTGTGCAGTCAACTCACAGAGTTGAACCTTCCTTTTGATAGAGCAGCTTTGAAACACTCTTTTTGTAGAATCTGCAAGTGGACATTTGGAGAGCTTTGAGGCCTATGGTAGAAATGGAAATATCTTCACATAAACACTAGACAGAAGCATTCTTAGAAACTTGTTTGTGATGTGCGCATTCATCTCACAGAGTTGAACATTACTTTTGATAGAGCAGTTTTGAAACACTCTTTATGTAGATTCTGCAAGTGGACATTTGGAGCACTTTGAGGCCTATGGTGGAAAAGGAAGTATCTTCACATAAAAACTAGACAGAAGACTTCTCAGAAACTATTTTGTGATGTGTGCATTCAGCTCACAGAGTTGAACCTTTCTTTTGATAGGGCAGTTTTGAAACACTCTTTTTGTACAATCTGAAAATGGATATTTTGAATGTTTTGTGGTCTTCGTTGGAAAGGGGATTATATTCTCATAAAAACTGACAGAAGCATTCTCAGAAACTACTTTGTTATGTATGCATTCAACTCACATATTTGAACTTTTTGTTGATAGAGCAGTTTCTAAACACTCTTTTTGTAGAATCTGCAAGTATATATTTGAAGCACTCTGAGGGCTATGGTGGAAAAGGAAATATCTTCACATGAAAACTAGACAGAAGCATTGGGAGAACCTTCTTTGTATTGTGTGCATTCAACTCAGGGAGTTGAACTTTCCTTTTGATACAGCAGTTTTGAAACACTCTTTTTGTAGAATCTGCAAGTGGACATTTGGTGCGCTTTGAGGTCTAAGGTGGAAAAGGAAATATCTTCACATAGACAGTAGACAGAAGCATAGTCAGAAACTTCTTTGTGATGCGTGCATTCAACTCATAGAGTTGAAGCTCTCTTATGATAGAGCAGTTATGAAACACTCTGTTTTTAGAATCTGCAAGTGGATATTTGGACTGCGTTGAGGATTTCTTAGGAAAAGATATTATTTTCACATAAAAACTAGACAGAAGCATTCTCACACACTTCTTTGTGACGTGTGCATTCAGTTCAACGATGTGAACCTTACTTTTGGTAGTGCAGTTTTGAAACACTCTTTTTGCAGAATCTGCAACTGGATATTTGGACGGCTTTGCAGCCTTCATTGGAAATGGGATTATATTCTCATAGAAACTAGACAAAAGAATTCTCAGAAACTTATTTGTTATGTATGCATTCAACTCACAGAGTTGAACTCTTCTTGTTAGAGCAGTATTGAAACACTCTTTTTGTAGAATCTGCAAGTGGACATTTGGAACGCTTTGAGGGCTATGGTGAAAAAGGAAATATCTTCACATAAAAACTAGACAGAAGCATCTCAGAAACTTCTTTGTGATGTGTGCATTCAGCTCACAGAGTTGAACCTTCCTTATGATTGAGCAGTTTTGAAACACTGTTTTTTTTAGAATCTACAAGTGGATATTTGGACCATTTGAGGCCTTCATTGTAAACGGGAATATCTTCACTTAAAAACTAGACAGAAGCATACTCAGAAACTTCTTTATGATGTGTGCATTCAACTCACAGATGTGACCATTCCTTTTGATAGAGTAGTTTTGAAACACTGTTTGTGTAGAATCTGCCAGCGGACATTTGGAGCTCTTTGAGGTCTATGGTAGAAAAGGAAATATCTTCATATAAAAACTAGACAGAAGCATTCTCAGAAACTACTTTGTGTTGTGTGCATTCAACTCACAGAGTTGAACCTTTCTTTTGATAGAGCAGCTTTGAAACACTCTTTTTGTAGAATCTGCAAATGGACATTTGGGGAGCTTTGAGGCCTATGGTGGAAAAGGAAATATCTACACATAAACACAAGATAGAAGCATTCTCAGAAAGTTCTTTCTGATGCTTTTATTCAACTCACTGAGTTGAACCTTCCTTCTGGTAGAGCAGTTTTGAGACACTCTTTTTGTAGAAACTGCAAGTGGATATTTTGACTGCTTTGTGCCCATCATTGGAAACTGGTATATCTTCTCATAATTATATGGAAGCATTCTCAGAAACATCTTTGTGATGTTTGCATTCAACTCAAAGAGTTGAAGCTTCCCTTTCATAGAGCAGTTTTGAAATACTCATTGTGTGGAATCTGCAAGCGTACATTTGGAGAGCTTTGAGGGTTATGGTGGATAATGAAATATCTTCACGTAAAAACTAGATAGAAGTATTCTCAGGAACTTTTTTGTGATGGTTGCATTCAACTCACAGAGTTGAACATAGCTTTTCATAGAGTAGCTTTGAAACACACTTTTTTTAGAATATGAAAGTGTATATTTGGACGGGTTTGTGGCCTTCATTGGAAACGGGTATATCTTCTCATAAAAACTTGATAGAAAAATTCTCAGAAACTTCTTCATGATGTGTGCATTCAACTCACAGATTTGAACCTTCCTTTTGATAGAAAAGTTTTGAAACACTCTATTTGCAGAATCTGCAAGTGGACATTTTGAAGGCTTTGAGGGCGATGGTAGACAAGGAAATATCTTCACATAGAAACTTGACAGAAGCATTCTCAGAAACTTCTTTGTGATGTGTGCATTCAACTCATAGAGTTGAACCTTCCTTATGATAGAGCCGTTTTGAAACACTCTTTTTTTAGAATCTGCAAGTGGATATTTGGACTGATTTGAGGCCTTCGTTGGAAAGGGGAATATCTTCACATAAAAACTAGACAGAAGCATTCTCAAAAACTTCTTTGTGATGGTTGCATTCAACTCACGAGTTGAACCTTCCTTTTGATAGAGCAGTTTTGAAACTCTTTCTGTAGATTCTGTAAGAGGACATTTGGAGCACTTTGAGGACTATCATGGAAAGGGAAACATCTTCACATTAAAACTAGTCAGAAGCATTCTAAGAAACTTCTTTGTGATGTGTGCATTCAACTCACCGAGGTGAACTTTTCCTTTTATAGAGCAGTTTTTAAACACTCTTTTTTTAAGAATCTGCAAGTGGACATTTGGAACAGTTTGAGGCCTTCGTTGGTAACGGGAATATCCTCACATTAAAACTAGACAGAAGCATTCTCAGAAACTTCTTATTGATGTGTGAATTCAACCCAGAATTGAACCATTCTTATGATAGAGAAGTTTTGAAAAACTCTTTTTTTGAATCTGCAAGTGGATATTTGGACAGGTTTGAGGCCCTCGTTGGAAACGGGAATACCTTCACATGGAAACTAGACAGAAGCATTCTCAGAAACTTCTTTGTGATATGTGCATTCACCTCACAGAGTTGAACCTTCCTTTTCATAGAGCCGTTTTGAAACACTCTTTGTGTAGAATCTGCAAGTGGATATTTGGAGTGCTTTGAGGGCTATGGTGGGAAAGGAAATATCTTCACATAAAACCTAGACAGAAGCATTCTCAGAAACTTTTTTGTGATGTGTGCATTCAACTCACAGAGTTGAACCTTCCTTTCAGTGGAGCAGGTGTGAAACTCTCTTTTTGTAGAATCTGCAAGTGGATATTTTGACCGATTTGGGGCCTTCTTTGGAAACGGGTTTATATTCTCATAAAAACCAGACAGAAGCACTCTCTTAAACTTCTTTCTGATGATTGCATTCAACTCACAGAGTTGAACATACTTTTTCATAGATCATCTTTGACACAATTTTTGTAGAATTAGCAAGTGTTTATTTGGACAACTTTGATGCCGTCCGTGGAAACGGGTATATCTTCACATAAAAAGTAGACAGAAGCTTTCTTAGAAACTTCTTTGTGATGTGTGCATTCAATTCACAGAGTTGAACCTTCCTTTCAATAGAGCAGTTTTGAAACACTCTTTTTGTAGTATCTGCAAGTGGACATTTGGAGCTCTTTGAGGGCTATGGTGGAAAAGGAAATATCTTCACATAAAAACTAGACAGAAGCATTCTCAGAAAGTTCATTGTGATGTTTGCATTCAACTCACAGAATAGAACACACCTTTTCATAGAGGAGTTTTGAAAACCTCTTTTTGTAGAATCTGCAAGTGTACTTTTGGAGCACTTTGAAGGCTATGGTAGAAAAGGAAATCAGTTCACATAAAAACTAGACAGAAGCATTCTCAGAAACTTCTTTGGATGTGTGCATTCAACTCACATAGTTGAAGCCTCCTTTTGATAGAGCAGTTTTGAATCACTCTTTTTGTAGAATCTGCAAGTGGACAATTGGATAGCTTTGAGGCCTATGGTGGTAAAGGAAATATCTTCACATATAAACTAGACAGAAGCATTCTCAGAAACCTCTTTGTGATGCATGCATTCAACTCACAGAGTTGAAGCTTACTTTTTATACAGCAGTTTGGAAACACTCTTTTTGTAGAATCTGCAAGAGGACATTTTGAGCACTTTGAGGGCTATGGTGCAAAAGGAAATATCTTCAAATAAACAATAGACAGAAGCATTCTCAGAAATTTATTTGTGATGCGTGCATTCAGCTCACAGAGTTGAACCTTTCTTTTGATATAGCAGTTTTGAAACACTCTTTTCGTGTAATCTGCAGGTGGATATTTGGAGCGCTTTGAGGCCTTCGGTGGAAACGGGAATATCTTCACATAAAAACTAGACAGAAGCATTCTCAGAAACTTCTTTGCGATGTGTGCATTCAACACCGGGAGTTGAACATTCCTTTCGATAGAGCATTTTTGAAACACTCTTTTTGGAAAATCTGCAAGTGGATATTTTAAGCTCTTTGAGGCCAGCGGTGGAAACGGGAATATCTTCACATAAAAAGTACACAGAAGTATTCTCAGAAAATTCTTTGTGATGTGTACATTCAACACAGAGAGTTGAACCTTCCTTTTCATTGAGCAGTTTTGAAACACTCTTTTTGTGGAATCTAGAAGTGGATTTTTGGAGCGCTTTGTGGCCTATTGTAGAAAAGGAAGTATCTTCATATAAAAACTAGACAGAAGCATTCTCAGAAACTTCTTTGTGATGTGTACATTCAACTCACAGAGTTGAACCTTCTTTTTAATAGAGCAGTTTTGAAATACTCTTTTTGTGGGATCTGCAAGTAGACATTTGGAGTGCTTTGAGGCATATTATGAAAAAGGAAATATCTTCATAGAAAAAATAGAGAGAAACATTCTTGGAAACTTGTTTGTGATGTTTGCATTCTACTCACAGAGTTGAACATTCCTTTTCATAGAGCAGTTTTGAAACACTCTTTTGTAAAATCTGCAACTCGATAATTGGACCACTTTGAGACCTTTGTTGGAAACGGGTATATCTTCACATAAAAACTAGACAGAAGCATTCTCACAAACTTCATTGTGATGTGTGCTTTCAAATCACAGAATTGAATCTTTCTTCTGATAAGGCAGTTTTGAAACACTCTTTTTGTAGAATCTACAAGTGGATATTTGCAGTGCTTTGTGGTCTACAGTGTAAACGGGAATATCTTCATATAAAACTAGACAGAAGCATTCTCAGAAACTTCTTTGTGATGTGTTCATTCAACTCACAGACTTAAACATTACTTTTCATAGAGGGCTTTTGAAACACCCTGTTTGTAGAAGCAGCAAGTGGACATTTGGTGAACTTTGAGGCATTTGGTGAAAAAGGAAATATCTAAACATAAAAACTATACAGAAGCATTCCCAGAAACTTCTTTGTGATATTTGCAATTACCTCACCGAGATGAACATTTCTTTTCATAGAGCTGTTTTGAAATACTCTTTTTGTAGAATCTGCAAGTGGATATTGGAGCACTTTGAGGCCTTTGGTAGAAACGGGAATATCTTCACATAAAAACTAGGCTGAAGCATTCCCAGAAACTGCTTTGTGATATATGCATTGAACTCACAGAGTTGAACCTTTCTTTTGATATAGCTGTTTTGAAACACTCATTTTTTAGAATCTGCAAGTGCACATTTAGAGACCTTAGAGGCCTGTGTGGAAAAGGAAATATCTTTACATAGAGACTAGAACAAGGATTCTCAGTAACTTCTTTGTGATGTGTGCCTTCAACTCCTAGAATTGATCCTTTTTTTTGACAGAGCAGTTTTGAAAAACTCTTTTTGTAGAATCTGTAAGTGGATATTTTGTTCCCTTTGAGGGCTATGTTCGAAAACAAAATATCTTCAGATAAAAGCTAGACAGAAGCATTATCACAAACAGATTTGTGATGAGTGCATTCAACTCACAGAGTTGAAATTTTGTTTTGATAGAGCAGTTTTGAAACACTCTTTATGTAGAATCTGTAAGTGGATATTTTGAGTGCTTCGAGGCCTATTGTGGAAAAGGAAATAACTTCACATAAAAAATAGACAGAAGCATTCTCCGAAACTTCTTTGTGATGTGCGCATTCCACTCACAGATTTGAAACTTTCTTTTGATAGAGCAGTTTTCAAACACTCTTTTTGTAGAATATGCAAGAGGATATTTGGAGTGCTTGGAGGGCTATGGTGGAAAAGGAAATATCTTTACATAAAAAGCAGACACAAATATTCTCAGAAACTACTTTGTGATGTGTGTATTCAACTCACACAGTTGAACCTTTCTTTTGATTGATAGAGCAGTTTTGAAACAATCTTTTTGTAGTATTTAAAGGTGGATATTTGGAACGCTTTGAGGCCTATGGTGGAAACTGAAGTATCTTCACATAAAAACTAGAAAGAAACATTCTCCAAAACTTCTTTTTGATAAGTGCATTCAACTCCAAGAGTTGAATCATTCTTTTGATAGAGCAGTTTTGAAACACTCTTTTTGTCTAATCTGCAAGTGCAATACTGGAGCACTTTGAGGCCTGCGGTGGAAAAGGAATTATCTTCACCTAAAAACTAGACAGAAGTATTCTCAGAAACTTCTTCCTGATGTGTGCATTAAACTCACAGTGTTGAAATTTTCTTTTTATAGAGAAGTTTTGAAACACTGTTTTTTTAGAATCTGCATGTGGATATTTGCAGCGCTTGGAGGCCTATGGTGGAAAAAGAAATATCTTCACATAAAAACTAGAAAGAAACATTCTCCGAAACTTCTTTGTGATTTGTGCATTCAACTCACAGAGCTGAACCCTTCTTTTGATACAGCAGTTTTGAAACACTCTTTTTGTAGAATCTGCAAGTGGATAGTTGGATAGCTTTGAGGCCTACGTTGGCAAACGAAATATCTTCACATAAAAACTAGTCAGAAGCATTCTCAGAAACTTCTTTTTGATATGTGCCTTCAACACACAGAGTTGAACATACCTTTTCAAAGAGCAGTTTTGAAACACTCTTTTTGTAGAACCTGCAAGTGGATATTTAGACTGGTTTGAGGATTTCATAAGGAAAGGGAGTATCTTCATATAAAAACTAGACAGAAGCATTCTCAGAAACTTCTCTGTGATGATTGCATTCAACTCAGAGAGTTAAATATACCTTTTCATAGAGCAGTTTTTAAACACTCTTTTTGTAGAATCTGCAAGTGGATATTTGGAGGGCTTTGGGGCCTTCGGTGGAAACGGGAATATCTTCACATAAAAACTAGAGAGAAGCATTCTCAGAAACTTCTTTGTGATGTGTACATTCAACACAGAGAGTTGAACCTTCCTTTTCATAGAGCAGTTTTGAAACACTGTTTTTGTAGAATCTACAAGTGGATTTTTGGAGTGCTTTGAAGCCCATGGTAGAAAAGGAAGTATCTTCATATAAAAACTAGACAGAAGCATTCTCAGAAACTTCTTTGTGATGTGTGCATTCAACTCACAGAGTTGAACCTTCTTTATGATAGAGCAGTTTTGAAACACTCTTTTTGTAGAATCTGCAAGTGGACATTTGGAACGCTTTGAGGCATATTATGAAATAGGAAATATCTTCACATAAAAGCTAGACAGAAGCTTTCTCAGAAACTTCTTTGTGATGTGTGCATTCAACACACAGAGTTGAAACTTTCTTTTGATAGGGCAGTTTTGAAACACTCTTTTTGCAGAACCTGCAAGTGGATATTTAGATCGCTTTTAGTGCTGTGGTAGAAAAGGTAATACGTTCACGTAAACACCAGACAGAAGCATTCTCAGAAACTACTTTGTGATGTGTGCATTCAACTCACAGAGTTGAAAATTTCTTTTGATAGAGCAGTTTTGAATCACTCTTTTTATCGAATCTGCAAGTGGATATCTGGAGCCCTTGGAGGGCTGTGGTTGAAAACTAAATGTCTTCTCATAAAACCTAGACACAAGCATTCTCAGAAACTCTTTTGTGATGTGTGCATTCAACTTACAGAGTTTAACCTTTGTTTTTATAAAGCAGCTTTGAAACTCTCTTTATGTAGAATCTGCAAGTGGATACTTGGAGCGCTTTGAGGCCTATGGTGGAAAAGGAAATATCTTCACATAAGAACTGGACAGAAGCGTTCTCCGAAACTACTTTGTGATGTGTGCATTCAACTCACAGAGTTGAACCTTTCTTTTGATAGAGCAGTTTTGAAACACTCTTTTTGTAGAATCTCCAGCTGGATGTTTGCTTTCCTTATAGGCGTATGTTGGAAAAGGAAATATCTTCACATAAAAACTAGACAGAAGCATTCTCAGAAACTTCTTTGTGATGTTTGCATTCAACTCTCGGATAGGAACCTTCCTTTTGATAGAGCAATTTTGAACACTCTTTTTGTAGCATCTATAAGTGGATATTTGGAGCACTTGGAGGCATATGGTGGAAAAGGAAATATCTTCACATAAAAAGTAGACAGAACCATTCTCAGAAACTCCTTTGTCAGGTGTGCATTCAACTCACAGAGTCGAACTTCTCTTTCAATAGGGCAGTTTTGAAACACTCCTTTTGCAGAATCTGCACATGGATATTTGATTCTCCTTGAAGCCTATGGTGAAAAAGGAAATATCTTCACATGAAAACTAGACACGAGAATTCTCAGAAACTTCTTTGTGATGTGTGCCTTCAACCCACTTGGTTGAAGCTTTCTTTTGATAGAGCAGTTTTGAAACATTCTTTTTGAAGAATCTGCAAGTGGATATTTGGAGTGCTTTGAGCCTTATGGTGGAAAAGGAAATATCTTCACATAAAAACTAGACAGAAGCATTCTCAGAAACTTTTTTGTGATGTGTACATTCAACACAGAGAGTTGAACCATTCTTTTGATAGAGCAGTTTTGAAACACGCTTTTTGTGGAATCTGCAAGTGGATATTTGGTTTCCTTTGTGTCCTATGTTGGAAAACAAAATATCTTCATATAAAAACTAGACAGAAGCATTCTCAGAAACTACTTTGTGATGTGTGCATTCAACACACAGAGTTGAACCACTCCTTACATAGAGCTGTTTGAAACATTCTTTTTGTAGAATCTGCAAGCGGATATTTGGAGCGCTGGGAGGCCTATGTTGGAAAAGGCAATATCTTGACATAAAAACTAGACAGAAGCATTTTCTGAAACTTCTTTGTGATGTGTGCATTCAACTGACGGAGTTGAACCTTTCTGTTGATAGAGCAGTTTTGAAACACTCTTTTTACAGAATCTGCACGTGGACATTTAGTTCCCCTTGAGGCCTATGGTGTAAAAGGAAATATCTTCACAGAAAAAACAGACACAAGCATTTTCAGAAACATCTTTGTGACGTGTGCATTCAACTCACACAGTTGAAACTTTCTTTTTGTAGAGCAGTTTTGAAACAATCTTTCTGTAGAATCTGCAAGTGGATATTAGGAGTGGTTTGAGGCCTATGGTGGAAAAGAAATATCCTCACTTGAAACTAGACAGAAGCAGTCTCCGAAATTTCTTTGTGATGTGTGCATAAAACTCACAGTGTTGAACATTTCTTTTGATAGAGCAGTTTTGAAATATCTTTTTCTAGAATCTGCAAGTGGATATTTGGTTTCCTTTGAGGCCTATGTTTGAAAAAGAAGTATCTAAAGAAAAACTAGACAGAAGCATTGTCAGAAACTTCTTTGTGATGTGTGCATTCAACTCACAGAGTTGAATCTTCCTTTTGATACAGGAGTTTGGAAATTCTTTTTGCAGAATCTGCAAGTGGATATTTGGAGCGCTTTGAGGAAGTGGTGGAAAAAGAAATATCTTCAAATAAAAACTAGGCAGAAGCATTCTCAGAAACTTCTTTGTGATGTATGAATTCTA
The DNA here is from genome assembly GCF_000001405.40 of Homo sapiens. Taxonomy (NCBI): domain Eukaryota; kingdom Metazoa; phylum Chordata; class Mammalia; order Primates; family Hominidae; genus Homo; species Homo sapiens. The sequence goes on along the minus strand of NC_000005.10, from coordinate 46,344,235 downwards.
CTCCCTCAGCTGAAACTTTCTTTTGATAGAACAGTTTTGAAACACTCGTTTTGTAGGGTCTTCTTTTGACTACTTTGTTTCCTTTGAGGTCTATGTTGGATAACGAAATATCTTCACATAAAAATTAGACAGAAGCATTCTCAGAAACTTCTTTGTGGTGTGTGCATTTAACTCACAGAGTTGAACCATTCTTTTGATAGAGCAGTTTTGAAACACTCTTTTTGTAGAATCTGCAAGTGGATATTTGTAGCGCTTGGATGCCTATGGTCTAAAAGGAAATATCTTCTCATAAAAACCACAGGGAAGCATTCTCCGAAACTTCTTTGTGATGTGTGCATTCAACTCACAGAGTTGAACCTTTCTTTTGATAGAGCAGTTTTGAATCACTCTTTTTGTAGGATCTGCAAGTGGATATTTGGAGCGTTTTGTGGCCTATGGTGGAAAAGGAAATATCGTCACATAAAAACTAGAAACAAGCATTCTCAGAAACGACTTTGTGTTGTGTGCATTCAAATTACAGAGTTGGACCTTTTCTTTGATAGAGTAGTTTTGAAACGCTCTTTTTGTAGAGTCTTCCAGAGGATAGATTGTTTCCTTTGAGGCCTTTGTTGGAAAAGGAAATATCTTCACATAAAAACTAGACAGAAGCATTCTCAGAAACTTCTTTGTGATGTGAGCATTCAACTCACACAGTTGGACCTTTCTTTTGATAGAGCAGTTTCAAAACACTCTTTTGTAGAATATGCTAGTGGATATTTGGAGTGCTTTGTTTCCCATGGTGGAAAAGGAAATATCTTCACATAAAAATTAGACAGAAGCATTCTTAGAAACTGCTTTGTGGTATGTGCATTCAACTCACAGATATGAACTTTTCTTTTGATAGAGAAGTTTTGAAACACTCTTTTTGTAGAATCTGCAAGTGGATATTTGTAGTGCTTGCCTACATATGGTGGAAAAGGAAATATCTTCACATAAAATCTAGACAGAAGCATTCTCAGAAACTTCTTTGTGATGTGAGCGTTCAACTCACAGAGTTGAACCTTTCTTTTGATAGAGCAATTTTGAAACGCTCTTTTTCTAAAATATGCATGTGTATATTTGGAGTGCTGGAGCACTTTTTGGCCTTTGGTGGAAAAGGAAATTTTTTTTAAATTTTTTTTATTTTTTTATTATTATACTTTAAGTTTTAGGGTACATGTGCACAATGTGCAGGTTAGTTACATATGTATACATATGTTGTGCTGGTGCGCTGCACCCACTAACTCATCATCTAGCATTAGGTATATCTCCCAATGCTATCCCTCCCCCCTCACAAACCCCCACAACAGGCCCCAGAGTATGATGTTCCCCTTCCTGTGTCCATGTGTTCTCATTGTTCAATTCCCACCTATTAGTGAGAATATGCAGTGTTTGTTTTTTTTTTTCTTGCGATAGTTTACTGAGAATGATGATTTCCAATTTCATCCATGTCCCTACAAGGAACATGAACTCATCATTTTTTATGGCTGCATAGTATTCCATGTTGTATATGTGCCACATTTTCTTAATCCAGTATATCATTGTTGGACATTGGGTTGGTTCCAAGTCTTTGCTATTGTGAATAATGCCACAATAAATATACGTGTGTATGTGTCTTTATAGCAGCATGATTTATAGTCCTTTGGGTATATACCCAGTAATGGGATGGATGGGTCAAATGGTATTTCTAGTTCTAGATCCCTGAGGAATCGCCACACTGACTTCCACAAGGGTTGAACTAGTTTACAGTCCCACCAACGGTGTAAAAGTGTTCCTATTTCTCCACATCCTCTCCAGCACCTGTCGTTTCCTGACTTTTTAATGATTGCCATTCTAACTGGTGTGAGATGGTATCTCATTGTGGTTTTGATTTGCATTTCTCTGATAGCCAGTGATGGTGAGCTTTTTTCATGTGTTTCTTAGCTGCATAAATGTCTTCTTTTGAGAAGTGTCTGTTCATGTCCTTCACCCACTTTTTGATGGGGTTGTTTGTTTTTTTCAGGATACAAAATCAATGTAGGAAAATCACAAGCATTCTTATACACCAATAACAGACAGAGAGCCAAATCATGAGTGAACTCTCATTCACAATTGCTTCAGAAAGAATAAAATACCTAGGAATACAACTTACAAGGGATGTGAAGGACCTCTTCAAGGAGAACTACAAACCACTGCTCAAGGAAATAAAAGAGGATAGAAACAAATGGAAGAACATTCCATGCTCATGGGTAGGAAGAATCAATATAGTGAAAATGGCCATACTGACCAAGGTAATTTACAGATTCAATGTCATCCCCATCAAGCTACAAATGACTTTCTTCACAGAACTGGAAAAAACTACTTTAAAGTTCATATGGAACCAAAAAAGAGCCCACATTGCCAACTCAATCCTAAGCCAAAAGAACGAAGCTAGAGGCATCACGCTACCAGACTTCAAACTATACTACAAGTCTACAGTAACCAAACCAGCATGGTACTTGTACCAAAACAGAGATATAGATCAATGGAACAGAACGGAGCCCTCAGAAATAATGCCACATATCTACAACTATAGGATCTTTGACAAACCTGAGAAAACAAGCAATGGGGAAAGGATTCTCCAAAGGACATTTGGAGCACTTTGAGGGTTATTGTGGAAGAGGAAATATCTTCACATAAAAACTAGCAGAAGCATTCTCAGAAACTTCTTTGTGATGTGTGCATTCAACTCACAGAGTTGAAGCGACATTCCGATTGAGCAGTTATGAAACACTTTTTTTGTAGAATCTGCAAGTGGACACTTGAAGCGCTTTGAGGGCTATGGGGGAAAAGAAAATATCTTCACATAAAAACTAAACAGAAGCATTCTCACAGACTTCTTTGTGATGTCTGCATTCAACTCACAGAGTTGAACATAGCTTTTCATAGAGCAGTTTTATAACACTATTTTTGTAGAATCCGCAAGTGGATATTTGGATGGCTTTGTGGCCTTTGTTGGAAACGGGAATATCTTCTCATAAAAACTTGACAGAAGCATTCTCAGAAACTTCTTTGTGATGCGTGCATTCAACTCACAGAGTTGAACCTTCCTTTTGATAGAGCGGTTTTGAAACACTCTATTTGCAGAATCTGCAAGTGGATATTTGGAGTGCTTTGAAGCCTTCGTTGGAAACGGGAATATCTTCACATAAATCTAGACAGAAGCATTCTAAGAAACTTCTTTGTGATGTATGCATTCAAGTCACATAGTTGAAGCTTGCTTTTGATTGAGCAGTTTTGAAACACACTTTTTGGGGAATCTGCAAGTGGATATTTGGACCAGTTTGAGGCCTTCCTTGCAAAAGGGAATATCTTCCCATAAAAACAAGACAGAATCATTCTCAGAAACTACTTTGTGATGTATCCATTCACCTCACAGAGTTGAACCTTCCTTTTGATAGAGCTGTTTTGAAACACTCTTTTTGTAGAATGTCCAAGTGGATATTTGGAGCACTTTGAGGCCAAGGTGGAAAAGGAAATATCTTCACATAAAAACTAGACAGAAGCATTCTCAGAAACTTCTTTGGGATGTGTGCATTCAACTCAAAGTGTTGAACCTTCCAGGAGATAGAGCAGTTTCAAAACAATCTATTTGCAGAATCTGCAAGTGGACATTTGGAGAGCTTTGAGGGCTATGGTGGAAAAGGACTTATCTTTTCATATAAACGACAGAAGGATTCACAGAAACTTTTGGTGATGTGAGCATTCAACTCAGAGAGGTGAACTTTGCTTTTGATAGAGCAGTATTGAAACACTCTTTTTGTGGGATCTGCAAGTGGATATTTGAACCGGTTTGAGATCTTCGTCGGAAACGGGAATATTTTCCCATAAAAACTGGACAGAATCATTCTCAGAAACTGCTTTGTGATGTGTGCATTCAACTCACAGATGTGAACCTTGCTTTTGATAGAGCAGTTTTGAAACACTCTTCGTGTAGAATGTGCAAGCAGACATTTGGAGCGCTTTGTGGCCTATTGTAGAAAAGGAAATATCTTCGTATAAAAACGAGACAGAAACTTTCTCAGAAACTATTTTGTTGTGTGCATTCAACTCACAGAGTTGAACCTCTCTTTTGATAGAGCAGCTTTGAAACATTCTTTTTGTAGAATCTGCAAGTGGACATTTATAGAGCTTTGAGGCCTATGGTGGAAAAGGAAATATCTTCACATAAAAACTAGACAGAAGCATTCTCAGAAACTTCTTTGTGATGTGTGCATTTAACTAACAGATTTGAACCTTCCTTTTGTAGGACTTTTTTTAAACACTCTTTTTGTAAAATCTGCAAGTGGTTATTTGGACTGCTTTGTGGCCCTCCTTGGAAACGGGATTATATTCTCATAAAAACTTTAAAGAGGCATTCTCAGAAACTACTTTGTGATGTTCGCATTCAACCGACAGAGTTGAACCTACTTTTTGATAGAGCAGTTTTGAAATACTCTTTTTGTAGAATCTGCAAGTGTACATTTGGAATGCTTTGAGGGTTATGGTGGAAAATGAAACATTTTCACATAAAAACTAGATAGAAGCATTCTCAGAAACTTCTTTGTGATGTTTGCATTCAACTCACAGAGTTGTGCATACCTTTTCATAGAGCAGCTGTGAAAGACTCTTTTTGTAGAATCTGTAAGTGTATATTTGGACTGCTTTGAGGCCTTCATTGCAAACGGGAATATCTTCACATAAAAACCAGAGAGAAGCATTCTCAGAAACTTCTTTGTGTTGTGTGCATTCAACTCACAGACTTGAAACTTCCTTTCGATAGAGCAGTTTTGAAACACTCTTTTTGTAAAATCTGCAAGTGGACATTTGGAGCACTTTGAGGGCTGTGGTGGAAAATCAAATATCTTCACATAAAAACTAGACAGAAGCATTCTCAGAAACTTCTTTGTGAAGTTGCCATTCAACTCACAGAGTTGAACATGCCTTTTCATAGAGCAGTTTTGAAACAGTCTTTTTGTGGAATCTGAAAGTGGATATTTGGACCGGTTTGAGGCCTTCATCGGAAAGGGGAATATCTACATATAAAAACTAGACAGAAACATTCTCAGAAACTTCTTTGTGATGTCTGCATTCACCTGACAGAATTTAAGCTTCCTTTTGGTAGAGCAGTTTTTAAACACTCTTTTTGTAGAATCTGCAAGTGGATATTTGGACTGCTTTGTGGCCTTCGTTGGAAATGGGTATATATTCTGATAACTAGACAGAAGCATTCTCAGAAACTACTTTGTGCTGTTTGTTTAACTCACAGAGTTGAACTTTGCATTTGATAGAGCAATTTTGAAATACTTTTTTTGTAGAATCTGCAAGTGTACATTTGGAGCACTTTGCGGGTTATGGTGGAAAATGAAATATCTTCACATAAAAGATAGAAGCATTCTCAGAAACTTCTTTGTGATGTTTGCATACAACTGACAGAGTTCAACATACCTTTTCATAGAGCAGATTTGAAACATTCTTTTTGTAGAATCTGCAAGTGAATATTTGGAATGCTTTGAGGCCTTCTTTGGAAATGGGAGTATCTTCACATAAAAACTAGACAGAAGTATTCTCAGAAACTTCTGTGTGATGTTTGCATACAACTCACAGAGTTGAACATACGTTTTCATAGAGCAGCTTTGAAAGATGCTTTTTGTAAAATCTGCAAGTGTATATTTGGACCACTTTGAGGCCTTGGTTGGAAACGGGAATCTCTTCACATAAAAACTAGATAGAAGTATTCTCAGAAACTTCTCTGTTCTGTGTGCGTTCAACTCACAGAGGTGAACCCTCTTTTTGATAGAGCAGTTTTGAAACCCTCTTTTTGTAGAATCTGCAAGTGGACATTTCGAGCGCTTTCATGGCTATGGTGGAAAAGGAAATATCTTCACATAAAAACTAGACTGAAGCCTTCTCAGAAACTTCTTTGTGATGTTTGCCTTCAACTCACAGAGTTGAACATACCTTTTCAAAGAGCATTTTGAAACACTCTTTTTGTAGAATCTGTAAGTGGATATTTGGAGTGCTTTGTGTCCTTCACTGGAAACGGGTATATATTCTCATAACTAGACAGAAGCTTTCTCAGAAACTACTGTGTGATCTTTGCATTCAACTCACGGAGTTGAATCTTCCTTATGATAGAGCAGTTCTGAAATACTCCTTTTGTAGAATCTGCAAGTGTACATTGGAGCACTTGGAAGGTTATGGTGGAAATGGAAATATCTTCACATAAAAAATAGGTAGAAGCATTCTCAGAAACTTCTTTGTGACGTTTGCATTCATCTCCCAGAGATGAACATACATTTTCATAGAGCAGCTTTCAAACATACTTTTTGAAGGGTCTGTAAGTGTATGTTTGGCCCGCTTTGAGGCCTTCATTGGCAATAGGAATATCTTCACATATAAACAAGACAGAAGCATTCTCAGAAACTTCTTTGAGATGTGTGCATTCAACTCAGAGATTTGAACCTTCCTTTTGATAGAGCAGTTTTTAAACACTGTTTGTGTAGAATCTGCAAGTAGACATTTGAAGTGCATTGAGGGCTATGGTGGTAAAGGAAATATGTTCACGTAAATACTAGATGGAAGCATTCTCAGAAAGTTTTTTGTGGTGTGTGCATTGAACTCACCGAGTTGAACTTTCTTTTGATAGAACAGTTTTGAGACACTCTTTAGAATCTGCAAGTCGACGTTTGGACCAGTTTGAGGCCTTCGTTGGAAATGGGAATATCTTCACATAAAAACTAGACAGAAGCATTCTCAGAAACTTCTTTGTGATGTGTGCATTCAGCTCACCGATGTGAACTGTCCTTTTGATAGAGTAGTTTTGGAACACTCTTTTTGTAGAATCTACAAGCGGACATTTGGAGTGCTTTGAGGCCTATGGTAGAAAAGGAAATATCTTCATATAAAAACTAGACAGAAGCATTCTCAGAAACCACTTTGTGTTGTGTGCATTCAACTCACAGAGTTGAACCTCTCTTTTGATAGGGCAGCTTTGAAACACTCTTTTTGTAGAATCTACAAGTGGACATTTGGAACGCTTTGAGGCATAGGATGGAAAAGGAAATATCTTCACATAAAAACTAGACAGAAGCATTCTCAGAATTTTCTTTGTGATGTGTGCATTCAAATCACAGAGTTCAACCTTCATTTTGGTAGAGCAGTTTTGAAACACTCTTTATGTAGAATCTGTAAGTATACATTTGGAGTGCTTTGAGGGCTATGGGGAAAAGGCAATATCTTCACATAAAAACTAGACAGAAGCATTCTCAGAAACTTCTTTGGGATGTGTGCATTCACCTCACAGTCTTGAACCTTTCTTTTGATACAGCAGTTTTGAAACACTCTTTTTGTGGAATCTGCAAGTGTATATTTGGACAGGTTTGAGGCCTTCATTGGAAACGGCAATATCTCCACAAAAAACTAGGCAGAAACATTCTCAGAAACTTCTTTGTGATGATTGCATTCATCTCAGAGAGTTAAACATACCTTCTCATGGAGCAGTTTTGAAACTCTCTTTTTGTAGAATCTGCAAATGGATATTTGGTTCCCTTTGAGGCCTATGGTGGAAAAGGAAACAGTCACATAAAAACTAGACAGAAGGATTTTCAGAAACTTCTTTGTGATGTGTGCATTCAACTCACAGATCTGAACCTTTCTTTTGACAGAGCAGTGTGGAAACACTCTTTTTGTACAATCTACAAGTGGATATTTTGTTCCCTTTGAAGCCTACGGTGGAAAAGCAAATATCTTCACATAAAAATCAGACAGAAGCATTCTCAGAAACCTCTTTGTGATGTGTGCATTCAACTCACAGAGTTCAACCTTTCTTCTGATAGAGCAGTTCTCTAAGACACTCTTTTTGTAGCTTCTGCAAGTGGATATTTGGAGCACTTTGATGCCTACTGTGAAAAGGAAATATCTTCACATAAAACTAGACAGAAGCATTCTCCGAAAATTCTTTGTGATGTGGGCATTCAACTCACAGAGTTCAACCTTTCTTTTCATAGAGCAGTTTTGAAACACTCTTTCTGTAGAATTTGCAAGTGGATATTTTGTTCCCTTTGAGGGCTATGGTAGAAAACGAAGTATCTTCACCCCAAAAGTAGACAGAAGCATTCTCAGAAACTTCTTTGTAATGTGTCAATTCAACACACAGAGTTGAACCTTGCTTTTGATAGAACAGTTTTGAAACACACTTTTTGTAGAATCTGCAAGTGGATACTTGGAACTCCTTGATGCCTATGGTGGAAAAGGAAATATCTTCTCAAAACAAAAAGGCAGAAGCATTTTCAGAAACTTCTTTGTGATATGTGCATTCAGCTCACTGAGTTGAACCTTTCTTTTGATAGAGCAGATTTATAACAGTCTTTTTGTGGAATCTTCAAGTGGATATTTGGAGAGCTTTGAGGTCTATTGTGGAAAAGGAAATATCTTCACATAAAAACTAAACAGAAGCATTCTCAGAAATTTCTTCATGATGTGTGCATTTATCTCGCTGAGATGAACCTTTCTTTTGATAGAGCAGATATGCGACACACTTTTTGTAGAATGTGCAGCTGGATACTTTGTTTCCTTTGAGACCTGTGGTGTAAAAGGAAATGTCTTCACATAAAAACTAGACAGAAGCATTCTGAGGAACTTCTTTGTGATGTGTGCATTCAACTCACAGTGTTGAACTTTCTTTCATTAGAGCAGTTTTGAAACACTTTTTTTGGAAAATCTGAACGTGGACATTTGGAACGCTTTGAGGCTTATGGTGGGAAAGGAAATGTCTTCACACAAAAACTACCCAGAAGCATTCAGAGAAACTTCTTTGGGTTGTGTGAATTCACCACACAATGTTGAACCTATCTTTTGATTGAGCATTATTGTATCTCTCTTTTTCTAGGATCTGGAAGTGGGTATTTAGAGCCCTTGGCTTCCTATGGTGGAAAAAGATATATCTTCAAATAAAAACTAAACAGAAGCATTCTGAGAAACTTCTTTGTGATGTGTGCATTCAACTCACGGAGCTGAACCTATATTTTGATAGAGCAGTTTTGAATCTCTCTTTTTGTAGAATTTGCAAGTGTGTATTTGGAGCACATTGAGGCCTATTGAGGAAAAGGGAATATATTCACAGAAAAACTACACAGAAACATTCTGAGAAACTTCTTTGTGATGAGAACACTCATCTCACAGAGCTGGTCCTTTTCTTTGAGCAGTTTTGAAACACTGCTTTTGTAGAATCTGCATAGGGATATTTGGAGGGCTTTGAGGCCTATTTTGGAAAAGAAAATATCTTCACATAAAAACTGCATAGAAGCATTCTGAGAACTTCTTTGTTATGTGTGCATTCAAAACACAGATTTGAACCTATCTTTTGCTTAAGCAGCTTTGAATGTCTCTTTTTGCAGTATCTGCATGTGGATATTTGGAGCAATTTGAGGCCTATTGTGGAAAGGAAATATCCTCACATAAAAACTACCCAGAAGCATTCTGAGAAACATCTTTGGGATGTGTGCATTCAACTCACAGAATTGAACTTATCTTTTGATGGAACAGTTTTGAATCTCTCTTTTTGGAGCCCATTGTGGCCTGTTGTGGAAAAGAAAATATCTTCAAATAAAAACTACACAGAAGCATTCTCAGAAACTTCTTTGTGATGTGTGCATTCAACTCAAAGAGTGGAACCTTTCTTTTGATACAACACTTTTGAAACTTTCTTTTTGTATATTCTGCAAGTGGATATTTGGAGCTCTTTGGGTCCTATGGTGGAAAAGGAAATATCTTCACATAAAAACCATACAGAAGCATTCTCAAAAACTGCTTTTTGTTGTGTGTATTCAACTCACAGAGATTAACCTTTCCTTTCATAGAGCTGTTTTGAAACACTCTTTTTCTTCAATCTGCAAGTGGATATTTTGTTTCCTTTGAGGCCTATGTTGGAAAATGAAATATCCTCAAATAAAAACTAGACAGAGCATTCTCACAAACTTCTTTGTGACGTGAGCATTCAACTCACAGAGTGGAACCTTTCTTTTGATAGAGCAGTTTTGAAACACTCTTTTTTGTGGAATCTGCAAGTGGACATTTGGAGCGCTTTGATGCCTATGGTGGAAAAGGAAATATCTTCACATAAAAACTAGTCAGAAGCATGCTCAGAAACTTCTTTGTGATGTGTCATTTCAATTCACAGATTTGGACACTTCTTTTGGTAGATCAGTTTTGAAACACTCTTTTTGTAGAACCTGCAAGTGGATACTTGGAGCGCTTGGAGGCCTACGTTGGAAAAGGAAATATCTTAACAAAAAAACTAGACAGAAGCATTCTCTGAAACTTCTTTGTGATGTGTGCATTCAACTCACAGAATTGAACCTTTCTTTTGATAGAGCAGTTTTGAAACACTCTTTTTGTAGTATCTGCAAGTGCATATTCGGAGCGCTTGGAGGCCTGTGGTGGAAAACGAAATATCTTCACATAAAAACTAGACAGAAGAATTCTCAGAAACTACTTTGTGATGTGTGCATTCAATTCACAGACTTTAACCTTTCTTTTGATAGAGCAGTTTTGAAACACTCTTTTTGTAGAATCTGCAAGTGGATATTTTGTTCCCTTTGAGGCATATGGTGGAAAGGGAAATATATTCACATGAAAACTACACAGAAGGATTCTCAGAAACTTCCTTGTGATGTGTGCATTCAACTCACAGATTTGAACCTTTCTTTTGATAGAGCAGTGTGGAAACACTCTTTTTGTATAATCTGCAAGTGGATATTTTGTTCCCTTTGAAGCCTATAGTGGAAAAGCAAATATCTTCACATAAAAACTAGACAGCAGCATTCTCAGAAACTTCTTTGTGATGTGTGCATTCAACTCACAGAGTTCAACCTTTCTTCTAATAGAGCAGTTCTGAGACGCTCTTTTTGTAGAATCTGCAAGTGGATATTTGGAGTGCTTTGAGGCCTATTTTGAAAAGGAAATATCTTCACATAAAACTAGACAGAAGCATTCTCCGAAAGTTCTTCGTGATGTGGACATTCAACTCACAGAGTTCAAACTTTCTTTTGATAGAGGAGTTTTGAAACACTCTTTCTGTAGAATCTGCAAGTGGATATTTTGTTCCCTTTGAGGCCTATGGTGGAAAATGAAGTATCTTCACCCAAAAACTAGACAGAAGCATTCTCAGAAACTTCTTTGTGATGTGTGCATTCAACTCACAGAGTTGAACCTTGCTTTTGATAGAGCAGTTTTGAAACACCTTTTTTGTAGAATCTGCAAGAGAATACTTGGAATGCTTTGATGCCTATGGTGGAAAAGGAAATATCTTCACATAAAAAAGAGGCAGAAGCATTTTCAGAAACTTCTTCATGATGTGTGCCTTCAACTCACTGAGTTGAACCTTTCTTTTGATAGAGCAGATTTATAACACTCTTTTTGTGGAATCTGCAAGTGGATATTTGGAGCACTTTGATGTCTATTGTGGAAAAGGAAATATCTTCACATAAAAACTAAGCAGAAGCATTCTCAGAAATTTCTTCATGATGTGTGCATTTATCTCGCTGAGACGAACCTTTCTTTTGATAGAGCAGATTTGAGACACCCTTTTTGTAGAATCTGCGGTTGGGTACTTTGTTTCCTTTGAGGCCTGTGGTGTAAAAGGAAATGTCTTCACATAAAAACTAGACAGAAGAATTCTGAGGAACTTCTTTGTGATGTGTGCATTAAACTCACAGTGCTGAACCTTTCTTTCATTAGGGCAGTTTTGAAACACTCTTTGTAAACTCTGCAAGTGGATATTTGAAGTGCTTTGAAGCCTATGGTGGAAAAGGAAATATCTTCACATAAAAGCTACCCAGAAGCATTCAGAGAAACTTCTTTGAGATGTGTGCATTCAGTTCCCAGAGTTGAACCTCTCTTTTGATTTAGTAGTTTGAATCTCTCTTTTTGCAGTATCTGCATGTAGATATTTGGAGTGATCCGAGGCCTTTTGTGGAAAAGGAAATATCTTCTCAGAAAACTGTGCAGAATCATTTTGAGACACTCCTTTAGGATGTGTGCATTCACCTCACAGTGTTGAACCTATCTTTTGATTGAGCAGTATTGTATCTCTCTTTTTGTAGGATCTGGAAGTGGATATTTGGAGCCCTTGGCTGCCTATGGTGGAAAAGGATATATCTTTAAATAAAAACTAAACAGAAGCATTCTGAGTAACTTCTTTGTAATGTGTGCATTCAACTCACCGAGCTGAACCTATGTTTTGATTGTTCAGTTTTTAATCTCTCTTTTCGTAGAATCTGCAAGTGTATATTTGGAACACATTGAGGCCTATTGAGGAAAAGGGAATATATTCACAGAAAAACTACACAGAAGCATTCTGAGAAACTTCTTTGTGATGAGTGCACTCATCTCACAGAGCTGGTCCCTTCCTTTGGTTGTGCAGTTTTGAAACACTGTTTGTTAGAACCTGCAAAGGGATATTTGGAAGGCTTTGAGACCTATTTTGGAAAAGGAGATATCTTCACATAAAAACTACATAGAAGCATTCTGAGAAACTTCGTTGTTATGTGTGCATTCAACTCACAGAGTTGAACCTATCTTTTGATTGAGCAGTTTTGAATCTCTCTTTTTGCAGTATCTGCATGTGGATATTTGGAGCGATTTGAGGCCTATTGGGGAAAGGAAATGTCCTCAAATAAACACTACCCAGAAGCATTCTGAGAAACGTCTTTGGGATGTGTACATTCAACTCACAGAGTTGAAGCTAACTTTTAATGGAACAGTTTTGAATCTCTCTTTTTGTAGTATCTGCAAGTGGATATTTGGAGCCCATTGTGGCCTGTTGTGGAAAAAAAAAAATCTTCAAATAAAAACTATACAGAAGCATTCTGAGAAACTTCTTCATGATGTGTGCATTCAACTCACAGAGTTGAACCTATCTTTTGATTGAGCAGTTTTGAAACACTGTTTTGGTAATATCTGCAAAGGGATATTTAAAGGGCGTTGAGGCCTATTTTGGAAAAGGTAATATCTTTGCATAACAACCAGACGGAAGCATTCTCAGAAACTTCTTTGTGATGTGTGCATTCAACTTAAAGAGTGGAACCTTTCTTTTGATAGAGCACTTTTGAAACATTCTTTTGTATATTCTGCAAGTGGATATTTGGAGCTCTTTGGGTCCTATGGTGGAAAAGGAAATATCTTCACATGAAAACCAGACAGAAGCTTTCTCAAAAACTGCTTTGTGATGTGTGCATTCAACTCACAGAGATTAAACTTTCCTTTCATAGAGCAGTTTTGAAACACTCTTTTTGTTGAGTCTGCAAGTGGATATTTTGTTTCCTTTGAGGCCTATGTTGGAAAATGAAATATCCTCAAATAAAAAATGGACAGAAGCATTCTCACAAACTTCTTTGTGCTGTGAGCATTCAACTCACAGAATGCAACCTTTCTTTTGATAGAGCAGTTTTGAAACACTCTTTTTGTAGAATCTGTAAGTGGGCATTTTGAGTGCTTTGAGGCCTACGGTGGAAAAGAAAATATATTCACATAAAAACTAGACACAAGCATTCTCAGAAACTTCTTTGTGATGTGTCCATTCAACTCACAGATTTGCACATTTCTTTTGATAGATCAGTTTTGAAACACTCTTTTTGTAGAAACTGGAAGTGGATATTTGGAGCGCTTGGAGGCCTACATTGAAAAAGGTAATATCTTCACATAAAAACTAGACAGAAGCATTCTCCGAGAACTTCTTTGTGATGTGTGCATTCAACTCACAGGGTTGAACCTTTCTTTCGATAGAACAGTTTTGAAACACACTTTTTGTAGAATCTCAAAGGGGATAATTGGTTCCCTTTGAGGCCTATATCGGAAAACAAAATATATTCACATAAAAACTAGACAGAAGAATTCTCTAAAATTTCTTTCTGATGTGTGCATTCAACTCATAGTCTTAAACTTTTCTTTTGATAGAGCACTTTTGAAACATTCTTTTTGTAGAATCTGCAAGTGGATATTTGGAGCGCTTTGAGGCCTATGGTGGAAAAGGAAATATCTTCACATAAAAGCTAGACAGAAGCATTCTCCGAAACTTCTTTGTGATATTTGCATTCAATTCACCGATTTAAACTTTTCTTTTTATATAGCAGTTTTGAAACACTCGTTTAGTAGAATCTGCAAGTGGATATTTTGTTTCCTTTGAGGCCTATTTTGGAAAAGGAAATATCTTCACATAAAATATAACAGAAGCATTCTCAGAAACTTGTTTTTGATGTGTGCATTCAACTCACGGAGATTAACGTTTCTTTTGACAGAGGAGTTTTGAAACACTCTTTTTGAAGAATCTGCAAGTGGATATTTGGTTTCCTTTGAGGCCTATGTTGGAAAATGAAATATCTTCAAATAAAAACTAGACAGAAGCATTCTCACCAGCTTCGTTTTGATGTGAGCATTCAACTCCCAGAGTGGAACCTTTCTTTTGATAGAGCAGTTTTGAAACACTCTTTTTGTGGAATCTGCAAGTGGATATTTGGAGAAGTTTCAGGCCTATGGTGGAAAAGGAAATATCTTCACATAAAAAGTAGAAGCATTCTCAGAAACTTCTTTGTGATGTGTGCATTCAACACACAGAGTTGAACCTTTCTTCTGATAGAGCAGTTTTGAAACACTCTTTTTGTAGTATCTGCAAGTGGATATTTGGAGCGCTTGGAGGCCTGTGGCGGAAAACGAAATATCTTCACATAAACACTAGACAGAAGAGTTCTCAGAAACTTCTTTGTGATGTGTGCATTCAACTCACAGAGTTCAACCTTTCTTCTGATAGAGCAGTTCTGAGACACTCTTTTTGTAGAATTTGCAAGTGGGTATTTGGAGCACTTTGAGGCCTATTGTGAAAAGGAAATATCTTCGCATAAAAACTAGACAGAAGCATTCTCCAAAACTTCTTTGTGATGTGTGCATTCAACTCACAGAGTTGAACCTTGCTTTTGATAGAGCAGTTTTGAAACACTCTTTCTGTAGAATCTGCAAGTGGATATTTTGTTCCCTTTGAGGCCTATGGTGGAAAACGAAGTATCTTCACCCAAAAACTAGACAGAAGCATTCTCAGAAACTTCTTTGTGATGTGTGCATTCAACTCACAGAGTTGAACCTTGCTTTTGATAGAGCAGTTTTGAAACACACTTTTTGTAGAATTTGCAAGTCAATATTTAGAAGGCTTTGATGCCTATGGTGGAAAAGGAAATATCTTCACATAAAAAAAGGCAGAAGCATTTTCAGAAACTTCTTTGTGATGTGTTCATTCAACTCACTGAGTTGAACCTTTCTTTTGATAGAGTAGATTTATAACACTCTTTTTGTGGAATCTTCAAGCGGATATTTTTAGTGCTTTGAGGTCTATTGTGGAAAAGGAAATATCTTCACATAAAAACTAAACAGAAGCATTCTCAGAAATTTCTTCATGATGTGTGCATTTATCTCGCTGAGACGATCTTTTCTTTTGATAGAGCAGATTTGAGACACTCTTTTTGTAGAATCTGCTGTTGGATAGTTTGTTTCCTTTGAGGCCTGTGGTGTAAAAGGAAATGTCTTCACATAAAAACTAGACAGAAGCATTCTGAGGAACTTCTTTGTGAGGTGTGTATTCAACTCACAGTGTTGAACCTTTCTTTCATTAGAGCAGTTTGAAACACTCTTTCTGTAAAATCTGCAAGAGCATATTTGGAACACTTTGAGGCCTATGTTGGAAAAGGAAATATCTTCACATAAAAACTACCCAGAAGCATTCAGAGAAACTTCTTTGAGATGTGTGCATTCAGTTCCCAGAGGTGAACCTATCTTTTTATTTAGTAGTTTGAATGTCTCTTTTTGCAGTATCTGCATGTGGCTATTTGGAGCGATCCGAGGCCTTTTGTGGAAAAGGAAATATCTTCTCAAAAAACTGCGCAGAATCATTTTGAGAAACTCCTTTAGGATATGTGCATTCATCTCACAGTGTTGAACCTATCTTTTGATTGAGCAGTATTGTATCTCTCTTTTTGTAGGATCTGGAAGTGGATATTTGGAGCCCTTGGCTGTCTATGGTGGAAAAGGATATATCTTTAAATAAAAACTAAACAGAAGCATTCTGAGTAACTTCTTTGTAATGTGTGCATTCAACTCACTGAGCTGAACCTATGTTTTGATTGTTCAGTTTTGAATCTCTCTTTTTGTAGAATCTGCAAGTGTATATTTGAAGCCCTTGGCTGCTTGTGGTGGAAAAGGAAATATCTTCCAATAAAAACTACACAGAAGCATTCTGAGAAACTTTTTGTGATGTGTGCATTCAACACACACAGTTGAACCTGTGTTTTGATTAAGCAGTTTTGAATCTCTCTTTTTGTAGAATCTGCAAGTGGATATTTGGAGCACTATGAGGCCTATTGTGGAAAAGGAAATATCTTCACAGAAAAACTACACAGAAGCATTCTGAGAAACTTCTTTGTGATGAGTGCACTCATCTCACAGAGTTGGTCCTTTCTTTTGATTGAGCAGTTTTGAAACACTGCTTTTTAGAATCTGCAAAGGGTTATTTGGAGGGCTTTGAGGCATATTTTGGAAAAGGAAATATCTCCACATTAAAACTACACAGATTCACATAAAAACTATGCAGAAGCATTCTGAGAAACTTCTTTCGGATGTGTGCATTCAACTCACAGATTTGAACCTATCTTTTGATTGAGCAGTTTTGAATCTCTCTTTTTGTAGAATCTGCAAGTGGATATTTGGAGTCCTTTGTGGCCTATGTTGGAAAAGGAAATATCTTCAAATAAAAACTACACCGAAGCATTCTGAGAAAATTCTTTGTTATGTGTGCATTCGACTCACAAACTTGAAGTTATGTTTTGATTGAGCAGTTTTAAAACACTGTTTTTGTAGAATCTGTAAGTGGATATTGGGAGCGTTCTGAGGCCTTTGTGGAAAAGGGAATCTCTTCACCTAAAAACTACACAGAAGTATTCTGAGAAACTTCTTTGTTATGTGTGCATTCATCTAGCAGAGTTGAACCTATCTTTTGATTTAGCAGTTTTGAATCTCTTTTTTTGCGGTGTCCGCATGTGGATATTTGGAGCGATCTGAGGACTATTGTGGAACAGGAAATATCTTCTCATAACAACTACACAGAAGCATTCTGAGAAAGTTCTTCAGGATGTGTGCATTCACCTCACAGAGTTGAACCTATCTTTTGATTGAGCAGTTTTGTATCTCTCTTTTTATAGGATCTGCAAGTGGATAGTTGGAGCCCTTGGCTACCTATGGTGGAAAAGGATATATCTTCAAATAAAAACTACCCAGAAGCATTCTGAGAAAATACTTTGTGATGTGGGCATTCAACTCACAGAGTTGAACCTTTCTTTTGATAGAGAAGTTTTGAAACACTTTTTTTGTGGAAACTGCAAGTGGATATTTGGAGCACATTGAGGCCTATGGTGGAAAAGGAAATATCTTCACATAAAAGCTACACAGAAATATTCTGAGGAACTACTTTTATATGAGTAAATTCAACTCACAGAGTTGAACCTATCTTTTGACTGAGCAGTTTTGAATCTCTCTTTTTATACAATCTGCAAGTGGATATTTGCAGCCCTTTGCGGCCTATGGTGGAAAAGGAAATATCTTCAAATAAAAACTACACTGAAGCATTCTGAGAAACTTCTTTTTTATATGGGCATTCAACTCACAGAGTTGAACCTATTTTTTCATTGAGCAATTTTGAATCTCTCTTTTTGTAGAATCTGCAAGTGTATATTTGGATTGCTTTGAGGCCTATTGTGGAAAAGGAAATATCTTCACATAAAAACTACACAGAAGCTTTCCGAGAAACTTCTTTGTTATGTGTGCATTCAACTCACAGAATTGAACCTATCTTTTGATTGAGCAGTTTTGAATCTCTCTTTTTGCAGTATCTGCATGTGGATATTTGGAGCGATCTGAGGCCTATCGTGGAAAAGGAAATATCTTCACATAAAAAATACACAGAAGCATTCTCAGAAACTTCTCTGTGATGTGTGCATTCGACTCACAGAGTTCAACCTATCTTTTCATTGAGCAGTTTTGAATCTAACTTTTTGTAGAATCTGCAAGTGGATATTTGGAGTCCACAGCTGCCTGTGGTGTAAAGGGAAATATCTTCAGACAAAAACTACACAGAAGCATTCTGAGAAACCTCTTTGTGATGTGTGCAATCAACTCAGAGTTGAACCTGTGTTTTGATTGAGCAGTTTTGAATCTCTTTTTGTAGAATCTGCAGGTTGATATTTGGAGCCCTTGTCTGCTTTTTGTGGAAAAGGAAAAATCTTCAAATAAAAAGTACACAGAAGCATTTTGAGAAACTTCTTTGTGATGTATGCATTCACCTCACAGAGTTGAAACTATCTTTTGATTGAGCAGTTTTGAATCTCTCTTTTTGTAGAATATGCAAGTGGATATTTGTATCCCTTTGCGGTCTATGGTGGAAAAGGAAATATCTTCAAATAAAAACTACACAGAAGCATTCTGAGAAACTTCTTTGTGATGATTGCATTCAGCTCACTGTGTTGAACTTATGTTTTGATTGAGCAGTTTTGAATCTCTGTTTTTGTAGAATCTGCAAGTGGGTATGTTGAGCGTTTTGAGGCCTATTTTGGAAAGCAAATATCTTCACATAAAAACTACACAGAAGCATTCTGAGAAACTCCTTTGGGATGTGTGCATTCAACACACAGAGTTGAACATACCTTTTGATTGAGCAGTTTTGAGTCTCTCTTTTTGCAGTATCTGCATGTGGATAATTGGAGAGATCTGAGGTTTATGGTGGAATATGAAATATCTTCACATAAAAACTACACAGAAGCATTCTGAGAAACTTCTTTGTGATGTGTGCATTCACCTCACAGAGTTGAACTTTTCTTTTGATTGGGCAGTTTGGAAACACACTTTTTGTAGAATCTTCAAGTGGATATTTGGAGCTCTTTGAGATCTGTTGTGGAAAAGGAAATATCTTCACATAAAAACTACACAGAAATATTCTGAGAAAATTTTTGTGATGTATGCATTCAACTCACAGAACTGAACGTTTCTTTTGATTGAGAAGTCTTGAATCTCTCTATTATTTGTAGAGCCTGCAATTGGATATTTGGAGCCCCTAGCGGCCTATGATGGAAAAGGAAATATCTTCACATAAAAACTACACAGAAGCTTTCTGAGAAACTTCTTTGTGATGTGTGAATTCATCTGCCATAGTCGAACCTTTCTTTTCATTGAGCAGTTTGGTAACACTCTTTTTCTAGAATCTGCAGGTGGATATTTGGAGCGCTTTGAGGCTTATGGCAGAAAAGGAAATATCTTCAAATGAAAAATACAAAGAAGCATTCTGAGAAACTTCTTTGTGATGTGTGCATTCAACTCACAGAGTTGAACCTATTTTCTAATTAAGCAGTTTTGAACATCTCTTTTTGTAGAATCTGCTAGTGGATATTTGGAGCCCTTTGCAGCCTATGATGGAAAAGGAAATATCTTCACCTAAAAACTACACAGAAGAATTCTGAGAAACTTCTTTGTGATGTGTGCATTCATCTCACAGAGTTGAACTTTCCTTTTGATTGAGCAGTTTTGAAACACTCTTTTTGTAGGATCTGCAAGTGGATATTTGGAGTGCTTTGAAGTCTAAGGTGGAAAACGAAATATCTGAACAAAAAACTACACAGAAGCATTCTGAGAAACCTCTTTGTTATTTGGGCATTGAACTCACAGCGTTGAAACTAGCTTTTGATTGAGCAGTTTTGAAACTCTCTTTTTGTAGAATCTGGTAATGGCTATTAGGAGCTGTTTGTGGCCTATGGAGGTAAAGGAAATATCTTCACATAAAAAATACACAGAAGAATTCTGAGAAACTTCTTTTCGATGTGTGCATTCATCTCACAGAGTTGAAACTTTCTTTTCATTAAGCATTTTTGAAGCACCCTTTTTGTAGAATCTGCAAGTGGATAATTGGAGCGCTTTGCGGCCTATTGTGGAAAAGGAAATATCTTCACATAAAAACTACACAGTAGCATTCTGAGAAACTTCTTTGTGATGTGTGCATTCAACTCACAGAGTTGAACCTATCTTTTGATTGAGCAGTTGTGAGACTCTTTTTGTAGAATCTGGAAGTGGGTATTAGGAGCCTTTTGTGTCCTTTGGTGGAAAGGAAAATATCTTCACATAAAAACTACACAGAAGAATTCTGAGACTCTTCTTTGTGATGTGTGCCTCCTCTCACATAGTTGAACGTTTCTTTTGATTGAGCAGTTTTAATACCCTCTTTTTGTAGAATCTGCAAATGGATATTTGGAGTGCTTTGTGGTGTACAGTGGAAAAGCAAATATCTTCACATAAAATCTGCACAGAAGCATTCTGAGAAAGTTCTTTGTGATGTGTGCATTCATCTCACAGAGTGGAACCTATCTTTTGATTGAGTACTTTTGAATCTCTCTTTTTGTACCATCTGCAAGTGGATATTTGGAGCCCTTTGTGGCCTATGGTGGAAAAGGAAATATCGTCACATAAAAAGTACACAGAAGTATTCTGAAAAACTTCTTTGTGATGTGTGCATTCAACTCACAGAGTTGAACCTATCTTATGATTGAGCAGTTTTGAACCACTCTTTCTGTAGAATCTGCAAGTGGATATTTGGAGCACTTTGATGCCTATCGTGGAAAAGGAAATATCTTCACATAAAAACTACACAGAAGCATTATGAGAAACTTCTTTGTGATGTGTGCATTCATCTCACAGAGTTGAACCTTTCTTTTGATTGCGTAGTTTTGAAACACTGTTTTCGTATAATCTGCAATTGGCTATTTGGAGCGCTTTGAGGCCTGATGTGGAAAAGGAAATAACTTCACATAAAAACTACATAGAAATATTCTGACAAAATTCTTTGTGATGTGTGCATTCATCTCACAGGGTTGAAACTTTCTTTTGATTGAGCTGTTTTGGACGTCTCTTTTTGTATAATATGCAAGTGAATATTTTGAGTGCTTTTAGGTGTACAGTGGAAAAGCAAATATCTTCCCGTAAAATATACACAGAAGCATTCTGAGAAACTTCTTTGCTATGTGTGCATTCATCTTGCAGGGTTGAACATTTCTTTTGATTCAGCAGTTTTGAATCTCTCATTTTGTAGGTTCTGCAAGTGGATATTTGGAGCCCTTTGCGGCCTATGGTGGAAAAGGAAATATCTTCACATAAAAACTACACAGAAGCATTCTGAGAAACTTCTTTGTGTTGTGTGAATTCAACTCTCAGAGTTGAACTTATCTTATGATTGAGCCGTTTTGAACCACTCTTTTTGTAGAATCTGCAAATGGATATTTGGAGCGCTTTGAGGCCTGTCGTGGAAAAGGAAATATCTTCACATGAAAACTACACAGAAGCATTTTGAGAAACTTCTTTTCGAGTGTGCATTCATCTGACAGATTTGAACCTTTCTTTTGTTTGAGAAGTTTGGAAACATTCGTTGCAGAGTCTGCAAGTGAATATTTGGGGCGTTTGAGGTCTATGGTGGAAAAGGAAATATCCTCACATAAAAACTAAACAGAAGCATTCTGAAAAACTTCTTTGTGATGTGTGCATTGAACTCACAGAGTTGAACCTATCTTTTGATTGAGCAGTTTTGAATCTCTCTTTTTGTAGAATCTGCAACTGGATATTTGGTGCTGTTTGTGGACTATGGTGGAAAAGGAAATATCTTCACATAAAAACTATACAGAAACTTTCTTAGAATCTTCTTTGTGATGTGTGCATTCATCTCACAGAGTTGAACTTTTCTTTTGATTGAGCAGTTTGGAAACACTCTTTTTGTGGAATCTTCTAGTAGATATTTGGAGGGCTTTGATGCCTATTGTGGAAAAGGAAATGTCTTCACATAAAAACTGCACCAGAAGCATTCTGAGAAACTTCTTTGTGATGTGTCCATTCATCTCACAGAGTTGAGCCTATCTTTTGATTGAGCTGTTTTGAAACACTCTTTTTGTAGAATGTGCAAGTGGATATTTGGAGCACTTTGAGGCCTATGGTTGAAATGGAAATATCCTCACATAAAAACTACACAGAAGCATTCTGAGGAATTCTTTGTGATGTGTACATTCAACTCACAGAGTGGAACATATCTTTTTATTGAGCAGTCTGAATCTCCCTTTTTTTAGAATCTGCAAGTTGTTATTTGGAGCCCTTTGTGGCCTGTGGTGGAAAAGGAAATGTCTTCAAATAAAAACTACACAGAAGGATTCTGAGAAACTTCTTCATGATGTGTGCATTCAACTCATAGAGTTGAAGCTATCTCATGACTGAACAGTTTTGAAACACTCTTTTTGTACAATCTGCAAGTGGATATTTGGAGCACTTTGAGGTATATTGTGGAAAAGGAATATCTTCACATAAAAACTACAAAGAAGCATTCTGAGAAACTTCTTTGTGATGTGTGCATTCATCTCACATAGTTGAAACTTTCTTTTGATTGAGCAGTTTCAAAACACTGTTTTTCTAAATCTGCAAATGGCTCTTTGGAGCACTTTGAGGACTGCAGTGGAAAAGCAAATATCTTCATATGAAATCTACACAGAAGCATTCTGAGAAACTTCTTTATGATGTGTGCATTCTTTTGATTGATTAGTTTGGGAACACTGTTTTACAAGAATCTTCAAAGGGATATTTGGGAGCACAAGGGGCCTATATTGAAAAAGGAAATAACTTCAGCAAAAAACCAGAAGGATCCTTTCTGAGAAGCTGGATAGTGATGTGTGCATTCTTCTCAGAGAGTTAAACAGGTCTTTGGTTGAGCAGTTTGGAAACACTCTTTATATAGAATCTTCAAAGGGATATTTTGGAGTGCACTGATGCCTTGGTGAAAAAGGAAATATCTTTGGATTAGAAGTTGAAAGAAGCTCTTTGAGAAACTGCTGAAGCATGGATGCATTCATCTCACAGAGTTAAAGCTTTCTTTTGACTGAGCAGTTTGGAAACACTGTTTTTCTGTAATCTGCCAAGTGAGATTAGGTAGTGCAAAAGGCCTATGGTGAACAAGGAAATATATTCAGATAAAAATGGGAAAGAAGCGTTATGAGAAACTGCTTTTTGATATCTGCAATCGTCTCATAGAGATAAGTCCTTCTTTTGAGGGAACAGTTTGGAAAAACTGCTTTTGTAGCAACTGTGAAGTGATATTTGGGAGTGCATTGAGCCCTATGTTGGAAAGGGAAATATCTTCAAAGAAGAAGTAGGCAGAAGCTTTCTGAGACACTGCCTTCTGAAAAGTGCCTTCGTCTCACAGAATTAAATCTTTCTTTTGATTGAGCAGTTTGATAACACTGTATTTGTAGAATCTACGAAGGGATATTTGGGAGTGCATTGAAGCCTATGATGAAAAAGGAAATAGGTACAGATAAAAACTAGAAGGAAGCTTTTTAAGAAACTGCTTTGTGATGTGTGCATTTCCCTCACAGAGGTAAACCTTTCTTTTGGTTGATCAGTTTGGAAACCCTGTTTTTGTAGAATCTGCAAAGTGATATTTGGGAATGTACCTGGCCTAACATGAAAAAGGAAATAACCATAGGTTAAAATTAGAAAGCAGCTTTCTGAGAAACCGCTTTGTGATGTGTGCATTCTTCTCACAGTGTTAAATGTTTCTTTTGATTGAGCTGTTTGGAAACACTGGTTTTGTAGAATATGCAAGGGGATATTTGGGAGTGCACTGAGGCCTATGGTGAAAAGGGAAATATCTTCTTCAGAGAAAAAGAAGAAAAAGGCTTTTTGAGAAACTGCTTTGAGATGTTTGCCTTCCTCTCACAAAGTTAAACTTTTCTTTTGACTGAGCAGTTTGGAAACATTGTTTTTGTATAACCTGCAAAGTGATCCCAGGTAGCACAAAATGGCCTGTGGTGAACAAGGCAATAGTTTCAGATAAAAACTGGAAATTCTGCATTCTCACTGGAAAGTGTGCATCTCACAAAGTTAAATCCTTCTTTTGATGGAACACTTCATAAACTCTGTATTTATAGAATTTGCATAGGGATATTTGGGAGCACATTGAAGCCTACGTTGAAAAAGGAAATATCTCCAATAAAAAATGAGAATGAATATTTCAGAGAAACAGCTTTGTGATGTGTGCATTCATCTCACGGAGGTAAACCTTTTCTTTTGAGCAGACTTAAACCTTTCTTTTGAGCAGTTTGGAAACACTGTTTTGACAAAATCTGGGAAGCGATGTTAGGTAGCACAAAAAAGCCCATGGTGAAGAAGGAAATACCTTCAGATAAAACTGGAAAGAAGAGTTATGAGAAACTGCTTTCTTATTTCTGCATTCGTCTCACAGAGTTAAGTCCTTCTTTTGATGGAACAGTTTGGAAACAATCTTTTTGTAGAATCTTCTAAGGTATATTTTTCAGTGCCTAAAAGGAAATATCTTCACATATTTCACATGGTGAAAAAGGAAATATCTTCACATAAAAACTACAAAGAAGCTTTTTGAGAAACTGCTATGGGATGTGTGCACTCAACTCACAGAGTTAAACCTTTCTGTTGATTGAGAATTTTGGAAACACTCTTTTTGTAGAATCTGCCAAGGAATATTTGGGAGTGCATTGAGGCCTATGGTGAAAAAGGATGTATCATCAGAGAAGAAGTAGAAAGAAGCCCTCTGGGGAAATTTTTTGTGATATTTGCATTCATCTCATGGAGTTAAAGCTTTCCTTTCACTGAGCAGTTTGGAAACACTGTTTTTGTAGAATCTGGAAAGGGACATCTGGGAGAGAATTGAGGCCTAGAGTTGAAAAGGAAATATTTTCAGATAAAAACTAGACAGAATTTTTTTGAGAGAGTACTTTGTGATGTGTGCATTCATATCACAGTTAAAGCTTTCTTTTGATTTATCCGTTTGGAAACACTGTTTATGTAGAATCTGCGATGGGATATTTGGGAACACATTGAAGCCAATGGTGAAAACGAAAATATCTTCAGATAAAAACTAGAAAGAAGATTTTTGAGCAACTGTTTTGTGATGTGTGCATTCATCTCAAAGTGTTATACCTTTCTTTTGACTGAGGAATTTGGGAACACTGTTTTTGCAAATTCTGCGAAGAAATATTTGGTAGCTCAAAAAGCCTATAGTGAACAAGGAAATATCTAGAGATAAAAATTGGAAAGAAACCTCATGAGAAACTGCTTTCTGATATGTGCATTCATCCCACAGATTTAAGTCCTTGTATTGATGGAACAGTTTGCAAACACTGTTTCTGTAGAAACTGCAAAAGGATATTTGGCAGCGCATTGAGGCCTAATGTGGAATAGGAAATATCTTCAGAGAATAACTATACAGAAGCTTTCTGAGAAATTGCTTTGTGATATGTGTATTCTTCTTACAGAGTTACAACTTTCTTTTCACTGAGCAGTTTGGAAATGCTGTTTTTGTAGAATCTGTAAAGGGATATTTGGGAGCACATTGAAGACTACAGGGCAAAAGGAATTATATTCACATAGAAAATAGAAAGAGTTAAAACTTTCTTTTGATTGATCACTTTGGAAATGCTGTTTTTGTAGAATCTGCAAAGGGATATTTGTGAGTGCAGATATATTTTTGAGCACAATGAGTCCTCTGCTGACAAAGCAAATATCTTCTGATAAAAGCTAGAAAGAAGCTTTCTGAGAAACTGCTCTGACATGTGCGCATTCTTCTTCTAGAGTTAAACCTCCTTATTGGTTGAGCAGTTTGGGAACATTCTTTTTGTAGAATCTGCAAAGGCAAAATTGGGTGTGCAGTGAGGCCTTTCATGAAAAAGGTAATACCTTCGGATAAAAACTAGCAGGAAATTTTTTTTTCTTTATTATACTTTAAGTATTAGGGTACATGTGCACATTGTGCAGGTTACTTACATATGTATACATGTGCCATGCTGGTGTGCTGCACCCACTAACTCGTCATCTAGCATTAGGTATATCTCCCAATGCTATCCCTCCCCCTCTCCCAACCCCACAACAGTCCCCAGAGTGTGATATTCCCCTTCCTGTGTCCATGTGTTCTCATTGTTCAATTCCCACCTATGAGTGAGAATATGCGGTGTTTGGTTTTTTGTTCTTGTGATAGTTTACTGAGAATGATGATTTCCAATTTCATCCATGTCCCTACAAAGGACATGAACTCATCATTTTTTATGGCTGCATAGTATTCCATGGTGTATATGTGCCACATTTTCTTAATCCAGTCTATCATTGTTGGACATTTGGGTTGGTTCCAAGTCTTTGCTATTGTGAATAATGCCGCAATAAACATACATGTGTATGTGTCTTTATAGCAGCATGATTTATAGTCCTTTGGGTATATACCCAGTAATAGGATGGCTGGGTCAAATGGTATTTCCAGTTCTAGATCCCTGAGGAATCACCACACTGACTTCCACAATGCTTGAACTAGTTTACAGTCCCACCAACGGTGTAAAAGTGTTCCTATTTCTCCACATCCTCTCCAGCACCTGTTGTTTCCTGACTTTTTAATGATTGCCATTCTAACTGGTGTGAGATGGTATCTCATTGTGGTTTTGACTTGCATTTCTCTGATGGCCAGTGATGATGAGCATTTTTTCATGTGTCTGTTGGCTGCATAAATGTCTTCTTTTGAGAAGTGTCTGTTCATGTCTTTCGCCCACTCTTTGATGGGGTTGTTTGTTTTTTTCTTGTAAATTTGTTTGAGTTCATTGTAGATTCTGGATATTAGCCCTTTGTCAGATGAGTAGGTTGCGAAAATTTCTCCCATTTTGTAGGTTGCCTGTTCAATCTGATGGTAGTTTCTTTTGCTGTGCAGAAGCTCTTTAGTTTAATTAGATCCCATTTGTCAATTTTGGCTTTTGTTGCCATTGCTTTTGGTGTTTTAGACATGAAGTCCTTGCCCATGCCTATGGCCTGAATGGTAATGCCTAGGTTCTCTACCAGGGTTTTTATGGTTTTAGGTCTAACGTTTAAGTATTTAATCCATCTTGAATTGATTTTTGTATAAGGTGTAAGGAAGGGATCCAGTTTCAGCTTTCAACATATGGCTAGCCAGTTTTCCCAGCACCATTTATTAAATAGGGAATCCTTTCCCCATTGCTTGTTTTTCTCAGGTTTGTCAAAGATCAGATAGTTGTAGATATGCGGTGTTATTTCTGAGGGCTCTGTTCTGTTCCATTGATCTATATCTCTGTTTTGGTACCAGGACCATGCTGTTTTGGTTACTGTAGCCTTGTAGTATAGTTTGAAGTCAGGTAGTGTGATGCCTCCAGCTTTGTTCTTTTGGCTTAGGATTGATTTGGCGATGAGGGCTCTTTTTTGGTTCCATATGAACTTTAAAGTAGTTTTTTCCAATTCTGTGAAGAAAGGCATTGGTAGCTTGATGGGGATGGCATTGAATCTGTAAATTACCTTGGGCAGTATGGCCATTTTCATGATATTGATTCTTCCTACCCATGAGCATGGAATGTTCTTCCATTTGTTTGTATCCTCTTTTATTTGCTTGAGCAGTGGTTTGTAGTTCTCCTTGAAGAGGTCTTTCACATCCCTTGTAAGTTGGATTCCTAGGTATTTTATTCTCTTTGAAGGAATTGTGAATGGGAGTTCACTCATGATTTGGCTCTCTGTTTTTCTGTTATTGGTGTATAAGAATGCTTGTGATTTTTGTACATTGATTTTGTATCCTGAGACTTTGCTGAAGTTGCTTATCAGTTTAAGGAGATTTTGGGCTGAGACAATGGGGTTTTCTAGATATACAATCATGGCGTCTGCAAACAGAGACAACTTGACTTCCTCTTTTCCTAATGGAATACCTTTTATTTCCTTCTCCTGCCTGATTGCCCTGGACAGAACTTCCAACACTATGTTGAATAGGAGTGGTGAGAGAGGGCATCCCTGTCTTGTGCCACTTTTCAAAGGGAATGCTTCCAGTTTTTGCCCATTCAGTATGATATTGGCTGTGGGTTTGTCATAGATAGCTCTTATTATTTGGAAATACGTCCCATCAATACCTAATTTTTTTGAGACTTTTTAGCATGAAGGTTGTTGAATTTTTTCAAAGGCTTTTTCTACATCTATTGAGATAATCATGTGGTTTTTGTCTTTGGCTCTGTTTATATGCTGGATTACATTTCTTGATTTGTGAATATTGAACCAGACTTGCATCCCAGGGATGAAGCCCACTTGATCATGGTGGATAAGCTTTTTGATGTGCTGCTGGATTCAGTTTGCCAGTATTTTATTGAGCATTTTTGCATCAATGTTCATCAAGGATATTGGTCTAAAATTCTCTTTTTTGGTTGTATCTCTGCCTGGCTTTGGTATCAGAATGATGCTGGCCTCATAAAATGAGTTAGGGAGGATTCCCTCTTTTTCTATTGATTGGAGTAGTTTCAGAAGGAATGGTACCAGTTCCTCCTTGTACCTCTGGTAGAATTCGGCTGTGAATCCATTTGGTCCTGGACTCTTTTTCGTTGGTAAGCTATTGATTATTGCCACAATTTCAGATCCTGTTACTGGTCTATTCAGAGATTCAACTTCTTCCTCGTTTAGTCTTGGGAAAGTGTATGTGTCGAGGAATTTATCCATTTCTTCTAGATTTTCTAGTTTATTTGTGTAGAGGTGTTTGTAGTATTCTCTGATGGTAGTTTGTATTTCTGTGGGATCGGTGGTGATATCCCCTTTATCATTTTTTATTGTGTCTATTTGATTCTTCTCTCTTTTTTTCTTTATTAGTCTTGCTAGCAGTATATCAATTTTGTTGATCCTTTCAAAAAACCAGTTCCTGGATTCACTAATTTTTTTGAAGGGTTTTTTGTGTCTCTATTTCCTTCAGTTCTGCTCTGATTTTAGTTATTTCTTGCCTTCTGCTAGCTTTTGAATGTGTGTGCTCTTGCTTTTCTAGTTCTTTTAATTGTGATGTTAGGGTGTCAATTTTGGATCTTTCCTGCTTTCTCTTGTGGGCATTTAGTGCTATAAATTTCCCTCTACACACTGCTTTGAATGCGTCCCAGAGATTCTGGTATGTTGTGCTTTTGTTCTCATTGGTTTCAAAGAACATCTTTATTTCTGCCTTCATTTCATTATGTAACCAGTAGTCATTCAGGAGCACGTTGTTCAGTTTCCATGTATTTGAGCGGTTTTGAGTGAGATTGTTAATCCTGAGTTCTAGTTTGATTGCACTGTGGTCTGAGAGATAGTTTGTTATAATTTCTGTTCTTTTACATTTGCTGAGGAGAGCTTTACTTCCAAGTATGTGGTCAATTTTGGAATAGGTGTGGTGTGGTGCTGAAAAAAATGTATATTCTGTTGATTTGGGGTGGAGAATTCTGTAGATGTCTATTAAGTCCGCTTGGTGCGGAGCTGAGTTCAATTCCTGGGTATCCTTGTTGACTTTCTGTCTCTTTGATCTGTCTAATGTTGACAGTGGGGTGTTAAAGTCTCCCATTATTAATGCGTGGGAGTCGAAGTCTCTCTGTAGGTCACTCAGGACTTGCTTTATGAATCTGGGTGCTCCTGTATTGTGTGCATATATATTTAGGATAGTTAGCTCTTCTTGTTGAATTGATCCCTTTACCATTATGTAATGGCCTTCTTTGTCTCTTTTGATATTTGTTAGTTTAAAGTCTGTTTTATCACAGACTAGGATTGCAACCCCTGCCTTTTTTTGTTTTCTATTTGCTTGGTAGATCTTCCTCCATCCTTTTATTTTGAGCCTATGTGTGTCTCTGCATGTGAGATGGGTTTCCTGAATACAGCACACTGATGGGTCTTGACTCTTTATCCATTTTGCCAGTCTGCGTCTTTTAATTGGAGCATTTAGCCCATTTACATTTAAAGGTAATATTGTTATGTGTGAATCTGATCGTGTCATTATGATGTTAGCTGGTTATTTTGCTCATTAGTTGATGCAGTTTCTTCCTAGTCTCGATGGTCTTTACATTTTGCCATGACTTTGCAGTGACTGGTACCGGTTTTCCCCTTCCATATTTAGTGCTTCCTTAAGGAGCTCATTTAGGGCAGGCCTGGTGGTGACAATTCTCTCAGCATTTGCTTGTCTGTAAAGTATTTTATTTCTCCTTCACTTATGAAGCTTAGTTTGGCTGGCTATGAAATTGTGGGTTGAAAATTCTTTTCTTTAAGAATGTTGAATATTGAACCCTACTCTCTTCTGGTTTGTAGGGTTTCTGCCAAGAGATCCGCTGTTAGTCTGATGGGCTTCCCTTTGAGGGTAACCCGACATTTCTCTCTGGCTGCCCTTAACATTTTTTCCTTCATTTCAACTTTGGTGAATCTGACAATTCTGTGTCTTGGAGTTGCTCTTCTCGAGGAGTATCTTTGTGTCGTTCTCTGTATTTCCTGAATCTGAATGTTGGCCTGCCTTGCTAGATTGGAGAAGTTCTCCTGGATAGTATCCTGCGGCATGTTTTCCAACTTGGTTCCATTCTCCCCATCACTTTCAAGTACACCAATCAGACGTAGATTTGGTCTTTTCACATAGTCCCATATTTCTTGGAGGCTTTGCTCATTTCTTTTTATTCTTTTTTCTCTAAACTTCCCTTCTCGCCTCATTTCATTCATTTCATCTTCCATTGCTGATACCCTTTCTTCCAGTTGATCGCATTGGCTCCTGAGGCTTCTGCATTCTTCACGTACTTATTGAGCCTTGGTTTTCAGCTCCATCAGCTCCTTTAAGCACTTCTCTTTATTGGTTATTTTAGTTATATATTCTTCTAAAGTTTTTTCAAAGTTTTTATCTGAATGTATTTCCTTGTTCACCGTAGGCCTTTTTGAGCTACTTATCATCGTTTTGCACATTATTCAAAAACAGAATTTCCAAACTGCTCTATCAAAGGAAAAGTTTAACTCTGTGAGATGAATGCACACATCATGTATCAATCAGTTTCTCAAAAACATTCTTTCTAGTTTTTATCCAAAGGTATTTCCTTTTTCAACAGAGGCTACAATGCGCTCCCAAATATACCTTTGCAGATACTACAAAATTGTTTGTCCAAACTGCTCAATCAAAAGACAGGTTTAACTCTGTGGGATACACGCACATGTCACAAATAAGTTTCTCAGATAGCTTCTGTCTAGTTCTTCCCTGAATATATTTCTTTTTCCACCATAGGCCTCAAAGCTCTCCCAAATATCCCGTCACAGATTCTATAAAAACTGTGTTTCCAAACTGTTCCATCAAAAGAAGGCTTTAACTCTGTTAGATGAACACACACATCAGAAATCAGTTTCTCATAAAGCTTCCTTCCATTTTGTATCTGAAGAAATTTCCTTGTTCTCCACAGGCCTTTTTGCTGTACAAAATATTGCTTCACAGATTATATAAAATCAGTGTTTCCAAAGAGTTCCATCAAAGGAAGGACTTAACTCTGTCAGACGAATGCACACATCAGAAAGCAGTTTCTCATAACGCTTATTTCCAATTTTTTCTGAAGATATTTCCTTTTTCACCACTGGCCTCTTTGTGCTACCTAATATCACTTTGCAGATTATGCAAAAAGAGTGTTTCCAAACTGCTCATCCAAAAGAAAAATTTAACTCTCTGAGATGAATGCCTACATCACAAAGCAGTTTCTCAGAAAGGTTCTTGTAGTTTTTATCCAAAGTTATTTCCTTTTTCATCATAGGCATCGGTGTGCTCCCAAATATCCCTTCACAATTTCTACCAAAACAGTGTTTCCAAGTGCTCAAATGAAAGAACAATTTGACTGAGTGAGGACAATGCACACATCACACAGCAGTTCCTCAGAATGGTTCCTTATAGTTGTTATCTGAAGTTATTTCCTTTTTCACCATAGGCCACGTGAGTTCCAAAATATCCCTTGGAAGATTCTACAAAACTGTGTTTCCAAGCTGCTCAATCAAAAGAATGGTTTAACTCTGAGATGAATGCACACATCACAAAGCAGTTTCTCAGATAGCTTCTATCTACGTCTTCTCTGAAAATATTTCCTTTTCCACAGTAGGCCTCAATGCACTCCAAAATATACCATTGCAGATTCTACAAAAACAGTGTTTCCAAACTGCTGAATCAAACGAAAGTTTTAAATGTGTGAGAAGAATTCACACATCACAAAAGAGTTTCTCAGAAAGCTTCTCTCTAGTTTTTATCTGAATATATTTCCTATTTCAACATTGGCCTCAATGCTCTCAAAAGTTTCCCAGCACTCAGAAATGTCATGGCAATTCTACAAAAGCAATGTTTCCAAACTTCTCAATCAAATGAAAGTTTTAACTCAGTGAAGTGAGTGAACGTGTCACAAAGCAGTCTCTCAGAATGCTTCTTTCTAGTTTTTATCAGAAGATATTTCCTTTTCCACCATAAGTCTCAATCCGCTCCCATGTATCCTTACAGAGATTTTACAACAACAGTGTTTACAAACTGCTCAATAAAAAAAAGCTTTTATTCTCTGAGATGAATGCACACATCATAAAGCTGTTTCACAGAAAGCTTCTTATCTGTTTTTATCTGAAGATATTTCCTTTTTCGCCATTGGGTTCAATGCGCTCCCAAATATACCTTTGCAGACTCTACAAAAACAGTGAGTACGAACTGCTCTATCAAAAGAAAGGTTTAACTCTGTGGGATGAATGCGCACGTCACAAAGCAGTTTATCTACAAGCTTCTTTCTAGTTTTTATCCATGTGTATATCCTTTATCACCATAGGCTCAATGCACTCCCAAATATCCCAAAGCAGGTTACACAAATACACTGTGTCCAAACTGCTCAATCAAAAAACAAACAGGTTTACCTCTGGAACAGTTTGGAAACACTGTTTTTGTAGAATCTGCAAAGGGATATTTGGGAGTGCATTGAAGCCTGTGGTGAAAAATAAAATATCTTCAGAGAAGAACTAGATAGAAGCTTTCAGAGAAACTGCTTTGTGATGTGTGCATTCATCTCACAGAGTTAAACCTTTCTTTTGATTCAGCAGTTTGGAAACTTTGTTTTTGTAGAATCTGCAAAGGGATATTTGTGAGGGCATTGTGGCCTACAGTGAAAAATAAAATATACGTGGATAAAAACTAGAAAGAAGTTTTTGAGAAACTGCTTTGTGATGGTTGCATTCATCTGACAGAGTGAAGCTTCTCTTTTGACTGAGCAGTTTGGGAACAATGTTTTTGTATAACCTGCAAAGTGATATTATGTAGCACAAAGAAGGCCTATATTTTGAAAAGGGAAATGTCTTCTGATAAAAACTGGAAAGAAGCTTTCTGAGAGACTGATTTGTGATGTGTGCATTCATTTCACAGTGTTAAATCTTTCCTTTGATGGATCCGTTTGGAAACAGCCTTTTCATAGAATCTGCGAATCGTTATTTTGGAGCACATTGAGGCTTACGGTGAGAAAGGAAATATCTACAGATAAAACCTAGAAAGAATCTTTCTGAGAAAGTGCTTTCTGATATGTGCATTTATCCAACAGAGTTAAACCTTTGTTTTGATTGAGCACTTTGGAAACACTATTTCTGTGGATTCTGCGATGGGGTATTTTGGAGCGCATTGATGTCTATGGTGAAAAAGAAAATATCTTCAGATAAAAACTAGAAAAAAGCTTTCTAAAATACTGCTTTGTGATGTGTGCTTTCTTCTCAAACAGTTAAAAGTTTCCATTGATTGAGCAGCTTGGAAACACTGTTTTGTAGAATGTGCAAAAGGATATTTTGGTGCACACTGAAGCCTATGGTGAAAAAGGAACTATCTTTGGATAAAAACTACAAGGAAGCTTTTTGAGAAACTGCTTTGTGATGTATGAAGTAATCACACAGAGTTAAACTTTTCTTTTGACAGAGCAGTTTGGAAACACTGTTTTTGTATATTCTGTGAAGGGATGTTAGGTATCACAAAAAGGCCGATGTTGAAAAAGGAAATGTCTCCAGACAAAAACTAGATAGTAGAGTTATGAGAAACTGCTGTGTGTGCATTGATCTCACAGAGATAAACCCTTCTTTTAATGGTACAGTTTGGAAACATTCTTTTTATGGAATCTGGAAGGCATATTTTGGAGCACATTGAGGCCTATGGTGGAAAAGGAAATATATTCAGAGAAGAATTAGACAGAACCTATCTATCTGAGAAACTGCATTTTGATGTGAACATTCAGGTCGCGGAGTTACACCTTTCTTTTGCTTGAGCAGTTTGGAAACACTGTTTTTGTCTAATCTATGAAGTTCCATCTGGTAGTGGACAGAGGCCAATGGTGAAAAGGGAATATCTTAGGATAAAAATAGAAAGAACCATTTTGAGAAACTGTTTTGTGATGTGTGCATTCATCTCACAGAGTTAAACCTTTCTTTTGACTGACAGTTTGGAGACACTATTTTGACAAAATTTGTGAACCTGTATTTTGTAGCGCAAAAAAGTTTATGGTGAAAAAGGAAATATCTTAAGATAAAAAATGGAAAGAAGAGCTGTGAGAAACTGCTTTCTGATGTGTGCATTCATCTCACTGAATTAAGTCCGCCTTTTGAATGAACAGTTTGGAAACACTGTTTTTGTAGAATATGTGAAGGAATATTTGGGAGAGCATTGAGGCCTATGGTGGAAAAGGAAATACCTCCAGAGAAGAAGGAGACAGAAGCTTTCTTAGAAACTGCTTTGTGATGTGTGCAATCAACTCACAGAGTTAAACCTTTCTTTTCACTGAGCAGTTTGGAAACACTGTTCATTTGTAGAATGCATGAGGGGATATTTGGGAGCACATTGAAGCCTGGGGTGAAAAAGGAAATATCTTTGGATAAAAACTAGAAAGAAGCTTTCTGAGAAACTGCTTTGTGATGTTTGCATTCATCTCACAGAGCTAAACCTTTCTTTTGATTGGTCCATTTGGAAACACTGTTTTTGTAGAATCTGCAAAGGAATATTTGGCAGCATATGAGTCCAACGTTGTAAATGGAAATAACTTCAGATAAAAACTAGAAAGAAGCTTTCTGAGAAACCACTTTGTGATGTGTGCATTCTACTCACAGAGTTAAATGTTTCTTGTGATTGAGTAGTTTGGAAACAGTGTTTAAGTAGAATCTGCAAAGGGATATTTGGGAGCTCAGTGTTGCCTATATTGAAAAAGGAAATATTTTTGGAAAATAACCAGAAAAAGGCCTTTTGAGAAACTGTTTTGTGATGTCTGCATTAAACTCATAGAGTTAAACCTGTTTTTTCATTGAGCAGCTTGGAAACCTGGTTTTGTATGATTTGCAGTGGCATATTGGAAAGCGCAGTTAGGACTTTTGTGAAAAAGGAAATATCTTCAGTTATAAACTAGAAAGAACTTTTTTGAGAAACAGCTTTGTTCTGTGTGTGTTCATCTGACAGAGCTAAACCTTTCTTTTGACTGAGCATTTTAGAATCACTGTTTTTGTATAATCTGTGAAGCCATATTTCGTAGCACAAAAATGCCTATGTCGATGAGGAAAATAAGTACAGGTAAAAACTGGAAAGAACTGTTATGAGAAACTGCTTTCTGATGTGTGTGCTCATCTCACAGATATAAGTCCTTCTTTTGTGGAACAGTTTGGAAACACTGTTTTATAGAATCTGTGAAGGGATCTTCTGGAGTGAATTGAGGCCTATTTTGGAAAAGGAAATATCTTCAGAGAAGAACTAACCAGAAACTTTCTGAGAATCTTCTTTGTGATGTGTGCATTTGTTTCACAGAGTTAAACCTTTCTTTTGATTGAGCAGTTTGGAAACACTGGTTTTGTAGTATCTGCAAAGGGATATTTGGGAAATCTTTGAAGCCTAGGGTGAAAAAGAAAATATATTCAGATAAAAACTAGGAGGAAACTTTTAGAGAAACTGCTTTGAGATGTCTGCATTTATGTAACAGAGTTAAACCTTTCTTTTGATTGATCCATTTGGAACCAATGGGTTTTTAGAATCTGCAAGTTATATTTGGGAGCACACTGAGGCCTATGGTGGAAAAGATAATATCTTCAGATAAAAAGTAGAAAGAACCTATATGAGAAACTGCTTTGTGATGTGTGCGTTCATCTCTGAGTCAACTGCTTCCTTTCATGGAACAGTTTTGAAACACTGTTTTTGTGAAATATGCGAATGGATATTTGGGAGCACATTGAGGCCTATGGTGGAAAAGGAAATATGTTCAGAGAAGAACTAAACAGAAGCTATCTGAGATATTCCTTTGTGTTGTGTGATTTCAACCCATAGAGTTAAAAATTTTTTTTGACTGAGTGGTTCGGAAACACTGATTTTGCAAAATCTATAAAGCAATATTTGGTAGTGAACACAAGCCTATGGTAAACAAGGAATATCTTCAGATAAAAACTGGAAAGAAACTTTAAGAGAAATGTCTTTCTGATGTGTGCGTTCATCTCACAGAGTTAAACCTTTCCTTTGATTGAGCAATTTGGAAACACTGTTTTTGTAGAATCTGCAATGGTATATTTGAGAGAGCCATGAGGCCTAGGGTAAAAATGGAATATATTCAGATAAAAACTAGAAAGAACTGTTTTTGAGAAACTGCTTTGTGATGTGTGCATTCAACTGACAGAGATAATACTGTTTTTTGATTGGGCAGTTTAAAAACACTGTTTTTATAGAATCTGCGAAGGGATATTAGGGAACGCTCAGAAACCTATGGTGAAAAAGCATATATCTTCAGATGAAAATTAGAAAAAGGTTTTTGAGAAACTGCTTTGTGATGTGTGCATTCATCTCACTTGGTTAAATCTTTCCTTTGATTGATCAGTTTGGAAACATTGCTTTTGTAGAATCTGTGAAGGGATATTAGGGAGTGCCTGAGGTCTATGGTGAAAAAGGAAATAACTTCAGATGAAAACTAGAAAGAAGATTTCCAAGAAACCACCCTGTGATGTGTGCATTCTTCTCACATAGTTAAATTTTCTTTTGATTGAGCAGTTTGGAAATAGTGTTTTTGTAGAATCTGTAAAGGTATATTTGGGAGCACCCTGAGGCCTATGGTGAAAAATGAATTATTTGGATAAAAACTAGAAAGAAGCTTTTGGAGAAACTGTTTTTTATTGTGTGCATTCAACTCACCAATTTAAACCTGTCACTTGATTGACCAGTGCGTAAACAGTGTTTTAGTACTACCTGCGATGTGATATTTGGGAGCACATTGAAGCCTATTGTTGTAAAGGAAATATCTTAGGGTAAAAACTAGACAGAAGGTATGTGAGAAAGTTTTGTGATGTGTGCATTCATCTCACAAAGTTAAGCATTTCTTTTGATTGAGCAGTTTGGAAACACTGTTTTGTGGAATCTGCAAAGGGATATTTGGGAGTGCATTAAAGCCTCTGTTGAAAATGGAAATGTCTTTGGATAAAAACTACAAAAAAGCTTTTGAAATACCACTTTGTGATGTCTGCATTCTTATCACAGAGTTATGAAGGCTATGAGAACTGCTTTGTGATCTGTGTATTCATCTCACAGGTTTAAACCTTTATTTGACTGAGCAGTTTGGAATCATTGTTTTTGTATAATCTGTGAAGCGATATTAATTAGTGCAAATATGCCTATGTTGATAAAGAAAAAATAACTTCAGATAAAACCTGGAAAGAAGCATTGTGAGAAACTTATTTTTGATGTGTGTGTTCATCCTACAGAGTTAAGTACCACTTTTGATAGAACAGTTTGAAAACACTGTTTTTGTAGAATCTGTGAAGGGATATTTGGGAGTGCTTTGAGGCCTATGGTGGAAAAGGAAGTATCTTCAGAAAAGAACTAGACAGAAACTTTCTGAGAAACTGCTTTGTGATGTGTGCATTCATCTGACAGAATTAAATCTTTCTTTTGATACAGCAGTTTGGAACCACTGTTTTTGTAGAATCTGTGAAAGGATATTTGTGAGCCCATGTTGCCTATGGGGAAAAAGGAAATACCTTCAGATTAAATACTGCCAAATAGCCTTCTGTGAAACAGTTTTGTGATCCATGTATTCTCATCACAGATTTAAAAGTTTCTTTTGATTGAGCAGTTTGGAAACACTGTTTTTGTAGAATCTGTGAAGGGATATTTGGGAGCACATTGACACCCGTGGTGAAAAGAAATATCTTCAGATAAACGTAGAAATAAGATTTCTGAGAAACTACTTTGTGATGTGTGCATTCATCTGACAGAGTTAAACCTTTCTTTTGATGGATCAATTTGGAAACACTGTTTTTGTAGAATCCAAAAAGGGATAGTTGGGAGTGCATTGAAGCCTTTTACTAAAAAGGAAATATCTTTGGATAAAAACTATAAAGAAGCTTTATGAGAAACTGCTTTGTGATGTGTGAATTCGTCTCACAGAGTAAAACCTTTTTTTCAATTGACTAGTTTGGAAGCACTGTTTTTCGAGAATCTGCATAAGGATATTTGTGAGTGCATGACACTTATGGTGAAGAAGGAATTATCTTCAGATAAAAACTAGAAAGAAGTTTTTTTGAGAAATTACTTTTGATGTGTGCATTCAGATCACAGAGATAACCCTTTCTTTTGACTGAGCAGTTTGGAAACACTGTTTTTGTTGTATCTGTGAAGCAATGTTTCACAGCACAAAAAGGCCTGTTGTGAAGAAGGAAATACCTTCAGATAAAAACTGGAAAGAAACGTTAAGAGAAACTGCTTTCTGATATGTTCATTCACCTCACAGAGTTAAATGGATCTCTTGTTGGAACAGTTCAGAAACAGTTTTTATAGAATCTGTGAAGGTATATTTGGGAGCTCATTGAGGCCTATGGTGTAAAAGGAAATATCTTGAGAGATGAACTAGACTGAAGCTAAATGAGAAACTGCTTTGTTAGGTGTTCATTTATCTCACTGAATTAAACCTTTCTTTTGATTGAAGTGTTTGGAAACACTGTTTTTGTAGAATCTGCAAAAGGATAAATGGGAGTGCACTGAGGCCTTTGGTGAAAAAGGAAATACCTTCAGATAAAAAGTGGAAAGAAGCATTTTGAGAAACTGCTTTGTGATGTGTGCATTCAATACACAGAATTAAACCTGTTTTTTGATTGAGCAGTTTGGAAACAGTGTTTTTGTAGAATCTGCAATGGGATATTTTGGTGCACATTGAAGCCTATGGTAATAAAGGAAATATTTTTCAGATAAAAACTAGAAAGAAGGTTTTGGAGAAATTGCTTTGTGATGTGTGCCTTCATCTCACAGAGTTAAACCTTTCTTTTGACCAAGCAGTTTGTAAACACTGTTTTTGCAGAACCTGTGAAGTAACATTTGGTAGGATAAAAAGCCTATGGTGAATAAGGAAATATCTTCAGATACAAACTAGAAAGAATCATTATGGGAAACTGCTTTCTGATGTGTGCGTTCATCTCACAGAGATAAGTCCTTCTTTCGATGGAACAGTTTTGAAACACTGTTTTTCTACAATCTGCGAAGGGATATTTGAGAGCACATTGATGCCTATGGTGGAAACAGAAATATCTTCAGAGAAGAACTAGACAGAAGCTTTCTAAGAAACCTCTTAGTGATGTGTGCATACAGCTCACAGATTTAAACCTTTTTTTTTGTTTGAGCAGTTTGGAAACACTGTTGTTGTAGAATCTGCAAAGGGATATTTGGGAGCGAATTGATGCCTATGGTGAAAATGGGAATAACTTCAGATAAAAACTAGAAAGAAGCCTTCTGAGAAAGCACATTGTGAGGGGTGCATTGTTCTCACAGAGTTAAATATTTATTTTGTTTGAGCAGTTTTGAAACACTATTTTTGCAGAATCTGCAAAGGGAAATTTGGGAGCATACAGATGCCTATGTTGTAAAAGGAAATAACTTCGAAAAAAACTAGATAGAGACTTTTTGAGAAACTGTTTTGTGATGTGTGCATTCATCTCACAGGTTTAAACATTTCTTTTGACTGAGCAGTTTGGAAACACTGTTTTGGTAGCATCTGCAAAGGGGTATTTGGGAGTGAACTGATGCCAATGGTGAAAAAGGAAATATCTTTGTATAAAAACTAGAAAGAAGCTTTCTGTGCAACTCCTTTGTGATGTAAGCACTCAACTCCCACAATTAAACTTTTCTTTTGATGGGGCAATTTGGAAACCCTCTTTTTGTACAACTTGTGAGGCATTGTTTTCTTACACAAAAAGGCCTATGATGAACAAGGAATTAACTTCAGAAAAAAACTGGAAAGAAGGGTTGTGAGAAACTGCTTTCTGATTTGTGCATTCATCCCACAGAACTAAATCCTTCTGTTGATGGAATAGTTTGGAAACACTGTTTTTATAGAATCTGCGAAGGGATATTTGGGAGCACATTGAGGCCTAATGGTAGAAAAGGATATATGTTCAGAGAAGATATAGACAGGAGGTATCTGAGAAACTGCTTTATGATGTTTTCATTCCTCTCACAAGGTTAAACCTTTCTTTGGCTGAGCAGTTTGGAAACACTGTTCTTGTAGAATCTGAAAACATACCTTTGGGAGAGCACTGAGGCCTATGGTGAAAAAGGAAATATCATTAGATAAAAACCAGAAATAAGCTTTTTGAGAAACTGTTTTGTGATGTGTGCCTTCAACTCAAAGAACTAAACCTGTTTTTGAATTTTTGTTTGAGCAGTTTGGAAACAATGATTTTGTACGATCTGCTTAGTGATGTATTAGGGAGAACACTGAAGCCTATGGTGATAAAAGAAATAGGACAAAAACTAGAAAGAATCTTTCTGAGAAACTGCTTTGTGATGTGAGCACTCGTCTAACAGAAAAAAACCTTTCTTTTCACTGAGCAGTTTGGGAACACTGTTTTTGAAGAATCTGCAAAGGCATGTTTGGGAGCACATTGAAGTCTCTAGTGATAAAGGAAACATCTACGGATCAAAACTAGAAAGCAGCTTTTTGAGAAAGTGTTTTGTGATGTGTGCATTCATCTCAAAGAAGTAAATCCTACTTTTTATGGAAGTGTTCAGAAACACTGTTTTCCTACAATCTGTGAAGGGATATTTGTGAACCCACAATGCCTAAGGTGAAAAATAACTTCAGATAAAAAATAGAAAGAAGCTTTCTGAGAAACTGCTTTGTGATGTGTGCATTATCTTTGCCAAGTTAAACATTTCTTTTGATTGAGTATTTTGTAAGCACTGTTTTTCTAGAATCTGCAATGGGATATTTGGTATTGCACTGATGCCCATGGTGAAAAATGAAATATCTTTGGATAAAAACTACAAAGAAGCACTTTGAGGAACTGCTTTGTCATGTATGCATTCATCTGACAGAGTTAAACCTTTCTTTTGACTGAGCAGTTTGGAAACACTCTTTATGTATAATCTGCAAAGCGATTTTTGGTAGCACATAAAGGTCTATGGTGAACAAGGAAATATCTTCAGAAAAAACCGGAAAGATGAGTTATGAGAAACTGCTTTCTGATGAGTGCATTCACCTCACAGAGTTAAATCCTTCTTTGATGGAACAGTCAAGAAACACTGTTTTTATAGAATTAGTGAAAGGATATTTGGGAGAGCATAGAGGCCTATGATGGAAAAAGAAATATCATCAGAGCAGAAATAAACATAAGATGATAAAGGAAATATCTTCATGTAAAAATTACAAAGAAGCTTTTTGAGCAACTGCTTTGTATTGTGTGGGTTCAACTCACAGAGTTAAACCTGTTTGTTGATTGAGCAGTTTGGAAACTCTGTTTTTGTAGAGTCTGCCATGGGATTTTTGCGAGCACATTGAAGCCTAAGGTGATAAAGGAAATATCTTTGGATAAAAACTAGAAAGAAGGCTTTCAAGATACTGCTTTGTGATGTGTGCATTCATCTCACAGAGTTAAACTTTTCTTTTGACCAAGCAGTTTGGAAACACTGTTTTTGTAAAATCTGTGTAGTGATATAATGTAGTGCCTAAAAATCTATGGCGAAAAAGGAAAGAT
The DNA here is from genome assembly GCF_000001405.40 of Homo sapiens. Taxonomy (NCBI): domain Eukaryota; kingdom Metazoa; phylum Chordata; class Mammalia; order Primates; family Hominidae; genus Homo; species Homo sapiens. The sequence goes on along the minus strand of NC_000005.10, from coordinate 46,302,337 downwards.
GTTCAGATAAAAATTGGAAAGAAGCATTGTGGGAAACTTCTTTTGGATGTGTGTGTTCATCCCACAGAGTTAAGTCCCTCTTTTGATGGAAGAGTTTGGAAAAACTGTTTTTTTTTTTTTTTTTTTTTTTTGGATATGTGAAGGGATATTTGGGAGTGCATTGAGGCCAACAGTGGAAAAGGAAATATCTTCAGGGAAGAACTAGACAGAAGTTTTCTGGGAAACTGCTTTGTGATGTGTGCATTCATCTCACATAGGTAGAACTTTCTTTTGATTTAGCAGTTTGGAAACACTGTTTTTCCAGAATCTCCGAAGGGATATTTGGGAGCACATTAAAGCCAATGTTGAAAAAGGAAATACCTACAGATAAAAACTAGAAGGAATCTTTTTGAAAAACTGCTCTTTGATGTGTGCATTCACCTCACAGGGTTTAAATTTCTTTTGAATTATCTTTTTGGGAACACTGTTTTTGTAGAATCTGCAAAGGGATGTTAGTGAGGGCAGGAGTCCTATGGTGAAAAAGGAAATAACTTCAGATAAAAACTAGAAAGAAGCTTTCTGAAAAACACTTTGTGATGTGTGCATTCTTCTCAGAGAGTTAAAGGTTTCTTTTGATTAGGAACTTTGTAAACAATGTGTTTCTAGAATCTGCTAAGGATATTTAGGAGCACACTGATGCCAATGGTGAAAAAGGAAATATCTTCAGATAAACACTAGAAAGAAACTTTTTGAGAAACTGCTTTGTGATGTATGCATTCATCTCACAGAGTTTAACTTTTCTTTTCACTCACTAGTTTGGAAACATTGTTTTTGCAAAATCTGTGAAGTGATATTAGGTAGCACAAAAAACCTATGGTGAAAAAGTATATATGTTCATCTAAATCCTGGAAAGAGTCGTTATGGGAAACTACTTTCTGATGGGTGAGTTCATCTCACAGAGTTACGTCCTACTTTTGATGGAACAATTTGGTAACACTGCTTTTGCAGAATGTGTGAAGGGATATTTTGGAGTGCATTGAGGCCTATGGTGGAAAAGGAAATATCTTCTCCTAAGAACTAGACAGAACATTTATGAGAAACTGCTTCATGATGTGTGCATTCATCTCAGAGAGTTAAAACATTCTTTAAATAGAGCAGTTTGGAAACACTGTTTTTGAAGAATCTGCAAAGGGATATTTGGGAGCACACTGATACCTATATTGAAAAAGAAAATTCCTTCAGAGAAAAGCTAGAAAGAAGCTTTCTGAGAAACTGCTCTGTCATGTGTGTATTCACTTCACAGAGCTTAAACTTTCTTTTGAATTATCTTTTTGGAAACACTGTTTTTGTAGAATCTGTGAAGGGATGTTTGCGAGGGCACAAGGACTATGGTGAAAAAGGAACTAACTGCAGATAAAAACTAGATATGTGTGCTTCTTTTCACAGAGTTAAATATTTCTTTTGATTGAGCACTTTGTAAACACTGCATTTCTAGGATCTGCTAGGGATACTTGGGAGCAAAGAAAATATCTTCACATAAGGACTAGACAGAATATTTATGAGAAATGTGTGGTGTGTGCATTCATCACACTGAGTTAAAACTTTCTTTTCATAGAGCAGTTGGCAAAAACCGTTTTTGAAGAATCCACAAAGGGATATTTGGGAGTGCACTGATACCAGTATCGAAAAAGGAAATATCTTCAGAAAAATACTAGAAAGAAGCTTTTTGAGAAACTGCTTTGTGATGTACACATTCATCTCACATAGTTAAACTTTTCTTTTGACTGAGCAGTTTAGAAACCCTGTTTTTGTATAATCTGTGAGGGGATGTTTGTAGTGCAAAAAGTCCTATGGTGAGCAAGGAAATATCTTTAGATAAAAACTGGAAAGAAGCGTTATGAGCAACTGCTTTCTGATGTGTGTTCATCACGCAGAGTTAAATGCTTCTTTTGATGGTTCAGCTCAGAAACACTGTTTTCATAGAATCTGTGAAGGCATATTTGGGAGTGCATTGAGGCCTATGGTGTAAAAAGAAATAATTTAGAAAAGAACTAGACAGAAGCCATCAGAGAAACTGCTTTGTGATGTGTGCATTCATCTGACAGTTAAACCTTTATTTTTATAGAGTAGTTTGGAGACATTGTTTTGTAGAATCTGCAAAGGTAGGTTTGGGAGTGCACTGAGGACTACAGTGAAAAAGGAAATATCTTTGGATGAACAGGAAAGAAGCTTTTTGAAAAACTGCTTTGTGATGTCAGCATTTAAATCACAGGGTTAAACCTGTTTTTTGATTGAGCAGTTTGGAAACCCTATTTTTGTAAAATCTGCCATGGGATATTTGGGAGCACATTTAAGCCCATGGTGATAAAGGAAATATCTTTCTACAAAAACTAGAGAGAAACTTTCTGAGAAACTGCTTTGTAATGTGTGCATTCATCTCACAGAGTTAGTGCTTTCTTTTGACTGAGCAGTTTGCAAACACTGTTTTTGCAAAATTTACAAAGCTATATGTGTTATTGCAAAAAAGACTATGGTGAACCAGGAAATATCTTCAGATAAAAACTGGAAAGAAGTGTTATAAGAAACTGCTTTCTGATGTGTGAATTCATGTCACAGAGTTAAATCCTTCTTTTGATGGAACACTTTGGAAACACTATGTTTACAGAGCCTGCATAGGGACAATTAGGAGCTCACTGAGGCCTATGGTGGACAAGGAACTTCTTTGTGATGGGTGCCTCCATTTCGGAGAGTTAAACTTTTCTTTTGATTGAGGAGTTTGGAAACACTGTTTTTGGAATATCTGCAAAGGGATATTTGGGAGTGCATTGAAGCCTAAGGTGATAAAGAAAATATCTTCGGATAAAAATTAGAAAGAAGTTTTTGAGAAACTGCTTTGCCTTGTGTGCATTGAACTCACAGTGTTAAACCTGTTTTTTGATTGAAGAGTTTGGAAACTTTGCTTTGTAGAATCTGCAAAGGGATATTTCAGAGCTCATAGAAAGCTATGGTTAAAATGGAAATATCTTCAGATGAAAACTAGAAAGAAGGTTTTGGAGAAACTGCTTTGTGATGTGTGTGTTCAATTCACAGAGTTAAACCTGTTTTTGATTGAGCAGTTTGGACACACTGCTTTTGTAAAATCTACAATGAGATATTTGAAAATGCATTAGGCTTATTGAAAGGGACTATCTTCGTAAAATTTAGAAAGAAGCTTTTTGAGAAACTGATCTGTGATGTGTGCATTCATCTTACAAAGTTAAACCTTTCTTTTGACTGAGCAGTTTGAAAACTCTGTTTTTGCAAAATCTGTGAGGTGATATTAGGTAGCACAAAAAAGCCTATGGTGAAAAAAGAAGTATCTTCAGACAAACAGTGGAAAGAAGCATTATGAGAAATTGCTTTCTGATGTGTGCTTTCATCCCTCAAAGTTAAGTCCTTCTTTTGATGGAACAGTTTGGAAGCACTGCTTTTGTAGAATCTGTGAAGGGATATTTGGGAGTGCATTGAGGCCTACAGTGGAAAAGGAAATATCTTAAGAGAAAAAAACTAGACAGAAGCATTCTGAGAAACTGCTTTGTGATGAGTGCATGCATCTCACAGAGTTACACCATGATGTGTGTATTCATCTCACAGAGTTAAAAAAGTCTTTTGATTGATCAGTTTGGAAACACTGTTTTTGTATAATCTGCAAAGAGATGTTAGGTAGTGCAAAAGGCCTGTGATGAGCAGGGAAATACATTGAGATAAAAAGTGCAAGGAAGCAGTATGAGAAACTGCTTCTGGATGTGTGCGTTCATCTCACAGAGGTAAGTCCTTCTTTTGATAGAACAGTTTGGAAACACTGTTTTTGTAGAATCTGTGAAGGGATATTTGGGAGTGCATTGAGGCCTATGGTGGAAAAGTAAATAACTTCAGAGAAAAACTAGACAGAAACATTCTGAGAAATTGATTTGTGATGTCAGCATTCATCTCACAGAGTTAAACTTTTCTTTTGATTGAGCAGTTCTGAAAAATTGTTTTTGTAGAATCCACGAAGGCATATTAGGGAGTGCATGAATTTATGGTGAAAAAGGAAATATCTTCAGAAAAAAGTTAGAAATAAGCTTTTTGAGAAACTGCTTTGTGATGTGTGCATTCATCTCGCAGAGTTAAACTTTTCTTTCCATTGATCTGTTTGGAAACACTGTTTTTGTAGCATCTGGAATGATTATTTGGGAGTACGTGAGACCTATGGTGAGCAAAGAAATACCTTGAGAAAAAAACTGCAAGGAAGTGTTATGAGAAACTGCTTTCCAATGTGTGCATTCATCTCACAGAGGTAAGTCCTTCTTTTCATAGAAGTTTGGAAACACTGTTTTTGTAGAATCTGTGAAGGGATATTTGGGAAGGCATTGAAGCCTATGGTGGAAAAAGAAATAACTTCAGAGAAAAACTAGATAGAAACATTCTGAGAAGCTGCTTTGTGATGTCAGCTTTCATCTTACAGAGTTAAATCTTTCTTTTGATTGAGCAGTTCTAAAAAATTGTTTCTGTAGAATCTGCAAAGGCATACTTGGGAGTGCAGGAACCTATGGTGAAAAAGGAAATATCTTCAGAAAAAAGCTAGAAATAAGCATTTTGAGAAACTGCTTTGTGATGTGTGCATTCATCTTGAAGAGTTAAACCTTTCTTTTCATTGATCAGCTTGTTAACACTGTTTTTGTAGAATCTGGAATGATTATTTGGGAATCCACGAGGCCTATCATGAAAAAGGAATTATGTTCAGATAAAAACTACAAAGAAGCTACTTGAGAAACTGCTTTGTGATGTGTGCATTCAACTCACAATGTTAAAACTGTTTTTTGATTGAGTAGTTTGGAAACACTGTTTTTGTAGAATCTGCAACAGGATATTTGGGAGCACCTTGAGGCCTATGGTGGTAAAGGAAATATCTTTGGAAAAAAACTGGAAAGAAGCTTTTAGAGAAACTGCTTTGTGAAGTGTGCATTCATCTCACGGTGTGACCTTTCTTTTGACTGACCAGTTTGGAAACACTGCTTTTGCAAAATCTCCAAAGCAATATTAGGTACCAGAAAAAAGCCTGTGGTGAAAAAGGAAACATTTGCAGATAAAAAGCAGAAAGAAGTGTTATGAGAAACTGCCTTCTGATGTGTGTGTTCATCTCACAGAATTAAGACCTTCTTTTGATGAAACAGTTTGGAAACACTGTTTTTGTAGAATCTGCGAAGTCATATTTGGGAGTGCATCGAGGCCTATGGTGGAAAAGGAAACAAGTTCAGAGAAGAACTTGACAGAAGCTTTCTGAGAATGTGCTTCCTGATGTGTGCTTTCATCTCACAGAATTAAACCTTTCTTCTGATAGAGCAGTTTGGAAATACTGTTTATGTATAATCTGCGAAGTGATATTTAGTAGCGCAAAGAGGCTTATTGTGAAATAGGAAATATCTACAGATAAAAACTGGAAAGAAACTGTCTGAGGCACTTATTTGTGATGGCTGCATACACTTCACAGTGTTCAATCTTTCCCTTCATCGTGCCATTTGGAAACACCCTTTTGGAAGAATTTACAAAGGGTTATTTGGGAGCGAATTGAGGCCTATGGTGAAAAAGTTAATATCTCCAGATTAAAATTAGAAACAAGCTTTCTGACAAACTACTTTGTGACGTGTGCATTCATCTCACAGAGGTAAACCTTTCTTTTGATAGAACAGTTTAGAAACTCTGTTTTTGTATAACCTGCAAAGTGATATTTTGTTGCTCAAAGAGGCCTGTGGAGTAAAAATAAATATCTTCAGATAAAAACTGGAAAGAAGCTTTCTGAGATACTGATTTATGAGATGTGCATTCATTTCACAGAGTTAAATCTTTCCTTGGATGGAGCCATCTGGAAAAACACTTTTGGTGGGATCTGCAAAGAGTTATTTGGGAGTGAATCGAGGCCTATGGTGAAAAAGGAAATATCTCCAGATAAAACCAAGAAAGAATATTTCTGAGAAACTGCTTTGTGATTTGTGCATTCATCCATCAGATTTAAACCTTTCTTTTGATTGTGCAGTTTGGAAACACTGTTTTGGTAGAATCTGCCAGGGATATTTGGGATTGCACTGACCCAAGGATGAAAAAGGAAATAACTTCAGATAAAAACTTCGAAGAAGGTTTCTGAGAAATTGCTTTTGGATGTATGTATTCTTCTCACAGATTTAAAACTTTGTTTTCATTCTGGAGTTTAGAAAAACTGTTTTTGTAGAATCAGCAATGGGATATTTGAAAGCACATTTATGCCTATGGTGAAAAAGGAAATATATATGGATAAAAACTAGAAAGAAGAATTATGAGAAACTGCTTCATGATGAGTGCATTCATCTCAAAGAATTAAACATTTCTATTGACTGAGTAGTTTGGAAACACTGTTTTTGTGTAATTTGCAAAGAGATATTATCTACTGCAAAATAGCCTATGGTAAAAAAGGAAATATCTTCAGATAAAAAGTGGAAAGAAGTGTTGTGAGAAACTGCTATCTGATATGTGGCTTCATCTCCCAGAGTGAAGTCCTTGTTTTGATGGAACAGTTTGGAAACACTGATTTGTAGATTTTGCAAAGGGATATTTGGGAGCACATTGAGGCCTATTGTGGAAAATATATTATCTTCAGATAAGAACAGGACAGAAGCTGAGAAACTGCTTTGTGTGGTGTGCATTAATCTCATAGAGTTAAGCCTTTCTTTTAATTGAGCACTTTGGAAACACTGTTATTGTAGAATCTGCAAAGGGATATTTGGGAACACATTGAAGCCTATGGTGATAAAGGAAATATCTCTGGATGAAAACTAGAAAGAAGATTTTTGAGAAACTGCTTTGTGATGTGTGCTTTCATCTCATAGATTTAAACCTTTCTTTTCATTGATCAGTTTGGAAACACTATTTTTGTAGAATCTGTGAAGGTTTATTTGGGATAGCACGTGGCCTACGGTAAAAAAGGAAATAAGTTCAGATGAAAACTAGAAAGAAGCTTTCTGAGTAACAACTTTCTGATGCTTGCATTCTTCTCACACAGTTAAACATTTCTTTTAATTAAGCAGTTTGGAAACGCTGTTTTTGTAGAATCTACAAAGGGATATTTGGGGGCACACTGTATCCTATGAGGATAAAGGAAATATCTTTGGATAAAAAGTAGAAAGAAGCTTTTTGAGAAACTGATTTGTGATGTATGCATTCATCTCACAGAGTTAAAATTTTCTTTTGACTGAGCATTTTGGAAACACTGTTTTTGTATGATCTGTGAAACAATGTTAGGTAACAGAAAACGGCCAATGGTGAACAATGAAATGTCTTCAGATAAAAACTGGAAAGAAACGTTATGAGAAACCGCTTTCTGATGTGTACATTAATCTCACAGAATTAAATACTTCTTTGGATGGAACAGTTCAGAAACACTGCTTTTATAGAATCTGCAAAGGCATATATGGGAGTGCTTTGAGGCCTATGGTGGGAAAGGAAATATATTCAGGGAGAACAAGAAAGAAGCTATCTGAGAAACTGCTTTGTGATGTGTGCATTCATCTCACACAGTTAAATGTTTCCCTTGATTGATTAGTTTGGAAACACTGTTTTTGAAGTATCTGCAAATGTATATTTGGAAGTGCACTGAGGCCTATGGTCAACAATGAAATATCTTCAGATAAAAACTAGAAAGAATCCTTTTGAGAAACTGCTTTGTGATGCCACCATTCAACTCACAGAGTTAAGACTGTTTTTTGATTGTGCATTTGGAAAACACTGTTTGTTTAGAGTCTGCAAAGGGATATTTGGGAGTACCTTAAAGCCTATGGTTATAAAGGAATTATCTTTGGGAAAAAAGTAGAAAGAAACTTTTTGAGAAATGGCTTTGTGATGAGTGCATTCACATCACCGATTTAAACCATTCTTTTGACTGAGTAGTTTGGAAACACTGTTTTTGCAAAATCTGGGAAGAAATATTGGGTGGTGCAAAAAGCCTATGGTGAACATGGAAATATCTTCAGATAAAAAATGGAAAGAAGTGTTATGAGAAACTGTTTTCTTATGTGTGCATTCATCTCACAGAGTTAAGTCCCTCTTTTGATGGAACAATTTGGAAACACTGTAATTGTATAATCTGTGAATGGATATTTGGGAGTGCATTGAGGCCTATGGTGGAAAAGGACATATCTTCAGAGAAGAACTAGACAGAAGCTTTCTGAGAAACTACTTTGTGATGTGTGCATTCATCTTACAGAGTTAAACCTTTCAGGAAACACTGTTTTTCTAGAATCTGCGAAGGCATATTTGGGACTGCATGGAAGCCTATGGAGAAAAAGGAAATATCTTTAAATAAAAAATAGAAAGAAGTTCTTTGAGAAACTGCATTGGATGTATACATTCATCTCACAGAGTTAAACTTTTCTTTTGATTTGGCAGTTTGGAAACAGTATTTCTGTATAATCTGTGATGCTATCTTTGGTAGTGCAAATAGGACTATGGTGAAAATGGAAATAAGAGAAAAACTGGAATGAAGCCTTATGAGAAACTGCTTTCTGATGTGTGCATTCATCTCACAGAGTTTAGTCTTTCATTTGATGGAATAGTTTGGAACCACTGTTCTTGTAGAATATGTGACAGGATATTTGGGAGCATACTGAGGCCTATGGTGCAAAAGGAATTATCTTCAGATAAAAACTAGAAAGAAGCTTTTTGAGAAACAGGTTTGTGATGCATGCATTCAGCTCATAGAGATAAACCTGTTTTTTGATTGAGCAGTTTGGAAACAGTGTTTTTGTAGCATCTGCAATGGGATATTTTGGAGCACATTTAACTTTATGGTGATAAAAAAACTTCAGATAAAAACTAGAAAGAAGCTTTCTGAGAAACTGCTCTGTGTTATGTGCATTCATCTTACAGAGTTAAATATTTATTTTGATTGATCAGTTTGGAAACACTTTTTTTGTAGAATCTGTGAAGTGATATTTGGGAGCACATGTAGCCTGTCGTGAAAAAAGGAAATAACTTCAGATAAGAACTCGATAGAAGCTTTCTGAGAAACTGCTTTGTGATGAGAGCATTCTTCTCACAGAGGTAAATGTTTCTTTTGATTGAGCACTTTTGAAACACATCTTATGTAGCATCTGCAAAGGCATATTTTGGAGCACAATGATGCCTATGGTGAATAAGGAAATATCTTTTGATAAGAACTAGAATGCAGCGTTTTCAGAAACTGCTTTGTGATATGTGCATTCATCTCACAGACTTAAACTTTTCTGTTGAATGAGTAGCTTGGAAACACTATTTTTGTATAATCTGCCAAGCGATGACATGTAGCACAAAAAGGCCCATGGTGAAGAAGAAAATATCTTCAGAGAAAAACTGGAAGGAAGCTTTATGAGAAACTGCTTTCTGAGGTGGGCATTCTTCTCACAGAGTTAAATCATTCTTTTGATGGTACAGTTTGGAAACACTGTTTTTATACTCTCTGCAAAGGGATATTTGGGAGTGCTTTGAGGCCTATGATGGAAAAGGAAATATCTTCAGAGAAGAACTAGACAGAAGCTATCTGAGAAACTTCTTTGTGATGTAAGCATTCATCTCACAGAGTAAAATTTTTCTTTGATTAAGCAGTTTGGAAAAACTGCTTTTGTGGAATCTGTCAAAGGATAGTTTGGAGCGCATTGAAGACTGGTGAAAAAGGAAATATCTTTGGATAAAAACTACAAAGAAACATTTTGAGAAACTGCTTTGTGACGTGTGCATTCATCTCACAGAGTTAAACCTTTCTTTTGACTCATCAGTTTGGAAACACAGTTTTTGAGGAATCTGTGAAAGGATTCTTGGGAGCGCACAAAGCCTATGGCAAAAAAGGAAATAACTTCAGATAAAAACTAGAACAAAACATTCAGAGAAACCACTTTGAGATGAGTTCATTCTTCTCACAGAGTTAAACTTTTCTTTTGCTTGAGCAGTTTGGAAACACTGTTTACGTGGAATCTACAATGGGATATTTAGGAGTGCAATGATGCCTTTGGTGAAAAAGGAAAAACTAGAAAATAGCTTTTTGAAAAACTTCTTTGTGATGTGTGCATTCATCTCACAGAGTTAAAACCTTCTTGTGACTGATCTGTTAGGAAACACAGTTTTTGTAAAATATGTGAAGGGATATTTTGGAGCTCACATGGCCTATGGTGAAAAAGGAAATAACTTCAGATAAAAACTGGAAAGAACGTTTCTGAGAAACTGCTTTGTGATGTGTGCAGTCTTCTGAGAGAGTTAAACGTTGCTTTTGATTGAGCAGTTTGGAAACACTGTTTTTGTAGAGGCTGCAAAGGGATACGTGGGAGCCATGGAGGCCCATGGTGAAAAAGGAAATAACTTCAGATAAAAACTAGAAAGAAGCTTTTTAAGAAACTGCTTTGGGATGTATGCATTCATCTCACAAAGTTAAACCTCTCTTTTGACTTAGCAGTTTGGAAACAATATTTTTGTATAATCTGTGAAGCGATGGTAAGTTGCTCACAAAGTCCTATGATGAACAAGGGAATATCTTTAGATAAAAACTAGAAAGAAGAGTTGTTAGAAACAGCTTTCTGATGTGTGCATTCATCTCAGAGTTATATCAGTCTTTTGATGGAACTGTTTGGAAACACTCTTTTATAGAATCTGCTAAGGGATTTTTCATAGTGCATTGAGACCCATGATGTAAATGGACATACCTTCAGTGAAGAACAAGAAAGAAACTATCTGAGAAACTGGTTTGCAATGTGTGCATTCCTCTCACAGAGTTAAACCTTTCTTTTGATTGAGCAATTTGGAAACAGTTTTTGTAAAAACGTCAAAGGTATATTTGGGAGTGTCATAGGGCCTATGTTGAAAAATGAAATATCTCTGGATAAAACATGGAAAGAAGATTTTTGAGAAACTGCTTTGTGATGTATGCATTCAACTCACACAGTTAAATCTGTTTTTTGTCTGAACAGTTTGGAAACAATGTTTTTGTAGAATCTGTGATGGGATATTTGGGAGTGCATTGAAGTCTATGATGAAAAGGAAATAACTTTGGATAAAAACTAAAAAGAAGTTTTTTGAGAAATTGCTTTCTTATATGTGCATTCATCTCATAGAGTTAAACCTTTCTTTTGATTGATCAGTTTGGAAATGCTACTTTTGTAGAATCTGCAAAGGGATATTTAGGAGTGCACTGATGCCTATGGTGAAAAAGGAAATACCTTCAGATAAAAACTAGAAAGAAGGTTTTTGAGAAACTGCTTTGTGATGTGTGCATTCTTCTCACAGAGGTAAATATTTGTATTGATTGAGCAGTTTGAAAACACTGTTTTTGCACAATCTGTAAAGGGATATTTTGGAGTGCACTGATGCCTACGGTGAAAAAGGAAATATCTTCAGATAAAAAGTAGAAAGAAGCTTTTTGAGAAACTACTTTGTGATGGTTACATTTATCTCACAGAATTAAACTTTTCTTTTGATTGAGCAGTTTGGAAATGCTGTTTCTCCAAAAGCTGCTTAGTGTTAATTGGCAGCACAATATATCCTATGGTGAACAAGAATATATCTTCAGATCAAAACTGGAAAGAAGCATTATGAGAAGCTTCTTTCTGATGTGTGCTTTCATTTCACAGTTAAGTCCTTCTTTCTTTGGAACAGTTTGGAAACACTGTTTTTGTACAATCTGCAATGGGATATTTTAGAGTACATTGAAACCTATGGTGATCAAGGAAATATCTTCGGATAAAAACTAGAAAGAAGTTTTCTGAGAAAATACTTTGTGATATATGCGTTAATCTTACAGACCTAAACATTTCTTTTGACTGAGCAGTTTGGAAACACTGTTTTTGTATAATCTGTGAAGCAATGTTAGGTACCACCAAAAGGCCTATGGTGAACAAGGAAATTTCTTCAGATGAAAATAGGAAAGAAGCGTTATGAGAAACTGCTTTCTGATATGTGTGTTCATCTCTCAGAGTTCAATCTTTCTTTTGATGGAACAGTTCAGAAACACTGTTTTTATAGAATCTGTGAAGGGACATTTGGGAGTGCATTGAGGCCTATGATGGAAAAGGAAATATCTTCAGAGGAGAACTAGACAGAAGCTACCTGATAAACTGCTTTCTGATGTGTGCATTCATCTCACAGAGTTAAGCTCTTGTTTTGATTGAGGACTTTGGAAACACACTTTTTGTAGAATCTGTGACGGAATATATGAGAGTGCTTAATTCTACGGTTAAAAAGAAAGTACCTTTGGATAAAAACTAGAAAGAAACCTTTTGAGAAACTACCTTTTCGTGTGTGCATCCATCTCAGGGAGTTAAAACTTTCTTTTGACTGAGTAGTTTGGAAACACTGTTTCTTTTTTTCCAATCTGCAAAGGGATATTTGGGAGAGCATTGAAGCCTATGGTGAAAAAGGAAATATCTTTGGATAAAAACTAGAAAGGATGTTTTTGAGAAAGTGCCTTCTGATGTTTGCATTCACCTCACAGAGTTAAAGTTTTCTTTTGATTGAGCAGTTTGGAAACACTGTTTTTGTGGAATCTGCAAAGGGTTATTTTGGAGTGCACTGAGGCCTGTGGTATAAAAGGAAGTATCTTCAGATAAAGACTAGATAAAACCTTTTTGAGAAACTGCTTTATAATGTGTGGATTCACCTCACAGAGTTAAACCTCTCTTTTGATTGATCAGTTTGGAAACACTGTAGAATCTGCAATGAGATATTTGGGAGTGCATAGAAGCCTATGGTGATAATGGAAATATTTTTGGATAAAAACTAGACAGAAGCTTTTTGAAAAACTGCTTTGTGATGTGTGCATTCATCTCACAGAGTTAAATCTTTCTTTTGACTGGGCTGTTTGGAAACACAGTTTTTGAAAAATCTGTGAAGTAATATTAGATAGTACAAAAAAGTCTATGGTGAAAAAATACATTCAGATAAAAACTGGAAAGAATAGTTAAGAGAAGCTGTTTTCTAGTGTGTGCTTTCATCTCACACAGTCAAGTCCTTCTTTTGCTGGAACACTTTGGAAACACTGTATCTGTAGAATCTGTGAAGGGATATTTAGAAGTATATTGAGGCCTATGGTGGAAAGGGAATTAACTTCAGAGAAGAACTAGCCAGAAGCTTTCTGAGAAACTGCTTTGTGATGTGTGCATTCATCTCACAGAGTTAAACCTTACTTTTGATTGAGCAGCTTGGAAACTCTGATTTTTGTAGAATCTGCAAAGGGATATTTGGGAGCACATTGAAGCCTATTGAGAAAAGGGAAATAACTTCAGATAAAAACTAGAAATAAGCATTTGCAGAAAGTGCTTTCTGATCTCTGCATTCATCTCACAGAGTTAAACCTTTATTTTGATAGAGCAGTTTGGAAATACAGTTTTTGTATAATCTGCGATGTGATATTAAGTAGCACAAAAAAGCCAGTGGTGACAAAGGAATTATCTTCATATAAAAAAGAGGAAAGAAGCTGTCTGAGGCACTGATTTGTGATGTGTGGATTCATTTCACAGTAGTAATCTTTCCTTTGATGGAGGCATTTGGAAAACCCTTTGGGCAGAATCTGTGAAGTGTTATTTTGTAGCGGATGGAGGCCTATAATGAAAAAGGAAATATCTCCAGATCAAAACTAGAAAAAAGTTTTCTGAGAATCTGCTTTGTGATGTGTGCATTCATCTCACAGAGTTAAAACTTTCTTTTGATACATCACTTTGGAAACACCGTTTTTGCAGAATCTGAAAAGGGATATTATGGAGCACACGAGGGCTATGGTGAAAAAGGAAATAACTTCAGATAAAAAAGAGGAAGAATATTTCTGAAAAAATGCTTTGAGATGTGTGCATTCTTCTCACAGAGTTAAACGTTTCTTTTTATTGAACAGTTTGGAAACACTGTTTTTGTAGAATTTGCAAAAGGATATTTGGGAGCACACTGAGGAATATGGTGAAAAAGGAAATATCTTCAGATAAAAACTAGAAATAAGCTTTTTGAGAAACAGCTTTGTGATGTGTGTGTTCAACTCACAGAGTTAATTCTGTTTTTTGATTGAGCAGTTTGGAAACACTGTTTTTGTAGAATCTGCGAAGGGATATTTGGGAGTGCATTGAAGACTTTGGTGATAAGGGAAATAACTATGGATAAAAATTAGAAAGAATCTTTTTGAGAAACTGCTTTGTGATATGTGCATGGATCTCACAGAGTTAAACCTTTCTTTTCATAGAGCAGTTTGGAAACACTGTTTTAATGTAATCTGCAAGGTGATATTACGTAGTGCAAAAAAGCCTATGGTGAAAAAGGAAATATCTTCAGACAAAAACTGGAAAGAAGCGTTATGAGAAACTGCTTTCTGATTTGTGAGTTCATCTCAAAGAGTTAATTCCTTCTTTTCATGGAACAGTTTGCAAACACTGTTTTTCTAGAATCTGCAAAGGGATATTTGGGAGTGCATTGAGGCCTATGCACGGAAAAGGAAATACCTTCAGAGAAGAACTAGACAGAAGTTTTCTGAGAAACTGCTTTATGCTGTGTGCATTCTTCTTACAGAGTTAAAACTTTCTTTTAATAGAGCAGTTCGGGAACACTTTCTTTGTAGAATCTGAGAAGGGATATTTCAGAGCGTGTTGAAGCCTATGGTGAAAAAGGAAATATCTTCAGATAAAAACTAGAAAGAAGGTTTTGGGAAACTGATTAGTGATGTGTGCATACAACTCACAGAGTTAAAACTTTCTTTTGATTGATCAGTTTGCCAGCAGTGTATTTATAGAATCTGCTCAAGGATATTTCAGAGCACATAAGGCTTATGGTGAAAAAGGAAATAGCTTCAGATAAAAAATAGAAGGAACCTTTCTGAGAAACCACTTTGTGAAGTGTGCAGTCTTCTCACATAGTTAAAAGTTTCTTTAGATGAGCACTTTGGAAAAACTGCTTTGTAGACTCTGAAACAGGATATTCAGGAGTGCATTGATGCCTATGTTGAAATAGGAAATTTCTTTGGATAAAAACAAGAGATAACCTTTTTGAGAAACAGCTTTGTGATGTATGCATTCATCTCACAGACTTTACTTTTGACTGAGGATTTTGGAAACACTGTTTTTGTATAATCTGTGAAGTCATATTTGGGAGTGCATTGAGGCCTATGGTGGAAAAGGAAATATCTTCAGATAAAAACTGGAAGAAAGCTTTATGAGAAACTGCTTTCTCATTTGTGCATTTATCTCAGAGAGTTAAATCCTTCTTTTGATGGAACAGTTCGGAAATTCTCTTTATATAGAATCTATGAAGGGATATTTTGGAGTGTCCTGAAGCTTATTGTGTAAAAGGAAATATCTTTGGATACAAACTAAAAAGAATCTTTTTGAGAAACTGCTTTTTGATGTATGCATTCATCTCACAGAATTAACCTTTCCTTTGTCTGAGAATCTTGGAAACACTGTTTTAGTATAATCCATGAAGCGATGTTATGTAGTGTCAAAAGGACTATGGTGAACAAGGAAATATCATCAGATAAAAACAGGAAAGAAGCTTTATGGGAAACTGCTTTCTGATGTGTGCATTCATCTCACAGAGTTAAATCCTTCTTTTGATGGAACTGTTCAGGAACAGTGTTTCTTTAAAATCTGCGATTTGAGAGTGCATTGAGGTCTATGGTGGAAAAGGAAATATTTTCAGTGAAGAACTTGAGAGAAGATATCTGAAAAACAGCTTTGTGATGTATGCATTCGAGCCACAGGGTTAAGCCTTTCTTGTTATTGAGCATTTTGGAAATGTTGTTTTTGTAGAATCTGCAAATTGATATTTCGGAGCACATTGAAGCCTATGTTGAAAAAGGATATGTTGTAGATTCTGCACAGGTATATTTGGGTGTTCACTGAGTCCTATGGATATATCTTTGGATAAAACTAGAAAGAAAAATTTTGAGAAACTGTTTTGTGATGTGTGCATTCAACTCACAGTTTTAAAACTTTTTTTGATTGAGCTGTCTGCAAACACTGTTTTTGTAGAATTGGCAACGGGATATTTGGGAGTGCATTGAAGCACATGGTGATAAAGGAAATATCTGTGGTAAAAACTAGAAAGAGGCTTTTTGAGATACTGTTTTGTGATGTATGCATTCATCTCACAGAGTTAAACCTTTCTTTTGACTAAGCAGTTTGGAAACACTGTTGTTTTATAATCTGCAAAGTGATATTAAATAGCATAAAAAGGCCTATGGTGAAAAAGGAAATATCTTCAGATTAAAAATGGAAAGAAGCTTTCTGAGACACTGATTTGCTGTGTGTTCATTCATTTCACACTGTTAAGTCTTTTCTTTGATCAAGCCATTTGGAAACACCCTTCTGGCAGAATCTGCTAAGGGTTATGTGGGAGCATATTGAGGTCTAGTGTGAGAAAGTAAAAATATCTAGATAAAAACTAGAAAGAAGCTTTCTCAGAAACAGCTTTGTAACGTGTGAATTCATCTGACAGATGTAAACCTTTCTTTTGATTGAACTGTTTGGAAACACTGTTTTCTCAGAATCTGCAAAGGGATATTTTGGAGCACCCTGAGGCTTATGGTGAAAAAGGAAATATTCCTTCGGTTCAAAAATACAAAAAGCTTTCTGAGAAACCACTTTGTGATGTGTGCATTCTTATCACAGATTTAAACCATTCTTTTTATTGAGCAGTTTGGAAACACTGTTCTTGTTGAAACTGCAATGGGATATTTGAAAGAACAGTTAGGACTATGGTGAAAAAGGAAATATCTTTGGATTAAAACTGTAAGGAAGCTTTCTGAGAAACTGCTTTTTGTTGTGTGCATTCATCTCACAGAGCTAAACCTTTCATGTCACTGAGCAGTTTGAAAACACTGTTTTGTGTAATTTGCAAAGCATTATTAACTAGCAGAAAAAGAAAGAAACTGTTTTTGTAGAATCTGCGTTGGGATATTTGGCAACATATTGAGGCCTATGGTGGAAAGGAAATATTGCCAGAGAAGAAATAGGCAGAAGCATTCTGAGAAATTTCTTTGTGATAACGTCATTCATGACAAAGAGTGAAACATTTTTTGACTGAGCCTTTAGGAAACACTGTTTTTGTAGAATCTGTGAGGATATATTTGGGAGAGCATCGAGGCCTGTTTTGAAAAAATAGATATCTTCAGAAAAAAACTAGAAAGACGATTTTTAGCTTTGTGATGTGTGCATTTATCTCACAAAGTTAAACTTTTCTTCTGACTGAGCAGTTTGGAAACACTGTTTTTGTTTAATGTGCAAAGTGATGTTTGGTAGCACAAAAAGCCCTATGGTGATCAAGGAAATATCTTCAGATAAAAACTGGAAAGAAGCCTTATGAGAAACTGATTTCTGATGTGAGCATTCGTCTCACAGCGTTAAATCCTTCTTTTGATGCAACAACTTGGAAACACTGTTTTTATAGAGTCTGTGAAGTGATATATGGGAGCACGATGCTTACAGTGGAAAAGGAAATATCTTCAGAGAAGAACTAGACAGAAGCTATCTGAGAAACTGCTTTGTGATGTTTGCATTCATCTGAGAGAGTTAAACCTTTCTTTTCATTGAGTAGTTTGGAAACACTGTTTTTATAGAAATGCAGCTCTATACTTAGGAGCACACAGAGGCTATGCTGAAAAAGGAAATATCTTTGTATAAAAACAGGAAAGAACTTTTTTAGAAATTGCTTTGTGATGTGTGCATTCATCTCACAGAGTTAAACCTTGCTTTTGACTGTGAAGTTTGGAAACACTGTTTTTGCAAAACATTCAAAGCAATATTAGGTAGCACAAAGAAGCCCATGGTGAAAAAGTAAATATCTTCAGATAAAAATGGGAAAGAAACATTATGAGATACTGCTTTCTTCATATGTGTGTTTATCTCACAGAGTTAATTCCTTCTTTGATGGAACTGTTTGGAAACACTGTTTTTGTAGAATGTGTGAAGGGAGATTTGGCAGCCCATTGAGGCCTACGATGGAAAAGGAAGTATCTTCAGTGAAGAACTACACAGAAGTTTTCTGAGATACTGCGTTGAGATGTGTGCATTCATCTCACAGAGTTAAACCTTTCTTTTGGTTGAGCAGTTTGTAAACACTGTTTTTGTATAATCTGCAAAGCAAAGTTTGAAAGCACAAAAATGCCTATGGTAAACAAGGAAAGATCTTCATGTAAAAACTAGCAAGAACTGCTATGAGAAACTGATTTCTGACGTGTGTATTCATCTAATAGAGTTAAAAACGGCTTTTAATGGAACAGTTTGGAAACATTGTTTTTATAGAATCTGTGCAGGGATATTTGGGAGCACACTGGGGCCTATGGTTGAAAAGGAAATATCTTCAGATTAAACCCGGAAAGAAATTTCTGAGACACTGATTTGTGATGTGTGCCTTCATTTCACAGAGTTAATCTTTCCTTTGATGGAGCCATTTGGAAATACCCTTTTGGTGGAGTCTGCGAAGGGTTTCTTGGGAGTTCATTGAGGCCTATGGTGAAAAAGGAAATATCTCCATATAAAAAACAGAAAGGAGTTTTTTTGAGAAACTTCTTTGTGATGTGTGCATTCAACTCACAGAGTTAACCCTTTTTTTGATTGAGCATTTTGGAAACACTGTTTTTCTAGAATTTGCAAAGCAATGATAGGCAGGACAAAAAGGCCTATGGTGAACAAGGAAATATCTTCAGATAATAACGAGAAAGAAGCATTATGAGAAACTGCTTTCTGATGTGTGCATTCATCTCACAGTGGTAAATGCTTCTTTTGATGGAAGAGGTCGGAAACACTGTTTTTATAGAAACTGCAAAGGGATATTTGGTAGTGCATTGAGACCTATGGTGGAAAAGGAAATATCTTCAGATAAAAACTAGAAAGAAGCTATCTGAAAGTCTGCTTTGTGATGTGTGCAGTCTTCTGACAGAGTTAAACGTTACTTTTGATTGAGCAGTTTGGACACACTGTTTTTGTAGAATCTGCAAAGGGATATTTGGGAACGCACTGATGCCTATGGTGAAAAAGTAAATATCTTCGAATAAAAACTAGAAAGAAGCATTTTTAGAAACTGCTTTACAATATATGCATTCACATCACAGAGGTAAACTTTTGAGTGAGCAGTTTAGAACCACTGTTTTTGAATAAGTTGCGAAGCGATGTTTGAAAGTGCAAAAATGCCTATGGTGAACAAGGAAAGATATTCAGATAAAAATTTGAAAGAAGCGTTACAAAAAACTGATTTCTGATGTGTCAATTCATCTAAGAGAGTTAAATACTTCTTTTGATGGGACAGTTCAGAAACACTGTTTTTATAGAATCTGTTCAGAGATATTAGGGAGCACATTGAGGCGTATGGTGAAAAAGGAAATATATTCAGATTAAAATGTGAAAGGTTTCTGAGACAGAAAGAAGGTTTCTGATGTGTGCCTTCATTTCACAGTGTTAAATATTCCTCCAATGGAGCCCTTTGGAAACACCATTTTGGCAGAGTCTTGAAGGGTTAATTGGGAACTCATTGAGGCCTATGGTGAAAAAGGAAATATCTCCAGATAAAAACAAGAAAGAAGCTTTCTGAGACACTGCTTTGTAAAGAGTGCATTCACCTTAGAGAGTTAAAACTTTCTTTTGATTGAGCAATTTGAAAACACTATTTTCTAGAATCTGTGAAGGGATATTTTGTAATAACTAGACAGAATATATCTGAGAAACTGCTTTCTGATAAGTGCTTTCTTCTCATAGAGTTAAACCTTTCTTTTTATGAGCAGCTTCAAAACACTGTTTTTGTAGAATCTGCTAAGGTATATTTGGGAGTGCATTGAGGTCTATGATGAAAAAGTAAATATCTTCAGATAAAAACTAGGAAGAATCTGTTTGAGAAACTGCTTTGTGATATGTTCGTTCAACTGACAGAGTTAAATCTGCTTTTTGATGGAGCAGTTTGGAAACACTGTTTTTCTAGGATCTGCAACCAGATATTTGGGAGGGCATTGAAACCTATGGTAATAAAGGAAATATCTTCAGACAAAAACTAGAAAGAAGAATTTTGAGAAACTGCTTTGTGATGTGTGCATTCATCTCATGGAGTGAAACCCTACATATGACTGAGTAGATGGAAACACTGTTTTTGCAAAATCTGCATAGCGATATTATGTAGTGCAATAAAGCCTATGGTGAACAAGGAAATATCTTCAGATGGAAATATCTTCATAAAACAACTGGACAGAAGCATTATGAGAAACAGCTTTGTGATGTGTCAGTTCATCTCACAGAGTTAAGTTCTTCTTTTAATGAAACAGTTTGCAAAAACTGTATTTGTAGAATCTATGAAGGGATATTTGGGAGCACATTGACACAGTGGAAAAGGAAATAACTTCAGAGAAAAACTAGACAGATGCTTTCTGAGAAACTGCTTCAGGATGAGTGCATTCATCTCACACAATTAAATCTTTCTTTTGATAGAACAGTGTGGAAACACTGTTTTTGTAGAATCTGACAATGGGAGATTTTGATGCACACTGATGCCTATGGTGAAAAAGGAAATATCTTCTGATAAAAACTAGAAAGAAGCTCTTTGAGAAACTGTTTTGCAATGTACACATTCATCTCACAGAGTTAAACTTTTCTTTTGACAGAGCAGTTTGGAAACACTGTTTTTGTATCATCTGTGAAGTGATGTTAGGTAGCACAAAAAGGCCTGTGTTGAACAAAGAACATAGAACATAGCACAAAAAGGTCTACGCTGAACAAAGAACAAAGAACGTAGTTCCGATAAATACTGGAAAGCAGCACTATGAGAAACAGCTTCTTCATATGTGTTCATCTCACTGTGTTAAATCCTTGTTTTGATAGAACCGTTTGGAAACACTGTTTTTATAATATCTGTGAAGGAATATTTGTGAGTGCATTGAGATCTAAGGTGGAAAAGGAAATATCTTCAGAGAAGAACTAGATAGAAGCTATCTGAGAAACTGCCTTGTGATGTGTGCATTCATCTCACAGAGTTAAGCATTTCTTTTAATTGAGCAGTTTGGAAACACTGTTTTTGTAGAATCTGCAAAGGTATATTTGGGAGTGCACTGAGGCCTGTGGTGAAAAAGGAAGTATCTTAGGAAAAAAACTAAACTAGAAAGAAGATTTTTGAGAAACTACTTTGTGATGAGTGCATTCAATTCACAGAGTTAAACCTGTTTTTTGATTGAGTAGTTTGGAAACACTGCTTTTGTAGGATCTTCGAAGGGATATTTGGGAATGTGTTGAGGCCTATGGTGGAAAAGGAAACATCTTCAGAGAAGAGCTAAACAGAAGCTTTCTGGGAAACTGCTTTGAGATGTGTGCATTCTTCTCACAGACTTAAACCTTTCTTTTTATTGAGCACTTTGGAAACACTCTTTTTGCAGAATCTGCGAAGGAATATTTGGGAGCGCTCTGAAGCCTATGCTGAAAAAGGAAATATCTTACGATGCAAACTAGAAAGAAGATTTTTGAGAAACTGCTTTCTGATGTGTGCATTCATCTCACAGAGTAAAACATTTCTTTTGACTGAGCGGTTTGGAAACAGTGTTTTTGAAAAATCTGCAAAGCGATATTAAGTAGTGCAAAAAAGCCTACAGTGAAAAAGTAAATATCTTCAGATAAAACCTGGAAAGAATTGTCATGAGAAACTGCTTACTTATATGCGTGTTCAAATCACAGAGTAAATTCCTTATTTTGATGGAATAATTTGGAACACTGTTTTTGTACAATCTGCAAAGGAATACTTGTGAGTGCATAGATGTGTATAGTGGAAAAGGAAATATCTTCACAGAAGTAGACAGAAGATTTTTGAGAAACTGCTTTGTGATGTGTGCATTCCACTCACAGAGTTAAACCTTTCTTTTGATTGAGCAGTTTGGAAACACGGTTTTGTAGAATCCAAGAAGAGATAGTTGGGATTTCATTGAAGTCTATGGTGCAAAATGAAATATCTTCAGAGAAGAACTAGACTGAAGCTTTCTAAGAAACTGCTTTGTGATATGTGCTTTCATCTCAAAGAGTTAAAAGTTTATTGTGATTGAGCACTTTGGAATCCCTGTTTCTGTAGAATCTGTAAAGGGATATTTTATAATTCACTGAGGCCTATGGTGAAAAAGGAAATGTGTTCAGATGAAAACTACAAAGAAGATTTTTGAGAAACAGCTATTTGATGTGTGCATTCAAATAACAGAGTTAAACCTATTTTATGAGTGAGCAGTGTGGAAACATTTTTGTAGAATCTGCAAAGGGATATCTGGGAGCACATTGAGGCCTATGGTGGAAAAGGAAACATCCTCAGAGAAGATCTCAGCAGAAGATCATGAGAAACTGCTTTGTGATGTGTGCATTCTTCTCATAAAATTAAATGTTCCTTTTGATTGAGCAGTTTGGAAACACTGTTTCTGTAGAATCTGCAAAGGGATATTTTGGAGTGCACTGACACCTATGGTGAAAAGGAAATATCTTCTGATAAAAACTAGAAAGAAGCTTTTTGAGAAACTCTTTTGTGATGTGTGCATTCATGTCACAGAGTTAAGCCTTTCTTTTGAATGATCAGTTTGGAGTCACTGTTTCTGGAAAATCTGCAAAGTGATGTTAAGTAGGGCAAAAAGGCCTATGGTGAACATGGAAATATATTCACATAAAAACTGTAAAGAAGCGTTATGTGAAACTGCTTTCTAATATGTGCGTTCTTCTCACAGAGTTCAATCCTTTTTTTGATGGAAGTTTTCAGAATCCAAGTTTTTACAGAGTCTGTGAGAGATATTTTGGTGTGCATTGAGGAATATGGTGGAAAAAGACATATCTTCAGAATAGAACCAGACTGAAGATTTCTGAGGAACTCTTTTTTGATTTGTGCATTCATCTCACAGTGTTAAACCTTTCTTTTGATAGAGCAGTTTGTAAAAACTGTTTTTGTAAAATAGCCAAAGAGCTATTTGGTAGTAATAGAAGACTATGGTGAAAAAGGAAATATCTTCAGATAAAAACTAGAAAGTATGCATTTGAGAAACTCTTTTGTGATATTTGCTTTCATCTCACAGAGTTAAACCTTTCTTTTGATTAATGAGTTTGGAAACACTGTTTTTGTACAATCTGCAAAGGGATATTTGGGAGTGCATGAGGCCTGTGGTGAAAAAGGAAATAACTTTGGCCAAAAAGGCTTTCTGAGACACCACCCTGTGGTGTGTGCATTCTTCTCACAGATTTAAAATTTGTTTGGATTTTGCAGTTTGGAAACACTGTTTTTCTAGAATCTGCAAAGGGATATTTGGGAGCACACTGAGGTCTATGGTGAAAAAGGGAATATCTTCAGATAAAAACCAGAAAGACACTCTTTGAGAAACTGCTTTGTGAAGTATTCATTCATTTCACAGAGTTAAACCTTTGTTTTCACAGAGCTGTTTGGAAACACTGTTTTTGCAATATCCACTAATTGGTATTAAATAGCACAAAAAAGGTTAGCGGGAACAAGGAAATGTTTTTGGATAAATACTGGTAAGAAGCGTTATGAGAAACTGCTTCCTCATATGTGCATTCATCTCACTGAGTTAAATCCTTCTTTTGATGGAAGTGTCCAGACTCACGGTTTTTATAGAAACTGCGAAGGGATATTTGGGAGCACATTGAGTCCTATGGTGGAAATGGAAATATTTTCAGAGAAGAAGTAGACAGAAGCTGTCAGAGAAACTGGTTTGTGATGTGTGCATTCATCTGACAGAGTTAAACCTTACTTTTGATTGAACAGTTTGGAATCACTGTTTTTGTAGAACCTGCTAAGTTGTACTTGGGAGTGTACTGAGGCTCCTGCTGAAAACAGAAATATCTTTGGATAAAAACTAAAAAGAAGTGTTTGAGAAACTGCTCTGTGATGTGTGCATTCAGCTCACAGATTTTAACCTGATATTTGATTGAGTAGTTTGGAAACATTGTTTTTGTAGAATCTGTGATGGGATATTTAGGGGTGCATTGAAGCCTAGGGTGATAAGTGAAATATCTCCAGATAAATCCAGAAGTAATCTTTTTGAGAAACTGCTTTGTGATGTGTGCATTCATCTCAGAGAGGTAAACCTTTCTTTTCACTGAGCAGTTTGGAAACACTGTTTTTGCCAAATCTGCGAAGCAATATTAGGTAACACAAAAAAGCCTATGGTGAAAAAGTTAATCTGTCCCGATGAAAACTGAAAAGAAACTTTATGAGAAATGGCTTTCTGGTGTATGTGTTCCTCTCACACGGTTAAGACCTGCTTTTGATGGAACAGTTTGGGCCAACTGTTTTTGTAGTATCTGCAAAGTGATATTTGTGAGCCCATGAGGCATATGGTGGAAAAGGAAATACCTTCAGAGAAGAACTAGAAAGATGCTTTCTGAGAAACTGATTTTTGATGTGTGCATTCATCTCACTGAGTTAAAAGTTCCTTTTGAGTGAGTAGTTTTGAAACACTGTTTTTGTGGAATCAGCGAAGGGATATTTAGGAGAGCATTGAATCCTATGCTGATGAAGGAAATACCTTTGGAAAAAAACTGGAAAGAAACTTTCAGAGAAACCACTTTGTGATGTGTGCATTCCTCTCAGAGAGTTAAAATTTTCTTTTGATTGATCAGTTTGGAAATGCTGTTTTTATGGAATCTGTGAAGGGATAATTGACAGCACATGAGGCCTATGGTGAAAAAGGTAATAACTTCAGATAAAAACTAGAAAGAAGTTTTCTGAGAAACTGCTTTGTGATGTGTGCATTCTTCTCACAGAGTTAAACTTTTCTTTTGAATGAACACTTTGTAAACACTGTTTTTGTAGAATTTGCAAATGGATATTTGGGAGCACACTGATTTATATGGTGAGAAAGGAAATATCTTCGGATAAATACTAGATAGAAATTTTTTGAGAAACTGCTCTGTATTGTGTGCATTCAACTCACGAAATTAAACCTGATTTTTGATTCAGCAGTTTGGAAACACTGTTTTTGTAGAATCTGCAATGGGATATTTAGGAGTGCACTGAAGCCTATTGTGATAAAGGAAATATCTTCAGATAAAATCAGAATGAAGCTTTTTGAGAAACTGCTTTGTGATGTGTGCATTCATCTCACAGAGTTAAACCTTTTTTTTCACTGAGCAGTTTGGAAATACTGTTTTCGCAAAATCTACGAGCGTTATTAGTTAGCGCAAAAAAGCCCATGGTGAAAAAGTAAATCTCTTCAGATAAAAACTGGAAAGAAGAAGCTTTATGTGAAACTGTTTTCTGGTGTGCTTTCCTCTCACAGGGTGAACTCCTGCTTTTGATGGAACAGTTTGGAGACACAGTTTTTGAAGAATCTGTGAAGGGATACTTGGGAATGTATTGAGGCCTATGGTGGAAAAGGAAATATCTTCAGGGAAGGACAAAAGAGAAGCTGTTTGAGAATCTTCCTTGTGCTGTGTGCATTCATCTGACAGAGTTAAACCTTTCTTTTGACTGAGCAATTTGGAATCACTGTTTTTGCAAAAACTGTGAAGCAATGTTTGTAGTGCAAAAACGTCCATGGTGAACAAGGAAATATCTTCAGATAAAAACTGAAAAGAAGCATTATGAGAAACTGCTTTCTGATGTGGGTGTTCTCACAGAGTTAAGTCTTTCTCACAGAGTGTTTCACAGAGTGTCTCACAGAGTTAATTTTTTCTGTTGATGTAACAGTTTGGGAACACTGTTTTTGTAGGATTTGCAAAGGGATATTTGGGAGTGCACTGAGGCCTATGGTGGAAAATGAAATATCTTCAGAGAAGAACTAGACAGAAGCTTTCTGAGAAACTGGGTTTTGATGTTTGCTTTCATTTCACAGTGTAAAATTTTTCGTTTGATGGGTCCCTATGAAAACAACCTTTTGGCAGAAGCTGCAAAATGTTATATGTGAGCACATTGAAGCCTATGATGAAAAAGGAAATATCTCCCTATAAAAGCTACAAAGAAACTTTCTGAGAAACTGCTTTGTAATGTGTGTATTTGTCTCACAGAGTTAAAACTTTCTTTTCATTGAGCAGTTTGGAAACAATGTTTTTGTAAAATCTGCAAAGTTATATTTAGGAGTGCACTGAGGCCTATGGTGAAAAAGGAAATACCTTTGGATAAAAATTAGAAAGAAGATTTTGAGAAATGGCTTTGCGATGTGTGTGTTCAACTGACAGGGTTCAACCTGTTTATTGATTGAGCAGCTTGGAAACACTGTTTATGGAGAATCTGCAACAGGATATTTGGCAACACATTGAAACCTATGGAGATAAAGGAAATAGGATAAAACTAAAAAGAAGCGTTATGAGAAACTGCTTTCTGATGTGTGCATTCATCTCACAGAGTTAAACCTTTCTTTTCACTGAGCAGTTTCAAAACACTGTTTTTGCAAAATCAACCAAGTGATATTAGGTAGGGCAAAAAAGTCTATGGTGAAAAAGGAAATCTCTTCAGATAAAAACTGGAAAGAAGCTTTATGAGAAACCACTTTCTTGTCTGTGCTTTCCTCTCACAGGGTTAAGTCCTGTTTTTGATGGAACAGTTCGGAAACACTGTTTTTGAAGAATCTGTGAAGGGATACTTGGGAGTGTATTGAGGCCTATGGTGGAAAAGAAAATATCCTCAGAGAAGAACAAGAGAGAAGCTGTTTGAGAAACTTCTTTGTGATGTGTGCTTTCATCTCACAGATGTAAACGTTTCTTTTTATTGAGCAGTTTGGAAACTCTGTTATTCTATAAACTGCAAAGGGATATTCGGAAGTGCACTGATGCCTGTGGTGAAAAAGGAAATATCTTCGGATAAAAACTAGACAGAATGCTTTCTGAAACTTCTTTGTGATGCACGCATTCTTCTCACACAGTTAAACTTTTCTTCTTACTGAGCAGTTTGGATACACTGTTTTTGTGTAATCTGCAAACAGATATTTAGTAGTGCAGAAAGGCCTATCATGGGGAAGGAAATATCTTCAGATAAAAACTGGAAAGAAGCATTATGAGAAACTGCTTTATGATGTGTGCTTTCATTTCACATAGTTAAATAATTATTCTGATGGAACAGTCTGGAAACACTGTTTTTATAGGGTTGGTGAAGGAATATTTGTGAGCACTTTGAAGACTATCATGGCAAAGGAAATATCTTTAGAGAATTGAACTACAAGAAGCTATCTAAGAAACTGCTTTGTTATGTGGACATTCATGTCACGGAGTTAAGCCTTTCTTTTGACCAAGCAGTTTGGAACATTGCTTTTGTAGAAATTGCAAAGGTATATTTTGTAGCACTCTGAGGCCTATGGGGGAAAAAGAAATACCTTCGGATAAAAACTAGAAAGAAGGTTTTTCACAACTGCTTTGTGATGTGTCTGTTCAATTCACAGAGTTAAACCTGTTTTTTGATTGAACACTTGGGAAACACTGTTTTTGTAGAATCTGCTATGGGATATTTGGGAGTGCATTTAGGCTTATGGTGGAAAATGAAATGTCTTCAGAGAAGAACTAGAGAGAAGCTTTCTTAGAAACTGCTTTGTGATGTGTGCATTCATATCACATAGTTAATCCTTTCTTTTGATTGAGCAGTTTGGAAACACTGTTTTTGTAGAATCTGCGAAGGGATATTTCAGAGAGCCATGAAGCCTATGGTGAAAAAGGAAATATATTCGGATAAAAACTAGAAAGAAACTTTGAGAAATGGCATTGTGATGTGTGCATTCATCTCCCAGAGTTAAACTTATCTTTTGATTGATCAGTTTGGACACATTGTTTTTGTAGAATCTGCAAAACAATATTTGGGAGCACATGACATCTATGTTGAAAAAGGAAATAACTTCAGATAACAACTAGAAAGAACCCTTCTGAAAAATCACTTTGTGTTATGCATTCTTCTTACAGAGCTAAAAGTTTCTTTTCATTGAGCAGTTTGGAAACCCTCTTTATGTAGAATCTGGAAAGGGATATTTGAGAGCACACATTTGCCTACAGTGAAAATGGAATTATCTTTGGTAAAGACTAGAAAGAAGCTTATTGAGAAACTGCTTTGTGATGTATGCATTCATCTCACAGAGTTAAACTTTCCTTTTGACTGAGCAGTTTGGAAACACTGTTTTTTTATAATCTGTGAAGTGATGTTAGGTAGCACAAAAAGGCCTATGGTGAACAGGGAAATATCTTCAGATAAAAACTGGAAACATTATGAGAAACTACTTTCTGATGTGTGCATTCATCTCACAGAGTTAAGTCCTTCTTTTGATGGAACATTTCAGAAACCTGTTTTTATACAGTCTGCAAATGGATTTTTGAGAGTGCACTTAAGCCTATGGTGTAAAGGGAAATAACTTTGGAGAAGAACTAGACAGTATGTATCTGAGAAACTGCTTTGTAATGTGTGCATTCATCTCACAGTGTTAAAACTTTCTTCTGATTGATCAGTTTGAAAACACTGTTTATGCAGAATCTGTGAAGGGATATTTCAGAGAGCACAAGGCCTATAATCAAGAAGTAAATAACTTCAGATAAAAAGAAGAAAGTTTCTGAGAAATGACTTTGTGAAGTATGTATTCTTCTCATAGATTTAAACGTTTCTTTTGATTGAGCAGTTTGGAAACACTGTTTAAGTATAATCTGTGAAGCAATGTTAGCACAAAATGGCTTATGATGAATATCTTCAGAAAAAAATACTGGAATGAAGCGTTATGAGAAACTGCTCTCTGAAGTTTGTTTTTACATCACAGTGTTAAAGCCTTCTTTTGACTGAACAGTTCATAAACACTGTTTTTAATAGAATCTATAAAAGTGATATTTAGGAGCACATTGAGACTTATGGTGTAAAGGAAATATATTCAGAGAAGAAAGAGATAAACTGCCTGAGAAACTGCTTTGTCACATGTGCATTCATCCCAGAGAGTTAAACATATCTTTTAATGGAGCTGTTTGGAAACACAGTTTTTGTAGAATCTGCAAAGGTACATTTGGGAGTGCAATAAGGACTATGGTGAAAAGGGAAATATCTTTCGGTATAAACTACAAAAATGCGTTTTGAGAAACCTCTCTGTGATGTGTGCATTCATCTCATAGAGTTAAACGTGGCTTTTGTTTGAGCACTTTGGAAACACTGTTTTTGTGTAATCTACGAAGTGATGTTAGGGAGCACAAAAAGCCTGTGCTGAAAAAGTAAATATCTTCAGATAAAAACTGGAAAGAAACGTTGTGAGAAACTGCTTTCTAAAGAGTGAATTCATCTCACAGAGTTAAGTACTTATTTTGATGGAAGAGTTCAGAAACAATGTTTTTACATAATCTACAAAGGGATATTTGGGAGCACATTGAGGCCTGTGGTGGAAAAGAAAATATCTTCAGAGAAGAACAAGATAGAAGCTATCTGAGAAACTGCTTTGTGATGTGTGCATTCAACTGATAGAGATAAATCTGTTTTTTGATTGAGAAGTTTGGAATACTTTTTTGTAGAATCTGCAAATTGATATTTGTGAGCGCATGTATTTTTTTGCACATTGAGTCCTATGTTGAAAAAGAAAATATCTTCAGATAAAAACTCGACAGAAGTTTTCTGAGAGACTGCTTTGTGATGTCTGCATTCTTCTGACAGAGTTAAATGTTGCTTTTGATTGAGCAGTTTGGAAACACTGTTTTTGTAGAATCTGCAAAGGGATATTTGGGAGCACATGGATGCCTATTGTGAATAAGGAAATATCTTCAGATACAAACTAGAAAGAAGCTTTTTGAGAAACTGCTTTGTGATGCATGCATTCATCTAACAGAATTAAACTTTTTTTCTGATTGAGCAGTTTGGAAACACTGTTTTCGTATATTCTGTGAAGTGATGTTAGGTAGCCTAAAGAGGCGTATGGTGAGCATGGACGTATCTTCAGATAAAAAGTGGAAAGAAGCATTGTGAGAAACTGTTTTCTGATATGTGTGTTCATCTCACAGAGTGAAATCCTACCTTTGATGGAGCAGTTTGGAAACACTCTTTTTGTAGAATCTGTGAAGGGGTATTTCAGAGCAGATTGGGGCTTATGCTGGAAAAGGAAATATCTTTGGATATAAACTAGAAAGAATTTTTTTGAGAAACTGCTTTCTGATATGTGCATTCGTCTCACAGAGTTAACACTTTCTTTTGACTGAGCAGTTTAGAAACACTGTTTTTGTATAATCTGCAAAGTGATGTTTGTTAGCCCAAAAATACATATGTTGATAAAAGAAATATCTTCAGAAAAAAACTGGAAAGAAGCATTATGAGAAACTGCATTATTATATGTGCATTCATCTCACAGAGGTAAGTCCTTTTTTTTCTGGAACAGTTTGGAAACACTCTTTTTGTAGAATCTGCAAAGGGATATTTGGGAGCAAATTGATGCCTATGGTGAAAAAGGAAATATCTTTGGGTAAAAACTACAAAGAAACTGTTTGAGAAATTGCTTTGAGATGTTTGCTTTCATCTCACAGAATTAATCAGTTCTTAGATTGATCAGTTTGGAAACACTGTTTTTGTAGAATCTCCGAATGAATATTTGGGAGCATGTGAGGCCTTGGTTAAAAATCAAATAACTTCAGATAAAAACTAGAAAGAAGCTTTCTGAGAACTGTTTTGTGATGTGTGCTTTCTTGTCAAAGAGTTAAACGTTTCTTTTGATTAAAGAGTTTGGACTTACTGTTTTTGTAGAATCTCTAAAGAATATTTGGGACCACCCTGAAGCCAATGGCGAAATGGAAATATCTTCAGATAAACACTAGAAAGAAGCTTTTTGAGAAAACTGCTTCTTGCTGTTTGCATTCATCTCACAGAGTTAAGTATTTCTTTTGAGTGAGCAGTTTGGAAACACAGTTTTTGTATAATCTGTGAAGTGATATTTTGTAGTGCAAAAAGGCCTATGTTGAAGAAGGAAATATCTTCAGAAAAAACTGAAAAGAAGTGTTCACAGAAACTACTTTCTGATGTGTACATTCTTCTCACAGAGCTGAATCCTTCTTTTAATCAACAGTTCAGAAACACTGTTTTTTTTTTTCTTATTTTTATACTTTAAATTTTAGGGTACATGTGCACAATGTGCAGGTTTGTTACATATGTATACATGTGCCAGGTTGGTGTGCCGCACCCATTAACTCTTCATTTAATGTTAGGTATATCTCCTAATACTATCCCTCCCCCCTCCCACCACCCCACAACAGGTCCCAGTGTGTGATGTTCCCCTCCCTGTGTCCATGTGTTCTCACTGTTCAATTCCCGCTTATGAGTGAGAACATGCAGTGTTTGGTTTTTTCTCCTTGTGATAGTTTGCTGAGAATGATGGTTTCCAGCTTCATCGATGTCCCTACAAAGGACATGAATTCATCGTTTTTTATGTCTGCATATTATTCCAAGGTGTATATATGTGCCACACTTTCTTAATGCAGTCTACAATTGTTGGATATTTGGGTTGGTACCAAGTCTTTGCTGCTGTGAATAGTGGCACAATACACATACGTGTGCATGTGTCTTTACAGCAGCATGACTTATAATCCTTTGGGTATATACCCACTAATGGGATGGCTGGGTCAAGTGGTATTTCTAGTTCTGATCCCTGAAGAATTGGCACACCGACTTCCACAAAGGTTGAACTAGTTTACAGTCTCTTCAAAAGTGTAAAAGTGTTCCTATTTCTCCACATCCTCTCCAGCACCTGTTGTTTCCTGACTTTTTAATGATCGCCATTCTAACAGGTGTGAGAAGTTATCTCATTGTGGTTTTGATTTGCATTTCTCTGATGGCCAGTGATGAAGAGCATTTTTCATGCTTCTTTTGGTTCCATGAATGTCTTCTTTTGAGAAGTGTCTGTTCATAACCTTCACTAACTTTTGATGGTTTTTTTTTGTTTTTTTTCTTGTAAATTTGTTTGAGTTCACTGTAGATTCTGGATATTAGCCCTTTGTCAGACTATAGATTCAGTGAAGGGATATTTGGGAGTGTATTGTGGCCTAGGGTGAAAAAGAAAATATCTTCAGAGAAGAACTAGAATGAAGCTATTGGAGAAATTGCTTTTAGAAGTGTGCATTCATATAACAGAGTTAAAACTTTCTTTTGTTTGAGCAGTTTGGAAACACTGCTTTTGAAGAATCTGCAAAGATATATTTGGGAGCTTACGGAGGCCTATAGTGAAAAGGGAAAATTATTCAGATAAACACTGGAAAAAAATTTTTGAGAAACTGCGTTCAATGTGTGCATTCATCTGACATATTTAAACATTTCTTTTGACTGAGGAGTATGGAAACACTATTTTTCAAAAATCTGTGTGGTGATATTTGGTAGCGCAAAAAAGCCTATACTGAAAATGGAAATATCTTCAGATAAAAACTGGAAAGAAGAGTTATGAAAAACTGCTTTATGATGTGTGCATTCATCTCACAGAGTTAAGTCCTTCTTTGAATGGAAAGGTTCAGAAAAACTGTTTTTGTAGAAACTGTGAACGGATATTTGGGAACCCATTGAGGCCTCTTGTGGAAAATGAAATATCTTCAGACAAGAACTAGACAGAAGCTTTCTGATAAACTGCTTTGTGATGTGTCATTTATCTCACAGAGTTAAACCTTCTTTTGATTAAGTAGTTTGGAAAAACTGTTTTTGTACAGTCTGCAAAGGGATACTTTGGAGTGTCCAGGGCCTAAGGTGAAAAAGGAAATAACTTCAGATAAATACTAGAAAGAAGCCTTCTGAAAAACCGCTTTTTGACGTGTGCATTCTTGTCACAGAATTAAACGTTTCTTTAGATTGAGCAGTTTGGAAACACTATTTTTGTAGAATCTGCAAAGGGATATGGGGGAGCTCACTAAGGCCTGTGAGTAAAAAGGGAATATCTTCGGATAAGAACTAGAAAGAAGCTATTTGACAAACTGTTTTGTGATGTGTGTGTTCAACTCACATAATTAAACCTGGTTTTTGATTTAGCAGTTTGGAAACACGTTTTTGTAAAATCTGCAAGGGGATATTTGAAAGAACAGTTAGTCCTATGTAGAAAAGGGAACATATTTGGATGTAAATGAGAAAGAAGTTGTCTGACTAACTACTTTGTGATGTGTCTATTCATCCACAGAGTTAAATCTTTCTTTTGACTGAGCAGTTTGGAAACACTATTTTTGTATAATCTGTGAAGCAATATTTGTTAGTGCAAAAATGCCTATGTTGAGAAAGAAAAAATAACTTCAGATAAAAACTGGAAAGAAGCGTCTTGAGAAACTGCGTTTGCATGTGTGCATTCATACCAAAGAGTTAAGTCCTTCTTTTGATGGAATAGTTTGGAAACACTGTTTTTGTAGAATCTGTGAAGGGATATTTGGGAGCGCATTGACGACTATGGTGGAAAAGGAAATATCTTCAGAGAAGAATTAGACAGAAGCTTTCTGAGAAACTGCTTTGTGATGTGTGCATTCATCGCACAGAGTTAAACCTTTGTTTTGATAGAGCAGTTTGGAAACACTGTTTTTGTAAAATCTGCGATGAGATATTTTCAAGTGCATTGAGGACTAAGGTGATACAGGAAATATGTTTGGATAAATACTAAAAATTTTTTTGAGAAACTGCTCTGTGATGTATGCATTCATCTTACAGAGTTCAACCTTTCTTTTGACTGAGCAGTTTGGAAACACTGTTTTTGCAAAATCTGTGAAGTAATATTAGGTAGTGTAAAAAAGCTACTGTGAACAATGAAATATCTACAGATAAAAACTGGAAAGATGCATTATGAGAAACTACTTTCTGATGTGTGTATTTATCCCACAGAGGTAAATCCTTCTTTTTTTGGAAAAGTTCAGAGACACTGTTTTTATAGAATCCGTGAAAGGATATAAGGGATCATATTGAGGCCTATGGTGGAAAAGGAAATATCTTCAAATAAGAACCAGACGGAAGCTTTCTGAGAAATTGCTTTGTGATGTGTGCATTCATCTCACAGAGTTAAACCTTTCTTTTGATTGAGCAGTTTGGAAACACTGTTTTTGTAGAATCTGCAAAGGTATATTTGAGAGTGCACTGAGGACTATGGTGAAAAAGGAAATATATTCATATAAAACAGGAAAGAAGCTTTTTGAGAAACTGCTTTGTGATGTGGGCTTTCAACTCACAGAGTTGAACCTGCTTTTTGATGGAGTAGTTTGTAAACATTGTTTATGTAGAATGTGCGACAGGATATTTGGGGGTGCATTGAAGCCTATGGTGATAAAGGAAATATCTTCAGATAAAAACTAGAAAGAAGGTTTTGAGAAACTGCTTTGTGATGTGTGCATTCATCTCACAGAGTTAAACCTTTCTTTTGACTGAGCAGTTTGGAAACACTGCTTTTGCAAAATTTACAAAGCAATATCTGTTATTGCAAAAAAGCCTATGGTGAACAAGGAAATATTGTCAGATAAAAACTGATAAGAAGCGTTATAAGAAACTGCTTTCTGATGTGTGTGTTCATCTCACAGAGTTAAATCCTTCTTTTGATGGAATAGTTTGGAAACACTGTTTTTATAGAGTCTGTGAAGGGATATTTAGGAGTGCATTGAGCCTTATGGAGGAAAGGAAATATCTTTCGAGAAGAACTAGGCAGTATCAATCTGAGAAACTGCTTTGTGATGGGTGCATTCATCTCAGAGAGTTAAAACTTTCTTTTGATTGAGCAGTTTGGAAACACGGTTTTTGTAGAATCTGCGTAGGGATATTTGGAGGTGCATTTTAGACTAAGGTGATAAAGGAAATATCTTCAGATAAAAACTAGAAAGAAGCTTTTTGAGAAACTGATTTGTCATGTGTGCATTGAACTCACAGAGTTAAACCTGTTTTTTGATTGAGGAGTTTGGAAACATTGTTTTTATAGCATCTGTGAAAGGATATTATGTAATACAAAGAGGACTGTGGTGATAAAGGAAATATCATCAGATAAAATGCAGCACACCAACATGGCACATGTATACATATGCAACTAACCTGCACATTGTGCACATGTACCCTAAAACTTAAAGTATAATTTAAAAAAACTAGAAAGAAGCTTTCTGAGATGCTGATTTGAGATGTGTGCATTCATTTCACAGTGTTAAATCTTTCCTTTGATGGAGCTGTTTGGAAACACCCTTCTGGCAGAAAGTGCAAAGAGTTATTTGTGAGCACACTGAGGCCTGTGACGAAAAAGGAAATATCTACAGAAAACACCTAGAAAGAAACGTTCTGAGAAACAGTTTTGTGATGTGTACATTCGTCTGACAGAGTTAAACCTTTCTTTTCATTGAGTAGTTTGGAAACACTTTTTTTGTAGCATCTGCAAAGAGATATTTGAGAATGCATAAATCCTATGTTGAAAAAGGAAATAAATTCAGATGAAAACTAGAAAGAAGTTTTCTGAGAAACTGCTTTGTGATGGGTGCATTTTACTCACAGATTTAAAAGTTTCTTTTGAGTGATCAGTTTGGAAACACTGTTTGTGTAGAATCTGCTAAGAGATATTTGGGAGTGCAATGATGCCAGTGGTGAAAAAGGAAATATCTTCGGAGAAAACTAGAAGGAAGCTTTTTGAGAAACTTCTTTGTGATGTGTGCATTCACCTCACAGAGGTAAACCTTCCTTTGATTTTGCAGTTTGGAGACACTGTTTTTGTATAATCTGCAAAGGTATATTTGGGATTGCACTGAAGCCTGAAGTGAAAAAAGAAATATCTTCAGATAAAAACTAGAAAGAAGCGTTTTGAGAAAATGCTTTGGAGGTCTGCATTCATCTAAAAGACTTCAACCTTTCTTTTGACTGAGCAGTTTGGAAACACACTTTTTGCAATATCTGTGATGCAATATTTGGTAATGCAAATAACCCATGGTAAAAAAGGAAATATCTTCAGATAAATACTGGAAAGAAGCGTTATAAGAAACTGTTTTCTGATGTGTGCATTCATCTCACATAGTTAGGTCTTTCTTTTGATGAAACATTCTGAAAACAATGTTTTTGTAGAATCTGTGCAGGGATATTTGGCAGTGCATTGAGGCCTATGTTGGAAAAGTAAATATATTCAGGGAAGAACTAGACAGAAGCTTTCTGAGAAACTCCCTTGTGATGTGTGCATTCATCTCACAGAGTTTTACCTTTCCTTTGAAGGAGCAGTTTGAAAACACCGTATTTTCAGAATATGCGAAGCCATATTTGGGAGCACTTTCAGGCCTGTGGTGAAAAGGGAAATATCTTCTGATGAACACTAGACAGAAGCTTTCTGAGAAACTGCTTTGTGATGTGTGCTTTCATCTCACAGATTTAAACCTTTCTTTTGATGGAGTAGTTGTTTGCAAACACTGGTTTTTATAATCAGCCAAGGGATATTTTGGAGCTCATTGAATCCTGTGGTTAAAAGGAAATATCTTCAGAGAAAAACTAGAAAGAAACTTTCTGAGAAACTGCTTTGTAATGTGTGCATTCATCTGTCAGAATTAAACCTTTATTTCGAGAGAGAAGTTTGTTAACCCTGTTTTCGTATAAACTGCAAAGGGATATTTCAGAGCACATTGAAGCTTATGGTGAAAATGGAAATACCTTTAGACAAAAACTAGAATGAACTCTGTGAGAAACTGCTTTGTGATGTCTGCATTCATCTAACAGAGTTAAACCTTTCTTTGGATAGAGCAGTTTGTAATCACTGTTTTTGTAGAATCTGCGGAGGGATATTTGGAAGCACATTAAGTCTTGCTTTGAAAAGAGAAATATATACAGAGAAAAACTACAAAAAGCTTTCTGAGAAACTGCTTTGTGATGTGTCCATTCATCTCACAGAGTTCAACCTTTCCTTTGAAGGAGCAGTTTAAAAATACTGTATTTATGGAAACTTCAAAGCCATATTTGGGAGCACTTTCAGGCCTAAGCTGAAGAGGGAAACATCTTCAGGTAAACACTAGACAGAAGTTTTCTGAGAAACTGCTTTGTGACGTGTGCATTCATTTCAGTGAGTTAAACATTTCTTTTGATGGAGCTGTTTGTAAAACCTGTTTCTGTATAAACTGTGAAGGTATATTCCAGAGTGCATTGAGGCCTGTGGTGAAAATAGAGATGTCTCTAGACAAAAATTGGAATGAAGCTTTATGAGAAACTGCTTTGTGATGTGAGAATTCATCTGACAGATTTAAACATTTCTTTTGATTAAACAACTTGGAAACACTGTATTTGCAGAATCTGTGAAGAAGTTATATTTGGGAGAGATAGAGGCCTATAGTGAAGAAGGAAATAGCTTTAGAGAAAAACTAGAAAGAAGCTTTCTGAGAAACTGCTTTGTGATGTGTCCATTCATCTCACAGAGTTAAACATTTCCTTTGAAGGAGGAGATTGAAAACACTGTATTTGTAGAATCTACAAAGCCATATTTTGGAGCACTTTCAGGCCTATGGTGAAAAGGGAAATATCTTCAGATAAAAACTTGACAGAAGCTTTCTGAGAAACTGCCTTGTGATGTGTGATTTCATCTCACAGAGATAAAACTTTCTTTTGATGGACTAGTTTGTAAACACTATTTTTGTATAAATGGTGAAGGTATATTTAGGATCACATTGAGTCCTGTGGTGAAAACGAAATATCTTCAGAGAAAAACTAGAAAGAAACTTTCTGAGAAACTACTTTGTGACATGTGCATTCATTCTCACAGAGTTAAAAATTTCTTTTGATGGAGTTGTTTGTAAACTCTGTTTTTGTATCAACTGCTCATGGATATTTCAGAGTTCATTGAGGCTGATAGTGAAAATGGTATTATCTCTATACAAATGCTAGAATGAAGCTTTCTGAGAAACTACTCTGTGCTGTCTGCATTCATCTCACTGGGTTAAACCTTTCTTTTGATGAGCAGTTTGGAAACACTGTATTTGTAGAATCTGCCAAGGGATATTTTGGAGCACATTGAGGCCTAGTGTGAAAAAGGAAATATCTTCAGATAAAAACTAGAAAGAAACTTTCTGAGAAACTGCCTTGTGGTGTGCACATTCATCTCAGAGAATTAAACAACTTTTCTTTTGGTGGAGCAGTTTGGAATCAATGGTTTTGTAGGATCTGCAAAAGGATATTTGGGTCTGCATTTATGCCTGTGGTGAAAAGAGAAATAACTTCAGAGAAAAGCTAGAAAGAAGCTTCATCAGTAACTGCATTTTGATGTGTCCATTCATCTCAAAGTGTTAAACATTTCCTTTGAAGGAGCCATTTGAAAACACTGTATTTGTAGAATCTGTGAAGACATATTTGGGAGCACTCTCAGGCCTATGGTCAAAAGGGAAATATCTTCAGATGAAAACCAGACAGAAGCTTTCTGAAAAACTGCTTTGTGATGTGTTCTTTCATCTCACAGAGTTAAATCTTCTTTTGGTGCAGCAGTTTGGAAACAGTGTTTTTGTAGAATCTGCAAAACGGTAATTGGGAACACAATGAAGCCTATGTTGAAAAGAAATATCTTCAGATAAGGGATATTTCAGAATGTGTTGAGGCCTATGGTGAAAATGGAAATATCTCTAGACAAAAACAAGAATGAATCTTTCTGAGAAACTTCTTTGTGCTGTGAGAATTCATCTGACAGATTTAAAACTTTCTTTTGATGGAGCAGGTTGGAAATACTGTATTTGTAGGATCCGCAAAGGGATATTTGGGAGTGCATTGAGGCCTAATGTGAAAAAAGGAAATATCATCAAAAAAATAGAAAGAAGCTTTCTGAGAAACTGCTTTGTGATGTGTGCAGTCATCTCACAGAGATAAAACTTTCTTTGGATGGAGCAGTTTGGAATCACTGTTTTTGTAGAATCTGCAAAGGGATATTTGGGGAATGCATTAAGGACTGTGGTGAAAAGAGAAATATCTTCAGAAAAAAACTAAAAAGAAGCTCTCTGAGAAACTGTTTTTTGTTGTATACCTTCATTACACAGATTTCAACTTTTCCTTTGAAAGAGCAGTTTGAAAACACAGTATTTGTAGAATCTGTGAAGCCATATTTGGGAGCGCTTTCAGGCCTATGGTGAAAAGGAAATAACTTCAGACAAAAAGTAGAAAGAAACTTTCTGAGACACTAGTTTCTGATGTGTGCATTCATTCTCACAGAATTAAACCCTTCTTTTGATGGAGCTGTTTGTAAACCCTCTTTTTGTATAAACTGCAAAGGGATATTTCAGAGCGCATTGAGGCCTATGGTGAAAATGGAATTATCTCTATACAAAAACTAGAATGAAGCTTTCTGAGAAACTGCTTTGTGATGTGTGCATTCATCTCACTGTGTTAAACATTTCCTTTAATGGATCTGTTTGGAAACACTGTATTTGTAGAATCTGCCAAGGGATATTTGGGAGTGCATTGAAAAATATCATGAAAAAGGAAATATCTTCAGAGAAAAACTAGACAGAAGGTACTTGAGAAACTTCTTTCTGATCTGTGCATTCACCCCAGAGAGTCAAACCTTTCTTTTGATTAAGCAGTTTGGAAAAACTGTTTTTGTAGACTCTTCAAATATATATTTGAGAATGCACAATGGCATATGGTGGAAAAGGAAATACCTTTGAATAAAAACTAGAAAGAAGGATTTGAGAATCTGCTTTTGGATGTGTGCATTCAACTCACAGACTTAAACTTTTCTTTTGACTGAGTAGTTTGGAAATGCTGTTTTTGCATAATCTGCAAAGCAATATTTGTTTGTGCAAAAAAACCTATGGTGAAAAAAGAAATCTTCAGATAAAAACTGACAAGATGTGTAATGAGAAACTACTTTCTGATGTATGCATTCAGCTCACAGAGTTCAGTCCTTCTTTTGATCGAAAGTTTGTAAACTCAGTTTTTGTAGAGTCTGCAAAGGGATATTTGGGAGCACATTGAAGTCTGTGGTGAAAAAGGAAATATCTTCAGATAAAAACTAGAAAAAAAGCTTTATGAGAAACTGCTTTGCAATGGGTGCATTCAACTCAGAGAAGTAAACTTGTTTTTTGATTGAGCAGTTTGGAAACACTGTATTTATAAAATCTGAGATGGGATATTCTGGAGCGCATTGAAGCCCATGGCAATAAAGGAAATATATTCAGATAATACCCAGAAAGAGGCTTTTTGAGAAACTGCTTTGTGATGTGTGCATTCTGCCCACAGAGTTAAACTTCTTTTGATGGAACAGTTTCAAAACACTGTTTTTGCAAAATCTGCAAAGTGATATTAAATAGTGCAGAACAAGGAAATATCTTCATATAAAAACGGTAAAGAAGCATTATGAGAAACTGGTTTGTGAGGTGTGCATTCTTATCACACAGTTAAACGTTTCTTTTGATTGAGCAGTTTGGAAACACTGTTTTTGTAGGATCTGTGATGGGATATTTGGGAGTGTTGAAACCAAAGGTGAAATAGGAAATAACTTTGGATAAAATCTAGAAAGAAGATTTTTGAGAAACTGCTTTGTGATGTGTGCATTCAACTCACTGATAAATCTGTTTTTTGATTGAGCAGTTTGGAAATGGTTTTTGTAGGATAAGAGACAGGATATTTATGAGCGCATTGAAGCCAATGGTGATAAAGGAAATAATTTTGGATGCAAATTAGAAAGAAGTTTTTAGAGAAACTGTGATGTGTGCATTCATCTCACAGAATTAAATCTTTCTTTTGATGGAACAGTTCAGAAATACTGTTTATATAGAATCTGCAAAGGGATACTTGGGAGTGCCCTGAAGCCTATAGTGAAAAAGGAATTATCTTTGGATAAAAACCAGAAAGAAGATTTCTGAGAAACTGCTTTGTGATGTATGCATTCACCTCAGAGTGTTAAACTTTTCTTTCAACTGAGCAGTTTGGAAACACTGTTTTTGTAGAATCTGTGAAGGGATGTTTGTGGGAGCATGAGGGCCATGGTGAAAAAGGAAATAACTTCAAATAAAAACTAGAAAGCATCTTTCTGAAAAAATGCTTTGTGATGTGTGCATTCTTCTCACAGAGTTACACATTTCTTTTGATTGAGCACTTTGTAAACACTCTTTTTCTCGAAACTGCAAAGGATATTTCAGAGCACACTGATGCCTATTGTGAGAAAGGAAATATCTTCAGATAACAACTAGAAAGAAGCTCTTTGAGAAACTGCTTTGTGATGTATGCATTCATCTCACAGAGTTAAACTTTTCTTTCCACTCAACAGTTTGGAAACACTGTTTTTGCAAAATCTGTGAAGGGATAAATGGTAGTACAAAAAAGCCTATGGTAAAAAAAGAAATATATTCAGATAAAAACTGGAAACAATTTTTATGAGAAACTGATTTGTGATGTGTGCATTCAACTCACAGAGTTAAAACATTGTTTTTATTGATCAGTTTGGAAAAAATGTTTTTGTAGAAACTGCTAAGGGGTATTTGGGAGTGAACGAGGCCTATGGTGAAAAAGAAAATAACTTCAGATTAAAACTAGAAAGAAGCTTTCTAAGAAACTGCTTTGTGATATGTGCATTCTTCTCACAGAGTTAAACGTTTCTTTTCATTGAGCAGTTCAGAAACACTGTTTTTGTAGTTTCTGCAAAGGGATATTTTGGAGTGCACTGATGCCTATGGTGAAAAAGAAATATGTTCAGATAAAAA
The DNA here is from genome assembly GCF_000001405.40 of Homo sapiens. Classification (NCBI taxonomy): domain Eukaryota; kingdom Metazoa; phylum Chordata; class Mammalia; order Primates; family Hominidae; genus Homo; species Homo sapiens. Next base: position 46,260,815 of record NC_000005.10, on the reverse strand, counting down.
CGAGAAAGAAGCTTTTTGAGAAGCAGCTTTGTGATGTATGCATTCATCTCACTGAGTTAAACTTTTCTTTTGACTGAGCACGTTGGAAACACTTTTTTTGTAAAATCTGCAAAGTGATGTTGGGTATCGCAAAAAGCCCTGTGGTTAACAATGAAATATCTTCTGATGGAAACTGGAAAGAAGTGTTATGAGAAGCTGTTTTCTGATGTGTGCATTCATCTCACAGAGTTAAATCCTTCTTCTCATGGAACAGTTTGGTAACACTCTTTTTAAAGAATCTGTGAAGGGATATTTGGCAGCACATTGAGGTCTATGATGGAAAAGGAAATAACTTCAGAGAAGAAGGAGACAGAAGCTATCTGAGAAACTCCCTTGTGACATGTGCCTTCATCTCACAGAGTTAAACCATTCTTTTGATTGAGCATTTTGGAAATACTGTTTTTGTAGAATCTCCAAAGGTATATTTTGTAGCACCCTGTGGTCTACGATGATAAAGGAAATATCTTCGGATAAAACTAGAAAGAAAAGTTTTGAGAAACTACATTGTGATATGTGCATTCAATTCACAGAGTTAACACTCTTTTTTGATGGAGCAGTTTGGAAACAGTGTTTGTTATTGTAGAATCTGTGATGGGATATTTGAGAGTGCATTGAAGCCTAAGATAATAAAGGAAATATCTTCAGGGAAGAACTAGGCAGAAGCTTTCTGAGTAACTGCTTTGTGATGTGTGCATTCATCAAACACAGTTAAACCTGTTTTTTGATTGATCAGTTTGAAATCACTGCTTTTGTAGAATCTGTGAAGGGATATTTTGGCGTACAAGAAGCCTCTTTTGAAAAAAATTATCTTCAGATAAAAACTAGAAAAAGCTTTCTGAGAAACCATTTTGTGATGTGTGCAATCTTCTCACTAAGCTAAATGTTACTTTTGATTGAGCAGTTTGGAAACACTCTTTTTGCAGAATCTGCAAAGGGATATTTGGGAGTGCGCTGAGGCCTATGCTGTAAAAGGAAATATCTTCAGATAAAAATTAGAAACAACTTTTTAATTAACTGCTTTGTGTTGTATGCATTCATCTCACAGACTTAAACTTTCCTTTGACTGAGCAGTGGGGAAACACTGTTTTTGTATAATCTGCAAAGCAATGTTAAGTAGTGTAAAGAGGTCTATGTTGAACAAGGAATATCTTTACATAAAAACTGCAAAGAAGCCTTATGAGAAACTGCTTTCTCATGAGTGTGTTCATCTCACAGAGTTAAGTCCTTCTATTCATTGAACAGTTTGGAAACACTGTTGTTTTTACACAATCTGTGAAGGGACATTTGGGAGCGCATTGAAGCCTATGAAGGAAAGGAAATATCTTCAGGGAAGAACTAGACAGAAACTATCTGAGAAATTGCTATGTGATGTGTATTCATCTCACAGAGTTAAACTTTTCTTTTCATTGAGGAATATGGAAACACCGTTTTTGTAGAAGCTGCAATATATGGGAGTGCACTGTAGCCTATGGCCTATGGTGACAAAGTAAAATCTTCAGATAAAAACTACTAAGACAATTTTGGAGAAACTGCTATGTGATGTTTGCATTCAAATCACAGAGGTAAACCTGTTCTTTGATTGAGCAGCTTAGAAACACTGTTTCTGTAGAACCTGTGAAGGGATATTATGGAGAGTGTTGAGGCCTATGGTCAAAAAAGAAATATCTTCAGAGAAGAACTAGACAATAGCTTTCTGAGAAACTGCTTTGTGATGTGTACAACCTTCTCTCAACTTTAAACATTACTTTTGATTGAACAGTTTGGAAACAATATTTTTGCAGAATCTGCCAATGGATATTTAGGAGCACATTGAGGCCTACGGTGTAAAAGGAAATAACTTCAGATAAAACCTAGAAAGAAGCTTTCTGAGAAACTGCTTTGTGATGTACACATTCATCTCACAGAGTTAAACTTTCCTTTCAATGAGCAGTTGGGAAACACTGTTTTTGTATAATCTGCAAAGAAATGTTAGGTAGTGGAAAAAGGTCTATGGTGAACAAGGGGTATTTTCAGATAAAAAGTGCAAAAAAGCATTATGAGAAATTGATTTCTGATGTTTGTGTTCCCCTCACAGAGGTAAATTCTTCTTTCACTGGAACAGGTCAGAAACACAGTTTGTACAGAATCTGCAAAGGAAAATTTGGGAGCACATTGAGGCCTATAGTGGAAAAGGAAATATCTTCAGAGAAGAACTAGAGAGAAAACATCTGAGAAACTGCTTTGTGAGTGTGTATTCATCTCACAGAATTATACCTTTCTTTTGATTGACAAGTATGGAAACACTGTTTTTGTAGAATCTGCAAAGGTGTATTTCGGAGCACACTGAGACCTATGGTGAAAAAGGAAATATCTTCAGATAAAAACTACAAAGACGATTTTAGAGAAACTGCTATGTGATGTGTGCATTAATCTCACACAGTTAAAACTTTCCTTTGACTGAGCAGTTTGGAAACGCTCTTCTTGCAAGATTTGTGAAACATTATTAGGAAGCGCAAAAAAGCCAATGGTGAAGAAGGAAATATGTTCAGATAAAAACTGGAAAGAAGCGTTATGAGATACTGCTTTCTGAAGTGTGTGTTCATCTCACAGAGATAAGTCCTTCTTTTGATGGAACAGTTTGGAAACACTGTTTTTGTAGAATCTGTGAAGGGATATTTGGGAGCAATTTGAGGCCTATGGCGGAAAAGAAATTATCTTCGGAGAAGAACTCGACAGAAGATTTTGAGAAACTGCTTTGGGATGTGTCCATTGTTCTCACAAAGTTAAATGTTTCTTTTGAATGAGCAGTTTGGAAACACTGTTTCTGTAGAATCTGCAAAGGCATATTTGGGAGTGCATTGATGCCTATGGTGGAAAAGGAAATATCTTCAGATAAAAACTAGAAAGAATGTTTTAGGGAAATGACTTTGTGATGTGTGCATTCATCTCATAGAGTTAAACCTTTCTTTGGAATGATCAGTTTGTAATCATTATTTTTGTATAATCTGTGAAGCGACGTGAGGTAGTGCAAAAGAAGCCTCCAGTGAACCAGGAAATATATTCAGATAAAATCTGTAAAGAAGAGTTATGAGAAACTGATTTCCAAAGTGTGCGTTCATCTCACAGAGTTAAATCCTTCTTTTGAGGGAACAATTCAGAAACAATGTTTTCATAGAGTCTGTGAAGTGATATTTGGGTGTGCATTGAGGCTTACTGTGGAAAAGGAAATATGTTCAGAGAAGAACTAGACAGAAGCTATCTGAGAAACTGCTTTGTGATGCCTGAATTCATCTCGCAGAGTTAAACGTTTCTTTTGATTGAGCAATTTGGAAACACTTTTATTGTAGAACCTGCACAGGTATATTTGGGAGCACATTGAGTACTATGCTGAAAAAGGAAACACCTTCGGATAAAAAATAGAAAGAAGCCATTTGATAAACTGCTTTGTGATGTGTGAATTCATCTTACAGAGTTAAAACTTTCTTTTGATTGGTCAGCTTGGAAACACTGTTTTTGTACAATCTGCAAAAGGATATTGGGGAACGCACAAGGCCTATGGTGAAAAACGAAATAACTTCAGATAAAAATTAGAAAGAAGCTTCTGAGAAATCCCTTTGTGGGGTGTGCATTGTTCTAACAGTATTAAACCTTTATTTGATTTAGCAGGTTGGAAACATTGTTTTTATAGAATCTGCAAAGGGATAATTAGGAGAACACTGATGCCTACGGTGCATATATTCATCTCACAGAGTCAAAACTTTCTTTTGACTGAGCACTTTGGATACTCTGTTTTTGCAAAAATCTGTGAAGCAATATTTGGTACCACAAAAAAGCCTACAGTGAAGAAGGAAATACCTTCAGATGAAAACTGTAAAGAAGCTCCATGAGAAACTGATTTCTTATGTGTGCATCCATCTCAGAGTTAAGTCCTTCTTTTGGTTGAACAGTTTGGAAACACTGTTTTTGTAGAACCTGTGTATGGATATTTGGCAGGGCATTGAGTCCTATGCTGGAAAAGGAAATATCTTCAGAGAGAACTGGACAGAAGCTTTCTGAGAAACTGGGTTTTTATGTGTGCTTTTATCTCACAGAGATAAAGTTTCTTTTGATTGAGCATTTTTGAAACACTCTTTTTGTACAATCAGCAAAGGGATATTTGGGAGAGCATTGAAGACTATGGTGAAGAAGGAAATACCTTTGTATAAAAACTGGAAAGAATCTTTCTGAGAAACTGCTTTGTGATGTGTGCATTCTTGTCACAAAGTTAAAAGATTGTTTTGATTGAGCAGTTTGGAAATGCTGTTTTAGTAGAATCTGTGAAAGGATATTTGGTAAGGCACTGAGGCCTATTGTAAATAAAGGAAATGCCTACAGATAACAACTTTCTCAGAATGAAGATTTCTGACAAACCACTTTGTGAAGTGTACATTCTTCTCAGAGACTGAAAGCTATCTTTTGATTGAGGAGTTTGGAATCACTGTTTTTGTAGAATCTGCAGTGGGATATTGGAAAGCACTGTTAGCCCTATGGTGGAAAAGGAAATATCTTCTGATAAAATCTAGAAAGAAGCATTTTGAGAAACTGCTTAGTGATGTCTGCATTTATCTCAAAGAGTTAAACCTTTCTTTTGATTGATCAGTTTGGAAACACTGTTTTTGTAGAATCTGTGAAGAGATATATGGGAGCTCATGAGGCCTATGATGAAGAAGGAAATAACTTCAGATAAAAACTGGAAAGAAGAGATATGATAAACAGCTTTCTCATATGCACATTCATCTCACAGAGTTAAATCCTTCTTTTGATGGAACAGTTCAGAAGCAACTTTTTAATAGAATCAGCAAATTGATATGTTGGAGTGCATTGAGGCCTATGGTGGAAAAGGAAATATCTTCAGTGAGGAACTAGACAGAAACAATCTGAGAAACTGCTTTGTGATGTGTGTGTTTATCTCACAGAGTTAAACCTTTATTTTAACTGAGCAGTTTGGAAACACTGTTTTTGTAGGATCTGCGACAGGATATTTGGGAGCGCATTGAAGCCTATGGTGATAAATGGAATATTTTTGGATAAAAACTGGAAGGAAGATTTTTGGGAAACTGCTTTGTGATGTGTGTATTCATCTCATGGAGTGAAACCTTTCATATGACTGGGCAGATGGAAACACTGTTTGTGCAAAATCTGTGAAGCAATATTTTGTAGTGTAAAAAAGCCTATGGTGAACAAGGAAATATCTTCAGATGGACATATTTTCATATAACAACTCAATAGAAGTGTTATGAGAAACTGCTTTCTGATGTGTAAGTTCATCTCACAGAGTTAAGTCCTTCTTTTGATGGAACAGTTTGGAAACACTGGTTTTGTAGTATCTATGAAGGGATATTTGGGAGTGAATTAACACTTATGGTGGAAAAGGAAATAACTTCAGAGAAAAACTAGACAGTTGCTCCCTGAGAAACTGCTTTGTGACGTGTGCATTCATCTCACAGACTTACAACTTCCTTTTGATGGAACAGTTTGGAAACACTGTTTTTGTAGAATCTGCAAAGGGATATTTGGGAGCACACAGGGCCTATGGTGAAAAAGGAAATGACTTCAGATAAAAACTAGAAGGAAGCTTTCTGAGAAACCACTTTGTGATGTCTGCATTCTTCTCTCTAAGTTAAACGTTTCTGTTGATTGATCAGCTTGCAGACACTGTTTTTCTAGAATCTGCAAAGGGAGATTTCGAAGCACACTGATGCCTATGGTGAAAAAGGAAATATCTTCCAATAACAATGAACAAGACAGTTTTGTGAAACTGCTTTGTAACGTATGCATTCATCTCACAGAGTTAAACTTTTATTTTGACAGAACAGTTTGGAAACACTGTCTTTGTATAACCTGTAAAGCGATGTTTTGTAGAGAAAAAAGGCCTAAGGTCATCATGGAACAATATTCAGATAAAAACTGGAAAGAAGCGCAATGAGAAACAGCTTAGTCATATGTCTGTTCATCTCACAGAGTTAAATCCTAGTTATGATGGAACCGTTTGGAAGCCCTGTTCTTATAAAATCTGTGAAGGGATATTTGAGAGTGCATTTAGGTCTCAGGAGGAAAAGGAATTATCTTCAGAGAAGAACTTGACATAAGCTATCTGAGAAACTGCTTTATGATATGTGCATTCATGTCACAGAGTTAAGGATTTCTTTTTATTGAGCAGTTTGGAAACACGGTTTTTGTAGAATATGCAAAAGTATATTTTGGTGTGCACTGAGGCCTATGGTGAAAAAGGAAACATCTTTGGAAAAAAACTAGAAAGAAGATTTTTGAGAAACTACTTTGTGAGGTGTGCATTCAATTCACAGAGTTAAACCTCTTTTTTGATTGAGTAGTTTGGAAACACTGTTTTTGTAGATTCTTCAAAGGGATATTTCAGAGTGCATTAAGGTTTATGGTGGAAAAAGAAATATCTTCAGAGAAGAGCTAGACAGATGCTTTCTGAGAAAGTGCTTTGAGATGCTTGAATTTATCTCACAGAGTTAAACCTTTGTTTTGACTGAGCAGTTTGGAAACACTGTTTTCATAGAATCTGTGAAGGGATATTTGGGAGCACTTTGAAGCCTCTGTTGAAAAAGGAAGTATGTTCAGATAAAAGCTGGAAAGAAGCTTTTTGAGAAACTGCTTTGTGATGTGTGCATTCATCTCACAGAGTTAAACATTTTTTTGACTTGGTGGTTTGGAAACACGGTTTTTGCAAAATCTGTGAAGCGATATTAGGAAGCACAAAAAAGCCTACTGTGAAAAAGGAAATGATTTCAGATAAAAAGTGGAAAGAAGCTTTATGAGAAACTGCTTTCTGATGTCAGCGTTCATCTCAGAAAATTAAGTCCTTTTTTCCTTGGAGGAGTTTAGAAACACTGTTTTTGTAGAATCTACAAAGGGATATTTGGGAGCACATTGAGGCATATGGTGGAAAAGGAAATATCTTCAGAGAAGAATTAGACTGATGCTTTCTGAGAAACTGCTTTGTGATGTGTGCATTCCTCTCACAGAGTTAAACCTTTATTTGACTGAGCTGTTTGGAAAAACTGTTTGTACAATCTGCAAAGCGATGTTACATAGTGCAGAAAGGCCTACTCTGAACAGGAAATATCTTCAAATAAAAACTGGAAAGTAGTGTTATGAGAAAATGCTTTCTGATGTCTGTGTTCATCTCACAGAGTTAATCCTTGTTTTGATAGAACTGTTGGGAAACATTGTTTTTATAGAATCTGTGAAGGTATATTTGGAAGCTCATTGAGGGTTATAGTGGACAAGAAAATAACTTCAAAGAAGACCTGGACAGAAGCTTTCTGAGAAACTGCTTTGGGTTGTGTGCCTTCATCTCACAGAGTTAAACCAGGTTTTTGATTGAGCAGTTTGGAAACACTGCTTTTGTAGATTCTGTGATGGGATATTTCAGAGCACTTTGAAGAGTATTATTACAATATTTTTGGAGAAATCCTAGGAAGAACCTATTTGAGAAACTGCTTTGTGATGTGTGCATTCATTTCACAGACTTAAACCTTTATTTTGACTGAACCATTTGGAAACACTGGTTTTGTAGAATCTGCAAAGGGATATTTGGGAGTGCATAGAAACCTAAGGTGATAAAAGAAATATCCTGTGATATAAACTAGACAGAAGATTTTTGAGAAAATGCTTTGTAATGTGTGTGTTCCAATTGCAGAGTTCAACCTGTTTTTGACTGAGCAGTTTGGAAACACTGTTCTTATGTAATCAGTGAAGGGATATTTGGCAGTGCAATGAAGCCTATGGTGATAATGGAAATAACTTGATTAAAAACTAGAAAGAAGGGTTCAGAGAAACTGCTTTTTGATGTGTGCATTCATCTCACATATTTAAACCTTTCTCATGACTGAGAAGTTTGGAAACACAGCTTTTGCAAAATCTGCAAAGGTAGGTCAAGTAGCTCAAGAACCCCTGTGGTGAAAATGCAAATATATTCAGATAAAAACTAGAAAGAAGCTCTTTGAGAAACTGCTTCATGATGGATGCATTGATCTTACAGAGTTAAACTTTTCTTTTGACTGAACAGTTTGGAAACACTGTTTATGTATAATCAGCAAATCGATGTTAGGTAGTGCAAAAAGGCCTGTGGTGAGCAGGGAAATATCTTCATACAAAAAATGGAAAGAAGCGTTATGAAAAACTGCTTTCGATGTGTGCATTTGTCTCACACAGTTAAGTCCTTCTTTCAATGGAACTGTGTAGAAACACTGTATTTGTAGAATCTAGGAGGGGATATGTGGGAGCATCTAGAGGCCTATGGTGGAAAAGGAAATATCTTCAGAGAAGAAATAGACAGAAGCTTTCTGAGAAACTGCCTTGTGATGTGTACATTCATGTCACAGACTGAAACCTTTGTTTTGATTGAGCAGTTTGGAAACACTGTGTTTGTGGAATCCGTGAAGGGATATTTGGGAGTGCATGGAAGCCTATGGTGAAAAGGGAAGTACATTTGGATCAAATCTAGAAAGAAGCTTTTTGACAAACTGCTTTGTGAAGTCTGCATTCGTCTCACAGTTTTAAACTTCTGTTTCGATTGATCAGTTTGGAAACAATGTTTTTGCAGAATCTCCAAAGGGATATTTGGGAGCGCACAAAGCCAATGGTGAAAAAGGAAATAACTTTAAATAAAAACTAGAAAGAAGTTTTCTGAGAAACTACTTTGTGATCGGTGCATTCTTCTCACAGAGTTAAAACCTTCTCTTGATTGAGCAGCTTGGAAGCACTGTTTTTGAAAAATCTGCAAAGGGATATTTTGCAGCCCGTGAGGCCAATTGTGGAAAAGGAAATAATTGCAGATAAAAACTAGAAAGAAACTTTCTGAGAAACCACTTTTGTTGTGTGTATTCTTCTCACAGAGTTAAACGTTTCTGTTGATTGAGCAGTTTGGAAACTGTGTTTTTGTAAAATCTGCAAAGGGATATTTGGGAGTCCACTGATGCCTATGCTGGAAAAGAAAATATCTTCAGATAAAAATTCTAGAAAGAAACTTTTTGAGAAACTGTTTTGTGATGTATACATTCATCTCAAAGAGTTAGACTCTTCTTTTGATTGAGCAGTTTGGAAACACTGTTTTTGTAGAATCTGCCAAGGTATATTTGGGAGCGCCCTGAGGCCTATTGTGAGCAATGAAATATCTTCAGAGAAGAGCTAGACAGAAGTTTTCCAGGAAACTGCTTTGTGATGTGTGCATTCCTCTCACAGAGTTAAACCTTTCTTTTGAAAGAGCAGTTTCAAAACACTGTTTTTCTAGAATCTGCAAAGGTATATTTTGGTGCACACAGTGTCCTATGGTGAAAAAGTGATTATCTTGGATAAAAAATAGAAATAAGTTTTTTGAAAAACTGCTTGGTGTTGTGTGCTTTCAACTCATGATGTTAAACATGCTTTTTGATTAGGCAGTTTGGAAACACTGTTTTTTGTAGAATCTGCAATTGAATATTTTGGAGTGCTTTGAAACCTATGGTGAAAAAGGAAATATCTTCGGATAAAAACTAGAAGGAAGCTTTCTGAGAAACTGCTTTGTGATGTGTGCATTCACCTCACGGGGTTAAACCTTTCTTTTCATTGATCAGCTTGGAAACACTGTTTTTGTAGGATCTGCGAATGGATATTTGGGAGCACATGAGGCCTATGGTGAAAAAGGAAATAATTTCAGATAAAAAATAGAAGCAAGCTTTCTGAGATATCATTCAGTGATGTATGCATTCTTCTCACAGATAAAAGTTTCTTTGGATAGATCATTTTGGAAACTGTTTATTTAGAATCTGCAAAGGGACATTTGGGAGACACTGATGCCTTTGGTGAAAAATGAAATATATTCTGATAAAAAATAGAAGGAAGCTCTTGAGAAACTGCTTTGTGATGGATGCATTCATCTCACAGAGTTAAACTTTTATTTTGAAGGAGCAGTTTGGAAGTACTCTTTTTTATCATCTGTGAATTGATGTTAGGTAACACAAAAGGCCTATGTTGAACAAGGAAATTTCTTCAGATAAAATCTGGAAAGAAGCATTATAAGAAACTGCTTTCAGATGTGTGCATTCATCTCACAGAGTTAAACCTTTCTCTTGATTGAGCAGTTGTGAAACACTGTTTTTGTAGTGTCTGCAAAAGTATATTTGGGAGCATATTGAGGCCTATGTTGAAAAAGGTAATATCCTTGGATGAAAACTACAAAGAAGTTTTGAGCAACTGTTTAGTGAAGTGAGTTAACATTCAGTTTGAATGAGCAGTCTGGAAACACTGCTTTGTACAGTCTGTGAGGGGATATTAGGGAGCGCACAAGGCCTATGATGAAAAAGGAAATATCTTCGGATATAAACTAGAAAGAAGCTTTTTGAGAAACTGCTTTGTGAAGTGGGCATTCATCTCACAGAGGTAAAACTTTCTATTAATGGAGCAATTTTGAAACACTGTTATTGCAAAATCTGAGAAGCAATATCAGGAAGCACAAAAAAGCCTAAGGTGAACCAGGAAATATCTACAGATAAAAACTGTAAAGAAGCGTTATGAGAAACTGCTTTCTGATGTGTACATTCATCTCACAAAGTCCTTCTTTAGATGGAGCAGTTTGGAAGCACTGTTTTTGTACAATCATCTGTGGAGGGATATTTGGGTGTGCATGGGGCTTATGGTGAAAATGGAAATAACTTCAGATAACAACTATAAAGAAGCTTTCTGTGAAATCTCTTTGTGATGTGTGTGTTCTTCTCACAAAGTTAAATGTTTCTTTGAATTTAGTAGTTTGGAAACACAGTTTTTGTAGAATCTGCAAAGGGATATTTGGGAGCCCACAGATGCCTATGGTTAAAAACGAAATATCTTAGAGTGAAAACTAGAAAGAAGATGTTGAGAGACTGCTTTGTGATATATGCATTCATCTCAAAGAGTCAAACTTTTCTTTTGACAGAGCAGTTTGGTAACACTGTTTTTGTATAATCTGCAAATTGATGTTAAGTAACGCAAAAAGTCCTATGGTGAAGAAGGAATTAATTTCAGATAGAAACTGGAAAGAAGCATTAAGAGAAACTGCTTTCTGATGTGTGTGTTCATCTCACAGTGATAAATCCTTCTTCTGAAGGAAGAGTTCAGAAACAGTTTCATAGAATCTGTGAAGGGATATTTGTGAGCGTATTGAGGCCTATGGTGGAAAAGGATATATCTTCAGAGAAGAACTAGACAGAAGCTATCTGAGAAACTGCTCTGTGATATGTGCCTTCAACTCACAAATTTAACACTGTTTGTTGAGCAGTTTGGAAACAGTCTTTTTGTAGAATCTGCAATGGAATATTTGGCAGCCCATTGAAGCCTATGGTGATAAAGGAAATATCTTCAGAGAATAACTAGCCAGAACTTATCTCAGGCCTATGGAGAAAAAGGAAATATATTTGGATAAAAATAGAAGCATGTTGAGAAATGGCTTTTTGATGTGTCCATTCACCACACAGATTTGAATCTTTCCTTTGACTGAGCTGTTTTGAAACGCTGTTTTTGTATAATCTAAAAAGCGATATTAGGTAGCACAAAAAAGCCTATGGTGAAAAAGGAACTATTGTCATATAAAAACAGGAAAGAAGTGTTATGAGAAACTGCTTTCTGATCTGTACATTCATCTAACAGAGTTGTCCTTCTTTTGATGGAACAATTTGGAAACAGTGTTTTTGTAGAATCTGCAAGGGAAAATTTTGGAGCGCATTGAGGCCTAAGGTGGAAAAGGAAGTATCTTCATTGAAGAACTAGATAGAAGCTTTCTGAGAAACTGGTTTGTGATGTGTGCATTCATCTCACAGAGTTAAGGTAAACCTTTCTTTTGATTGAGGAGTTTGGAAACACTGGTTTTGTGGAATATGCAAAGGGATATTTGGGAGCGCATTGAAGCCTAAGGTGATAAAGGAAATATCTTAGGATAAAAACTAGAAAGAAGCTTTTTGAGAACATTCTTTCACATATGTGCCTTCAACTCACAGAGTTAAACCTTTTTTTTGTTTGAGCAGTTTGGAAACACTGTTTTTGTGGGATCTGCAAAGGGATATTTGGGATCGCATAGAAGGGTATGGTGAAAAAGGAATTATCTTCCATTAAAAATTAGAAAGGAGCTTTTTGAGAAACTGCTTTCTGATGTGTGCATTCATCTCACAGAGTTAAACCTTTCTTTTATATAGAGCAATTTGGAAACACTGCTTTTGTATAATCAGCAAAGTGATATTAGCTAGTGCAAAGAGGCCTATGGTGAAAAACGAAATATTTTCAAATAAAAACTGGAAAGAATCTTTCTGAGACACTGATTTGTGATTTCTGCATACATTTCACAGTGTTAAATCTTTTCTTTGCTGGCACAATTTGGAAAAACACTTTTGGCAGCATCTGTGAAGGGTTATTTGGGAGCTCTTTGAGGCCTACAGTGAAAAAGGTAATATCTCCAGAAAAAAACTAGAAAGAAGCTTTCTGGGAAACTACTTTGTGATGTGTGCATTTATGTGACAGAGTTAAACCTTTCTTTTGACAGAGAAGTTTCAAACAACTCTTCTGGTAGAATCTGCAATGGAATATATGGGAGCACATTGAGGTCTATAATGAAAAAGGAAATGAATTTGGAAAAAAAACTACCAAGAGGCTTTCTGAGAAACCGTTTTGTGATGTGTGTATTCTTCTCACAGATTTAAATCTTTCTTTTAATTGAGCAGTTTGGAAACACTATTTTTATAAAATCTGCAATGGGATACTTGAAAGCACAGATAGGCCAAAGGTGAAAAGGAAATATCTTCAGATAAAAACTGGAAAGAACCTTTTTGAGAAACTGCTTTCTGAGGTGTGCATTCATCTCACAGAGTTATACCTTTCTTTTCACTGAGCAGTTTGGAAACTCTGTTTTTATATAATCTGCGAAGTGATATTAGTTAGCACAAAAGCATATGGTGAAAAGGGAAATATCTTCAGATAAAAACTGGAAATAAGAGTTATGAGAAACTGCCTTCTGATGAGTACGTTCATCCCACAGAGTTAAGTCCTACTTTTGTTGGAACAGTTTGGAAATACTGTTTTTGTAGAATCTGCGAAGGGATATTTGGGAGCACATTGAGGCCTATGGTGGAAAAGGAAATATCTTCAGGTAAGAACTAGACAGAAGCTGGCAGAGAAACTGCTTTCTGATGTGTGCATTCATATCACACAGTTAGACCATTCTTTTGATTGAGCAATTTGGAAACACTTTGCAGAATCTGTGAAGGGATACTTGTGAGAACATGACACCTTTGGTGAAAAAGGAAATAACTTCAGTTAAAAACTAGAAAGAAGCTTTATGAGAAACTGCTTTGCTATGTGGGCATTCTTCTCAGAGAATTAAACGTGTTTTTTTTGATTGAGCAGCTCAGAGTCACTGTTTTTGTAGAATCTGCAAAGGGATATTTTGGAGTGCACTGATGTCTACAGTGAAAAAGGAAATGTCATCAGATAAAAACTACAAAGAAGCTTTCTGAGACACTGATTTGTGATGTTGGCATTTATTTCACACTGATAAATTTTTCCTTTAATGGTGCCATTTGGAAACACCCTTTTTTCAGAATCTGTGAAGAATTATTAGGGAATGCATTGAGGACTACAGTGAAAAAGGAAATATCTCAATATAAAAATTAGAAAGAATATTTCTGAGAAACAGTTGTGTGATGTGTGCATTCTTCTCACAGAGTTAAACTTTTCTTTTGATTGAGTAGTTTGGAAACACTGTTTTTGTAGAATCTGCAAAGGGATATTTGGCAGCACACAAGGCCTACGGTGAAAAAGCAAATAACTTCAGATAAAAACTAGAAAGAAGCTTTTAGAGAAACTGCTTTGGATATGTGCATTCATCTCACAGAGTTAAACTTTTCTTTTGACTGAGCTCTTTGGAAATACTCTTTTTGAAAAATCTGTGAAAAGATATTAAGTAGCACAAAACAGCCTATTGTGAAACAGGAAGTAACTTCAGATAAAACCTGGAAAGAAGTGTTATGGCAAACTGCTTTCTGATTTATGCATTCACCTCAGAGAATTAAATTCTTCTTTTGATGGAACAGTTTGGAAGCAATATTTTTATAGAATCTGAAGAGGTATATTTTGGAGTGCACTCAAGCCTATGTTTGAAAAGGAATTATCTTCAGAGAAGACCTAGACATAATCTATCTGAGAAACTGCTTTGTGACATGTGCATTCTACTGACAGAGTTAAACCTTTCTTTTGATTGAGCAGTTTGGAAGCACTGTTTTTGTAGAATCTGCAAAGGGATATTTGGGAGCACACTGTGGCCTATGGTGAAAAGGGAAATAACTTTGGGTAAAAACTGGAAAAAAGCTGTTGGAGAAACCGCTTTGTGAAGTGTGCATTCAACTCACATAGTTAAACCTATCTTTTGATTGAGCAGTTTGGAAACACTGTTTTTGTAGAATCTGCAAAGGGATATTTGGGAGCATGTTGAAGCCAATTGTGATAAAGGAAATATCTTCGGATAAAAACTAGAAAGCAGATTTTTGAGAAACTGCTTTGTGATGCGTGCATTCACCTCTCAGAGTTAAACGTGGCTTTTGATTGAGCAGTTTGGAAACACTGTTTATGTGTAATCTGCAAAGTGATGTTAGGTAGCACAAAAAGGCCCATGCTGAAAAAGGAAGTATCTTTAGATATAAACTGGAAAGAAGCGTTATGAGAAACTGCTTTCTAATGTGTGCATTCATATCACAGATTTAAGTCCTTGTTTTGATGGAACAGTTCGGAAACTGTTTTTGTAGAATCGCTGAAGGAATATTTGGGAGTGTAATGAGGCCTACATTGAAAAAGGAAATAAACTCTGGTAAAAAATACAAAAAGCTTTCTAAGAAACAGCTCTTTGATGTGTGCATTCTTGACACAGATTTAAATATTTCTTTTGATTGAGCAGTTTGGAAACACTCTTTAAGTAGAATTTGCAATTGGATATTTGAAAGTGCAGTTAGGCCTATGATGAAAAAGGAAATATCTTCAGATAAATACTAGAAAGAAGCTTTTTGAGAAACTGCATTTTGATGTGTACATTCATCTCACAGAGTTAAACATTTCATTAGACTGAGCAGTTTGCAAACACTGTTTTTGTGTAATCTGCAAAGCAATATTAGGTAGCTCAAAAAGCCTATGATGAAAAAGGAAATATCTTCACATAAAATCTGGAAAGAATCGTTATGAGATACTACTTTCTGATGTGTGCGTTCATCTCACAGATTTAAGTCCTTTTTTTGATGGAGCACTTTGAAAACTCTTTTATTGTAGAATCTGTGAAGGGATATTTGGCAGCACATTCAGGCCTATCATGGAAAAGGCAATATCATCAGAGAAGAACTAGACAGAAGCTTTATGAGAAACAGCTTTGCAATGTCTGCATTAATCTCACAGAGTTAAACCTTTATTTTGATTGAGACTTTTGGAAACACTGTTTTTCAGGAATCTGCAAAGGGATATCTGGGAGCACATTGAAGCCTACATTCAAAAATGAATTATCTTCGGATAAAAACTAGAAAGAAGCTTTCTGAAAAACTGCTTTGTGATGTGTGGATTCATCTCACAGGGCTAAACCTGTCTTTTGATAGAGCACTTTGGAAACACATTTTGGATGAACTGCAAAGTGACAATAATTAGCATAAAGTGGCCTATGCTGAAAAATGAAACGTCTTCAGATCAAAACTGGAAAGAAGCTTCTGAGAAACAGCTTTGTGATGTGGGCATTCTTTTCATAGAGTTAGACATATCTTTTGATTGATATGTTTGGAAACACTGTTTTGTAGAATCTGCAAAGTTATATTTAGGAGCACATTGAGGCCTATAGTGAAAAAGGAAATATCTTTGGATACAAATAAGACAGAAGCTTTTTGAGAAACTTGAGTGCATTCATCTCACAGAGTTAAAGTTATTTTTTATTGCCCAGTTTGGAAACACTGTTTTTGTAGAATCTGAGATGGTGTATGGGGAAAGCATTGAAGCCTATGGTAAAAAAATAAATAACTATGGATTAAAACTAGAAAGAAGCTTTTTGAGAAACTGTTTTGTGATGTGTGCATTCATTGCACAGAGTTAAACCTTTCATTTGATGGAACAGTTTGGAAACACTGTTTTTGGGTAATCTGCAAGGCGATATTACATAGCTCAGAAAAGCCTATGATGAAAAAGGAAATATCTGCAGTTAAAAACTGGAAAAAGGTGTAATGAGAAACTGCTTTTTGATGTATGCGTTCATCTCTCTGACTTAAGTCCTTCTTTTAATGGAACAGTTTGGAAATTCTGTTTTTGTAGAATCTGCAAAGGGATATTTAGCAGTGCATTGAGGTCTACAGCAGAAAAGGAAGTATCATCAGAGAAGAAGTAGACAGAAGCTTTCTCAGAAACTGCTCAGTGAAATCTGCATTCATCTCACAGAGTTCAAACTTTCTTTTGACTGATCCTTTTAGAAACACTGTTTTTGTAGAATCTGCAAAGTGATATTTGGGAGCACATTGAAGCCCATGGTTAAAAAGGAAATATCTTCAGATAAAAACTAGAAAGAAGATTTTTGAGAAACTGCTTTGTGATGTGTGCATTCATCTCACAGAGTTAAACATTTCTTTTTTTAGAGTTGTTTGGAAACAATATTTTTGTACAATTTGTGAAGTGATATTAAGTAGTGCAAAGAGGCCTATGGTGAAAAAGGAGATATCTTCTGATAAAAACTGGAAAGAAGCTTTCTAAGGGACACTGATTTGTGATGTGTGCATTCACTTAACAGTGATAAATTTTTCCTTTGATGGAGCCTTTTGGAAACACACAATTGGCAGAGTCTGTGAAGGGTTATTTTGGAGAGCATTGAGGCCTATGGTGGAAAAGCAAATATCTCCAGGTAAAAACTAGAGAAAAGCTTTCTGAGAAACTGCTTTGTGATGTGTGCCTTCATCTCACAGAGTTAAACCTTACTTTTCATTCATCACTTTGGAAACAATTTTTTGGTAGAATCTGCTAAGGGATATTTGGGAGTGCATTGAAGCCTGTGGTGAAAAACGAAATATCTTCAAATAAAAATCAGACAGAAGCTTTCTGAGTGCATTGAGGTCTATTGTGAAAAAGGAAATAACTTCATATAAAAAAAAGAAAGAAGCTTTCTGAGAAACTGATTTTTGATACGTGCATTTATCTCATAGAGTTAAACATTTCTCTGGATTCACCAGTTTGGAAACACTGTTTTTGTCCCTTCTGAGAATGGACATTTGGGAACTCATTGACACCAAGGGCAAAAAAGAGAATATCCCAGGTTAAATACTAGAAGGACAGTATCTGAGAAACCACTTTGTGATGTCTGCATTCATCTTGCAGAGATAAATCCTTCTTTTCCTTCAGCAGTTTGGAATCACTGTTTTTGCAGTATCTGCGAAGGGAAATATGGGAGCACTTTGAGGCTTTGATGAAAAAGGAAATATCTTCAGATAAAAATAGAAAGAAGCTTTCCAAGAAACTGCTTTGTGGTGTGTGCATTCATCTCACAGAGTTAAAACTTTCTTTGGATTCAGCAGTAGGGAAACACTGTTTTTGTCCATTCTGCAAATGGATATTTGGGAACTCATTGAGGCCAATGGCAGAAAAGCCAATATCCCAGGATAAAAACTAGAAAGAAGGTATCTTAGAAACCGTGTTCTGATGTGGGCTTTCATCTCACAGAGTTTAACCTTTGTTTTTGTTCAGCAGTTTGGAAACACTCTTTTGGTAGAATCTGTGAAGGGAAAATTTGGGAGCACACTGAGGCCTATATTGAAAAAGGAAATATCTTCAGATAAAAACTAGAAAGAAAACTTCTGAGAAATTGCTTTGTGATGTGTACATTAATCTCATAGAGTTAATCGTTTCTTTGCATTCAGCAGTTTGGAAACACTGCTTTTGTCCATTCTTTGAAAGGACTTTTGGGAGCTCGTTGAGGTCAATGGCAAAAAAAGGAATATCCCAGGATAACAAAGAAGGAAGCTATCAGAGAATTCACGTTGTGATGGGTGCATGCATCTCACAGAGAAAAACATTTCTTTTCATTCAGTAGTTTGGAATCACTGTTTTTGCAGTATTGGCAAAGGGAAATTTGTGAGCACATTGAGGCCTTTGATGAAATAGGAAATATCTCCAGGTAAAAACTAGAAAGATTTATCAGAAACTGATTTGTGATGTGTGCATTCATCTCACAGATTAAAACTTTCTTTGGATTCACCAGTTTGGAAACACAGTTTTTGTCCATTCTACAAATGGACATTTGGGAGCTCACCGAGGCCAATGGCAAAAAAGCGAATATCCCAGGATGAAAACTAGAAGGAAGCTATCTGAGAAACTGCTTCATCATGTGTGCATTCATCTTGCAGAGGTAAAATTTTCTTTGCATTCAGCAGTTTGGAAACACTGCTTTTGTCCATTCTTCAAATGGACTTTTGGGAGCTCATTGAGGTCAATGGCAGAAAAGGGAATATCCCAGGACAAAAAATCGAAGGAAGCTATATGAGAAATCATGTTGTGTTGGGTGCATGCATCTCACAGAGATGAAAGTTTCTTTTCATTCAGCAGTCTGGAATCACTGTTTTTGCAGTGTCAGCAAAGGGAAATTTTTGAGCACACTGAGGCCTTTGATGAAATAGGAAATATCCTCAGGTAAAAACTAGAAAGATGATTTCTCAGAAACTGGTTTGTGAGGTGTGCATTCATCTCACAGATTAAAACTTTCTTTGGATTCAGCAATTTGGATACAATTGTTGAATTGTTGTTGCCCATTCTGCGAATGGACCTTTAGGAGCTTATTGAGGACAAAGGCAAAAAAGGGACTATCCCAAGATAAAAACTAGAAGGAAGTTATCTGATAAACCACTTTGTTATGTGTGCATTCATCTCCTAGATTTCAACATCTCTTTATAGGGCAGTTTGGAAAGACTCTTTTGGTACGCTCTGTGATGGGATATTTGAAGGCACATTGAGGCCTCTGCTGAAAAGGGAAATATCTTCAGATAAAAACTAGTAAGCAGCTTTCTGGGCAACTGCTTTGTGATGTTTGCTTTCATCTCACAGAGTTAAACGTTTGTTTTGATTTAGGAGATTGAAAACACTGCTTTTGTCCATTCTGTGAATGTACATTTAGGAGCTCCTTGAGGCCATTGTCAAAAAAGGGAATATCACAGGATAAATACTAGAAGAAAGTTATCTGGGAGGCCACTTTGTGATGTCCACATTCATGTCACAGAATGAAACCTTTCTCTTCTTTCAGCAGTTTGGAAACACTCTTTTGGTAGAATCTGTGACAGAATATTTGGGAGCATATAGGGGCCTATGGAGAAAAAGAGAATTACTTCAGATAAAAACTAGAAAGAAGATTTTGAGAAACTGGTTTGAGATATGTGCATTCATCTCACAGTGTTAAAAATTTCTTTGGATTCAGCAGTTTGGAAAGACTGTTTTTGTTTATTCTGCAAATGGATATTTGGAAAATCATTGATGCCAAGGATGAAAAAGAGAATATCACATTATAAAAACTAGAAGGAAGCTATCTGAGAAACCGCTTTCTGATGTGGGAATTCATCTCACAGAGACAAACCTTTCTTTTCATTCAGCAGTTTGGAAACATTGTTCTGCTAGTATCTGCAAAGGGATATTTGGGAGCGCATTGAGGTCTTTGATGAAATAACAAATATCTTCAGATAAAAACTAGAAAGAAGCTTTCTGAGAAGCCGCCTTGTGATGTGTGCATTCATCCCATATACTTAAACTTCTCTTTGCATTCAGTTGTTTGTAAATATTGTTTTCGTCCATTTTGCGAATGGACATTTGGGAGCTCATAGAGGCCAATGGTGAAAAAAGGAATATCCCAGGATAAAAATTAGAAGGAAATTATCTGAGCAACCGTGTTGTGATGTGTGCATTTAACCACAGATTTAACTTTTCTTTTCATTCAGCAGTTTGGAAACACTATTGTGGTAGAATCTGCGAAGGGATATTTGGGAGCACATTGAGGCCTATGGCAAAAATTGAAATATCTTCAGATATAAACTAGAAAGAAGCTTTCTGAGAAATGGCTTTGTGATGTGTGCATTCACCACACAGAGTTAAATCTTACTTTGCATTCAGCAGTTTGGAAAGATTGTTTTTGTCAATTCTGCTAATGGACATTTGGGAACTCATCGAGGTCAATGGCAAAAAAGTGAGTATCCAAGGGTAAAAACTAGTAGGAAGCTATCTAAGAAACAGCTTTGCGATGTGTGCATTCAGCTCCTAGAGTTAAACCTTTCTTTTCATTCAGCTGTTTGGAAAGTGTTTTGGCAGAATCTGTGAAGGGATATTTGGGAGCGCTTTGAGGTCTCTGGTGAAAAAGGAAATATTTTCAGATAAAAATTTGAAAGAAGGTTTTTGAGAAACTGCTTTGTGATGTGTGCATTCATCTCACAGATTTAAAACTTTCTTTGGACTCATCAACTTGGAAACACTGTTTTTTGTCCATTCTGTGAATGCACAGTTGGGAACTCATTGAGGTCAGTGGTGAAGAAGTGAATATCCCAGGATGAAAACTGGAAGGAAGCTACCTGAGAAACCACTTTGTGATGTGTGCATTCATCTCCTAGCATTAAGCCTTTTTTGAATCAATGGTTTGGAAACACTTGATTGGTAGAATTTGTGAAGGGATATTTGGGAGCACATTGAGGCCTTTGATGGAAAAGGAAATATCTTCCAATAGAAACTAGAAAGAATGTTTCTGAAAAATGGCCTTGTGTTGTTAGCATTTATTTCTCATATTTAAACCTTTCTTTGGATTCAGCAATTTGGAAACACTTTTTTTGCCCATTCTGCAAATGGATATTTGGGACTCATTGAAGCCAAAGGCGAAAAAGAGAATACCACAGGATAAAAACTTGAAGGAAGCTATCTGACACACCACTTTGTGATGTGTGCATTGACCTCATAGAGATAAGCGTTTATTTTCATTCAGCAGTTTGTAATCCCTGTTTTTGCTGTATCTGTGAATGCAATTTTGGGAGCACTTTGAGGCCTTTGGTGAAAGAGGAAATATCTTCATATAAAAACATGAAAGAAGCTTTCTGAAGAACTGCTTTGTGATGTGTGCATTCATCTCACAGAGTTAAACCTCTCTTCGGATTCAGCAGTTTGGAAACACTGCTAATGGACATTTGGAAACTCATTGAGGCCAATGGACATTTGGAAACTCATTGAGGCCAATGGCAAACAAGGGAATATCCCAGGCTAAATATTAGAAGGAAGCTATCTGAGAAACTGCTTTGTGATGTGTACACTCATCTCCTGGAGTTAAACCTGTCTTTTCATTCAGCAGTTTGGAAACACTGTTTTGGTAGAATCTTTAAAAGTATATTTGGGAGCCCTTTGAGGCCTATAGTGAAAAAGGAAATATCTTCAGATAAAAACCAGGAAGAGGCTTTGTGAGAAATTGCTTTGTGATGTGTACATTCATCTCACAGAGTTAAACATTTCTTTGGATTGAGAAGTTAGGAAACACTGTTTTTGTCTATTCTGAGAATGGACATTTTGGAGCTCTTTGAGGTCAATGGTAGAAAAGGGATTATCCCAGGATAAAAACTAAAAGAAGCTACCTGAGAAACCGTGTTGTTTTGTGGGCATTCATCTCACAGAGTTAAACATTTCTTTTTATTCAACAGTTTGGAAACACTGTTAGGGTAGAATGTGTGAACAGGTATGTGGGATCGCATTGAAGCCTTTGGTGAAAAATGAAATATCTTCAGATAAAAACTAGAAAGAAACTTTCTGAGAACCTGCTTTTTGATGGGTGCATTCATTTCACAAACTTAAACTTTTTTTTGGATTCAGCAGTTTGGAAACTTTGTTTTTGTCCTTTCTGCGAATGGACATTTGGGAACTCATTGAGGCCAATGGCAAAAAAGTGAATATCCCTGGATGAAAATTAGAAGGAAGCTGTCTGAGAAACTGCTTTGTGATGTGCGCATTCATCATCTAGAGTTAAACCTTTCTTTACATTAAGCAGTTTGGAAACAGTGTTTTGGTAGAATCTGCGAAGGGATGTTTCATTGTGCTTTGAGGGCTCTGCTGAAAAAGGAAATATCTTCAGATAAAAAAAGAAAGAAATTTTTTGAGAAACCGCTTTGTGATTTGTGCATTCATATCACAGAATTAAACGTTTCTTAGGATTCAGCAGTTTGGGAGCACTATTTTTCTCCATTCTGCAAATGGACATTTGGGAGGTCATTGAGGCCAGGGGTGAGAAGGTGAATATCCTGGGATGAAAACTAGAAGGAAGCTCTCTGAGAAAGTGCTTTGTGATGTGTGCATTCATCTCACAAAGTGAAAGCTTTCTTTTCATTCAGTAGTTTTTAAACACTGTTTTTGTAGAATCTCCAAAGGAATATTTGGGAGTGCATTGAGGCCTATCTTGAAAAATGAAATATCTTCAGAAAAAAACTAGAAAGAAACTTTCTGACAAATTGCTTTGTGATATGTGCATTCATCTCACAGAATTAAACCTTTCTTTGGATTCAACAGTTTGGAAACACTGTTTTTGTCCTTTCAGTGAATGGATAGTTGGGAAGTCATTGAGGCAAAAGGTGAAAAAGCAAATATCCCAGGATAAAATCTTGAAGGAAGCAATCTGAGAAACCAATTTGTGATGTGTGCATTGATCTCCTAGAGTTAAAACTTTCTTTACATCCAGCAGTTTGGAAACACTGTTTTGGCAGAAACTGTGAAGGGATAATTTGGAGCGCATTGAGGCCAATGGAGAAAAAGTAATTATCTTAAGATAGGAACTAGAAAGAATTTTTGTGACAAACTACTTTGTGGTGTGTGCACCCATCTCACAGAGATAACTTTTCTTTGGATTCTGCAGTTTAGAAACACTGTTTTTGTCAATTCTGCAAATGAACGTTTGGAAACTCATTGAAGCCAATGGCAAAAAAGCAAATCTCCCATGATAAATCTAGAAGGAAGCTATGTGAGAAACTATTTGTGACGTGTGCATTAATCTCCTTAAGTTAAAACTTTCCTTTCATTCAGCAGTTTGGAAACAATGTTTTGGTAGAATCTTCAAAGGAATATTTGGGAGAGCATTCAGGCCTGTGGTGAAAAAGGAAATATCTTCAGATAAAAACTAGAAAGAAGCTTTCTGAGAAACTGCTTTGTGATGTGAGCCTTCATCTCACAGATTTTAACGTTTTTTTGGATTCTAAAATTTGGAAACGCTGTTATTGTCCAGTCTGCAATTTGACATTTGGGAGCTCCTTGAAGTTAATGGCAAAAAAGCAAGTATCCTAGGATGTAAACAACAAGGAAGCTATCTGAGAAAGTGCTTTGTGATACGTGCATTCATCTTGCAAATTTAAACTTTTATTTTCATTCCGCACTTTGGAAACAATGTATGGTAGAATCTGCAAAGGGATATTTGGGAGTGCTTTGAGGCCTACAGTGAAAAAGGAAGTATTCTCAGATAAAAAGTTGAAAGAAGCTTTCTGAGAAACTGCTTTGTAATGTGTGCATTCATTTCACAGAATTAAACCTTCTTTTGAATTCAGGAGTTGGGAAACACTGTTTTCGTCCATTCTGCAAATGCACATTTGGGAACTCATTGAGGCTAAGGAAGAAAAAGCAAATATCCCAGGATAAATACTAGAAGGAAGCTACCTGAGAAACAGCTTTGTGATGTGTGCACTATTCTTATAGTGTTAAAACTTCCTTTTCATTCAGCAATTTGGAAACACTGTTTTGGTAGAAGCTGGGAAGGGATATTTGGAAGCACATTGGGGCCTATTTTGAAAAAGGAAATATATTCAGATAAAAACTAGAAATAAGCTTTCTGAGAGACTGCTTTGTGATGTGTGCAGTCATCTCAGAGTTAAACGTTTCTTTGGATTCAGCAGTTTGGAAACACTGTTTTTGTCCCTTTAATGGACATTTGGGAGCTCAATGAGGTCAATCGTGAAAAAGCGAATATCCCAGGATAAAAACTCCAAGTAACCTATCTGAGAAAGGGTTTTGTGATGTATGCTTTCATCTCACCAAGTTTAACATTTCTTTTAATTCGTCAGTTTGGAAATACTGTTTTGGTAGAATCTGCAAAGGGATATTTGGGAGCAAATTGTGACCTACAGTGAAAAATGAAATATCTTCTGATAAGAACTTGAAAGAATCTTTCTGAGAAACTGCTTTGTGATGTGTGCATTCATATCAAAGATGTAAACCTTTCTATGGATTCAGGAGATTGGAAAAACAGTTTTTTCCATATCTGCAAATGGACATTTGGGTTCTCATTGAGGCCAATGGCAAAAAGGCAAATATCCCAGGATAAAAAGAAGAAGAAAGCTATCTGAGACTCTGCTCTGTGATGTGTGCTTTCATTTCCTAGATTTAAAACGTTGTTTTCATTCAGCTGTTTGGAAACACTGTTTTGGTAAAATCTGCAAACTGATATTTGGGGGCGCATTCAGGCCTATGGTGTAAAAGGAAATATCTTCGGATAGAAAATAGAATCTTTCTGAGAGACTGCTTTGTGTTGTATGCATTTATCTCATGGATTTAAAACTTTCTTAGGATTCAACATTTTGGAAACACTGATTTTTCCATCCTGTGAGTAGACATTTGGGAGCTCATTGATGATAAATGTGAAAAAGAGAATATCCCAGGATAAAATCTAGAAGGAATCTATCTGAGACATCACTTTGTGATGTGTGCATTCATCTCATAGAGATAAACCTTTCTTTTCATTGAGCAGTTTGGAAACGCTGTTCTGGTAGAATCTACAAAGGGATATTTGAGAGTGTATTGAGGTCTCTGGTGAATAAGGAAATATCTTCAGATAAGAACTTGAATGAAGCTTTCTGAGAAACTGCCTTGTGATGTGTGCATTCATCAAACAGAGTTAAACTTTTCTCTGCATTCAGCATTTTCAAAAGTTCGTTTTCATAAATTCTGCAAATGGACATTTGGGAGATCTTTGACACCAATGGTGAAAGAGTGAATATCCCAGGATAAAAACTAGAAGGAAGCTATCTGAGAAACCATGTTGGGTTGTGTGCGTTCGTCACACAAAGTTAAAATTTTCTTTCAGCAGTTTGGAAACAATGTTTTGGTAGAATCTGTGAAAGGACATTTGGGAGCACTTTGAGGCCTATGGTGGAAAAGGAAATATCTTCAGATAAAAACTAGAAAGAAGCTTTCTGAGAAACTGCTCTGTGATGTGTGCATTCATCTTACATAGTTAAAACTTTCTTTGGATTCAGCAGTTTGGTAACACTGTTTTGTCCTTTCTGTGAATCGACATTTGGGAACTTATTTAGGCCAATGGCAAAGAAGCGAATATCCCAGGATAAAAACTAGGAGGAAGCTATCTGAAAAACTGCTTTCTGATGGGTGCATTCATCTCCTAGAGTTAAACATTTCTTTTCATTCAGCAGTTTGGAAACAATGTTTTGGCAGGACCTATGAAGAGATATTTGGGAACACTTTGAAGCTTATGGTTAAAAAGGAAATATCTTCAGATAAAAACTAGAAAGAAGCTTTCTGAGAAACAGTTTTGTGATGTGTGAATTCATCTCACATACATAAAACTTGCTTTTCATTCAGCAGTTTGAAATCACTTTTCTTGCATTATCTGTGAAGAAAAATTTGGGAGCACTTTGAGATGTATGGTGAAAAAGGAAATATCTTTAGAGAAAAACTAGAAACTTCGTGAGAGACTGATTCATGATGCATGCATTCATTTCACAGAGTTAAGCATTTCTTTGGATTCAGCAGTTTGGAAACACCATTTACCTTTGCAGATAGTGCAAAAATATTGTCTCCAAACTGCTGAATGACAAGAAAGGTTTTACCCTAGGAGAGGAATGCACACATCCAAAGTGGTTTCTCAGATAGCTTCCTTCTAATTTTTATCCTGCGATATTTGTTTTTGCCTTAGTACTCAATGAACTCCCACATATCCATTTGCTGATTCTACTAAAACAGTGATTTAAAACTGCTGAAAGAAAACAAAAGTTTAACACTAAAAGACGAAACCATACATCACAAAGCAGTTTCTCAGATAGGTTGGATCTAGTTTTGATTATGGTATATTTGCTTTTTCACTGTTGGCCTCAATGAGTTCTGAAATGTCCATTCACAGAATGGACAAAAACAGTGTTTCCAAACCACTGAACCCAAAGAAAGTTTTAACTTTGTGAGATGAATGCACAAATCACAAAGAAGTTTCTCAGAATGTTTCTGTCTAGTTTTTCTCTGAAGGTATTTTGTTTTTCACAATAGGCCTCTATGCATTCCCAAATATCCCTTCACAGATTCTATCAGAACTGTGTTTCCCAACTGTTGAATGAAAAGAAAAGTTTAACTCTTCAAGATGAATGCAGACATCACTAAGTAGTTTCTCAGGTAGCTTCCTTCTACTTTTTAAGCTGGGATATTTGCTTTCTCGCCTTTGGCCTCAGGGAGTTCTCATATATCCTTTCAAGGAATGGTCAAAAACATTGTTTCCAAACTGCTGAACCCAAAGAAACGTTTAACTCTGTGAGATGAATGCACACATCACAAAGCAGTTTCTCAGAAAGATTCTTTCTAGTTTTTCTCTGAAGATATTTCCTTTTTCACCACAAGCCTCAATGCGCTCCCAAATATGCCTTCACAGATACTGCAAAAACTGTGATTCCAACCTGCTGAATGAAAAGAAAAGTTTAACTCTTGGAGATGAATGCACACAACACAATGCGGTTTCTCAGATAACTTCCTTCTAGTTTTTATCCTGGGATATTCACTTTTTCACAATTGGCTTCAAAGAGTTCCAAAATGTCCATTTGAATAATGGACAAAAACAGTGTTTCCAAACTGCTGAATCAAAAGAAAGGCTTAAATCTTTGATATGAATGCACACATCAAAAAGCAGTTTCTCAGAAAGATTCTTTCTATTTTTTATCTGAAGATGATATTTCCTTTTTCACCATAGGCCTCAATGCACTCCCAAATATCCCTTCACAGAGTCAACAAAAACAGTGTTTCCAAACCTGCTAAGTGAAAATAACGTTTTAACTTACTTTAGGAGATGAATGGACACATCACAAAGCATTTTCTCAGGTAGCTTCCTTCTAGTTTTTATTCGGGAATATTCACTTTTTCACCATGGGCCTCCATGCGTTCCCAAATGTCCATTTGCAGAATGGACAAAAAGTGTTTCCAAATAGATGACTCCAAAGATACTTTGAACTCTGGGAGATGAATGCAGACAACACAAAGCAGTTTCTCAGAAAGCTTTCTACTTTTTATCTGAATATATTTCATTTTTCACCACAGGCCTCAGTGCGCTCCCAAATATCCCTTTGCAGATTCTACCAAAAGAGTGTTTCTAAACTGCTGACTGAAAAGAAAAGTTTGCCTCTGTGAGATGAATGCACACATCACAACGTGCTTTCTCAGATCGCTTCCTTCTAATTTTTATCCTGGGATATTCACTTTTTTCCCATTGACCTGAATGAGTTCCAAAATGTCCATTTGCAGGACAGGCAAAAACCGTGTTTCCAAGCTGCTGAATCAAAAGAAAGGTTTAACTCTGTGAGATGAATGCACACACCACACAGCATTTTCTCAGAACATTTCTTTCTAGTTTATAATAGAAGGTATTTCATTTTTCACCACAGGCCGCAATGCACTCCAAAATATCCCTTCTCAGATTCTACAAAAACACTGTTTCCAATTTGCTGAATGAAAAGAAAAGTTTAAGTCTGTGAGATGAATGCATACCTCACAACACGGTTTCTCAGATAACTTCCTTCTAGTATTTAAAGTGGGATATTTTCTTTTTCACCATTAGACTCAATGAGCTCCCAAATGTCCAGTTGTGGAATGAACAAAAACAGTGTTTCCAAGCTGCTGCATTGAAAGAAATGTTTAACTCTGTGAGATGAATGCACACATCACAAAGCAGTTTCTCAGAAAACTTCTGTCTAGTTTTTATCTGAAGATATTTCCTATATCATCAAAGGCCCAATGCACTCCCAAACTCCCATTCACAGATACTGCAAAAACAGTGATTCCAAACTGCCGAATGAAAAGAAAGCTTTAAATGTAGGAGATGAATGCACACATCACAAAGCAGTTTCTCAGATAGGTTCTGTCTAGTTTTTATGCTGGATTATTCAAGTTTTCACCATTGGTCTCAGCGAGTTCTCAAATGTCCATTCGCAGAATGGATAAAAACAATGTTTGCAAACTGCTGAATCCAAAGAAAGTTTTAACATTGTGAGATGAATGCACCCATCAGAAAGCAGTTTCTCAGAAAGATTATTTCTAGTGTTTTCTGAAGCTATATTTTTTCACCCTAGGCTTCAATGCACTCCAAAATATCCCTTCACATATTCTACCAAAACATATTTCCAAACTACTGAAAGAAAAGAAAGTTTTAAATTTAGGAGGTGAATGCACACATCACACAGGGGTTTCTCAGATACCTTCCTTCTAGTTTTAATCCTGGGATATTGCCTTTTTCAGCATTGGCTTCAATGAACTCTCAAATATCCACTTGCAGAAAAAACAAAAACAGTATTTCCAAACTGCTGAATCCAAAGAAACGTTTAACTCTGTGAGATGTATGCACAGATCACAAAACAGTTTCTCAGAAAGCTTCTTTCTAGTTTGTATCTGAAGATATTTCCTTTTTCACCATTGGCCTCAAGGCACTGCCAAATATCCCTTCGCAGATTCTACCAAAACAGTGTTTCCAAAGTGCTAAATGAAAAAGGAGTTTAACACTCAGAGATGAAAGCACACAACACAATGCCGTTTTTCAGATAGCTTCCTTCTAGTATTTACCTGGGATATTTCCTTTTTCACCATTGGCCTCCATGAGCTCCCAAATATCCATAGGAAAAATGGACAAAAACTGTGTTTCCAAATTGTTGAATCCTTAGAAACTTTTAACTCTGTGAGATGAATGCACACATCACAAAGCAGTTTCTCAGAAAGCTTCTTTCTAGTTTTTATCTGAAGATATTTCCTATTTCATCAAAGGCCTCAATGGGTTCCTAAATTTCCCTATGCAGATACTGTAAAAAGAGTGATTCCAGACAGCTGAATGAAAAAGAAATGTTTAACTCTAGGAGATGAATGCACACATCATCACAAAGCCGTTTCTCAGATAGCTTCCTTCTAGTTTGCATCCTGGAATATTCACTTTTTCACCGTTGGCCTCAATGAGTTCCTGAATGTCCATTCACAGAATGGACAAAAACAGTGTTTCCAATCTGCTGAATCAAAAGAAAG
Source organism: Homo sapiens (assembly GCF_000001405.40). Lineage (NCBI taxonomy): Eukaryota > Metazoa > Chordata > Mammalia > Primates > Hominidae > Homo > Homo sapiens. The sequence goes on along the minus strand of NC_000005.10, from coordinate 46,231,466 downwards.
ATTGAACTCTGTGAGATGAATGTACACATCACAAAGTAGTTTCTCAGAAAGATTCTTTCTAGTTTTTATCTGAAGATATTTCCTATTTCATCAAAAGCCTCAATGGCCTCCCAAATTTCCCTAAACAGATACTGCAAAAACACTGATTCCAGACTGCTGAATGAGTGCAAAGGTTTAAATCTAAGAGATGAATGCACACATCACAAAGCGGTTACTCAGATAGCTTCCTCCAATTTTTACCCTGGGATATTCCCTTTTTTGCCATTGGCCTCAATTAGCTCCCAAATGTCCATTCACAGAATGGACAAAAACAGTATTTCCAAACTGCTGAATCCAAAGGAAGGTTTAACTCTGTGAGATGAATGCACACATTGAAAACCTGTTTCTCATTAAGGTTCTTTCTTGTTTTTATCTGAAGATATTTCGTTTTTCATCATAGGCCTCAATGCACTACAAAATATCTCTTCACAGATTCTAAAAAAACAGTGTTTCCAAACTACTGAATCCAAAGAAAGCTTTAACTCTGTAAGATGAATGCACTCATCCCAAAGCAGTTTCTCAGAAAGCTTCTTTCTAGTTTTTATCTGAAGATATTTCCTTTTTCACGTTAGGCCTCAATGAGCTACAAATTATCTCTTTGCATATTCTAAAAAAACAGTGTTTCCAAACTGCTGAATGAAAAGAAATGTTTAACAATTTGAGATGAATGCACACATCAGAGGGCAGTTTCTCCGATACCGTCCTCCAGTTTTTTACTCTGGGATATTCGCTTTTTGGCCATTGGCCTCAATTAGCTCCAAAATGTCCACTTGCAGAATGGAAAAAAAACAGTGTTTCCAAACTGCTGAATCCAAAGAAACATTTAAACCTGTGAGATGAATGCACACATCACAAAGCAGTTTCTCAGAAAGTTTCTTTCTGGTTTTTATCTGAACACATATCATTTTTCACCATAGGCCTCAATGCACTCTCAAATATCCCTTTGGAGATTCTACCAAAATAGTGTTTCCAAACTGCAGAATGAAAAGAAAGGCTTAACTCTCTGAGATGAATGCACACTTCACGATGCATTTTCTCAGATAGATAGCTTCCTTCTAGTATCTTTCCTGGGATATTCGGTTTTTTGCCTTTTGCCTCTATGAGTTCCCAAATGACAAAAATCGTGTTTCCAAACTGCTGAATCCAAAGAAAGGTTTAAATCTGTGAGATAAATGCGCACACCATAAACCAGTTTATCAGAATGTTTCTTTCTATTTTTTATTTGCAGATATTTCATTTTTCACCATAGGCCTCAATGTGATCCCAAATACCCTTCACAGATTCTACCAAAACAGTCTTTCCAAACTGCTGAATGAAAAGAAAGATTTAATTCTGAGAGATGAATACACACATCACAAAATGGTTTCTCATATAACTTCCTTCTACTATTTATCCAGGGATATTCACTTTTTTGCCATTCACCTCAATGAGCTCCCTAATGTCCATTCTCAGCATGGACAAAAACAATGTTTCCAGACTGCTCAATGCAAAGAAACGTTTAACTTTGTGAGATGAATGCACACGTCACAAAGCAGTTTCTCAGAAAGCTACTTTCTAGTTTTTATCTGAAGGTATTTCCTTTTTCATCGTAGGCCTCAATGTGATCCCAAATACCCCTTCACAGATTCAACAAAAACAGTGTTTCCAAAATGGTGAAGGAAAAGAAAGAAAACTTTAAAACTGTGAAGTGAATACACACATCACAATGCAGTGTCTCAGATAGCTTCATTCTAGTTTTTATCCTGTGATATTCACTTTTTCACCATTGGCCTCAGGAGTTCCCAATTGTCATTGCAGAATGGCCAAAAACTGTGTTTCCATACGGACAAATCCAAACAAAGTTTTAACTCTGTGAGATGAATGCATGCATCACGCAGCAGTTTCTCAGAAAGATTCTTTCAAGTTTTTATCTGAAGATATTTCCTTTTCCACAATAGGCCTCAATGTGATCCCAAATATCCCTTGGCAGATTCTACCAAAACAGTGTTTCCAAGCTGCTGAATGAAAAGAAAGGTTTAACTCTGCAAGACAAATACACACATCACAAAATGGTTCCTCAGATAGCTTCCTTCTACTATTTATCCTGGGATATTCTCTTTTTTGCCTTTCACCTCAGTGAGCTCCCTAATGCCCATTTGCAGATTGGACAAAAACAGTGTTTCCAGCCTGCTGAGTGCAAAGAAACGTTTAACTCTGTGAGATGAATGCACACATCACAAAGTAGTTTCTTAGAAAGCTACTTTCTAGTTTTTATCTGAAGGTATTTCCGTTTTCACCATAGGCCTCAATGCACTCCCAAACCTAACTTTGCAGATTCAACCAAAACAGTGTTTCCAAAATGGTGAATGAAAAGAAAAGTTTAACACTGCAAAATGAATACACACATCACAATGTGCTGTCTCAGATAGCTTCATCTAGTTTTTATACTGTGATATTCACTTTTTCGCCATTGGCCTCAAGGAGTTCCCATACGTCCATCACAGAATGGCCAAAAACAGTGTTTCCAAACAGACGAATCCAAAGAAAGTTTTAATTCTGTAAGTGAATGCACACATCACAAAGCAGTTTCCCCGAATGCTTCTTTCTTGTTTTTATTTGAAGATATTTCCTTTTTCACTGTAGGCCTCAATGCGCCCCCAAATATCCCTTCAAAGTCTCTACTAAAATAGTGTTTGCAAACTGCTGAATGTAAAGAAGAGTTTAACTTTAGGAGATGGATGCCAACATCACAAAGCAGTTTTTCATATAGCCTCCTTCTATTTTTTATCCTGGGATAATCACTTTTTCACCATTGGCCTAATGAGTTCCCAAATTTCCATTCACAGAATGGGCAAAAATAGTTTTTCCAAACTGCTGAATCCAAAGGAAGGTTTAATTATTTGAGTTGATGCACTTGTCACAAAGCAGTTTCTCAAAATGCTTCTTTCTAGTTTTTTTCAGAAGATTTTTTTTTTCACCATAGGCCTCAAGTTTCTCCCAAATATGCCTCCACAGATTCTACCAAAAAAGTGCTTCCAAACTGCTGAAGTAAAAAAAGTTTAACTCTGAGAGATGAATGCACACAACACATAGCGCTATCTCAGATAACTTCCTTCTACTTTTTATATTGGGATGTTCCCTTTTATGCCATTTGCCTCAAGTAGTTCCCAAATGTCCATTCACAGGATGCACAAAAACAGTTTCCAAACTGCTGAATCCAAAGTGTGGGTTAACTCTGTGAGGTGAGTGCACACATCACAAAGAAATTTCTCATAAAGATTCCTTTTAGTTTTTATCTGAAAATATTTCGTTTTTCACCGTCAGCCTCAAAGCACTCCCAAATATCCTTTCACAGATTACACCAAAACAATATTTCCAAACTGCTGAGTGAAAAGAAAAGTTTAACTCTGTGAGATGAATGCACGTATCACATATCAGTTTATCAGATAGCTTTCTTCTAGGTTTATCCTGGGATATTCACTTTTTCCCCATTGACCTCAAAGGGCTCCCAAATGTCCTTTTCAGAATGGACCAAAACAGTGTTTTCAAACTGCTGAATCCAAAGAAAGTCTACACACTGAGACTTGAATGCACACGTCACAAAGCAGTTTCTCAGAATGCTTATTTCTTGTTTTTATCTGAAGCTATCTCATTTTTTACCATGGGCCTCAAGGTGCTCCCAAATGTCCCTTCACAGATTCTATCAAAACAGTGCTTCCAAACTACTGAATGAAAAGAAAGGTTTAACTCTGTAAGGTGAATGCAAACATCACAAAGCACTTTCTCAGACAGCTTCCTTCTTGTTATTATCTTGGGATATACTCTTTTTCGCCAATGGCCTCAATGAGTTTGTTTCCAAACGTCCATTAGCAGAATGGACAAAACCAGAGTTTTGAAACAGCTGAATAAGAAGAAATTTTAACTCTTTGAGATGAATGCACACATCACAAAGCAGTTTCTCTGAAAGATTCTAACTTGTTTTTCTCTGAGGATGTTTTCCTTTTTACCGTAGGCCTCAACGCACTCCCAAGTATCCGTTCATAGATACTGCAATAACAGTAATTCTAAACTGCTGAATATAAAAAAAACTTTAACTCTGTAAGTTAAATGCACACATTACAAAATAGTTTCTGAGAAAGATTATTTCTAGTTTTTATCTGAAGTTATTTCCCTTTTAACCATAGGCTTCAATGGTCACGTAAATACCCCTTCAGAGATACTGCAAAAACAGTGATTCCAAACTGCTGAATGAAAAGAAAGGTTTAGCTTTAGGAGATGAATGCATGCATCATAAAGCAGTTTCTCAGATAGCTCTGTTCTAGTTTTTATCATGGGATATTCGCTTTTTCACCAGTGGCTTCAAAGAGTTCCAATGTCCATTCACAGAATGGACAAAAATAGTGTTTCCAAACTGCTGAGTCCAAAGAAAGGTTTAACTCAGTGAGGTGAATGCACAAATCAGAAAGCAGTTTCTCAGAAAGATTCTTTCTAGTTTTTATATGAAGATATTTCCTTTTTCACTATAGGCCTCAATGTGCTCCCAAATATCCCTTCACAGATTCTACCAAAGTGGTGATTCCAAATCACTGAATTCAGAGAAATGTTTAATTCTGCAATATGAGTGTACAAATCACAAAGCAGTTTCTCAGATAGCTTCCTTCTACTTTTTATCCTGGATAAGCACTTATTCTCCTTTGGCCTCATTGAGTTCCCAAATGTCCATTCACAGAATGGATAAAAAACAGTGTTTCCAAACAAATTAATCCAAAGTAACATTTAACTCTGTGAGATGAATGCACACATCCTGAAACAGTTTCTTAGAAAATGTGTTCTAGTTTTTCTCTGAAGATAATTTCTTTTTTCAACATAGGCCTCCATGCATTCCCAAATATCCCTTCATAGGTTCTATGAAAACAGTCTTTCCCAACTGCTGAATGAAAAGAAAGCTTTAAGTTTAGGACATGAATGCAGACATCACAAAGCAGTTTCTCCAATAGCTTCCTTCTATTTTTTTAGCCTGGGATATTCACTTTTTTGCATTTGGCCTCAATGAGTTCCAAACTGTCCTTTCGCAGAATGGACAAAAAGAGTGTGTCCACACTGCTGAATTGAAAGAAACGTATGACTCTGTGAGATGAATGCACACAACATGAAACAGTTTTTCAGAAAGCTTATTTCTAGCTTTTATCAGAAGGTATTTTCTATTTCATCAAAGGCCTCAATGTGCACTTAAGATTCCCTGTGCAGATACTGCAAAACCAGTGATTTGAAACTGCTGAATGAAATGAAAGTTTTAACTCTAGGAGACAAATACACAGATCACAAAGTGGTTTCTCAGATAGCTTCCTTCTATTTTTTATCCTGGGATATTCGCTTTTTCACCATTAGCCTCATTGAGCTCCCAAATATCCATTCCAGAATGGACAAAAACAGTGTTTCCAAACAGATTAATCCAAACAAACGTTTAAATCTGTGAGATGAATGCAAACCTCACAAACCACTTAGTTTGTCAGAAACATTTATTCTAGTTTATCTCTGAAGGTATTTCCTTTTTTTACCATAGGCCTCAATATGCTCCCAAATACCCCTTCACAGATTCTACCAAAACAGTCTTTCCAAACTGTTGAATGAAAAGAAATGATTAACTCTTCAATATTAATGCACAGATAAAAAAGCAGTTTCTCAGATACTTTCCTTCTAGTTTTTTATCCTGGGATATTCCTTTTCTTGCCATTGGCCTCAATGAGCTCCCAAATGTCCATTCACGGAATGGACAAACACAGTGCTTCCAAGCTGCTGAATCCAAAGAAATGTTTAACTCTGTGAGATGAATGCCCACATCACAAAGCAGTTTCTGAGAAAGATTTACAGGTTTTATGTGAAGATATTTCCTATTTTATCAAAGGCCTCAATTCGCTCCCAAATTTCCCTTGCAGATACTACAAAACAGTGATTCAAAACTGCTGAATGAAAATAAATGTTTAACCCTAGGAGATGAATGCACACATGAAAAAACGGTTTCTCAGATAGCTTCCTTGCAGATTTTATCCTGGGATATTCACTTTCTCGCCATTGGCTTCAAAGAGCTCTTAAATGTCCATTTGCAGAATGGACAAAAATAGTGTTTCCAAACTACCGAATCCAAAGAAATGTTTAACTCTGTGAGATGGATGCACACATCACAAAGTAGTTTCTCAGATTGATTCTTTCTAGTTTTTATCTGAAGATATTTCCCTTTTCACCATAGGACTCAAAGCACTCCCAAATATCCCTCCAAATATTCTACCAAAACTTCGTTTGCAACCTGCTGAGTTAAAAGAAAAGTATAACTCTGTGAGATGAATACACACATCACTAATCAGTTTCTCAGATAACGTGCCTCCAATTTTTATCCTGGGATATTTCCTTTTTTGCCCTTGGCTTCAAATGAGCTCTCAAAAGTCCATTCACAGAATGGAAAAAATAGTGTTTCCAAACTGCTGAATCCATAGAAAGGTTTAATTCTGTAAGATGAATGGTTCCTTCACAAATCAGTATCTTAGAAAGCTTCTTTGTAGTTTTTATCCAAATATATTTCCTTTTTCACCACAGGCCTCAATGCATTACTAAATAACTCTTCTCAGTTTCTAAGAAAAGAGTGTTTCCAAACTGCTGAATGAAAAGAATGGTTTAACTCTTTTAGATGAATGCACACAAACAAAGTGGTTTCTCAGGTAACTTTCTCCTAGTTTTTAACCTGGTATATTTGCTTTTTCACCACTGGCCTTAATGAGGTCCTTAATGCCCATTTGCAGATTGGACAAAAGCAGTATTTCCAAACTGCTGAATCCAAAGAAAGGTTTAATTCTGTGAGATGAATGGATACATCCCTAAACCAGTTTCTAATTATGATTCTTTCTAGTTTTCATCTGAAGATATTTGCTTTTTCACCATAGGCCTCAATGTGCCGACAAGTATCCCTTCAAAGATTCTATAAAAACCCTTTTTCACTCATAGGTGGGAATTGAACAATGAGATCACATGGACACAGGAAGGGGAATATCACACTCTGGGGACTGTTTGGGGTGGGGGGAGGGGGGAGGGATAGCATTGGGAGATATACCTAATGCTAGATGACAAGATAGTGGGTGCAGCACATCAGCATGTCACATGTATACATATGTAACTAACATGCACAATGTGCACATGTACCCTAAAACTTAAAGTATAATAATAAAAATAAATACATAAATAAGTAAATAAATAAATAAATAAATAAAAATAATAAAAAAAATAAAAACCCTTTTTCCAAACTGCTGAATGAAAAGGAAGGTTTAACAGTGTGAGAGGAATGGACACATCACAAAGCATTTTATCGGGTATATTCCTTCTAGTTTTTAACCTGGGATAATCTCTTTTTTGCCATTGACTTCAATGAGCTCCCAAATGTCCATTTGCAGGATGGAGAAAAACAGTGTTACCAAACTGCTGAATACAAAGAAAGACTAAACTCTGTGAGATGAATATACACTTCACAAAGCAGTGTCACAGAAAGGTTCTTTATACTTTTTATGTGAAGATATTTCCTTTTTCACTGTAGGCCTCATTGCGCTACAAAATACCTCTTCACAGACTCTAAGAAAACAGTGTTTCCAAACCACTAAATTGAAAGAAACTTTTAAGTCTGTGAGATGAATGCCCACATCACAAATCAGTTTCACAGATAACATGCTTCTAGTTTTTATCCTGGGATATTTGCTTTTTCACCACTGGCCTCAAGGAGCTCCCAAATATTCAGTTACAGAATGGACAAAAACAGTGTTTCCAAGCAGAAGCATCCAAAGAAATGTTTAATGCTGTGAGGTGAATGAACACATCAGAAAGCAATTTCTCAGAAATCTTCTTTCTAATTTATATCTGAAGATACTTCCTTTTTCCCCATAGGCCTCAGTGCACTGTCAAATAACCTTTTGCAGATTCTACAAAACAGTTTTTCCAAACTGCTGAATGAAAAGAAAGGTTTAACTCTCTGAGACGAATGCACACATCACAAAGCAGTTTCTTAGAGAGCTTCCTTCAAGCTTTTATCCTGGGGTAATCTCTTTTTCACCACTGGCCTCAATGGGCTCCAAAATGTCCGTTCACAAAAGGACAGAGACAGTGTTACCAAACTGATGAATTAACAGAAAGGTTTAACTCTGTCACATGAATGCACACATCCCAAAGCAGTTTCTCATTAAGCTTCTTTCTAGTTTTCATTTAAAGAGATTTCCATTTTCACTATAGGCCTCAATGTGCTACCAAATATCTTTTCGCAGATTCTAAGAAAACAGTGTTTCCCAACTACTGAATGGAGTGAAAGGTTTAACTCTGTGAGATGAATACACACATCACAAATCTGTTTATCAGATAAATTCCTTTTAGTTTTTATCCTAGGATAGTCACACTTTCGCCATTGACCTCAATGATCTCCCATATGTCCATTCACAGAATGGACAAAAATGGTGTTACCAAACTGCTGATTCCAAAGAAAGGTTTAAGTCTGTGAGGTGAATGCACACTTCACAAAGTGGTTTCTCAGAAAGTTTCTTTCTGGTTTTTATCTGAAGATATTTCCTTTTTAAACAGAGACCTCAATGCACTACCAAATATCCCTTTGCAGATCCTACAAAAACAGTGTTTCCAAGCTGCTGAATGAAAAGGAAGGTTTAATTCTGTGGGATGAATGCACCCAACACAAATCAGTTTCTCAAATAGCTTCCTTCTAGTTCCTATCCTGGGATATTCTCTTTTTCGCCTTTGGCCTCCATGATCTCCCAAATGTCCATTTGTAGAATGGACAAAAACAGTGTTACCAAACTGCTAAATCCAAAGAAAGGTTTAACTCTGTGAGATGAATGCCCGTATCCCAAACCAGTTTATCATTAAGCTTCTTTCTAGTTTTTATCTGAAAATATTTGCTTTTTCACTTTAGACCTCAATTCACTAATAAATATCTCTTTGCAGATTCTAAGAAAACAGTGTTTCCAAACTGCTGAATCTAAAGAAAGGCTTAACTACATGAGATAAATGCACACATCCCAAAGCAGCTTCTCATTGAGCTTCTTTCTAGTTTTTATATGAAGATATTTCCTTTTTCACCATTGACCTCAAAATGCTCCCAAATATCCCTTCACAGATTCTACCAAAACAGTGAATCAAAACTGCTGAATGAAAAGAAAAGTTTAAGTTTAGGACATCAATGCACACATCAAGAAGTGGTTTGTCAGATAGTTTCCTTCTAGTTTTTACCCTCAGATATTCACTTTTTTGCCTTTGGCCTCAATGGGTTCCCAAATGTCCATTCACAGAATGGAAAAAAAAACAGTTTTTCCAAACTGCTGAATCCAAAGAAACGTTTAACCTGGTGAGAGGAATGCACACATCAAAAAACAGTTTCTCAGAAAGCTTCTTTCTAGTTTTTATCTGAAGATATTGCATATTTAATCAAAGGCATCAATGCGTTCTAAAAAAATCCATTCACAGATACTCCAAAAACAGTGATTCTAAACTGCTGAATGAAAAGAAAGGTTGAACTCTAGGAGACAACTGCACACATCACAACGTGGTTTTGCACTTAGCTTCCTTCTACTATTTATCCTGGGATTTTTTTTTTTTTTTTTTGCCATTGGCCTCAATGAGCTCCCAAATGTCCATTCACAGAAAGGACAAACACAGTGTTTCCAAACTGCTGAATCCAAAGAAACGTTTAACTCTGTGAGATTAATGAACATTTCACAAGTGCTTTCTCAGATTGATCCTTCTAGTTTTTATCCTGGGATTTTCACTTTTTTGCCATTGGCCTGAATGAGTTAATAAATGTCCATTCACAGAATGGACAAAAACAATGTTTCCAAACTGATTAATCCAAAGAAAGTTTTAACTCTGTGAATTGAATGCACACATCACAGCACAGTTTCTCAGAATACTTCTGTCTAGGTTTTGTCTGAAGAAATTTCCTATTTCAGCAAAGGCCTCAATGCGCTCCCAAATTTCCCTTCACAGATACTGCATAAATTGTGATTCCAAACTCCTGAATGAAAAGAAAGTTTTAACTCTAGGTGACGAATGCCCACATCACTAAGCGGTTTCTCAGACGGCTTCCTTCCAGTTTGTATTCTGGGATTTTCACTTTTTCACCCTTGGCCTCAATGAGTTAACAAACGTCCATTCACAGAATGGACAAAAACAGGGTTTCCAAATGGCTGAATCCAAAAAAAGGTTTAACTCTGTGAGTTGAATTCACACATAACAAAGCAGTTTCTCAGAATGCTTTTTTCTAGCTTTTATCAGTCAAAACAGTGTTTCCAAACTGGTGAATGAAAAGAAAGGAAGTTTAACTCTGTGAGATGAATGCATGCATCACAAAACAGTTTCACACATAGCTTTTATCTTGTTTTTATCTGAAGATATTCCCTATTTCTTCAAAGGCCTTATTGTGCTCTGAAATTTCCGTTTGCAGTTACTGCAAAAATAGTGATTCCAAACTGCTGAATGAAAAGAAAAGTTTTACTGTAGGAGACAAATGCACACGTAACAAAGCAGTTTCTCAAATAGCTTCCTTCTAGTTTTTTTCCTGGGATATTCACTTTTTTGCCATTGGCCTCAACGAGTTCCCAAGTGTCCTATCACAGAACGGACAAAAACAGTGTTTTCAAACTGCTGAATCCAAAGAAACGTTTATCTTTTTGAGTTGAATGCACAGATCGCAAAGAAGTTTCTCTGAATGCTTCTTTCTAGTTTTTATCTGAACATATTTCATTTTTCACCATTGGCCTGAATGGGCTCCAAAACATCCCTTCTCAGATTCTACCAAAACAGTGTTTCCAAACAGCTGAATGAAAAGAAAAGTTTAACTCTAGGATATAAATCCACACATTTCAAGGCCTTTTCCCAGACAGCTTCCTTCTAGTTTTTAACCTGGGAAATTCACTTTTTCACCATTTGCCTCAATGAGTTCACAGTTGTCCATTCGCAGAAAGGACAAAAACAGTTTTACCAAAATGTTAAATCCAAAGAAAGTTTTAACTGTGTGATATGAATGCATACATCACAAAGCATTTTCTAGGAAAGTTTCTTTCTAGATTTTATCTGAATATATTTTATTTTTCCCCATAGGCATCAATGCGCTACAAAATATCCCTTTGCTGATTTTCCCAAAACAGTGTTTATAAACTGCTAAAGAAAAGAAAAGTTTAACTCTGTGAGATGAATTCACACATCACATCATGGTTTCTAAGTTAGCTCCCTTCTAGTATTTATCCTGGGATAGTCAGTTTATCATAGGCCTCAATGAACTCCGAAATGTCCTTTCACAGAATTGACAAAAACAGTCTTTCCAAAATGCTGAATTGAAAGAAATGTTTATGTCTGTGTTGTGAATGCACACATCTCAAGGCAATTTCTCTGAAAGCTTCTTTCAAGTTTTGTTCTGAAAGTACTTCTTATTTCATCAAAGGCCTCTACACGCTCCCAAATTTGTCTTCACAGATACTGCAAAAATTCATTCCAAACTGCCGAAAGAAAAGAAAGGTTTATCTCTGTGACATGAATGCACACATAACAGGGCAGTTTCTCAGATAGCTTCCTTCTCGTTTTTATCCTGGGATAATTGCTTTTTTGCTACTGGACTCAAGGAGATCTGTAATGTACATTTGCAGAATGGAAAAAACAGTGTTTCCAAACAGCTGAATCCAAAGAAAAGATTAACTCTGTGAGATGAATGCACACACCACAAAGCATTGTTCAGAAAGCTTCTTTCTAATTTTTATCTGAAGATATTACCTTTTTCACCTTAGGCCTCAATGGTCTCCCAAATATCCCTTTGCAGGTTCTACCAAAACAGTGTTTCTATACTGCTGAACGAAAATAAATGTTGAACTCTGTGAGATAAATGCTCACATCACAAAGCAGCTTCTCAGAGAGCTTCCTTCTAGTATTTATCCTAGGATATTCACTTTTTCTCATTTGGCCCCAATGAGCTCCCAAATATCCATTTGCAGAATGGACAAAAACATTTTTTCCAAACTGCTGAATCCAAAGAAAAGTTTAACTCTGTGAGATGAGTGCAACATCACAATGTGGTTTCTCAGATAGCTTCCTTCTAGTTTTTATCCTGGGATATTCACTTTTTTGCCATTGGCCTCAATGGGCTCCCAAATGTCCATTCGTAGAATCGACAAAAACAGTGTTTCCAAATTGCTGAATTCAAAGAAATGCTTAAGTATCTGAAGTGAATGCAAACATCACAAATCAGTTTCTCAGAAAGTTTCTTCAAAGTTTTTATCTGAAGATATTTCCTATTTCATCAAAGGCCTCAATGTGCTCCCATATTTCCCTTTGTAGATATAGCAAAATAAGTGATTCCAAACTTCTGAATGAAAACAAAAGTTTATCTCTGTGCAATGAATACACATATCACCATTCGTTTTCTCAGATAGCATCCTTCTAGCATTTATCCTGGGATATTCCCTTTTTTGCCACTGGTCTCAATGAGTTCCTAAATGTCCATTCACAAAATGGACAAAAAAAGGTTTCTAAACTGCTGAATCCAATGAAAAGTTTAATCTGTGAGTTGAATGCAAGCATTCAAAAACTGTTTCTCAGACTGCTTATTTCTTCTTTCTAACTGAAGATGTTTCCTATTTTGTCAAAGGCCTGAATGTGCTCCTTAATTCCCTTCACTGATACTGCAAAACAAGTGATTCCAAAATGCACTATGAAAAGAAAGTTTTAACTCTAGGAGAAAAATGCCCACATCACAAAGCTTTTTCTTTGATAGCTTCCTTCTGGTTTTTATACTGGGATATTGACTTTTTCGCCATTGCCTTCAATGAGTTGCCAAATGTCCATTCGCTGAATGGACAAAAACAGTGTTTCTAAACTGCTGAATACAAAGAAATTTTTAAGTCTGTGAGAGGAATGCACACATCACAAAGCAGTTTCTCAGAAAGCTTCTTTCTAGCTTTTATCTGAAGATATTTCCTTTTTCACTATAGGCCTCAAGGCACTCCCAAATATCCCTTTGCAGATTCTAGCAAAACAGTATTTCCAATCTGCTGAATAAAAAGTTTAACTCTGTGAGATGAATGCACACATCACAACGTGGTTTCTCTGATAGCTTCCTTCTAGTATTTATCCTGGGATATTTGCTTTTTCGCCTTTGGCCTCAAAGAGTTCAGAAATGTCCATTTGCAGAATGGACAGTAACAGCATTTCCAAACTGCTGAATCCAAAGTAACGTTTAACTCTGTGAGGTGAATGCACACATCACAGAGCAGTTTCTGAGAAAGTTTCTTTCTTGTTATTATCTGAACATATTTCCTATTTCATCAAAGGCCACAAAGCTCTCCCAAATTTCCTTTCACAGATTCTGCAAAAAACGTGATTCCAAACTGTTGAACTAAAAGAAAGGTTTAACTCTAGGAGATGAATGCACACATCACTGAGCAGTTTCCCAGAAATATTTTTTCTGGTTTTTACCTGAAGGTATTTCCCTTTTCACTGTAGGCCTCAATGCATTGCCAAATATCTCTTTGCAGGTTCTACAGAATCAGTGTTTCCAGACCGCTGAATGAAAGGAAAGGTTTAAATTTAGGATATGAATGCATACATTGCAGGGCAGTTTCTCAGAGAACTTCCTTCTAGTTTTATTCCTGGGATATTCTCTTTTATGCCATTGGCCTCAAAGAGTTCCCAAAAGTCCATTCGCAGAAAGGACACAAACTGTGTTCCCAAACTGCTGAATCCAAAGAAAGTTTTAACTCTGTGAGAAGAAAGTGCACATCACAAAGCAGCTTCTCAGAAGGCTTCTTTCTAGCTTTTTCTGAATTTATTTCATTTTTCACCATAGGCCTCAATGCACTCCGATTATCTCTTTGCAGATTCTACCAAAACAGGTTTTCCAAACTGCTGAGGAAAAAGAAAGGTGTAACTCTGTGAGATGAAGACACACATCACAAAGTGGTTTCTCAAAAAGCTTTCCTCTAGTTTTTATCCTGGGATATTTGCTTTTTCACCATTGGTCCCAATGAGTTCCAAAATGTCCATTCTCAGAATGGAATAAAAAATTATTACCTAACTGCTTAATCCAGAGAAACGTTTAACTCTATGAAATGAATGCAAACATCACAAAGCAATTTCTCAGAAAGCTTCTTTCTAGGTTTTATCTGAAGATGTTTCCTATTTCATAAAAGGCCTCAAAACTCTCCCAAATATCCCTTCAGAGATACTGTAAAAACAGATATTCCAAACTGTTGACAGAATTAAAAGTTTTAACTCTAGGAGATGAATGTGCACACCACAAACAGGTTTCTCAGATAGCTTGCTTCTAAATTTTTTCCTGATATATTCCCTTTTTCACCATTGACCTCAAAGAGTTCCCAAATGTCCATTCACAGAATGAAAAAAATACAGTTTTTCCAAAATGCTGAATCAAAAGAAAGGTTTAACTCTGTGAGGTGAATGCACACATCATAAAGCAGTTTCTCAGAAAGATTCTTTCAAGTTTTTATCTGAAGATATTGCCTTTTACACCATTGGCCTCAATGCACTCACAAATACCCCTTTGCAGATTCTATCAAAACAGTGTTTCCAAACTGCTGAATTAATAGTGTAACTCTGCAAGATGAATGCACACATCACAGTGCAGTTTCTCAGATAGCTTCCTTCTATTATTTATCCTCAGATATTCACTTTTTGTCATTGGCCTCCATGAGATCCCATATGTCTATTCACAGAATGGACAAAAACAGTGTTCCCAAACTGCTGAATCCAAAAAAGGTTTAACTCTGTGAGATGCATGCACACACCACAAAGCAGTTTCTCATAAAGTTTCTTTCTAGTTTTTATCGGAAGATATTTTCTTTTCCACCATCAGCCTCAATGCTCTCCCAAATATGAATTCAAACATTTGTGATGTGAATGTGCACATCACAAAGCAGTTTCTCACAAAGCTTATTTCTAGTTTCTATCAGAAGATATTTATTTCATATTTCACCAAAGGCCTAAATGTGCTCCTAAATTTCCCTTCACAGATACTGCAAAAAAAGTGATTCCAAATTGCTGAATGAAAAGAAAGGTTTAATTCTAGGAGATGAATGCACAAAACACAAAGCGGTTTCTCAGATAGCTTCCTTCTATTTTTTTATGCTGGTAAGTTCACTTTTTGGCCATTGGTATCAATGAGTTCCCAAATGTCCATTTGCAGATGGAGAAAAACAGTGTTTCCAAACTGCTGAGTCCAAAGAAACGTTCAACTCTGTGAGATGAATGCACCCATCAAAAAGCAGCCTCTCAAAAAGCTTCTTTCTAGTTTTTCTCTGAAGATAATTCTTGTTTCATCAAAGGCCTCCATGCGCTCCCAAATTTCCCTTCACAGATACTGCAAAAACAGTGATTCCAAACTGCTGAATGAAAAGATAGTTTTAACTCTAGGAGATGAATGCACTGATCTCAAAGTCGTTTCTCAGATAATTTTCTTCTAGTTTTTATCCTGGGATATTCACTTTTTCGACATTGGCCTTAATGAGTTCCCGAATGTCCATTCACAGAATGGACAAAAAGAGTGTTTCCAAACTGGTGAATCAAAAGAAAGTTTTAATTCTTTGAGATGAATGCACCCATCCCAAAGCAGTTTCCCAAAAATCTTCTTTCTAGTTTTTAATTGAACATATTTCCTTTTTCACCATAGGCCTCAGTGCACTCCCAAATATCCCTTTGCAGATTCTACCAAAACAGTGTTTAAAACTGCTGAATTAAAAAAAGTTTTAACTTTAGGAGATGAATACACAAATCACAGACCGGTTTTTCTGATAGCTTCCTTCTAGTTTTTCCCTGGGATATTCATTTACTCACCATAATCCTCAATGATTTCACAAATGTCCTTTTGCAAAATGGACAAAAAAAGTGATTCCAAATTCTTGAATCCAAAGAAAGGTTTAACTCTGTGAGATGAATGCACACATGACAAAGCACTTTCTCAGAAAGCTTCTTTCTATTTGTTATCTGAAGATATTTATGTTTTCACTATAGGCCTCAATGGTTTCCCAAATATCCCTTCGCAGATTCTAGCAAAACAATGTTTCCAGACTGCTGAATAAAAAGAAAAGTTTCAATCAGTGAGATGAATGCACACATCACAACGCGTTTTGTCAGATAGCTTCCTTCTAGTATTGATTCTAGGATATTCACTCTCTTGTCATTGGCTTCAATGAGCATCCAAATGTCTATTCACAGAATGGACAAAAACAGTGTTTCCAAACTGTTGAATCCAAAGAAATGTTTAAGTCTGTGAGATGAATGCACACATCACAAAGCGTTTCTCAGAAAGCTCCTTTCTAGTTTTTATCTGAAGATATTTCCTATTTCATCAAAGGCCTCTATGCACTCCCAAACATCACTTCACTGATATTGCAAAAACAGTGATTACAAACTGCTGAATGGGAAGAAATTTTAACTCTAGGAGATGAATGCACATATCACAAAGCGTTTTTTCAGATAGCTTCCTTCTAATTTTTATACTGGGATATTTGCTTTTTTGACGTTAGAATCAGTGAGTTACAAAATTTTCATTTTCAGAATGGATGAAAACAGTGTTTCCAAAGTGCTGAATCAAAAGAAAATTTTAACTCTTTGAGTGGAATCCCCACATCACAAAGCAGTTTCTCAGAATGCTACTTCCCAGTTTTTCTCTCAAGATATTTTTTCTTTTACCATAGGCCTCCATGCACTCCCAAGTATCCCTGCACAGATTCCAAAAGAAGAGTGTTTCTAAACTGCTGAATTAAAAGAAATGTTTAACTCTGTGAGATGAATGCAAACATCACAACGTGGTTTCTCAGATAGCTTCCTTCTAGTATTTACCCTGGGATATTTGCTTTTTTGACATTGGCCTCAATGAGCTCTGAAATATCCATTCGTAGAATGGACAAAAACAGTGTTTCAAAGCTGCTGAATCCAAAGAAACAGTTAACTCTGTGATATGAGTGCACACATCACAAAGTAGTTTCTCAGAAAGATTCTCTCTAGTTTTCTTCTCAAGAAATTTCCTATTTCATAGAAGGCCTCCATGACCTCCCAAATTTCCCTTCACAGATACTGCAAAAACAGTGACTCCAAACTGCTGAATGAAAAGAAGGGTTTAACATTAGGAGATGAATGCACATATCACAAAGCGGTTTCTCAGACAGCTTCTTTCTAGGTTTTATCCTGGGATATTCACTTTATCGCCCTTGTCCTCAATGAGTTCCCAAATGTAGATTTGCAGAATGGACAAAAAGTGTTTCCAAACTGCTGAATCCAAAGAAAAGTTTAACTCTTTGGGTTGAATGCACACATCAAAAAGCAGTTTCTGAGAAAGCTTTTTTTTTAGTTTTTATCTGAAGATATTTTCTTTTTCACCATAGGCCTCAATACACTCCCAAATATCCCTTTGAGGATTCATCCCAAACACTGTTTCCAAAATTCTGAATGAAAGCCAAAGTTTAACACTGCGAGATGAATGCACACTTCACAACACAGTTTCTCAGATGATTTCGTTCTAGTATTTTTCCTAGGATATTCACTTTTTCACCATTGGCCTCAATGAGTTCCCAAGTGTCCTTTCACAGAACGGACAAAAAATGTGTTTATGAACTGCTGAATCCAAAGGAATTTTTAAATCTCTGTGATGAATGAACCCATCACAAAGCAACTTCACTGATGGCTTCTTTCCAGTTTGTATCTGAAGATATTCCTATTTCATCAAAGAAATCAATTCACTCCCAAATTTCCTTTGACAGATACTTCAAACAGAGTGAATCCAAACTGCTGAATGGAAAGAAAATTTTAATTCCAGGAGATGACTGCACACATCACAAAGCAGTTTCCCAGATAGCTTCCTGCTACTTTTTAACCTGGGATATTCACTTTTTTGCCATTGGCCTCAAAGAGTTTCAAATGTCCATTCACAGAATGGACAAAAACAGTCTTTCCAAACAGCTGAATCCAAGGAAATCTTTAACTCTTTGAGATGAATGCACACATCACAAAACAGTTTCTCAGAAAGACTCTTTATAGTTTTTATCTGAAGGTATTTTTTTTTTCTCCTTTGGCCTCAATGTGCTCCAAAACATCCCTTCACAGATACTATCAATACAGTTTTTCCAAACTGCTCAATGAAAAGAAATTTTTAACTCTAGGAGACGAATGCACTCATCATAAAGCAGTTTCTCAGATAGATTCCTTCTAGTTTTTATACTGGGATATTCCCTTTTTTGCCATTTGCCTCAATGAGCTACAAAATGTCCATTCGTGAAATGGACAAAAACAGTGTTTCCATACTGCTGAATCCAAAGAAACGTTTAACTCTGTGAGATGAATGCGGACATCACAAAGCAATTTCTCAGAAAACTTTCTAGTTTTTATCTGAAGATGATACTTCCTTTTTCACCTTATGCCTCAATGTGCTCCCAAATATCAATTCACAGGTTGTACCAAAACGGTGTTTCCAAACTGCTGAATTAAAAGAAAATGTAACTCTGAGAGATGACTAGACACATCGTAAAGAGGTTCTTCAGATATCTTCCTTCTAGTATTTATCATGGGATATTCCCTTTTTTGCCTTTGGCCTTTACGAGCTTCCAAATGTCCATTTGTCAAATGGACAAAAACAGTGTTCCCAAGCTGCTGAGTCCAAAGAAATGATAAACTCTGTGAGATAAAGGAATACATCACAAAGCTCTTTCTCAGAATGCTTCTTTCTAGGATTTATCTGAATTTATTTCCTGTTTCATTAAAGGCCTCCATGCACTCCCAAATTTCCCTTTGCAGATTCTGCAAAAACAGTGATTCCAAACTGCTGAATGAAAAGAAATCTTTACCTCTGTGAGATGAATGCACAAGTCACAAAGCTGTTTCTCAGATTGCTTCCTTCTAGTTTTTATCCCCTGATATGAGCTTTTTCACCTTTGGCCTCAATAAGTTCCCAAAAGTCAATTCACAGAATGGACAAATACAGTGTTTGCAAACTGCTGAATCCAAAGAAAGTTTTAACTCTATGAGAGGAATGCACTCATCACAAAGCAGTTTCTCAGAAAGATTCTTTCTGGTTTTATCTGAATATATTTCCTTTTTCAACTTATTCCTCAATATGCTCCAAATATCCCATCACAGATTCTACCAAAACGGTGTTTTCAAACTGGTAAATGAAAAGAAAAGTTTAACTTTAGGAGATGAATGCACACATCACAACACGGTTTCTCTGATTGTTTAATTCTAGTTTTTATCCTGGAATATTCTCTTTTTCACCATTGGCCTCAATGAGTTCCAAATGTCCATTTGCAGAATGGACAAAATCAATGTTTCCAAACAGATGAATCCAAAGAACGTTTTAACTCTGTGAGATGAATGAACACATCACAAAGCAGTTTCTCAGAAAGTTTCTTTCTAGTTTTTATTTGAAGTTATTTTGTATTTCGTCAAATGCCTCAAAATGCTCCCAAATTTCCCTTCAGAGATTCTGCAAAAACATTGATTCCAAAGTGCTGAATGAAAAGAAAAGTTTTATGTCTAGGAGATGAATGCACACATCACAAAGCGGTTTATCAGATAGCTTCCTTCTAGTTTTTATCCAGGAATATTAAGGTTTTCGATATTTGCCTGACTGAGCAACAAAATGTCCATTACAAGAATGAACAAAAACTGTGTTTGCAAACTGCTGAATCCAAAGAAATGTTTAAGTCTGTGAGACGAAAGCATACATCAAAAGGGCAGTTTTTCAGAAAGCTCCTTTCTAGTTTTTACATGAAGATATTTCCTATTTCATCAAAGGTCTCAACGTGCTTTCAAATATCACTTTGGAAATACTGCAAAAACAGTGATTCCAAATTGCTGAATGAAAAGAATGTTTTAACTCTTGAATACGAATGCCTATATCATAAAACGGTTTCTCCTATAGCTTCCTTCTTGTTATTATCCTGGGATATTTGCTTTTTCGCCATTGGCCTCAATGCGTTCCAAAATTTCCATTTGCAGAATGGACAAAAGCAGTGTTTCCAGACTGCTGAATCCAAAGACAAGTTTAACTCTGTGAGATGAATGAATCATCACAAAGCAGTTTCTCAGAAAGCTTCTTTCTTCTTTTATCTGTAGATATTTCCTTTCTCACCATAGGTCTTAATAAGCTCCAAAATATACCTATGCATATTATACCAAAACAGTGTTTCCAAACTGCTGAATGAAAAGAAAAGTTTAACTCTGTGAGATGAATGCACAAATCACAAAGTGGTTTCTCAGATGGTTTCCTTCTAGCTTTTATCCTGAGATATTCACTTTTTCACCATTGACCTCAATGAGTTCCCAAATGTCCTTTTGCAGAATGATCAAAGACAGTGTTTGCAAACTGCTGAATCTAAAAAAAGTTTTAACTCTGTGAGATGAACGCACACCTCACAAAGCAGTTTCTCAGAAAGTCTTTCTAGTTTTCATCGGAAGATATTTCCTTTTTCACCATATTCCTCAAGAAGCTCCAAATATCACTTCCCAGATTATGCCAAAACAAAGTTTCCAAACTGCAGAATGATAAGAAAGCTTTAAATTTGCAAGATACATGCACATATCTCAAAGCGGGTCCTCAGATAGCTTCCTTCTAGTTTTTATCCAGGGATGTTCTCTTTTTAGACATTGGCCTCAATGAGTTCCCAAATGTCCCGTCACAGAAAGGATAAAAACAGTGTTTCCAAACAGATGAATCCAAAGAAAGTTTTAAATCTGTGAGATGAATGCAGACATCAAAACACAGTTTCTCAGAAAACGTCTTTCTAGTTTTTATCTGAAGATATTTCCTTTTACTCCATAGGCCTCAAAGCCCTCCCAAGTATCCCTTCACATATTTTACCAAAACAGTGTATCCAAACGGCTAAATGAAAAGAAAGGTTTAACTCTAGAAGATGAATGCACACATCACGAAACGGTTTCTCAGATAGCTTCCTTCTAGTTTTTATCCTGGGATATTCACTTTTTCGCCATTGGCCTCAATGAGCTCCCAAATGTCCATTCACAGAAAGACAAAAACAGTGTTTCCAAAATGATGAATCCAAAGAAATGTTTACATCTGTGAGATGAATGTGCACATCACAAAGCTGTTTCTCAGAATGTTTCTTTCTAGTTTTTATCTGATGATATTTCATTTTTCACCATAGACCTCATTATGCTGCCAAATATCTCTTAGCAGATTCAACCAAAACAGTGTATCCAAAGTGCTGAATGAAAAGAAAGGTTTACTTCTAGGAGAAGAATGCCCAGATCACAAAGCAGTTTCTCAGATAGATTCCTTCTAGTTTTTATCCTAATATATTCGCTTTTTTTTACCATTGGCTACAATGAGCTCCAAAATGTACATTCCCAGAATGGACAAAAACAGTGTTTACAAAATGCTGTATAAAAAGACATGTTTAAGTCTGGGAAATGAACACAAACATCACAAAGCAGTTTCACAGAAACCTTCTTTCTAGTTTTTATCTGAAGATATTTCCTATGTCTTCAAAGGCCTCAATGCACTCCCAACTTTCCCTTTGCAGATACTGCAAAAACAGTGATTCCAAACTGCTGAATGAAAAGAAAAGTTTACCTCTGGGAGACAAATGCACATATCATAAAATGGTTTACCAGAGAGCTAACTTCTAGCTTTCATCTAGAGATATTCACTTTTTTACCATTGGCCTCAATGAGTTCCCAAATGTCCATTTGCAGAATGGACAAAAACAGCATTTACAAACTGATTAATCAAAAGAAAGGTTTAACTCTGTGAGTTGAATGCACACATCACAGAGAACTTTCTCAGAAGGCTTTTTTTCTAGCTTATATCTGAAGATATTTAGTTTTTCACCATTGGCCTCAATATGCTCCCAAATATCCCTTCACAGATCCTACCAAAACAGTGTTTCCATACTGACGAATGAAAAGAAAGGTTTAGCTCTGTGAGATGAATGCATGCATCACAAACTGGTTTCTCTGATAGCTTCCTTCTAGTTTTAATCCTAGGATATTCAAATTTTCTCCATTGGCCTCAATGAGCTCTGAAATGTCGGTTCTCAGATAGGACAAAAACAGTTTTTCCAAACTGTTGAATCCAAAGCAAGTTTTAACTCTGTGAGATGTATGCAAACATCTCAAAGCAGTTTCTCAGAAAGCTTCCTTCTAGTTTTCATCTGAAAATATTTCCTTTTGCACCATAGGATTCAATGTGCTACCAAATATACCTTCGCAGGTCCTACCATAACAGAGTTTCCAAATTGCTGAATGAAAAGAAAGGATTCACTCTGTGAGATGAATGCACACATCACCAAGCGGTTTCTCAGATAGCTTTCTTCTAGTTTTTATCCTGGAGTATTCACTTTTTCACCATTGGTCTCAATGAGCTCCCAAATGTCCATTCACAGAATGGACAAACGCAGTGTTTCCTAACTGCTGACTCCACACAATAGCTTATCTCTGTGAGATGAATGCACACATCATGAAGTAGTTGCTCAGAAAGCTTCTTTCTAGTTTTCACCTGAAAAACATTTCCTTTTTCACCATAGGCCTCAATGTGCTCTCAAATATCCCTTCATAGATTCAAATATAACAGGGTTTCCAGACTGTTGAGTGAAAATAAAAGTTTAAAACTGCCAGATGAATGCACACATCACTATGCAGTTTCTCTGATAGTTTAATTCTAGTTTTTTCCTGGAATATTCCCTTTTTCGCCATTGGCCTTAAAGAGTTCCAAGTGTCCATTCACAGAATGGACAAAAACAGTATTTCCAAAATGCTGAATCCAAAGAAAGGTTTAAATCTGTGAGATGAATGCACACATCACAAAGCAGTTTCTCAGAAAGCTTCTTTCTAGTTTTTATCTGAAGGTATTTCCCTTTTCTCCATTGGCCTCAACGCGCTCCCAAATATTCCTTCACAGAGCATGCCAAAACAGCATTTCCAAACTGATGAATGAAAAGAAAGATTTAACTCTACAAGATGAATGCACACATCATGAAGTTGTTTCTCTGATAACTTTCTTCTAGTTTTTATGCTGGGATATTCCCTTTTTCTCCATTGGCCTCAATGAGCTCTGAAATGTCCATTCTCACATTTGACAAACACAGTTTTACCAAACTGTTGAATCCAAAGAAACTTTTAACTCTGGGAGATGTATGCACACATCTCAAAGCAGTTTCTCAGATAATTTCCTTCTAGTTTTTATCTTGGGATATTCACTTTTTCGAAATTGGCCTCAATGAGCTCCCAAATGTCCATTCACAGAATGGACAAAATAAGTGTTTCCTAACTATTGAATCCAAAGAAACGTTTAACTCTGTGAGATGAATGAACACATTTTAAAGCAGTTTCCAAGAAAGCTTATTTCTAGATTTTATCTGAAGATATTTACTTTATCACCATAGGTGTGAATGTGCTCCCAAATATCCCTTTGCAGACTCTACCAAGACTGTGTTTCCAAACTGCTGAATGAAATGAAACTTTTACACTGCCTGATGAATGCACACATCACAAAGCAATTTCTCAGATAGCTTTCTTCTAGTTTTCATCCTGGGATATTCACTTTTTCATCTTTGCCTCAATGAGCTCCCAAGTGTCCATTTGCAGTATGGACAAAAACAGTGATTCCAAACTTCTGAATCCAAGGAAAGGTTTAACTGTCAGATGAATTAAAACATCACAAAACAGTTTCTAAGAAAACATCTTTCTAGTTTTCATCTGAAGATATTTCCTTTTTCATCATAGGCCTCAAAGCACTCCCAAATATTCCTTCTTAGATTTTACCAAAACAGAGTTTCCAAACTGCTGAATGAAAAGAAAAGTTTAAGTCTGTGAGATGAATGGACACATCCAAAACCGGTTTCTGAGATAACTTCCTTCTCGTTTTTATCCTGGGATATTCACTTTGTTGATAATGACCTCAAGGAGCTCCATAATGTCCATTCAAATTATTTAATAAACAGTGTTTCCAAACTGCTGAACCCAAAGAAAGGTTTAGGTCTTTAAGATGAATGCACACATCACAAAGCAGTTTCTCAGAAAGATTCTTTCTAGATTTTGTCTGAAGGTATTTCCTTTATTACCATAAGACTCAATGTGAGCCCAAATATAACTTTGCAGATTCTAAAAAGATCGTTTCGAACTTGCTGAATGAAAAGAAACGTTTAATTGTAGGAGATGAATGCATATATCACGGAGCAGTTTCTCAGATAGTTTCCTTGTAGGTTTTATTCTGTGATATTCACTTTTTCGCCATTGGCCCCAGTGAGCTCCCAAATGTCCATTTGCAGGTTGGAGAAAAACAGTGTTTACAAACTGATGAAACCAGAAAAACTTTTTTTTTTTTTTTTTTTTTTTTTGAGACGGAGTCTCGCTCTGTCACCCAGGCTGGAGTGCAGTGGCGGGATCTCGGCTCACTGCAAGCTCTGCCTCCTGGGTTCATGCCATTCTCCTGCCTCAGCCTCCCAAGTAGCTGGGACTACAGGCGCCCGCCCCTATGCCCGGCTAATTTTTTGTATTTTAATAGAGACGGGGTTTCACCGTTTTAGCCGGGATGGTCTCGATCTCCTGACCTCGTGATCCGCCCACCTCAGCCTCCCAAAGTGCTGGGATTACAGGTGTGAGCCACCGCGCCCGGCCCAGAAAAACTTTTAACACTGTGAGATGAATGCACACATCACAAACCAATTTCTCAGAAAGCTTCTTTCTAGTTTTTACCTGAAGATATTTGCTTTTTCCCCATAGGCAAAAATATGCTCCAAAATATCCCTTTGCAGATACTGCCAAAACAGTGCTTCCAAACTGCTGAATGAAAAGAAAGTTTTAGCTCTGCAAGATGAATGCATGCATCATAAAGCGGTTTCTCGGATTGCTTCTTTCAAGTTTTTATCCTGGGATATTCGCCTTTTCACCATTGGCCTCAATCAGCTCTGAAATGTCCATTCACAGATAGACAAAAACCGTGTTTCCAAACTGCAGAATCCAAAGAAAGGTTTACCTCTGTGAAATGAATACCCACATCACAATGCAGTTTCTCAGAAAGCTTCTTTCTAGTTTTTATCTGAAGGTATTTCCATTTTCATCATAAGCCTCATTGCTTTCCCAAATATTTATTTGCAGATTCCACCAAAATAGTGTTTTAAAACTGCTGAATTAAAAGAAAGGTTTATTTCTCTACCTGATGAATGGACATATCACAGAGCGCCTTCTCAGATAGCTTCCTTCTAGTTTTAATAGTGACATATTTGCATTTACACCCTTGGCATCAATGAGCTCCAAAATGTCCATTCGCAGAATGGATAAAAACAGTGTTTACAAACTGCTGAATCCAAAGAGGCATTTAAATCTGTGAGATGAATGCACAATCACAAATCAGTTGCTCTTAAAGCTTCCTTCTAGTTTTTATCCTGGGATGTTCACTTTTTCACATTTGGCCTCAATGAGCTCCCAAATGTCCATATGCAAAATGGACAAAAATGGTGATTCCAAACAGCTGAATCCAAAGAAAGGTTTAACTCTGTTAGATGAATGCACACATCACATCACAAAGTAGTCTCTCAGAAAGCTTCTTTCTACTTTTTATAAGAAGATGTTTCCTTTTGCCTCATATGCAACAATACACTCCCAAATATCCCTTTGCAGATTCTACTAAAACAGTGTCTCCAAACTGCTGAATGAAAAGAAAGTTGTAGCTCTTCAAGATGAATGCACGCATCACAGAGCAGTTTCTGATTGCTTCCTTCTAGTATTTATCCTGGGATATTCACTTTTTAGCCTTTGGCCTCAAGGAGTTCTCGAATGTCCATTCTCAGAATGGACAAGTCAGTGTTTTCAAAATGCTGAATCCAAAGACACATTTAACTCTGTGAGATAAATGCACACATCACAAAGCACTTTCACAGAAAGATTCTTTCTAGTTTTTATCCAAAGATATTTCCTATTTCATGAAAGGCCACAAGGCATTCCCAAATTTCCCTATGCAGATACTGCAAAAACAGTGATTCCAAAATGCTAAATGAAAAGAAAGTTTTAAGTCTAAGAGATCAATTCACACATCACAAAGAGGTTTCTTTGGTAGTTTCCTTCTAGTTTTTATTGTGGGATATTCGCTTTTTCACCATTGTCCTCAATGAGTTCCCAAATGTGCATTCACAGAATGGACAAAAACAGTGTTTCCAAACTGCTGAATAAAAAGAAAGGTTTAACTCTGTAACATGAAAGCACACATCAAAAAGCTGTTTCTCAGAAAGCTTCTTTCTAGTTTTATCTGAAGCTATTTCCTATTTCATCAAAGGTCTCAATGAAATCCCAAATTTCCCTTCACAGATACTGCAAAAACAGTGATTATAAACTCTGGAATTAAAAGAAAGTTTTAACTCTAGGAGATGAATGCACACATCACAAAGTGTTTTCTCAGATATCTTCCTTCTAGTTTTTATCCTGGGATATTTGCTTTTTTTCCTTTGGCCTCAATGAGTTCCCAAATGTCTACTCACAGAATGGACAAAAAGAGTGTTTCCAAACTGCTGAGTCCAAAGAAAGTTTTAACTCTGTGAGATGAATGTACACATCACCAAGCAATTTCCCAGAAAGCTACTTTCCAGTTTTTATCTTAAGATATTTCCTTTTTCACCATAAGCCTCAATGTTTTTACAAATATCTCTTATCAGATGCTACCAAAACAGTGTTTCCAAACTGCTGAATGAAAAGACAAGTTTAAATTTTGGAGATGAATGCACACATCACTTAGCAGTTATTCAGATAGCTTACTTCTAGTTGTTATCCTGCGTTATTCACTTTTTCACCATTGGCCTCAATGAGTTCACAAATGTCCATTTGCTGAACGGACAAAACCACTGTTTCCAAACTGCTGAATCCAAAGTAAAGTATAATTCCATGAGAATAATGTGCACATCACAAAGCAGTTTCCCAGAAAGCTTCTTTTTAGGGTTTATCTGAAAATATTTCTTTTGTCACCACAGGCCTCAGTGTGCTCCCAAATATCCCTTCTGAGATTCAACCAAAAGAGTGTTTCCAATATGCTCAATGAAAAGAAAGTTTTAACTCTGCAAGATGAATGCACACATCACATGACGGTTTCTCTGCTAGCTTCCTTCTAGTTTTTATCCTGGGATATTCACTTTTTCACCATTGGCCTCAATGAGGTCCCAAACATCCACTCAAGGAAGGCGTCAAAAAAGTGTTTCCAAACTGCAGAATCCAAAGTAAGTTTTACCTCTGTGAGATGAATGCACACATCACAACGCAGTTTCTCAGATAGCTTCCTTCTATTATTTATCCTAGGATATTTGCTTTTTCACCATTGGCCTCTATGAGTTCCCAAGTGTACATTCACAGAATGAACAAAAACAGTGTTTCCAAACTGCTGAATCCAAAGAAACTTTTAACTCTGTGAGATGAATACACACATGAAAAAGCAGTATCTTGGAAAGATTCTTTCTAGTTTTTATCTGAAGATATTTCCTATTTCATCAAAGGCTTCAAAGTGTTTCCAAATTTCCCTACCCAGAAACTGCAAAGAAATTGATACAAACTGCTGAAGGAAAAGAAAATTTTAACTCTAGGAGAGGAATGCACACATCAAAAAGTGGTTTCTCAGATAGCTTCCTTCTAGTTTTTATCCTGGGATATTTGCTTTTTCACCTTTGGCCTCATTGAGTTCCCAAATGTCCATTCACAGAATGGACAAAAACAGTGTTTCCAAAATGATGAATCAAAAAATTTATAACTCTGTGAGATGAATGCATACATCACAAAGCAGTTTCTCAGAGAGATTCCTTCTAATTTTTATCTGAAGATAATTCCTTTTTAACCATAGGCCTTAATGTGCTCCCAAAAATGCCTTTGCAGATTCTACCAAGATAGTGTTTCCAAACTGCTGAATGAAAAGAAAGTTTTAAATCTGCCAGATGAATGCAAACATCACAAAGTGGTGTCTCAGAGAGCTTCCTTCTAGTTTTTATCCTGGGATATTCCCTTTTTCGGTATTGGCCTGAATGAACTACCAAATGTCCATTCGCAGAATGGATGAAAACAGTGTTTACAATCTGCTGAATCCAAAGAAACGTTTAACTCTGTTAGAGAATGCACACATCAAAAAGCAGTTTCTGAGAAAGAATATTTGAAGATATTTCCTTTTTCTCCATAGGCCTCAATGCACTCCCAAATATACATTTGCAGATTCTATCACAACAGTGTTACCAAACTGCTGAATGAAAAGAAATGCTTAACTTCAAAAGAAGAATGCACACATCACAAATTGGTTTCTCAGATAGTTTCCTCCTAGTATTTAGCTGGGATACTCGCTTTTTCTCCTTGTCCTCAAAGAGCTTCCAAATGCCCATTCACCAAATGAACAAAAACAGTGTTTACAATCTGCTGAATACAATGAAACTTTTAACTCTGTTAGAGAATGCACACATCACAAAGCAGTTTCTGAGAAAGATATTTTCTAGTTTTTATCTGAAGATATTGCCTTTATCATCAAAACCTCAATGCACTCCAAAATATCCCATTGCAGATTCTACTGAAAGTGTGTTTCCTGACTGCTGAATGAAAAGAAAGGCTTAGCTCTCTGAGATGAATGCACACATCACAAAGCTGTTTCTCAGATAGTTTTCTTCTAGGTTTTAACCTGGGATATTCCCTTTTGTCACCATTGTTTTCAATGAGCTCCCAAATGTCCATTCACATAATGGACAAAAAACAGTGTTTCCTAACTACTGAATCCAAAGAAATTTACCCCTGTGAGATGAATGCACACATCACAAAGCAGTTTCTCAGAAAGATTCTTTCTAGTTTTTATGTGAATATAGTTCCTTTTTCACCATAGGCCTCAATGTGCTCTGAAAAATACCTTTGCAATGCTGAATGAAAATAAACGTTTAAATTTAGGAGAAGAATGCACACATCACAAAGCAGTTTCTCAGATAGCTTCCTTCAAGTTTTTATCCTGGGGTATTCACTTTTTGGCCATTGGCCTCAGAAAGATTCTTTCTACTTTTTATGTGAATATAGTTCCTTTTTCGCCATAGACCTCAATGTGCTCTGAAAAATACCTTTGCAAATGCTACAAAAACAGTTTTTCCAAAATGCTGAATGAAAATAAATGTTTAAATTTAGGAGAAGAATGCACACATCACAAAACGGTTTCTCAGATAGCTTCCTTCAAGTTTTTATCCTGGGATATTCACTTTTTGGCCTTTGGCCTCAATGAGTTCACAAATGTCCATTCACTGAATGGACAAAAGCAGTGTTACCAAACAGATGAACCCAAAGGAAGGTTTAACTCTGTGAGATGAATGGACACATCATGAAGCAGTTTCTCAGAAAGCTTCTTTCTCGTTCTCATCTCAAGATATTTTCTTTTTCACCATAGGCTTCAATGTGTGCTCATGTATCTCTTTGCACGTTCTAACAAAACCATATTTACAAACTGCTGAATGAAAAGGAATGTTTAAATCTGCGAGATGAATGCAAATATCACAACACAGTTTTCTAGATAGTTTCCTTCTAGTATTTATCCTGGGATATTCCCTTTTTTGCCATTGGCCTCAGTGAGCTCTGAATTGTCCATTTGCAGAATGCACAAAAACAGTGATTCCAAACTCCTGAATCCAAAGAAATGTTTAAGACATTGAATGGTGACATGAATGCAGACATCACAAAGCAGTTGCTCAGAAAGTTTCTTTCTAGTTTTTATCTAAAGATATATCCTATTTCATCAAAGACTTCAATGTGCTCCCAAATTTCCCTTTGCAGATACTTCAAAAACAGTGATTCCTGGATAAAAGCTTGAAGGAAGCTATTTGAGAAATAGTTTTTTGAAGTGTGCATTAATCTCTTAGAGTTAAACCATTCTCTTCATTCAGCATTTTGGAAACACTCTTTTGGTAGAATCTGCTAAGGGATATTTTGGAGGGCATTGAGTCCAATGGTGAAAAAGGAAATATCTTCACATAGAAACTAGAAAGAATACTTCTGAAAAACTGCTTTGTGATGTGTGCATTCGTCTCACAGAGTTAACGTTTGTTTTGATTCAACAGTTTAAAAACACTGTTTTTATCCATTCTGTGAATGGACACTTGGAAATTCATTGAGTCCAATGGCAAAAAAGAAAATATCCCAGGATAAAAACTAGAAGGAAGCTACCTGAGAAACTGTTTGTGAGGTGTGCTTTCATCCCCTTAAGTTAAACCTTTCCATTCACTCAGCAGTATGGAAGCACTCTTTTGATAGAATCCGTGAAGGGACATTTGGGAGAGCAATCAGGTCTATGGTGAAAAAGGAAATATATTCAGATAAAACCTAGAAAGAGACTTTTTGAGAAACTGCTTTGTGATGTGTGCCTTTATCTCATAGAGTTAAACGTTTCCATGGTTTCTACACTTTGGAAACTCTGTTTTTGTCCATTTTGCAATTGGACATTTAGGAGCTCATTGACATCAATGGTGGAAAAGCAAATATCCCAGGATATAAACTACAAGGAAGCTATGTGAGAAAGTGTTTGTGACATGTGCATTCATCCTGCAACGTTATACTTTTCTTTTCATTCAGTAGTTTGGAAACAATGTTTTGGTAGAATCTGCAGAGGGATATTCAGGAGCTCTTTGAGGCCTATGGTGAAAAATGCATTATCTTCAGATAATAAGTTGAAAGAAGCTTTCTGAGAAACTACTTTGTGATGTGTGCATTTATTTCACAGAGTTAAACCTTCTTTTGGATTCAGCCAGTTTGGAAACACAGTTTTCGTCCATTCTGCGAATGGACATTTGGGAACTCACTGAGGTCAATGGAGAAAAAGCAAATATCCAAGGATTAAAAGCTAGAATAAAGCTATCTGAGAAACTGGTTGGGATGAGTGCATTAACCTTCTAGAGTTAAACCTTTCTTTTCATTCAGCAGTTTGGAAACACTGTTTTTGTCGAATCTTGGAAGGGATATTTACAAGCACATTGGGGCCTATGGTGAAAAAAGAAATAGCTTCAGATAAAAACTAGAAAGAAGATTTCTAGAAACTGCCTTGTGTTGTTTGCATTCATCTCACAGAGTTAAACGTTTCTTTGGATTCAGTAGTTTGGAAACACTGTTTTTGTCTCTTGAATGGACATTTGGGAGCTCACTGAGGTCAATGGCAAAAAAGCTAATATCCCAGTATATAAACTAGAAGTAAGCTATCTGAGAAAGCACGTTGTGATGTGTGAATTCATCTCGCCAAGTTAAACGTTTCTTTCAATTCAGCAGTTTGGACACACTGTTTTGGTAAAATCTTCAAAGGGATATATGGGAGCAAACTGAGGCCTACTGTGATAAATGAAACACTTTCAGATAAGAACTAGAAAAAATCTTTCTGAGAAACTGCTTTGTGATGTGTGCATTCATCTCACAGAGTTAAAACTTTCTTGGGATTTAGGAGTTTGGAAAAACAGTTTTTTTCTTTTTTGACTCTGCCAATGGACATTTGGGAACTCATTGAGGCCAACGGCAAAAAAGCAAATATCCCAGAGTAAAACCTAGACAGAAGCTATCTGAGAAACCACTTTGTGATGTGTCCTTTTACCTCCTAGAGTTAAACCATTCTTTTCATCCTTCAGTTTGGAAACACTGTTTTGGTAGAATCTGTGAAGGGATATTTTTGGCTGCATTCAGGTCTATGGTGAAAAAGGAAATAATTTCAGATAGAAGGTAGGAAGAATA
This sequence comes from Homo sapiens, assembly GCF_000001405.40. Lineage (NCBI taxonomy): Eukaryota > Metazoa > Chordata > Mammalia > Primates > Hominidae > Homo > Homo sapiens. Next base: position 46,199,702 of record NC_000005.10, on the reverse strand, counting down.
TTTCTGAGAAAGTGCTTTCTGTTGTGTACATTTAACTCACGAATTTAAACCTTTCTTTAGATTCAGCATTTTGGAAGCACCAATTTATCTATTCTGTGAATAGACATTTGGGAGTTCACTGAGGATAAAAGTGAAAAAGGGAATACCCCAGGATAAAACCTAGAAGGTAGCTATCTGAGACATCACTTTATGATGTGTGCATTCATCTCATAGACATAAACCTTCCTTTTCATTCAGCACTTTGGAAACACTTTTCTTTTTTTATTTATTATTATTTTACTTTAAGTTTTAGGGTACATGGGCACAATGTGCAGGTTAGCTACATATGTATACATGTGCCATGCTGGAGCGCTGCACCCATCAACTTGCCATCTAGCATTAGGTATATCTCCCAAAGCCATATCTCCCCCCTCCCCCCCACTCCACAACAGTCCCCAGAGTGTGATGTTCCCCTTCCTGTGTCCGTGTGTTCTCATTTTTCAATTCCCACCTGTGAGTAAGAATATGCGGTGTTTGGTTTTTTGTTCTTGTGATAGTTTACTGAGAATGATGATTTCCAATTTCATCCATGTCCCTACAAAGGACATGAACTCATCATTTTTTATGGCTGCATAGTATTCCATGGTGTATATGTGCCACATTTTCTTAATCCAGTCTATCATTGTTGGACATGTGGGTTGGTTCCAAGTCTTTGCTATTGTGAATAATGCCACAATAAACATACGTGTGCATGTGTCTTTATAGCATCATGATTTATAGTCCTTTGGGTATATACTCAGTAATGGGATGGCTGGGTCAAAAGGTATTTCTAGTTCTAGATCCCTGAGGAATTTCCACACTGACTTCCACAATGGTTGAACTAGTTTACAGTCCCACCAACAGTGTAAAAGTGTTCCTATTTCTCCACACCCTCTCCAGCACCTGTTGTTTCCTGACTTTTCAAAGATTGCCATTCTAACTGGTGTGAGATGGTATCTCATTGTGGTTTTGATTTGCATTTCTCTGATGGCCAGTGATGGTGAGCATTTTTTCATGTGTTTTTTGGCTGCATAAATGTCTTCTTTTGAGAAGTGTCTGTTCATGTCCTTCACCCACTTTTTGATGGGGTTGTTTTTTTCTAGTAAATTTGTTTGAGTTCATTGTAGATTCTGGATATTAGCCCTTTGTCAGATGAGTAGGTTGCGAAAATTTTCTCCCATTTTGTAGGTTGCCTGTTCACTCTGATGGTAGTTTCTTCTGCTGTACAGAAGCTCTTTAGTTTAATTAGATCCCATTTGTCAATTTTGGCTCTGGTTGCCATTGCTTTTGGTGTTTTAGACATGAAGTCCTTGCCCATGCCTATGTCCCGAATGGTAATGCCTAGGTTGTCTTCTAGGGATTTTATGGTTTTAGGTCTAATGTTTAAGTCTTTAATCCATCTTGAATTGATTTTTGTGTAAGGTGTAAGGAAGGGATCCAGTTTCAGCTTTCTACATATGGCTAGCCAGTTTTCCCAGCACCATTTATTAAATAGGGAATCCTTTCCCCATTGCTTGTTTTTCTCAGGTTTGTTGAAGATCACATAGTTGTAGATATGCGGCATTATTTCTGAGGGCTCTGTTATGTTCCATTGATCTATATCTCTGTTTTGGTACCAGTACCATGCTGTTTTGGTTACTGTAGCCTTGTAGTATAGTTTGAAGTCAGGTAGTGTGATGCCTCCAGCTTTGTTCTTTTGTCTTAGGATTGACTTGGAGATGAGGGCTCTTTTTTGGTTCCATATGAACTTTAAAGTAGTTTTTTCCAATTCTGTGAAGAAAGTCATTGGTAGCTTCATGGGGATGGCATTGAATCTGTAAATTATCTTGGGCAGTATGGCCATTTCCACGATATTGATTCTTCCTACCCATGAGCATGGAATGTTCTTCCATTTGTTTGTGTCCTCTTTCATTTCCTTGAGCAGTGGTTTGTAGTTCTCCTTGAAGAGGTCCTTCACATCCCTTGTGAGTTGGATTCCTAGGTATTTTATTCTCTTTGAAGCAATTGTGAACGGGAGTTCACTCATGATTTGGCTCTCTGTTTGTCTGTTGTTGGTGTATAAGATTGCTTGTGATTTTTGTACAGTGATTTTGTAACCTGAGACTTTGCTGAAGTTGCTTATCAGCTTAAGGAGATTTGGGGCTGAGACAATGGGGTTTTCTAGATATACAATCATGTCGTCTGCAAACAGGGACAATTTGACTTCCTCTTTTCATATTTGAATACCCTTGATTTCCTTCTCCTGCCTGATTGCCCTGGCCAGAACTTCCAACACTATGTTGAATAGGAGTGGTGAGAGAGGGCATCCCTGTCTTGTGCCAGTTTTCAAAGGGAATGCTTCCAGTTTTTGCCCATTCAGTATGATATTGGCTGTGGGTTTGTCATAGATAGCTCTTATTATTTTGAGATATATCCCATCAATACCTAATTTATTGAGAGTTTTTAGCATGAAGGGTTGTTGAATTTTGTCAAAGGCCTTTTCTGCATCTGTTGAGATAATCATGTGGTTTTTGTCTTTGGTTCTGTTTATATGCTGGATTACATTTATTGATTTGCGTATATTGAACCAGCCTTGCATTCCAGGGATGAAGCCCACTTGATCATGGTGGATAAGCTTTTTGATGTGCTGCTGGTTTCGGTTTGCCAGTATTTTATTGAGGATTTTTACATCAATTTTCATCAAGGGTGTTGGTCTAAAATTCTCTTTTTTGGTTGTGTCTCTGCTAGACTTTGGTATCAGGATGAGGCTGGCCTCATAAAATGAGTTAGGGAGGATTCCCTCTTTTTCTGTTGATTGGAATAGTTTCAGAAGGAATGGTACCAGTTCCTCCTTATACCTCTGGTAGAATTCGGCTGTGAATCCATCTGGTCCTGGACTCTTTTTGGTTGCTAAGCTATTGATTATTGCCACAATTTCAGCTCCTGTTATTTGTCTATTCAGAGATGCAACTTCTTCCTGGTTTAGTCTTGAGAGAGTGTGTGTGTCGAGGAATTTATCCATTTCTTCTAGATTTTCTAGTTTATTTGCGTAGAGGTGTTTCTAGTATTCTCTGATGGTAGTTTGTTTTTCTGTGGGATCAGTGGTGATATCCCCTTTATCATTTTTTATTGCGTCTATTTGATTTTTCTCTCTTTTTTTCTTTATTAGTCTTGCTAGCGGTCTATCAATTTTGTTGATCCTTTCAAAAAACGAGCTCCTGGATTCATTAATTTTTTGAAGGGTTTTTGGTGTCTCTATTTCCTTCAGTTCTGCTCTGATTTTAGTTATTTCTTGCCTTCTGCTAGCTTTTGAATGTGTTTGCTCTTGCTTTTCTAGTTCTTTTAATTGTGATGTTAGGGTGTCAATTTTGGATCTTTCCTGCTTTCTCTTGTGGGCATTTAGTGCTATAAATTTCCCTCTACACACTGCTTTGAATGCGTCCCAGAGATTTTGGTATGTTGTGTCTTTGTTCTCGTTGGTTTCAAAGAACATCTTTATTTCCGCCTTCATTTCGTTATGTATCCCGTAGTCATTCAGGAGCACGTTGTTCAGTTTCCATGTAGTTGAGCGGTTTTGAGTGAGATTCTTAATCCTGAGTTCTAGTGTGATCGCACTGCGGTCTGAGAGATAGCTTGTTATAATTTCTGCTCTTTTACATGTGTTGAGAAGAGCTTTACTTCCAAGTTTGTGGTCAATTTAGGAATAGGTGTGGTGTGGTGCTGAAAAAAATGTATATTCTGTTGATATGGGGTGGAGAGTTCTGTAGATGTCTATTAGGTCCGCTTGGTGCAGAGCTGAGTTCAATTCCTGGGTATCCTTGTTGACTTTCTCTCTTGTTGATCTGTCTAATGTAGACAGTGGGGTGTTAAAGTCTCCCATTATTATTGTGTGGGAGTCTAAGTCTCTTTGTAGGTCACTCGAGACTTGTTTTTTGAATCTGGTTTGTCCTGTATTGGGTGCATATATATTTAGGATAGTTAGCTCTTCTTGTTGAATTGATCCCTTTACCATTATGTAATGGCCTTCCTTGTCTCTTTTGATCTTTGTTGGTTTAAAGTCTGTTTTATCAGAGACTACGATTGCAACCCCTGCCTTTTTTTGTTTTCTATTTGCTTGGTAGATCTTCCTCCATCCTTTTATTTTGAGCCTATGTGTGTCTCTGCATGTGAGATGGGTTTCCTGAATACAGCACACTGATGGGTCTTGACTCTTTATCCAATTTGCCAGTCCGTGTCTTTTAATTGGAGCATTTAGTCCATTTACATTTAAAGTTAATATTCTTATGTTTGAATTTGTTCCTGTCATTATGATGTTCGCTGGTTATTTTGCTCGTTAGTTGATGCAGTTTCTTCCTAGTCTCGATGGTCTTTACATTTTGGCATGATTTTGCAGCAGCTGGTACCGGTTGTTCCTTTCCATGTTTAGCACTTCCTTCAGGAGCTCTTTTAGGGCAGGCCTTGTGGTGACAAAATCTCTCAGCATTTGCTTGTCTGTAAAGGATTCTATTTCTCCTTCACTTATGAAGCTTAGTTTGGCTGGATATGAAACTCTGGGTTGAAAATTCTTTTCTTTAAGAATGTTGAATATTGGCCCAGACTCTCTTCTGGCTTGTAGAGTTTCTGCCGAGAGACCTGCTGTTAGTCTGATGGGCTTCCCTTTGAGGGTAACCCGACCTTTCTCTCTGGCTGCCCTTAATATTTTTTCCTTCATTTCAACTTTGGTGAATCTGACAATTATGTGCTTGGAGTTGCTATTCTTGAGGAGTATCATTGTGGCATTCTCTGTATTTCCTGCGTCTGAATATTGGCCTGCCTTGTGAGTTTGGGCAAGTTTTCCTGGATAATAGCCTGTGGAGTGTTTTCCAACTTGGGTCCATTCTCCCCGTCACTTTCCGGTACACCAGTCAGATGTAGATTTGGTCTTTTCACATAGACCCATATTTCTTGGAGGCTTTGCTCGTTTCTTTTTATTCTTTTTTCTCCAAACTTCCCTTCTTGCTTCATTTCATTCATTTCATCTTCCATCGCTGATACACTTTCTTCCAGTTGATCACATCGGCTCCTGAGGCTTCTGTATTCTTCACGTAGTTCTCGAGCCTTGGTTTTCAGCTCCATCAGCTCCTTTAAGCACTTCTCTGTATTGGTTATTCTAGTTACACATTCTTCTAAATTTTTTTCAAAGTTTTCAACTTCTTTGCCTTTGGTTTGAATGACCTCCCGTAGCTCGGAGTAATTTGATCGTCTGAAGCCTTCTTCTCTCAGCTCATCAAAGTCATTCTCCATCCAGCTGTGTTCTGTTGCTGGTGAGGAACCGCATTCCTTTGGAGGAGGAGAGGTCCTCTTCTTTTGAGAGTTTCCAGTTTTTCTGCTCTGTTTTTTCCCCATCTTTGTGGTTTTATCTACTTTTGGTTTTTGATGATGGTGATGTACAGATGGGTTTTTGGTGTGGATGATGTCCTTTCTGTTTGTTAGTTTTCCTTCTAACAGACAGGACCCTCAGCTTCAGGTCTGTTGGGGTACCCGGCCGTGTGTGCTGTCAGTCTGTCCCTGCTGGGGGTGCCTCCCAGTTATCCTGCTTGGGGGCAGGGGTCAGGGACCCACTTGAGGAGGCAGTCTGCCCGTTCTCAGTTCTCCAGCTGCATACTGGGGGTACTACTGCTCTCTTCAAAGGTGTCAGACAGGGACTTTTAAGTCTGCAGAGGTTACTGCTGTGTTTTTGTTTGTCTGAGCCCTGCCCCCAGAGTTGGAGCCTACAGAGGCAGGCAGGCCTCCTTGAGCTGTGGTGGGCTCCACCCATTTTGAGCTTCCCAGCTGCTTTGTTTACATAAGCAAGCCTGGGCAATAGTGGGTGCCCCTCCCCCAGCCTCACTGCCACCTTGCAGTTTGATCTCAGACTGCTGTGCTAACAATCAGCGAGATTCCATGGGCCTAGGACCATTTGAGCCAGGTGCGGGATATAATCTGGTTCACCATTTTTTAAGACCATCAGAAAAGCGCATTATTCTGGTTGGAGTGACCCAGTTTTCCAGGTGCCATCTGTCACCCCTTTCTTTGACTAGGAAAGATAACTCCCTGACTCCTTGCACTTCCCGAGTGAGACAATGCCTCACCCTGCTTCTGCTAGCACACGGTGCATGCCTTACCTGTGCCCACTCTCTGGCATTCCCTACTGCGATGAACCTGGTACCTCAGATGGAAATGCAGAAATCACCTGTCTTCTGCGTTGCTCATGCTGGGAGCTGTAGACTGGAGTTGTTCCTATTCGGCCATCTTGGCTCCTCCAGTCTGGAAACACTTTTCTGGTAGGATCTGCGAATGGATATTTGGAAGCATAATGAGCTCTTGAGTGAACAAGGAAATATCATCACATAAGAACTGGAAAGAATCTTTCCAAGAAAGTGCCTTGTGATGTGTGCCTTCATCAAAAAGAGTTAAACATTTCTTTGCATTCAGAAGTTTGGAAAGTTTGTTTTTGTAATTTCTGTGAATGGACATTTGGGATATCAATGAGGCCAATTGTGAAAAAGTGAATATCCCAGGATCAAAACCAGAAAGAAGCAATCTGAGAAACAGCGTTGTGGTGTGTGCATTCATCTCACAGAGTTAAACTTTTCTTTCAGAAGTTTAGAAACACTGTTTTTGTAGAATTTGTGAAAGGATATTTGGGAGAACTTTGAGGCCTATGGTGAAAAAGGAATTATCTTCAGATAAAAGCTAGAAGGAAGATTTCTGAGAAACTGCTTTTTAGTGTGTGCATTCAACTAGAAAAGATAAACCTTTCTTTAGATTCAGCAGTTTGGAAACACTGTTTTTGTCCATTCTTTGAATGGACATTTGGGAACTCACTGAGGCCAATGGCGAAGAAGTGAATATCCCAGGATAAAAACTAGAAGGAACGTATCTGAGAAACTGCTTTGTGATGTGTGCGTTCCTCTCCTAGAGTTAAAACTTTCTTTTCATTCAGCAGTTTGGAAACACTGTTTTGGTAGGATCTATGAAGGGATATTTGGGAGCGCATTGAGGCCTATGGTGGAAAAGGAAATATCTTCAGATAAAAACTAGAAAGAAGTTCTCTGAGAAACTGCATTTTGATGTGTACATTCATCTCATGAGATAAACCTTACTTTTCATTCAGGCAGTTTGAAATCACTGTTTTTGCATTATCTGTGAAGAAAAACTTGGGAGCGCATTGAGGCCTATGATGAGAAAGGAAATATCTTTAGAGAAAAACTAGAAAGAAGCTTTCTGAGAGACTGATTCATCATGTGTGCATTCATCTCACAGAGTCAAACATTTCTTTGGATGCAGCAGATTGGAAACAGTTTTTCACTTTGCAGATATTGCAAAAACAGTTTCTCCAAACTGCTGAATGAAAGGAAAGGTTTTACTCTAGGAGACCAATGCACACATCCAAAGTGGTTTCTCAGATAGCTTCCTTCTAGTTTTTATTCTAAGATATTCCTTTTTTGCCTTTGTAATCAATGAGCTCCCACATATCCCTTTGCAGACTCTACAAAAACAGGGATTTCAAACTGCCGAAAGAAAAGAAAGGTGTAACCCTAGGAGATGAAATCGTGCTTCACAAAGCGATTTCTCAGATAGCTTGCTTCTAGTTTTTAACCTGGGATATTCGTTTTATCGCCATTGGCCTGACTGAGTTGCAAAATGTCCATTTGCAAAATGGACAAAAACAGTGTTTCCAAACTGCTGAATCCAGAGAAAGTTTTAACTCTGTGAGATGAATGCACACATCACAGAGCAGTTTCTCAGCATGCTTCTTTCTAGTTTTTCTCTGAAGATACTTCATTTGTCACAATAGGTGTCTGTGTGCTCCCAAACATACCTTTGCAGGTTCTTCCAGAACCATGTTTCCAAACTGTTGAATGAAAAGAAAAGTTTAACTCTACGAGATGAGTACACACATCACTAAGCAGTTTCTGAGATAGCTTCCTTCTAATTTTTATCCTGGGATATTCTGTTTTTCGCCATTGGCCTCAAAGAGTTCCCATGTGTCCTTTCACAGAATGGACAAAAACATAGTTTCGAAGCTGCTGCATCCAAAGGAATGTATAACTCTGTGAAATGAATGAACAGTCCCAAAGCAGTCCTTTCTCAGAAAGCTTCTTTTTAGTTTTTCTCTGAAGATATTTCCTTTTTCACCATAGACCTCAATGCCCTCCCAAATATGCCTTCGCAGATATTGCAAAAACTGTGATTCTAACATGCTAAACGAAAAGAAAGGTTTAACTCCTGGAGATGAGTGCACACCTCACAAAGTGTTTTCTCATATAACTTCCTTCTAGATTTTATCACTTTTTCACTGTTGGCCTCAATGAGTTCCCAAATGTCCATTCACAGAATGGACAATATCAGTGCCTCCCAACTTCTGAATCAAAACAAAGGATTAACTCTGACATGAAAGCACACATCAAAAAGCAGTTTCTCAGAAAGAGTCTTTCTCGTTTTTGTCTGAAGATATTTCCTTTTTCACCATAGGCCTCAATGCACTCCCAAATATCCCTTCATAGAATCAAACAAAACAGTGTTTCCAAACTGCTAAGTGAAAAGAAACAACATTTAATTTTAGGAGATGAATGCATGCATCACAAAGCAGTTTCTCAGATAGCTTCCTTCTAGTTTTTATTCTGGGATATTCACTTTTCCACCCTGTGCCTCAATGAGTTCCCAAATGTCCTTTTGCAGAATGGACAGAAACAGTTATTTCCAGATAGATGAAACCAAAGATACTTTTAAATTTCTGAGATGAATACAGAAAACACAAACCAGTTTCTCAGAAAATTTCTTACTGTTTTTATCTGTATATGTTTCCTTTTTCACCATAGGCCTCAGTGTGCTCCCAAATATCCCTTCTCAGATTCTACCAAAACAGTGTTTCTAAACTGCTGAGTGAAAATAAAAGTTTACATATGCGAGATGAATGCACACATCATATCGTGGTTTCTCAGAAAGCTTCCTTCTAGGATTTATCCTGGGATATTCACTTTTCACAATTGGCCTCAATGAGCTCAAAAATGTTCATTCACAGAATGGACAAAAACAGTGTTTACAAACTGTTGAATAGAAAGAAAACTTTAACTCTGTGATATGAATGTACACGTCAAAAAGCAATTTTTCAGAAAGATTCTTTCTAGTTTTCATCTGAATATAGTTTCTTTCTCACCAATGGCCTCAATTTTCTTCAAATATCCTTTCTCAGGTTCAACCAGAACAGTGTTTCCAAGCTGCTGAATGAAAAGAAATGTGTAACTTTAGGAGATGAATGCACACATCACAAATCAGTTTCTCAGATTGCTTCCCTCTAGTTTTTCTCCAGGGATATTTATTTTTTCACCATTGGCCTAAATGAGTTTCAAAATGTCCATTTGCAGAATGGACAAAAACAGTGTTTCCAAACATATGAAGCAAAGGAAATGTTTCACTCTGTGAGATGAATGCACACATCACAAAGCAACTTCTCAGAAAGTTTCTTTCCAGTTTGTATCTGAACATATTTCCTTTTTCACCCTAGGCCTCAATGTGATCCCAAATATCCCTTCACAGATTCTACAAAAGCAGTATTTCCAAACTGCTGGATGAAACTTAAGGTTTAATTTTGCTAGATGAATGCACATATCACAAAGCAGTTTCTCAGATATCTTCCTTCTAGTTTTTATCCTGGGATATTTGCTTTTTGCCATTGACCATAATGAGTTACCATATGTCCTTTCACAGAATGGACAACAACAGTGTTTTCAAAACTGCTGAGTCCAAGGAAACATTTAACACTATGAGATGAACGCACACATCAAAAAGCAGTTTCTCAGTAAGATTCTTTCTAGTTTTTATCTGAAGATATTTCCTTTCCACCATAAGCATCAATGAGCTCCCAAATATGCCTTCGCAGATACAGCAAAAACAGTGATTCTAACCTGCGGAATCTAAAGACAGGTTTTACCCTAGGAGATGAATGCACACATCATAAAGTGGTTCTTGGGTAGCTCCCTTCTAGTTTTTGTTCTGGGACATTTGCTTTTTTGCCATTGGCCTCAATGAGTTCCCAAATGTCCATTCGCAGAATGGACAAAAATAGTGTTTTAAAAATGCTGAATCCAAAGAAAGGTTTAACTCAGTGAGCTGAATGAACACATCACAAAGCAGTTTCTTTGAAAGATTCTTTCTAGTTGTTATCTGAATATATTTCCTTTTTTGCCATAGGCCTCAAAGGGCTCCCAAATATCTCTTTGCAGATAATACCAAAGCAGTTTTTCCAAACTGCTGAATTAAAAGAAAAGTTTAACTTTAGAAGATGAATGCACACATCACAAAGTGGTTTCTCAGATAGCTACATCTCTTTTTTACCGTGGGATATGCACATTTTGCCATTGCCCCCAAAGGGTTCCCAAATGTCCATTCACACAATGGAAAAAAGGAAAATTTCCAAAGAGATGAATCCAAAGAAATATTTAACTCTGTGAGATGAAGGCACATGTTGCAAAACGGTTTCTCAGAAAGCTTCTTACTAGTTTTTATCCTGGGATGTTCACTTTTTCGCCATTGGCTTCAATGAGTTCCCAAAAGTCCATTCGCAGAATGGACAAAAACTGTGTTTCCACACTGCTGAATGAAGAGAAAGGTTTAACTCTGTGAGATGAATGCACACATCACAAAGTAGTTTCCCAAAAGATTCTTTCTAGTTTTTCTCTGAAGATATATCCTTGCTCACTGTAGGCTTCAATGCACTCCCAAGTATCCATTTGCAGATTCTCCCAAAACACTCTTTCCAAACTACTGAGTGAAAAAGAAAAGTTTAACCCTAGGAGAAGAATGCACACATCACAAAGCACTATCTCTGATAGCTTCCTTCTAGTTTTCATCCTGGGATATTCATTTTTTCAGTATCTGCCTGAAAGAGTTCCAAAATGTCCATTCACAGAATGGACAAAAACAGTGTTTCCAAACTGCTGAATCCAAAGAATGGTTTAACTCTGTGAGATGAATGCACACATCACAAAGTGGTTTCTCAGAAAGATTCTCTCTGGTATTTATCTGAAGATATTTCCTTTCACACCATAGGTCTCAAAGCACTCCCAAATATCTCTTCACAGATTCTAGCAAAACAGTGTTTCCAAAATGCTGAATGAAAAGAAAGGTTGAATTCTGTGAGATGAATGCACACATCACAATGTGGTTTCTCAGAGAGTTTCCTTCTAGTATTTATGCTGGGCTATTCACTTTTTGCCATTGGCCTCAATGAGATCCCCAATATCCATTTGCAAAAATGGACAAAAACAGTGTTTCCAAACTTCTGAATCCAAAGAAATGTTTAACTCTGTGAGATGAATGTATGCATCACAAAGCAGTTTCTTGGAAGGATTCTTTCTACTTTTTTATCTGAAGTTATTTGCTATTTCATCTAAGGCCTCAATGCCCTCCCAAGATTCCCTATGCAGATACTGCAAAAACAGTGATTTGAAACTGCTGAATGAAACTAAAGTTTACCACTAGGAGAAGAATGCACACATCACAAAGGGGTTTCTGCATTAGTTACCTTTTAGTTTTTATACTGGGATATTCGCTTTTTCCCCATTGGCCTCTAAGAGCTCCCAAATGTCCTTTCAAAGAATGGACAAAAGCATTGTTTCCAAACTGCTGAATCCAAGCAAGCTTTAACTTTGTGAGTTGAATGTACACATCATAAAGCAGTTTCTCATAATTCTTTCTCATTTTCATCTGAAGATGTTTTGTTTTTCACCATAGGCTTCAATACGCTCCAAAATATCCCTTCACAGATTCTAATAAAACACTGTTTCCAATCCGCTGAATGAAAAGGCAGGTTTAACTCTGTGAGATGAATGCACACATCACAAAGAACTTTCTCCGATATCTTCCTTCTAGTTTTTATCCTGGGATAGACAATTTTTTTTTCATTGGCCTCAATGAGTTCCCAAATGTCCATTTGCAGACTGGACAATAACAGTGTTTCCAAACTGATGAATCCAAAGAAAGGTTTAACTCTGTGAGATGCGTGCACATATCACAAAGGAGTTTCTCAAAAAGATACTTTCTACTTTTTAACTGAAGATATTTCCTTTTTCTCAATTGGCAACAATACCCTCTGAAATATCCCTTTGCAGAATCTACCAAAATAGTGTCTCCAAATTGCTGAATGAAAAGAATCGCTTAACTTTAGGAGATGAATGCCCACATCAAAAAGCGATTTCTCAGATAGCTTCCTTTTAGTTTTTATCCTGGAATATTCACTTTTTTGACATTGGTGTCAATGAGTTTCCAAATGTCCAATCACAGAATGGATATAAACAGTGTTTCCAAATTGCTGAATCCAATGAAATGTTTAACTCTGTGAGACGAATGCACTTATCACAAAGCAGTTTTGCAGAAACATTATTTCTAGTTTTTTTTGCAGTTGTTTCCTTTTTTACTATAGAACTCAATGCACTCCCAAATATCCCTTTGGAGATTCTACCAAAATACTGTATTCAAACTGCTGAATGAAAAGAAAGGTTTAAGTTTAGGAGATGAATGGAAACATAACAAAGTGATTTTTCAGATAGCTTCCTTGTAGTTTTTATCCTGGGATATTCAATTTTTTGCTATGAGCCTAAATTAATTCCCAAAAGTCCATTTGCAGAATGGACAAAGCAGTGTTTCCAAAGAGAGGAATACAAAGAAAGGTTTAACTCTGTGAGTTGAATGCAAACATAACAAAGCAGTTTCTCAGAAAAATTTTTCCAGTTTTTATCTGAAGATATTTCCTTTTTCATCATAGTCCTTAATGCGCTCCCAAAGATCCCTTTGCAGATTCTACCAAAACAGTGTTTCCAAACTGCTGAATGAAAATAAAGGTTTAAATGTGAGAGATGAATACATATATCAGAAAGTGCTTTCTTAGATAGCTTTCTTCTAGTCTTTATACTGGGATATTCCTTTTTTCACCCTTGGCCTCAATAAACTCCCTAATGTCCATCCATAGAATGCACAAAAACAGTGTTTCCAAACTGCTGAATCCAAAGAATCGTTCAAATCTGTGAGATGAATGCACACATCACAAAGTGGTTTCTCAGAGTACTCCTTTCTAGGTTTTATTTGAAGATATTTCATTTTTCCCCTTAGGCCTCAATGCGCTCCAAAATATCCCTTTGCAGACTCTACAAAAACAGTGATTCCAAGCTGCTGACTGAAAAGGAAGGTTTAACTTTAGGAGATGAATGCACACATCACAAAGCAGTCCCTCAGATATCTTCCTTCTAGTTTTTATCCTGGGATACTCCAATTTTTGCCATTGGCTTCAGTGAGCTCCGAAATGTCCTTTCGCAGAATGAACAAACAGAGAGTTTCCAAACTGTTGAATACAAAGAATCATTTAAATCTGTGAGATGAATGCACACATCACAAAGTAGTTTATTAGAAAGCTTCTTTCTGGTTTTTATGTGAAGATACTTCCTTTTTCACTAGGGGCCTCAGTGTGCTCCGAAATATCTATTCGTGGATTTTACCAAAACAGTGTTTCCAAATTGCTGAATGAAATGAAAAGTTTATCACTGTGAGGTGAATTCACATATCACAACGCGGTTTCTCATACAGCTTCCTTCTACTATTTATCCTGGGTTATTCACTTTTTTGCCATTCACCTCAATGAGCTCTCTAATGCCCATTCGCAGAATGGACAAAAACAGTGTTTTCACACTGCTGAATAAAAAGGAACACTTAATTCTGTGAGATGAATGCACACATTGCAATGCAGTTTCTCAGAATGCTTCTTTCTAGTTTTTATCTGAAGATGTTTCCTATTTCATCAAAGGCCTCAATATGCTCCCAAATATTCCTTCGCAGATACTGCAAAAACTGTGATTCCACACTGCTGAATGAAAAGAATGCTTTAATGCTAGGGAATTAATGCGCACTTCACAAAGCGGATTCCCAGATAGTTTCCTTCTAGTTTTTATCCTGGGATACTCACTTATTTGCCCTTGGTCTCAAAGAGTTCCCAAATGTCTTTTCACAGAATGGACAAAAACCCTTCTTCCAAACTTCTGAATCCAAAGGAAGGTTTAACTCTGTGAGATGAATGCACACATCACAAAGCAGTTTCTCAGAAAGCTTCTTTCTAGTTTTTATCTGATGATGTCTCCTTTTTCACCATAGGCCTCAATGCGCTCCATATTATACCTTTGCAGATACTACAAAAACAGTGTTTCCAAACTGCTGAATGAAAAGAAAGGTTTAAATCTAGAAGATGAATCCTCACTTCACAAAGCCATTTCTCAGATAGCTTCCTTCTAGTTTTTATCATGGGATATTCCCTTTTTCACCATTGGCCTCAATGAGCTCCCAAATGTCCATTTGCAGAATACACAAACACGGTGTTTCCAAACTGCTGAATCCAAAGAAACGTTGAAGTCTGTTGGATGAAAGCACACATCACAAAGCAGTTTGTCAGAAACTTATTTCTATATTTTATTGAAAGATATTTCTTTTTCTACCATAGACCGCACTGCCTTCCCAAATATCCCTTCACAGATTCTACCAAAACAATGTTTCCAAACTGTTGAATGAAAAGAAAAGTTTAACTCTGTGAGATGAATGCATACATCACAAAGCAGTTTATCAGAAGCTTCCTTCTAGTATTTATGCTGTGGCACTCATTTTTTTGCCATTGGCGTCAATGAGCTCTGGAATGTCCATTCCCAGAATGGACAAAAACAGTGTTTCCAAACTGCTGAATGAAAAATCAGGTTAAAACTTAGGAAATGAATGCACACATCACAAAATGGTTTCTCAGACAGTTTGTTTCTAGATTTCTTTCCTAGGATCTTCGCTTTTTTGCCTTTGGCCTCAATGTGTTCCCAATTTTCCATTCGCAGACTGGACAAAAACAGTGTTTCCAAAATGCTGAATCCACAGAAAGGTTTCACTCTGTGAGTTGAATGCATACATCAAAAAGCAGTTTCCCAGAATGCAGCTTTCTATTTTTTACCTGAAGTTATTTTGTTTTTCACCATGGGCCTCAATGTGCCCCAAAATATCCCTTAACAGATTCTACCAAAACAGTGTTTCCAAGTTGCTGAATGAAAAGAAAGGCTTAACCCTGCTACTTGAATGAACACATCACAAAGCTGTTCCTCAGATAGCTTCCTTCTTGTTTTTATAGTGGGATATTTGCTTTTTCACCATTGGCCTCAATGAGTTACAAAATGTCCACTTGCAGAATTCACAAAAACAGTGGTTCCAAACTGCTGAATCAAAAGAAAGTTATAATTCTTGAGATGAATGGATGCATCGTAAAGCAGTTTCACAGAAAGCTTCTTTCTAGTTTTTATCTGAAGATATTTTGTTTTTCAACATAGGCCTCAATGCACTCCCAAACATCCCTTTGCAGATTCTACTAAAAAAAAGTTCCCAAACTGCTGAACGAAAAGAAAAGTTTAACTCTGGAGATGAATGCATACAACACAAAGCAGTTTCTCAGATAGCCTCCTTCTGGCTTTTATCCTGGACTAGCCCTTTTCACCAGTGGCCTCAATGAGCTTTGAAATGTTCATTCGCAGAATGGACAAAAACAGTGTTTCTACACTGCTGAATCCAAAGAGACCTTTAACTGTGTGAGATGAATGCATGCATCACAAAGCAGTTTCTCAGAAAGTTTTTTCTAGTTTTTATCTGAGGATATTTCTTTTTCACAATATGCCTCAATGTACTTCGAAATATCCCTTCAAAGACTCAACCAAAACAGTGTTTCCAAACTGGTGAATGAAAAGAAAAGTTTAACACTGTGACATGAATGTGCACTTCAAAAAGCAGTTTCTCAGATAGTTTCTTTCTAGTATTTATCCTGGGATACTCGCTTTTTCACCATTGGCCTCAATGAGCTCCCAAATGTCCATTGGCAGAATGGAAGAAAACAGTGTTTTTTGCACGCAACACAAAGCACTTTCTCAAACAGTATTATGAAACAGCTGAATCCAAAGAAATGCTTTTGGTAATATCTGCGAATGGATATTTCTTAGCCTTTGGGACCTATGGTGAATAATGAAATATCTTCAGATAAAAACTAGAAAGAAGCTTTCTGAGAAACTGCTTTGAGATATGTGCATTCATCTCACAGAGTGAAACATTTCTTTGGATTGAACAGTCTGGAAACACTGATTTTGTCCATGCTGTAAATGGACATTTGGGAGCTCATTGAGGTTAATGGAGAATAAAGGAACATCCCAGGATAAAAACTAGAGGGAACCTATTTGAGAAACTGTTTTGTGATGTGTGCATTCATCTCACAGACTTAAACATTTCTTTGCATTCAGCAGATTGGAAACACTGTTTTTGTCCGTTCTGTGAAAGGACATTTTGGAGGTAATTGTGGCCAAAGTTGAAAAAGCAAATATCCCAGGATAAATACTAGAGTGAAGCTGTCTGATAAAATGTTTTGTGATGTGTGCATTTGTCTGCTTGAATTAAAACTTTCTTTTCATGCAGCAGTTTGGAATCACTTTTTTTGCAGTATCCATGAAGGAATATTTGGGAGCGCTTTGAGGCATTTGATGAAATAGAAAATATCTTCAGATAAAACTATAAGAAGCTTTCTGAGAACCTGATTTGTATTGTGTGCATTCTTCTCACAGAGTTAAAATTTATTTGGATTCAGCAGTTTGGAAACACTACATTTGTCCATTCTGCAAATAGACATTTGGGAGCTCATTGAGGCAAATGGCAGAAAAGAAAATATCCCAGGAAAAAAACTAGTAGGAAGCTATGTGAGAAACCGTGTTGTGATGTGTGCATTCTTCTTGTGGAGTTAAATTTTTCTTTTCATTCAGCAGTTTGGAAACACCGTTTTGGTGGAATCTGCAAAGGGAAATTTGGCAGGGCATTTAGGCCTATGGTGAAAAATGAATATCTTCAGATAAAAACTAGAAAGAAGCTTTCTGAGAAAATACTTCTTAATGTTTGCATTCGTCTTACAGAGTTAAACCTTTCCTTTTATTGATCTGTTTGGAAACACTGTTTTTGTCAATTCTGTGAATGGACATTTGGGAACTCATTGAGGATAATGGTGATAAAGTGAATATTCCAGGTTAACAAGTAGAAGTAAGCTTCCTTAGGAACTGCTTTGTGATGTGTGCATTCACCTCCTAAAGTTAAACCTTCCTTTTCATTCAGCAGTTTGGAAACACTGTATGGGTAGAATCTGTGAAGGTATACTTAGGAGAGAATTGAGGCCTGTGGTGAAAAAGGAAATATGTTCAGATAAAAACTAGAAAGAATATTTAAGAGAAACCACTTTGTGATGAGTGAATTCATCTCACATAGTTAGACTTTTCTTTGAATTCAGCATTTTGGAAACACTGTTTTTGTCCATTCTGAGAATGGATGTTTCAGAGATCAATGGGGCCAATGGTGAAAAAGTGAATATCACAGGATAAACACTAGAAGGAACCTATGTGAGAAACAACTTTCTGATGTGTTTATTCATCTCTTAGAGTTAAACTTTTCATTCAGCAGTTTGGAAACACTGTCTTTTTAGAATCTGTGAAGGGATATTTGGCAACACTTTGAAGCCTTTGGTGAAAAAGGAAAGATCTTCAGATAAAAACTAGGAAGAATCTTTCTGAGTGAATTGAGGCCTATCGCAAAAAAGGAAATATTTTAAGATTAAAAAAGAACGAAGCTTTTTGAGAAAGTGCTATGTGATATGTGCATTCATCTCACAGAGTTAAACATTTTTTGGATTCAACAGCTTGGAAACACTGTTTTTGTCAATTCTGTGAATGGACTTTTGGGAACTCATTCAGGCAAAGGGTGAAAAAGATAATATTACAGGACAAAAACTAGAAGGACCCTATCTGAAAAAAGGCTTTGTGATGTCTGCATTCATCTCACAGAGATAAATCTTTCTTTTCATTCAGCGGTTTGTAATCATTGTTTTTGGAGTATCTTCAAAGGTAAATTGGGAGTGCATTAAGGCCTTTTATGAAATAGGAAATTTCTTCAAATAAAAGCTAGAAATAAACTTTCTGAGAAACTGCTTTGTGATGTGTGCATTCATCTCAAAGAGTTAAACTTTTCTTTGGATTCAGTTGTTTGGAAACACTGTTTTTGTCCATTCTGCAAATGGACATGTAGGAGCTCATTGAAGTCAATGGCGAAAAAGAGAATATCCTAGGATAAAAATTATAAGGAAGCTTCATGACAAACTGCTTTGTGATGTGTGCATTCATGTGACTGTTAAACCTTTTTTTTTCATTGAGCAGTTTGGAAACACTGTTTTGGTAGAATCTGCGAAGGGATATTTCAAAGCACATTGAGGCCTATGGTGAAAAATGAAATATCTTCAGATAAAATTAGAAAGAAGCTTTCTGAGAAACTGCTTTGTGATGTGTGCATACATCTCACAGAGTTAAAACTTTCTTTGGATTTAGTGGTTTGGAAACATTGTTTCTGTCCATTCTGCTAATGGACTTTTCGGAACTCATTGAGGCCAATTGTGAAAAAGCAAATATCAGATTATAAAAGCTTGAAGGAAGCTATCTGAGAAACTGCTTGGTGATGTGTGCAGTCATCTCACAGAATTAAAACTTTCTTTACATTCAGCAGTTTGGAAACACTGTTTTGGTAGAATCAGCAAACGGATATTTGGGAACACATTGGGGCCTATGGTGAAAAACGAAATATACTCAGAAAAAATCTAGAAAGAATCATTCTGAGAAACTGCGTTGTGACTTCTGCATTCATTTCACAGAATTAACCGTTTCTTTGGAATCAGCAGTTTAGAAACACTGTTTTTGTCCATTTTGTGAATGGACATTTGGGTACAATGCAAATTACCAAGGATAGAAACTGGAAGGAATCTATCTGAGGAACTGCAATGTGATGTGTGCACTCGTCTCCTAGAGGTAAACGTTTCATTTCATTCAACAGTTTAGAAACACTGTTTTTGCAATATCTGCAAAGGGATATTTGGGAGTGCATTGAGGCTTACGGTGAAAAAGGAAATATCTTCAGATAAAAACTAGAAAGAAGCTTTCTGAGAAACTGATTTATGATGTATGCATTCATTTCACAGAGATCAAAATTAGTTTGGATTCTGCAGTTTGGAAACACTGTTTTTGTACATTCTGTGAATTGATGTTTGGGAACTCATTGAGACCAAGGCTGAAAAAGAGAATATCCTGGGATAAAAACAAGAAGGAATCTATCTGAGAAGCCACTTTTTGTGGTGTGTATTCATCTCCCAGAGTTAATGCTTTCTTTTCACTCAGCAGTTTGGAAACACTGTTTTGTTACAATCTGTGAAGGGATATTTGGGAGCACATTGAGGTCTTTGGTGAAAAGAAATGTATACAGATAAAACCTAGGAAGAAGTTTTGTGAGAAACTGCTTTGTGAGGTGTGCATTCTTCTCAATGTGTTAAGCATTTCTTTGGATTCAGCAGTTTAGGAACACTGTTTTTGTGCATTCTGTGAATGGACATTTGGGAGCTCATGGAGTCCAATGGCAAAAAAGGCAGTATCCCAGGATCAAAACCAGAAGGAAGCTATTTGAGAAACCACTTTGTATGGATGCATTCATCTCGCAGACTTAAACATTTTTTTTCATTCAGCAGTTTGGGAACCCCATGTTGGTAGAATCTGCGAAGGGATATTTGGGAGCCCAGTGAGGCATTTGATGAAAAAGGAAATATCTTCAAATAAAAACTAGAAAGAAGGTTTCTGAGAAACCGCTTTGTGGTGTGTGTATTCATATAACAGAGGTACACCATTCTTTGGAATCAGCAGTTTGCAAACACTTTTTTTGTCCATTCTGCGAATGAACACTTGGGAACTCATCGAGGCCAAAGTCAAAAAATTGAATATCCCAGGATAAAAGCTGGAAGGAAGGTATTTGAGAAACTGTATTGTGATGTGTGCATTCATGTCCTAGAATTAAAGTTTTCCTTTCATTCAGCAGTTTGCAAACACTGTTTTGGAAGAATCTGCAAACGGACATTTGGAAGCACATTGAGGCCTAGGTTGAGAAAGGAAATATATTCAGATAAACATGAAAGAAATTTTCCGAGAAACTGCTTTGTGGTGTGTGAATTCATCTCACAGAGTTAAAACTTTCTTTGGATTCAGGAGTTGGAAACGTTTTTATCCATTCTGTGAATGGACATTAGGTATCACTGAGGCCAATCACGAAAAAGGGAATATCCCAGGGTAAAAACTACAAGGAATTTATCTGAGAAACTGCTTTCTGATGTGTGCATTCATCCCACAGAGATAAAACTTTCTTTTCATTCAGTAGTTTGAAATCACTTTTTTTCAGCATTTGTGAAGGGCAATTTTGGAGTGCTTTGAAGGACTTTACTGAAATAGGACATAACTTTGGATAAAAACTAGAAAGAAGCCTTCTGTGAAACAAATTTGTAATGTGTGCATTCATCTCACAGAGTTAAACATTTCTTTGGATTCTGCAGTTTAGAAACACATATTTTGTCCATTCTGTGAATGCACATTTGGGAACTCATTGAGGCCCATGGCAAAAAAGAGAAAATCTCAGGATATAAGCTAGAAGGAAGCTATCAGAGAAACCGATTTTTGATGTGTGCATTCGTCTCCTAGAATTAAAGATTTCTTTTCCTACAGCAGTTTGGAATCACTGTTCTTGCAGTATCTGTCAAGGGATATTTGGGAGTGCATTGAGGCCTTTGATGAGATAGGAAATATCTTCAGATAAAAACTAGAAAGAAGCTTTCTGGGAAAATGCTCTGTGATATGTTCATTCATCTCACAGAGAGAAACGTTTCTTTGGATTCAGCAGTTTGGAAACACTGTTTTTGTCCATTCTGCGAATGGACATTTTGGAGCTCATTGAGGCCAACGGAGAAAAAGGGAATATCCCATGATAAAAACTAGAAGGAAGCTATTTGAGAAACGGCTTATTCATGTGTGCATTCATCTCACAGAGTAAAACATTTCTTTTTGTTCAGCAGTTTGGAAACACTGTTTTGGTAAAATCTGTGAAGGGATATTTGGAAGCACATTGAGGCCTATGGTGAAAAACCAAATATCTTCAGATAAAACTAGATAAAAGGTTTCTGAGAAACTGCTTTGTGATGTGTGCATTCATCTCACAGAGTTAAACTTTCTTTGATTCATCGGTGTGGAAACACTCTTCTTCTCTATTCTGTGAGAGGACTTTTGAGAGCTCACTGAGGCTTAGGGTGAAAAACCGAATATCCCAGGATAAAAACTAGAAGGAAGCTGTCTGAGAAAGCGCTTTGTCATAGGTGAATTCATCTCACAGAGATAAACATTTCTTTTCATTCTGCAATTTGGAATCACTGTTTTTACTGTATCTGCAAAGGGAAATTCTTGAGCCATTGAAGCCTATGATGAAATAGGAAATATCACCAGATAAATAGTAGAAAGAAACTTTCTGAGAATTTTCTTTGTGATGTGTGCATTCACCTCACAGAGTTAAATATTTTTTGTATTCAGCAGTTTGGAAACACTTTTTTTGACCATTCTGTGAATGGACATTTGGGAGCTCTTTAAGGTCAATGACAAAAAAGTGATTATCCAAGGATAAAAACTAGAAGGAATGTATCTGAAAAACCATGTGTGTTGTGTGCATTCATCTCACAGTGTTAAAATTTCTTTCCATTCAGGAATTTGGAAACACTGTTTTAGTAGTATCTGCAAAGGGATATTTGGGAACACATTGAGTCCTATGGTGAAAAAGGAAATATCTCCAGACAAAAACTAGAAAGAAGATTTCTACAAAATGGCCTTATGATGTGTGCATTCTTGTCACAGAAATAAACATTTCTTTGGATTCAACAGTTTGGAAACATTCTTTTTGTCCATTCTGCGAATGGACATTAGGGAGCTCCTTGACCCAAGATGTGAAAAAGGGAATATCCCAGCATAAAATCTACAAAGATATTATCTGAGAATCCTCTTTGTGATGTGTGCATTCATCTCACTGTTAAACCTTTCTTTTCATTTGGCAGTTTGGAAACACTGTTTTGGTAGAATCTGCAAAGAGATGTCTAGGAGCACATTGAGGGCAATGGTGAAAAATGAAATACGTTCTGATAAAAACCAGAAAGAAACTTCCTGAGAAACTGCCCTGTGATGTGTGCATTCATATCACAGAGTTAAAACTTTCTTTGGATTCGGGAATTTAGAAACAATTTTTATCCATCTGTAAATGGACATTTGGGAACTCATTGAGGCCAATGACAAAAAAAAAAGGATATCCCAGGGTAATACCTAGAAAGAAAGTATCTGAGAAAGTGCTTTGTGATGGGTGCATTTATCTCACAAAATAAAAACTTGCTTTTCAGTAACCTGTTTTGTACCACTGTTTTGGTAGAATCTGAGAAGGGATATTTGGGAGCACATTGAGGCCTATTGTGAAAAAGGAAACATATTCAGGTAAAAAAAAGAAAGGAGCTTTCTGAGAAACAGGTTTGTCATATATGCATTCATCTCACAGAGTTAGACCTTTCTTTTGATTCAGCAGTTTGGAAACACTGTTTTTGTCCCTTCCATCAGTGGATATTTGGAAACTCATTGAGGCCAAAGGTGAAAACATGAATATCCCAGGATAAAAACTAGAAGCAAGCAATCTGAGAAACCACTTTGTGATGTGTTCATTCACCTCCTAGAGTTAAACTTTTTTTTTTCATTCAGCAGTTTAGAAACACTGTTTTGGTAGAATCTGCTAAGGGATATTTGGGAGCACACTGAGGCCTACTGTGAAAAAGGAAATATATTCAGATAAAAAAAGAAAGAAGCTTTCTGAGAAACAGGTTTGTCATATATACCTTCATCTCAGAGAGTTAAAACTTTATTTGGATTCAGCAGGTTGGAAACACTGGTTTTTCCCTTCTGTGAATGGACATTTGGGAACTCATTGAGGCCAATGTTGAAAACATGAGTATACCAGGTTAAAAACTAGTAGCAAGCAATCTGAGAAACCACTTTTTGATGTGTGCATTCACCTCCTAGAGTTAAACCTTTTCTTTTTCATTCAGCAGTTTGGAAACACTGTTTTGTTAGAATCTGCAAAGGGATATTTGGGAGCCCATTGAGGCCAATGGTGAAAAAGGAAATATATTCAAATAAAAAATACAGAGAAGCTTCCTGAGAGCTGCTTTGTGATGTGTGCATTCCCCTCATGCAGTTAAATATTTCTGTGGATTCAGTGCTTTGGAAACTCGGTTTTTGTGCATTTTGTGGATGGGCATTCAAGAACTCATTGAGGCCAAAGGTGAAAAAGCAAATATCCCAGCATAAAAACTAGAAGGAAGCTATCTGAGAAACCACTTTGTTGTGGGTGCATACATCTCTGAAAATTAAACCTTTCTTTTCATTCAGCAGTTTGGAAAAACTGTTTTGGTACAATCTGTGAAGGGATATTTTAAGGCACATTGAGGCCTCTGGTGAAAAGGGAAATATATTCAGATAAAAACTGGAAAGCAGCTTTCTGAGAAACCACTTTGTGATGTGTGCTTTCAACTCACAGATTTAAACGTTTGTTTTTATTTAGCAGTTTGAAAACACTGTTATTGTCCATTCTGTGAATGGACATTTCAGAGCTCATTGAGGCCAATTGCAAAAAAGGGAATATCCCAGGATAAAACTAGAAGAAATCTATCTGAGAATCAGCTTTGTGATGGGTGTATTCATCAAACAGAGTTAAACCTTTTTTTTCATTCAGTAGTTTGGAAAGACTCTTTGGCAGAATCTGAGAAAGAACATTTTGGAGTGCCTAGAGGCCTATGCTGAACGATGAAATAGCTTCAGATAAAAACTAGAAAGATTTTGAGAAACTAGTTTGAGATATGTGCATTCATCTCACAGAGTTAAACATTTCTTTGGATTCAGCAGTTTGGAAACTCTGTATTTTTTTTTATTCTGCCAATGGGTATTTGGGAGGTCATTGAGGCCAAGGGCAAAAAAGAGACTATCTCAGGATAAGAACTAGAAGGAAGCTATCTGAGAAACTTCTTTCTGATGTGTGCATTGATCTTGCAGTTAAACATTTCTTTTCCTTCAGCAGTTTGGAAACATATATTTGGTAGAATCTTTGAAGCGATATTTGGGAGTGTATTGAGGCATATAGTGAAGAATGCAATACCTTCAGATAAAAACTAGAAAGAAGTTTCTGAGAAATTGTTTTGTGATGTGTCAATTCATCTCACAGAGTTAAACTTTTCTTTGGATTCTGCAGTTTGGAAACACTGTTTTTGTCCATTTTGTGAATGGACGCTTGGGAACTCATTGCAGCCAAGGTCAAAAAAGAGAATATCCTACGATAAGGACTAGAAGGAAACTATCTGAGGAAGTGTTTTGTGATGTATACATTCGTATGACAGAGTAAAACCTTTCTTTTCTTTCAACAGTTTGGAAACACTGTGTTCATAGAATGTGTGTAGGGATATTTGTGAGTGCATTGAGGCCTATTGTGAAAAACTAAGTATCTTCTGATAAAAGAAAGAAAGAAGGTTTCTGAGAAACCGGCTTGAGATATGTGCATTCATCTCAGAGAGTTAAACATTTCTCTGGAAACACCAGTTTCACCAGTTTAGAAACACAATTTTTCTACATTCTGCAAATGGAAATTTGGGAACTCTTTTGGGCCAAGGTTGAAAAACAGAATATTCCAGCATAAATACTATAAGGAAGCTATCTGAGATACTGCTTTTTGATGTGTGCATTCATCATGTAGAATTTAGTGTTTCTTTTCATTCAGCAGTTTGAAGCCCTGTTTTGGTAGAACCTGTGAAGGGATATTTAAGAGTGCATTGAGGCCTATGGGGAAAAAGTAACTATCTTCTGATAAAAACTACAAAGAGCCTTTCTGATAAATTGCTTTGTGATGTGTACACTCAGCTCACAGAGTTAAACTTTTCTTTGGATTCAGTGTTTTGGAAACATTATCTTTGTCCATTCTGAGAATGAACATGAGGGAGCTCACTGAGGCCCAAGGTGTAAAAGCAAATATCCCACAATAAAAACTAGAGGGAATCTATCTGAGAGACTGCTTTTTGATGTGTGGATTCATCTCCTAAAGTTAAACATTTCTTTTCATTCAAAAGTTTGGGAAACAATTATGGTACAAACTGCAAAGGGATATTTGGGGGCACATTTTGGCCTATAGTGAAAAAAGAAATATCTTCACATAAAAAGTAGAAAGAAGCTGTCTCAGAAACTGCTTTGTGATTTGTGCATTCCTCTCCCAGAGTTAAAACTTTCTTTGGATTAAGCAGTTTGGAAACACTGTTTTTGTCCATTCTGTGAAAGGACATTTTGGAGCTCATTGAGGTCAATGACAAAAAAGCAAATATCCAAGGTTAAAATCTAGGAGGAAGCCATCTCAGAAACCATGTGTGATTTGTGCATTCACCTTGCAGAGTTAAAATTTCTTTTCATTCCGGAGTTCGGAAACACTGTTTTGGTAGAATCTGTGAAGGGATATTTGGGAGCTCATTGAGGCCTACGGTGAAAAAGGAAATATCTTCAAACAAATAAAAGAACGAAGCTTTCTGAGAAACTGGTTTGTGATGTATTGAATTCATCCCACAGAACTAAACCTTTTTTTCTATTCAGCTGTTTGAAACACTGTTTTTGTCCATTCTGCAAGGGGGCAATGATGAAAAAGCTAATATCCCAGGATAAATACTAGATGCAAGCTATCTGAGAAACTGCTTTGTGATGTGTGCATTCACTTCCTAGAGTTAAATCTCTCTTTTAATTCAGCAGTTTGAAAACCCTGTTTCCATAGAGTCTGCAAAGGGATATTTAGGAGCACATTGAGGTCTGTGGTGAAAAAGTAAATAACTTCCAAAAATACATTGAAAGATTTCTGACAAACTGCTTTCTGTTGTGTGCATTCCTCTCACATAGTTAAACTTTTCTTTGCATTCAGCAGTTTGGAACAATGTTTTTGTCCATTGTGCGAATGGACATTTGGGAGGTCATTGAGGCCAATGGTGAAAAATGGGTTTTGTAAGATAGAAACAAAAAGGAAACTATCTGAGAAACTACTTTGTGATGTGTGCATTCATCTAGCAGAGTTGATTTTTGTTTTCATTCAGCAGTTTGGAAACACTGTTTTGGTAGGATCTGTGAAGGGGTATTTGGGAGTGCTTTGAGGCCTATGGTGAAACATGAAAAATCTTCAAATAAAAACTAGAAAGAAGCTTTCTGAGTGATTGCTTTGTGATGTGTTCATTCTTCTGAAACAGATAAACCTTTCTTTTGATTGAGCAGTTTGGAATCACTGTTTTTGTCCAATCTGCAAATGGACATTTGGGAGCTCATTGACCCAAGAGGAGAAAAAGGAAATATCCCAGGACAATAACTACAAGGAAGCTATGTGAGAAACTGCACTGTGATGTGTGCATTCATCTTGCAGAAGTAAAACTTTCTTATCATTCAGCAGTTTGGAAAAACTGTTTTGGTAGAATCTCCAAAGGAATATTTGGGAGCGCTTTGAGACCTATGGGGAAAAACCAAATATTGTCAGATAAAAACTAGAAAGAATCTTTCTGAGAAACTGCCGTGTGATGTGTGCATTCATCTAAAAGAGTTGAACATTTCTATGCATTCAGCAGTTTGCAAACACTGTTTATGTCCATTCTGCAAATGGACATTTGGAACTCATTGAGGCCAATGGCGGAAAAGTGAATTTCCCAGGATAAAAACTGGAAGGAAGCCATCTGAGAAACTCCTTTGTGATGTGTGCGTTCATATCCTAGAGATAAACCTGTCTTTTTATTCAGCAGTTTTAAACAGTGTTTTGGTAGAATCTGTGAAGGGATTATTTGGAGCCCATTGCAGCCTAAGGTAAAGAGGAAATATCTTCTGATATAAACTAGAAAGAATGTTTCTGAGAAAGTGCTTTGGGATATTTACATTCATCTCATAGAGTTAAATCGTTCTTTTGAGTCAGCAGTTTGGAAACACTGTTTTTGTCCTTTCTGTGAATGGACATTTTGGAACTCATTGAGACCTATGGCAAAAAAGAAATATCCCAGGATAAAAACTAGAAGGAAGCTATCTGCAAAACAAGAAACTAGAGGGAAGCTATGTGAGAAACCCTGTCGTGATGTGTGCATTCATCTCACTGAGTTAAACTTTTCTTTATTTTCTTTGTTATGCTTTACATTCTAAGGTACATGTGCACAACATGCAGGTTTGTTACTTGTGTATACATTTACCATGTTGGTGTGCTGCACCAACTAACTCATCATTTACATCAGGTATATCTCCTAATGGTTTTCCTCCCCCCTTCCCCCACCTCATGACAGGACCCAGCATGTGTTTTTCCCCTTCCTGTGTCCAAGTGTTTTCATTGTTCAATTCCCAGCTATGAGTGAGAACATGCAGTGCTTGGTTTTTTGTTCTTGTGATAATATTTCCTGAGAATGATGGTTACCAGCTTCATCCATGTCCCTATAAAGGACATAAACTCATCCTTTTTTATGGCTGCATAGTATTCCATGGTGTATATGTGCCACATTTTCTTAATCCAGTCTATCATTGAGGGACATTTGGGTTGGTTCCAAGTCTTTGCTGTTGCGAATAGTGTCACTATAAACATATGTGTGCATGTGTCTTCATAGCAGCATAATTAATAATCCTTTGGGTATATACCCAGTAATGGGATGGCTGAGTCAAATGGTATTTCTAGTTCTAGATCCCTGAGGAATCGCCACACTGTCTTCCACAATGGTTGAACTAGTTTACAGTCCCACCAACAGTGTAAAAGTGTTCCTATTTCTCCACATCCTCTCCAGCACCTGTTATTTCCTGACTTTTTAATAATTGTCATTCTAACTGGTGTCAGATGGTATCTCTTTGAGGTTTGGATTTTCATTTCTCTGATGGCCAGTGATGATGAGCATTTTTTCATGTGTCTGTTTGCTGCATAAATAGTGTCTGTTCATATCCTTCACCCAGTTTTTGATGGGGTTGTTTGTCTTTTTCTTGTAAATTTGTTTGAATTCTTTGTAGATTCTGGATATTAGCCTTTTGTCAGATGAGTAGACTGAAAAGATTTTCTTGCATTCTGTAGGTTGCCTGTTCACTCTGATGGTAGTTTCTTTTGCTGTGCAGAAGATCCTTCGTTTAATGAGATCCCATTTGTCAATTTTGGCTTTTGTTGCTGTTGCTTTTGGTGTTTTAGATATGAAGTCCTTGCCCATGCCTATGTCCTGAATGGTATTGCCTAGGTTTTCTTCTAGGGCTTTTATGGCTTTAGGTCTAACATTTAAGTCTTTAATCCATCCTGCACTAATTTTTGTATAAGGTGTAAGGAACAGATTCAGTTTCAGCTTTCTACATATGGCTAGCCAGTTTTCCCAACACCGTTGTTTATTAAATAGGGAATCCTTTCCCCATTTCTTGTTTTGTCAGGTTTGTCAAAGATCTCATGGTTGTAGATGTGTGGTATTATTTCTGAGGCCTTTGTTCTGTTCCGTTGGTCTATATCTCTGTTTTGGTCACAGTACCATGCTGTTTTGGTTACTGTAGCACCGTGCTGAATGCACACATCACAATGTGGTTTCGCAGACAGCTTCCTTCTAGTTTTTATCCTGGGATATTCACTTGTTCACCTTTGGCTTCAATGAGTTCCCAAATGTCCATTCTGTGAATGGGCAAAAACAGGGTTTCCAAACAGATGAATCCATGGAAACCTTTAACTCTGTGAGATGAAGGCACACATCACAAAGCATTTTCTCAGAAAGCTTCTTACTAGTTTTTATATTAAGATATTTCCTTTTTCACCATAAGACTCAATGTGCTCAAAAATATCCCTTCACAGGTTCTACCAAAACAGTGTTTCGAAACTGCTGAATGAAAAGAAATTTTTAACTCTGAATGCACATATCACAAAGAGTTTTCTCATATAGCTTCCTCCCAGTATTTGTCTTGGGATATTCACTTTTTTGCCTTTGACCTTAAGGAGAATGAAATGCCCATTTCCAGAATGCACAAAAACAGTGTTTCCAAACTGCTGACTCCAAAGACGTTTAACTCTGTAAGATGAATGCACACATCACAAAGCAGTTTCTCAGAAAGTTTCTCTCTAGTTTTTATCTGCAGATATTTCCTATTTCATCAAAGGCCTCAATGTGCTCCCAAATTTCCCTTCACAGATACTGCAAAACAGTGATTCCAAACTGCTGAATGAAAGGAAAGGTTTAACACTAGGAGATGAATGTGCACATCACAGTAGGGTTTCTCAGATAGTTTCCTTGTAGTTTTTATCCTGGGATATTTACTTTTTCTCCATTGGTCTACATGAGTTCCCAAATGTTCTTTTGTAGAATGGACAAAAACAGTGTTTCCAAACAAAAACAGTGTTTCCAAACTTCTGAATCCAAAGAAAAGTTTAATTCTGTGAGATGAATGCACAGATCACAAAGCGGTTTCTCAGAAAGATTCTTTCTAGTTTTTATGTGTAGATATTTCCTTTCTCACCATAGGCCTCAAGGAGATCCGAAACATGCATTCCCAGATTCTACCAAAACAGTGTTTCCAAACTGCTGAATGAATAGAAGAGTTTAACTTTAGGTGATGAATGCCCTCATCAAAAAGTGGTTTCTCAGATAGCTTCTTTCTAGTTTTTATCCTAGGATAATCACTTTTTCACCATTGGCCTCAATGAGTGCCCAAATGTCCATTTGCAGAATGGACAAAAACAGTGTTTCCAAACAGATGAATGTAAAGAAATGTTTAACTCTGTGAGATGGATGCACACATCACAAAGCAGTTTCTCAGCAAATCTTCTTTCTAGTTTTTATCTGAAGATAATTCTTTTTTCAACATAGGCCACAATGCACTCCCAAATATCTCTTCTAACATTCTACTGAAACACCCTTTCCAAACTGCTGAGTGAGAAGAAAGCTTTCACTCTGACAGATGAATGCACACATCACAAGGTGGTTTCTCAGATAGCTTCCTTCTAGTATTTATCCTGGTATATTTCTTCTTCTCCATCGGCCTTAATGAGTTCCCAAATGTCTATTCACAGAATGAACAAAAACAGTGTTTCCAAACTGCTGAATCAAAAGACAGGTGTAACTGTGAGATGGATGCACAAATCAAAAAGTAGTTTCTCAGAAAGATTCTTTCTGGTTTTCATCTGAAGATATTTCGTTTTTCACCACAGTCCTCAAAGTGCTCCCAAATATCCCTTCATTGTTTCTACCAGCACAGTGTTTCCAAACTGCTGAATGAAAAGAAAAGTTTCACTTTGTTAGATGAATGGACACATCATAAAGGAGTTTCTAAGATAGATTCCTTCTAGTTTTTATCCTGGGGTTTTTCTTTTTTGCTACTGTCCACAGTAAGTTCCCAAATGTCCATTCAGAGAATGGGGAAAAAAAAGGTTTTTCCAAACATATGAATCAAAAGAAAGGATTAACTCAGTGAGATTAATGCACACATCACAAAATAGTTTCTCAGAAAGATTCCCCCTAGTGTTTAACAGATGATGTGTCCTTTCTCACCATATGCTTGAATGATCTCCCAAATATCTCTTCATAAATACTGAAAAAAAAGTGATTGCAAACTGCTGAATGAAAAGAAAGGTTTAACTCTAGAAACGAATGCACATATCACAAAGCAGTGTCTCACATAGCTTCTTTCTAGTTTTTATCCTGGGACATTCACTTTTTTGCCATTGGCCTCAATGAGTTCCCAAATGTCCATACACAAAATGGAAAAAAAACTGTGTTTCCAAACTGCTGAATCCAAAGAAAGGTTTAATTCTGTGAGATGAATGCACACATCGCAAAGCAGTTTCTGAGAAATACTCTTTCTACTTTTTCTCTGAGGATATTTCCTTTCTCACCATAGACCTCAAAGCACTCCTAAATATCCCTTCACAGATTCAACCAAAGAAAACCTTTCAAACCTACTGAATAAAAAGAAAGCTTTAACTGTGTGAGATAAATGCACACATCACAAAGCAGTATCTCAGATAGCTTCCTTCTAGTTTTTATCCTAGGATAATCACTTTTTCGCCCTTGGCCTCAATGATTTTCCAAATGTCCATTCACAGAATGCACAAAATCTATCTTTCCAAACTGCTGAATCTAAAGAAAGGGTTAAGTCTGTGAGATGAATGCACACATCACAAAGCAGTTTCTCAGAAAGATTCTTTCTAGTTTTTGTCTTAAGATGTTGTCTTTTTCATCATAGGCCTCAATGCACTCCCAAATATTCCTTCACAGATTATACCAAAACAGTGTTTCCAAACTACTGAGTGGAAAGAAAAGTTTAACTCTGGGAGATGAATGCACACATCACACCAAGGTTTCTCAGATAGCTTTCTTCCAGTATTTATACTGGGATATTCACGTCTTGCCATTGGCCCCAATGAGCTCCCAAATGCCCATTCACAGAATGGACAAAAACAGTGTTTCCAAACTGCTGAATCCAAATAAAAGTTTAAGTCTGTGAGATGAATGCACACATCACAAAGCAGTTTCTCAGAAAGATTCTTTCTAGTTTTTATCTGAATTTACTTTCTTTTTCACCGTAGGTCTCAATGCACTCCCAAATATCCCTTCACAGATTCAGCCAATACATTGTGTCCAAATTACTGAATGAAAAGAAAGGTTTAAGGTTAAGAGATGAATGCACACATCACAAAGTGGTTTCTCATATAGCCTCCTTCTAGTTTTTGTCCTGGGATATTCACCTTTTCACCATTGGCCTCAGTGAGTTCCCAAATGTCCATTCAGAGAATGGACAAAAAAGCTGTTTCCAAAAAGATGAATTGAAAGAAACATATAACTCTGTGAGTAGAATACACAAATTGAAAGCAGTTTCTCAGAAATCTTCTTTCTAGTTTTTATCTGAAGATAGCTCCTTTTTCACCATAGGCCTCAAGGCACTCCCAAATATCCCTTCACAGTTTCTACCAAAACAGTATTTCCAAAGTGCTGAGTGAAAAGAAAGGTTTAACTTTATGAGATGAATGCACACATCACAATGAGGTTTCTCAGATAGCTTCCTTCTAGTTTTTATCCTGGGATATTCACTTTTTTGCCATTGGTCTAAATGATTTCCCAAATGTCCATTCTCAGAATGGACAAAAACAGTGTTTCCAAACTGCTGAATCCAAAGAAACGTTTAACTCTGTGAGAAGAATGCAGACATCAAAAGCAGTTACTCACAAACCTTCTTTCTAATTTTTATCTGAAGATAATTCCTTTTTCACCATAGGACTCAATGTGCTCCCAAATTTCCCGCTACAGATTCCACCAAAACAGTGTTTCCAAACTGCTGAATGCAAAGAAAGGTTTAACTGTGAGAGATGAATGCACACATCATGACTCAGTTTCTCAGATAGCTTCCTTCTAGTTTTTATCCAGGGATATCTGCTTTTTCACCATTGACCTCAATGACTTACAAAAACTCCACTCACAGAATTGAAAAAAACGATGTTTACAAACTGCTGAATCCAAAGAAATGTTTAACTCTGTGAGATGAATGCACACATCACAAAGCAGTTACTCAAAAAGATTCTTTCTTGTTTTTATCTGAAGATATTTCCTTTTTCACCATAGGCCTCTATGCACTCCCAAATATCCCTTTGCAGATTCAGCCAAAACAGTGTTTCCAAACTGCTGAATGAAAACAAAGGTTTAACTTTAGAAGATGAATGCCTACATCACAACATGGTTTCTCAGATAGTTTTCTTCTAGTTTTTATCCTGGGATATTCATTTTTTCACCTTTGGCCTCAATGGGTTTCCAAATGTCGATTTGCAGAATGGACAAAAACAGTGTTTCCAAACAGATGTATCCAAGGAAACGTATGACTCTGTGAGATGAAGGCACACATCACAAAGCAGTTTCTCAGAGAGCTTCTTACTATTTTTATCTGAAGATATTTCCTTTTTCACCACAGGCCTCATTGTGCTCAAAAATATCCCTTCGCATATACACCAAGGAATACTATGCAGCCATAAAAAGTGATAAGTTCATGTCCTTTGTAGGGACATGAATGAAACTGGAAACCATCATTCTCAGCTAACTATTGCAAGGACAAAAAACCAAACACCACATGTTCTCACTCATATGTGGGAATGGAACAATGAGAACACCTGGACACAGGAAGGGGAACATCACACTCCGGGGACGGTTGTGGGGTGGGGGGAGGGGGGAGGAATAGCATTAGGGGATATACCTAATGCTAAATGACGAGTTAATGGGTGCAGCACACGGATATGACACATGTATACATATGTAACAAACCTCCATATTGTGCACATGTACTGTAAAACTTAAAGCATAATAATAAAATTAAATATATATATATATATCCCTTTGCAGATTCTACCAAAACAGTGTTTGCAAACTGCTGAATGAAAAGAAATGTTTACACCTGACAGATGAATGCACACGTAAAAACGCAATTTCTCAGATAGCTTCCTTCCTGTATTTTATCCTGGGATATTCACTTTTTTGCCATTGGCCTTAATGAGAACAAAATGCCCATTTGCATAATGGACAATAAGAGTGTTTTCAAACTGCTGAATCCAAAGACGTTTAAGCCTGTGAGATAAATGCACACATCACAAAGCAGTTTCTCAGAAAGCTTCTTTCTAGTTTTTATCTGGCGATATTTCCTATATCATCAAAGACCTCAATGTGCTCCCAAATTTCACTTCACAGTTACTGCAAAACAGTGAGTCCAAAATGCAGAATAAAAGGAAAGTTTTAACACTAGGAAATGAATGCACACCTCACAAAGCAGTTTCTCAGATAACTTCCTTGTAGTTTTTATCCTCGGATATTGACTTTTTCAACATTGGCCTCAATGAGTTTCAAATGTCCATTTGCCGAACGAACAAAAAGAGTGTTTCCAAATACATGAATCCAAAGAAATGTTTAACTCTGTGAGGTGAACACACACACCACAAAGCATTTTCTCAGAAACATTTTTTCTAGTTTTTATCTGAAGAAATTTTCCTTTTTCACCATAGGCCTCAATTTGCTGCCAAATATCCCTTCACAGATTCTACCAAAACAGTGTTACCAAACTGCTGAATTAAAAGAAAGGTTTAACTCTGCAAGATGAATGCAAAAGTCACAAAGTGGTTTCTCAGATAGCTTCCTTCTAGTTTTTTTCGTAGAATATTATCTTTCTCACAATTAAGCTCCCAAATGTCCATTGACAGAATGGCAAAAGACAGTGTTTCCAAACTGCTGATTCCAAAGAAGTGTGAATCCAAAGACTCTGTGAGATGAATGTGATCTTCAAAAAGCAATTTCTCAGAAAGCTTCTTTCTAGTTTAAATCTGAAGATATTTCCTTTTTCAGCATAAGCTTCTATGCGATCCCCAATATCTCTTCACACGTTCTACCACAAGAGTGATTCCAAACTGCTGAATGAAAAGAAAGGTTTAAATCTGCCAGATGAATACCCTTATCACAAAGCAGTTTCTCAGATAGATTCCTTCTAGTTATTGTCTTCTGATAATCATTTTTTTGCCATTGGCCTCAATGAGGTTGTAAATGTCCATTTGTAGAATGGACAAAAACAGTGTTTTCAAACTGCTGAATCCAAAGAAAACCTTCACTCTGTGAAATGATTGCACACATCACAAAGCGATTTCTCAGATACATTTCTTCTAATTGTTATCCTGGTATATTCCTTTTTTTTCCTTTGGACTCTAGGAGCTCCTAAATATCCCTTCGGAGGGTCTACGAAAACAGTGTTTCTAAACTGCTGAATGAAAACAAAGATCTAACTCTGAGAGACTAATGCACATATTGCAAAGGGGTTTCTTTTATAAGTTCCTTCTAGTGTTTATCCTGGGATATTCACTTTTTCTTCTTTGGACTCAAAGAGCTCCAAAATATCCCTTTGCAGATTGTAAAAAAAAACAGTTTTTCCAAACTGCTTACTCCAAGGAAATGTTTAACTCTATGAAATGGATGCACACATCACAAAGAAGTTTCTCAGAAAGCTTCTTTCCGGATTTAATCTGAAGATATTTCCCTTTTCACCATACGCCTCTATGTGCTCACAAATATCCCTTTGTGGATTGTACCAAAACAGTGTTTCCAATCTGCTGAATGAAAAGAAATGTTTAACTCTGTGAGATGTATACACACATCACATATCTTTTTCTCAGATAGCTTCCTTCTAGTTTTTATCTTGGGATATTTCCTTTTTCCTCTTTGGACTCAAAGAGCTCCAAAATATCCCTTTGCCAATCCTACAAAAACAGTGTTTCCAAACTGGTGAATCCAAAGAATGGTGTGACTCTGTGAGAAGAATGAAGAATGCATACATCACAAAGCAGTTTCTCAGAAAGTTTCTTTCTAGTTTTTTTTTTTTTTTTTTTTTTTTTTTTTTTTTTTTTTTGAGACGGAGTCTCGCTCTGTCGCCCAGGCTGGACTGCGGACTGCAGTGGCGCAACCTCGGCTCACTGCAAGCTCCGCTTCCCGGGTTCAACGCCATTCTCCTGCCTCAGCCTCCCCAGTAGCTGGGACTACAGGCGCCCGCCACCGCGCCCGGCTAATTTTTTTTTTTTTGTATTTTTAGTAGAGACGGGGTTTCACCTTGTTAGCCAGGATGGTCTCGATCTCCTGACCTCATGATCCACCCGCCTCGGCCTCCCAAAGTGCTGGGATTACAGGTGTGAGCCACCGCGCCCGGCCTCTAGTTTTTATCTGAAGGTAATTCTTTTTTCACCTTAGACCTCAATGTGATCTCAAATATCCTTTTGCAGATTTTACCAAAACAGTGATTTGAAATTTCTGAATAAAAAGAAAAGTTTAACTCTGCCTGTGAAAGCACGTGTCATAACACGGATTCTCAGATAGCTTCCTTGCAGTTTTTATCCTGAGATATTCTCTTTTATGCCATTGGCCTTAAGGAGCTCCCAAATATCCATTCACAGAAAGGACAAGAACAATGTTTCCAAATAGCTGAATCCAAAGCAAGATTTATCTCTGTGAGTTGAATGCACATATCACTAAGCCGTTTCTCAGGAAGTTTCTTTCTAGTTTTTTTCTGAAGACATTATTTTTTGCCATAGTCCTCAATGTGCACATAAATATCCCCTCACAGATTCTACCAAAAGAGTGTTTCCAAACTGCTGAATGAAAATAAAAGTTTAACTCTGTGAGATGAATACACACATCACAAAGCAATTTCTCAGAGAGTTTCCTTCCAGTTTTAATCCTGTGCTATTCACTTTTTTGCCATAGGAATCAATTAGTTACTAAATGTCCATTCACAGAAATTACAAAAACAGTGTTTCCAAACTACTGAATCCAAAGAAAGGTTTAACTCTTGAGATGAATGCACACATTACAAAGAAGTTTCTCAGAAAGCTTCTGTCTAGTTATTCTCTGAAGATAATTCATTTTTCACCACAGGCCTCAATGCCCTACAAAATGTCCCTTTGCAGATTCTACAAAAACAGTGTTTCCAAACTGCTGAATGAAAAGGAAGGTTTAACTGTGGGAGATGAATGCACACATCACAAAGCTCTTTTTCAGATAGATTCCTTCAACTTTTTATCCTAGGTTATTCACTTTTTCTCCTTTGGCCTCAATAAGCCCCCAAATATCCCTTCACAGAATTTCAAAAATAGTCTTTCCAAACTGCTAAATCTAAAGAATCTTTTAACAATGTGAGATGTATCCTCACATCACAAAGCAGTTTCTCAGAGAGCTACTTTCCAGTTTTTATCTGAAGATATTTCCTTTTTCACCATAGGCCTCAAAGCTCTCCCAAATATCCCTTCACATATCCTACAACAACAGTTTTTCCAAACTGCTGAATGAAAAGACAATTTTAACTCAGCGAGATGAATGCACACATCACAGCAGT
Organism: Homo sapiens; assembly: GCF_000001405.40. Lineage (NCBI taxonomy): Eukaryota > Metazoa > Chordata > Mammalia > Primates > Hominidae > Homo > Homo sapiens. The sequence goes on along the minus strand of NC_000005.10, from coordinate 46,162,827 downwards.
TTCTCCAATAGCTTCCTTCTAGTTTTTATCCTTGTATATTTGCTTTTCTTGCCTTTATCCTCAATAACCTCCCAAATGTTATTTTGCAGAATGGACAAAATCAGTGTTACCAAATTGCTTAATCCAAAAAAAGATTTAACTCTGTGAGATGAGTGCACACATCCCAAACCAGTTTTTCATTAAGCTTCTTTCTAGTTTTTATCTGAAGATATTACTTATTCACCATAGTACTCAAAGTGCTCCCAAATATCCCTTTGCAAATTCCACCAAAACAGTGTTTCTAAACTGCTGAATGAAAAGAAAGTTTTAACTCTAGGAGATGAATGCACACATCACAGCTTCTTTTTAGTTTGTACCTGAAGATATTTCCTTTTTCACCCATAGTCCTGAATGTGCTCTGAGCTATCCCTTCACAAATTTATCAAAACAGTGTTTCCAAACTGCTGAATGGAAAGTAAGGTTTAACTCTTTGAGATGAATGCACACATCACAAAGCAGTTTCTCAAATAGCTTCTGTCTATTTTTTTCCTGGGATATTCTGTTTTTTGCCATTGACTTCAATGTGTTCCCAAATGTGCATTCACAGAATGGACAAAAATATTGTATCCAAATTGCTGAATCCAAAGATAGTTTTAACTCTGTGAGATGGATGCACATATCACTAAGCAGTTTCTTAGAAAGATTCTTTTAGTTTCTATCTGAAGATATTTCTTTTTTCACTATAACCCTCAATTCTCACCCAAATATCCCTTTGAAGGTTCTACAAAATACAATGTTTCCAAACTGCAGAATGAAAAGAATGTTGTAACTCTAAGAGATTAATGCTCACATCACAAAGTGGTTTCTGACCTAGCTTCCTTCTATTTTTTATCCTGGGATATTCTCTTTTTCACTTTTGGCATCAATGACTTCCCACATGTCCATTTGCAGAAAGGACAAAAACAGTGTTTTCAAACTGCTGAATAGAAAGAAAAATTTAACTCTTTGAGATGAATGCACACATCACATTGCAGTTTCTCAGAAAGCTTCTTTCTAGTTTTAATATGTTGATATTTCATTTTTCACCATAGGCTTCACTGCACTCCCAAATATCCCTTCTCAGATTTACCAAAACGGTGTTTCCAAGCTGCTGAATTAAAACAAAGGTTTAACTCAGTCAGAAGAATGCAGACATCACAAAGCAGTTTCTCAGATAGCTGCCTTCTGGTTTTTACCCTAGGATATTTTGTTTTTCACCTTTGGACTCAATGAGCTCCCAAATATCCCTTTTCAGATTCTACAAAAACAGTGCTTCCAAACTGCTGAATCCAGAGAAACGTTTAACTCTGTGAGGTGATTGCCACTTCTCAGAAAGCATCTTTCTAGTTTGTATCTGAAGATATTTATTTTTCACCCTAGGCCTCAATGCACTCCGAAGTATCCCTTCGCAGATTCTGCCAAAACAATGTTTCCAAACTGCTGAATGAAAAGAATGTTTGAACTCTGTGAGATTAATGCAAACATCACAAAGTGGTCTCTCACCTAGCTTCCTTCTAGTTTTTATCCTGGGATATTCTCTTTTTTGCCTTAGACTTCAATGAGTTCCCACATGTCCATTCACAGAATGGACAAAAATAGTGTTATCAAACTGTTGAATCCAAAGAAAAATTTAACCCTGTGAGATGAATGCACACATCACAAAGCAGTTTCTCAGAAAGTTACTTTCTAGTTTTCATATGACAATATTTCATTTTTCACTATAGGCCTCAATGCACTCCAAAATATCCCTTCACAGATTCTACCAAAACGGTGTTTCCAAACTGCTGAATGAAAACAAAGGTTTAACTCTGTGAGAAGAATGCACACATAACAAAGCAGTTTCTCAGATAGCTTCCTGCTAGTTTTTAACCTGGGATCTTCGATTTTCTTCCTTTGGACTCAATGAGCTCCCAAATATCCCTTTGCAGATTACACAAATCAGTGTTTCCAAACTGGTGAATCCAAAGGTTTAACTCTGTGAGATGAAAAACACATCACAAAGCAGTTTCCCAGACAGCTTAGTTACAGTTTTTATCTGAAGATATTTCCTTTTCCACAATAGGCCTCAATGTGCTCCCAAGTATCTCTTCACAGGTTTTAACAAAACAGTTTTTCCAAACTGCTAAATAAAAACAAAAGTTTAACTCTGAATTCAAAGAAAGGTTTAACTCTGCAAGATTAATTCATACATCACAAATCCCTTACTCAGATAGCATCCCACTAGTTTTTATCATTGGATTCTCACTTTTTGGCCTTTGGACTCAATGAGCTCTCAAATATTCCTTCGCATATTCTAAAATAACAGTTTTTCCCAGAGGTCTCTCTGCAGAAAATCAACAAGCAAGAAAAGAGTGGGGGCCAATATTCAACATTCTTAAAGAAAAGAATTTTCAACAAAGAATTTCATATCCAGCCAAACTAAACTTCCTAAGGGTAGGAGAAATATATTCCTTTACACACAAGCAAGTACTGAGAGATTTTTTCACCACCTGGCCTGTCCTACAAGAGCTCCTGAAGGAAGCACTAAACAAGGAAAGGAAAAACTACTACCAGCCACTGCAAAAACATGGCAAATTGTAAAGACCATCGATGTTAGGAAGAAACTGCATCGACTAATCAGCAAAATAACCAGCTAACATCATAATGACAGGATCAAATTCATACATAACAATATTAACCTTAAATGTTAATTGGCTAAATGCTCCAATTAAAAGACACAGACTGACAAATTGGATACAGAGTCAGGAACCATTAGTGTGCTGTATTCAGGAGACCAACCTCATGTGCAGAGACACACATAGGCTCAAAATAAAGGGATGGAAGAAGGTCTACCAAGCAAATAGAAAACAAAAAAGGCAGGGGTTGCAATCCTAGTCTCTGATAAAACAGACTTCAAACCAACAAAGATCAAAAGAGACAAAGAAGGCCATTACTTAATGGTAAAGGGATCCATTCAACAAGAAGAGCTAACTATGCTAAATATATATGCACCCAATACAGAAGCACCCAGATTCATAAAGCAACTCCTTAGAGACCTAAAAGAGACTTAGACTTCCACACAATAATAATGGGAGACATTAACACCCACTCTCAACATTACACAGATCAATGAGACAGAAGGTTAACAAGGATATCCAAGAATTGAAATCAGCTCTGCACCAAGCGGACCTAATAGACATTTACAGAACTTTCCACCCCAAATTAATTGAGTATACATTCAGAATGTACATTCAACACCACCTCAAACTTATTCTAAAATTGACCACATAGTTGGACATAAAGCACTCCTCAGCAAATGTAAAAGAACAGAAATTAAAGCAAACTGTCTCTCAGACCACAGTGCAATCAAACTAGGACTCAGGATTAAGAAACTCAAAATCGTTTAGCTACATGGAAACTGAACAATCTGCTCCTGAATGACTACTGGGTATACAATGAAATGAAGGTAGAAATAAAGATGTTCTTTGAAACCAATGAGAACAAAGACACAACATACCAGAATCTCCGGGACACACTTAAAGCAGTGTTTAGAGGGAAATTTATAGCACTAAGTGCCCACAAGGAAAAGCAGGAAAGATCTAAAATTGACACCCTAACATCACAGTTAAAAGAACCAGAGAAACAAGAGCAAACACATTCAAAAGCTAGCAGAAGGCAAGAAACAACTAAGATCAGAGCAGAACTGAAGGAAATAGACAGACAAAAAACCCTTCAAAAATCAATGAATTTAGGAGCTGGTTTTTTGAAAAGTTCAACAATATTGATAGACTGCTAGCAAGATTACTGAAGAAGAAAAGAGAGAAAAATCAAATAGATGCAATAAAAATGGATAAAGGGTATATTACCACCAAGCCCACAGAAATACAAACTAACATCAAAGAACACTATAAACACCTCTATGCAAATAAACTAGAAAATCTAGAAGAAATGAATAAATTCCTGGACACATACACCCTCCCAAGACTAAACCAGGAAGAAGTTAAATCCCTGAATAGACCAATAACAGGCTCCGCAATTGAGGCAATAATTAATAGACTACCAACCAAAAAAAGTCCAGGACGAGATGGATTCACAGTCTAATTTTACCAGAGGTACAAGTAGGAGCTGGTACCATTCCTTCTGAAACTATTCCAACCAATAGAAAAAGAGGGAATCCTCCCTAACTCATTTTATGAGGCCAGCATCATCCTGATAAAAAAGCCTGGAAGAGACACACACACAAAAAAGAGAATTTTAGACCAATATCCCCAATGAAGATTGATGCAAAAATCATCCAGCACATTCTCTGAAACCAAATCCAGCAGCAGATCAAAAAGCTTGTCAACCATGATCAAGTGGGCTTCATCCCTGGCATGCAAGGCTGGTTCAACATATTCAAATCAATAAAGGTAATCCAGCATATTAACAGAACCAATGACAAAACCACATGATTATCTCAATAGATGCTGAAAAGGCCTTTGACAAAATTCTATAGTCTTCATGCTAAAAACTCTCAATGAAATAGGTATAGATGGGACGTATCTCAAAATAGTAAGAGCTATCTATGTCAAACCCACAGCCAATATCATACTGAAGGGACAAAAACTGGAGGCATTCCCTTTGAAAACTGGCACAAGACAGGGATGCCCTCTCTCACCACTCCTATTCAACATAGTGTTGGAAATTCTGGTCAGGGCAATCAGGCAGGAGAAAGAAATAACGGGTATTCAATTAGGAAAAGAGGAAGTCAAATTGTCACTGTTTGCAGATGACATGATTGTATATCTAGAAAACCCCATTGTTTCAGCCCAAAATCTCCTTAAGCTGATAGGCAACTTCAACAAAGTCTCAGGGTACAAAATCTATGTGCAAAAATCACAAGCATTCTTATACACCAACAACAGACAAACAGAGAGCCAAATCATGAGTGAACTCCCATTCACAATTGCTTCAAAGAGAATAAAATACCTAGGAATCCAACTTACAAGGGATATGAAGGACCTGTTCAAGGAGAACTACAAACCACTGCTCAATGAAATAAAAGAGGATACAAACAAATGGAAGAACATTCCATGCTCATGGATAGGAAGACTCAATATCATGAAGATGGCCATACTTCCCCAGGTAATTTATAGATTCAATGCCATCCCCATCAAGCTACCAATGACTTTCTTCACAGAATTAGAAAAAACTACTTTAAAGTTCATATGGAACCAAAAAAGAGCCCACATTGCCAAGTCAATCCTAAGCCAAAAGAACAAAGCTGGAGGCATCACGCTACGTGACTTCAAACTATAATACAAGGTTACAGTAACCAAAACAGTATGATACTTGTACCAAAACAGAGATATAGAGCAACAGAACAGAACAGAGCCCTCCGAAATAATACCACACATCTACAACCATATGATCTCTGACATACCTGACAAAAACAAGCAATGGGGAAAGGATTCCCTATTTAATAAATGGTGCTGGGAAAACTGGCTAGCCAAATGTAGAAAGACATAACTGGATCCCTTCGTTACACCTTATAGAAAAATTAATTAAACAGCAAAAGGAACTACCATCAGAGTGAACAGGCAACCTACAGAAAGGGAGAAATCTTTTGCAATCTACACATCTGAGAAAGGGCTAATATCCAGAATCTACAAAGAACTCAAAGAAATTCACTAGAAAAAAACAAACAGCCCCAGCAAAAAGTGGGTGAAAGATATGAACAGACACTTCGCAAAAGAAGACATTTCTACAGCCAATAGACACATGAAAAAATGCTCATTATCACTGGCCATCAGAGAAATGCAAATCAAAACCACAATGAGATGCCATCTAACACCAGTTAGAATGGTGATCATTAAAAAGTCAGGAAACAACAGGTGCTGGAGAGGATGTGGAGAAATAGGAACACTTTTACACTGTTGGTGGGACTGTAAATTAGTTCAACCATTGCGGAAGTCAGTGTGGCGATTCCTCAGGGATCTAGAACTAGAAATACCATTTGACCCCACCATCCTATTACTGGGTATATACCCAAAGAACTATAAATCATGCTGCTATAAAGACCATGCACACATATGTTTATAGTGACACTATTCACAACAGCAAAGACTTGGAACCAATCCAAATGTCCCTCAATGATAGACTGGATTAAGAAAATGTGGCACATATACACCATGGAACACTATGCAGCCATAAAAAGGAATGAGTTTTTGTCCTTTATAGGGACATGGATGAAGCTGGACACCATTATTCTCAGGATACTATTGCAAGAACAAAACACCAAGCACCTCATGTTCTTATTCATAGGTGGGAATTGAACAATGAGAACACATGGACGCAAGAAGGGGAACATCACGCACCAGGGCCTGTCATGGGGTAAGGGGATGGGAGAGGGATAGCATTAGGAAATATGCCTTATGTAAATGATGAGTGAATAGGTGCAGACCACCAATTTGGCATATATATATATACATATGTAAGAAAACTGCATGTTGTGCACATGTACCCTTGAATTTAAAGTATAATAATAAAAAAAAAGTGTTTCCAAAATGCTGAATATAAAGAAAGGTTTAGCTATGTGAGATGAATGGACGCATCACAAAGCAGTTTCCCAGAAAGTTATTTCTATCTCTTATCTGAAAGTATTTCCTTTTTCACCGTGAGCCTGATTGTGCTCCCAAATACACCTTTGCAGATTTCACCAAAATAGTGTCCCCAAAGTGCTGAATGAAAACAAAGGTTTAACTCTGTGAGATAAATGCACACATCACAAAGCAGTTTCTCAGATAGCTTCCTTCTGGTTTTTTTCCTGAGATATTCTATTTTTCACCTTTGGACTCAATGAGCTCCCAAATATCCCTTCACTGATTGTACAAAAACAGAGCTTCCAAACTGCTGAATCCAGAGAAAAGTTTTCCGCTGTGAGATGAAAGAACACATCACAAAGAAGTTTCCCAGAAGCTTATTTCTAGGTTCTATCTGAAGACATTTCCTTTTTCACCATAGGCTACAATTGGCTCCCAAAAAAACCTTTGCAGATTCTTCAAAACAGTGCTTCCAAACTGCTGAATGAAAAGAAATGTTTAACTCTGCAAGATTAATGCACACATTAATGAATCTCAGATAGCTTCATTCTAGTTATTGTCCTGGGATATTCACTTTTTCACCATCGGCCTCCATGAGCTCCAAAATATCCATTCACGGAATTCACAAAAACAGTGTTTCAAAACTGATGTATCCAAAGAAAGGTTTAACCTTGTGAGAGGAATTCACACTTCAGAAAGCATTTTGTCAGAAAGCTTCTTTCTAGTTTTTCTGAAGATATGTCCTTTTTCACCATAGGTCTCAAGGAGCTCCAAATCATCCCTTCACAGATTCTACCAAAACAGTGTTTCCAAACTGCTGAATGAAAAGAAAAGTTTAACTCTGTGAGATGAATGCACACATCACAATGCAGTTTCTCAGATAGCTTCCTTCTAGTCTTTACACTTGGATATTCACTTTTTGCCTTTGGACTCAATGAGCTCCCAAATATCCCTTGGCAGATTCTAAAAAAAACAGTGCTTCAAAACTGCTGAATCTAAGGAAATGTTTAACTCTGTGAGATGAATGAAAGTATCACAAAGCAGTTTCCCAGAAATTTATTTCTATTTTTTATCTGAATATATTTCCTTTTTCACCATATGAATCTGTGCTCTCTCAAATATCCCTTCACAGATTCTACCAACAGAGTGTTTCCAAACTGCTGAATGGTAAGAAAGGTTTAACTCTGTGAGATGAAGGTACACATCACAAAGCAGTTTCTCAGATAGCTTCCTGGTAGTTTTATCCTTGTATATTCACTTTTTCACCATTGGCCTCAAGGAGTTCCCAAATGTCCACTTGCCGAATGGACAAAAAGAGTGTTTCAAAACTGCTGAATCCAAAGAAAGGATTAACTCTGTGAGCTACATACACACATCACAATGCAGTTTCTCCGAAAGCTTCTTTGTAGTTTTTATCTGAAGGAATTTCGTTTTTCACCATAAGCCTCAATGCGCTCCCAAATATCCCTTCACAGATTCTTCCCAACCAGTGTTGACCAACTATGGAATGAAAAGAAAGGTTTAACTATGCAAGATGTTTGCTCACATCACAAAGCGTTTTCTCAGATAGCTTCCTTCTAGTTTTCATCCCAAGATATTCCCTTTTTTGCCATTGGCCTCAAAGAGTTCCCAGTTGTCCCTTCTGATAGGCAAAAATAGAGTTTCCAAACTGCTGTAGGCAAAAGAGGTTTAGCTCTCAGAAATGAATGCACACATCACGAAGCAATTTCTCAGAAAGCTTCTTTCAAGTTTTTATCTGAAGATATTTCCTTTTTCATTATAGGCCTCAAAGCACTCCTAAATGTTCCTTCACAGATTCTACCAAAACAGTGTTTCAAAAGTACTAAATGAAAAGAAAGATTTAACTCTGTGAGATGAATGTACACATCACAAAGCAGTGTCTCAGATAGCTTCCTTCTAGTTTTAATCCTGGGATATTTGCTTTTTCGCCATTGGCCGCAATGAACTCCCTAACGTCCACTCACAGAATGGACAAAAACAGTGTTTTGAAACTGCTGAATCCGAAGAATGTTTTATCACTGTGAGGTGAATGAACACATCACAAAGGAGTTTCCTAGAAAGCTTATTTCATTTCTTTATCTGAAGATATTTCCTTTTTCAACATAGGCCTCCTTGCGCTCCCAAATATCCCTTCGCAGATTCTGCAGAAACGGTTTTTCCAAATTGTTTAATGAAAAGAAAACTTTAACTCTGTGACATGAATGCACTCATCTCAAACCAATTTCTCATTAAGCTTCTTTCCAGTATTTATCTGAAGATATTTTATTTTTCACCATAGACCTCAATGCACTTCTGTATATCCCTTCACAGATTCTACCAAAACAGTATTTCCAAACTGCTGAATGACAAAAAAGGTTTAACTCTGTGAAATGAATGCACACGTCACAAAGTGGTTTCTCAGATAGATTCCTTCTACTTTATATCCTGAGATATTCGGTTTTTTGCCATTGGTCTCAATGAGCTCCCAAGTGTCCATTTGCAGAATGGACAAAAACAGTGTTTCCAAACTGCTTAATCCAAAGAAACGTTTAGCTCTATGAGATGAATGCACACATCACAAAGCAGGTCCTCAGAATGCTTCATTCTACTTTTTATCTGAAGATAGTTCATATTTCACCATAGGCCTCAATGCACTCCCAAATATTCCATCGCAGATTCTACTAAAACAGTATTTGCAAGCTGCTGAATGAAAAGAAATGTTTAACTCTCTGAGATGAATGCTCACATCACAAAGCAGTTTCTCAGAAACATTCTTTCTAGTTTTCATCTGAAGAGATTTCCTTTTTCAACATAAGCCTCAATGTGCTCCCAAATATCCCTTTGGAGATTCTACCAAAACAGTTTTTCCAAACTGCTGAATGAATAGAAAGGTTTAACCCTGCAATTTGAATGCACACATCACAAAGCAGTTTCACAGAAAGCTTCCTACTAGTTTTCATCCTATGATATTCCCTTTTTTGTCTTTGGGCTCAATGAGCTACAAAAAAACCCTTCTCAGAGTCTACAAAAACAGTGTTTCCAAACTGCTGAATCCAAAGAAAGGTTTACGAATGTGAGATCAATGCACACATCACAAAGCGGTTTCCCAGAAAGCTTCTCTCCATTTTTTATGTGAAGATATTTCCTTTTTCATCATAGGTCTCAATGAGCTCCCAAACAACACTTTGCAGATTCTACCAAAAAATGTCGCCAAACTACTGAAAGAAAAGAAAGGTTTAACTCTGTGAGATTAATGAACACATCACAATGAGGTTTCTCTGATAGCATCCTTGTAGTTTTTAACCTGGGATCTTCACTTTTTTGCCAACGGGTTCAATGAGCTCCCAAATGTCCATTGGCAGAATGGACAAATACAGTGTTTCCAAACAGCTGAATCTAAAGAAAGGTTTAACTCAGTGACAGGAATGTCCACATCACAAAGCAGTTAGTCAGAAATCCTCTTTCTAGTTTTTATCTGAAGGTATTTCCATTTTCACCATAGGCCTCAATGTGCACCCAATTATCCCTTTGCAGATTCTGCCAAAACACTTTTTCCAAACTGCTGAATGAAAAGAAAGGTTTAACACTGAGAGATAAGTGCACACATCCTAATGCATTTTCTAAGATATATTCATTCTAGTTTTGATCCTAGGATATTCACTTTTTCACCATTGGCCTCAGTGAGTTCTTAAATTTCCATTCACAGAATGGACAAAAACAGTGCTACTAAACTGTTGAATCCTAAGAAAGGTTTAACTCTTTGAGTTGAATGCACACATCCCAAGCCAGTTTCTCATTAAGCATCTTTCTAGTTTGTTTTTTTTTTGGTGTTTGTTTTAATTTTATTATTATTATACTTTAAGTTTTAGGATACATGTGCACAATGTGCAGGTTTGTTACATATGTGTACTTGTGTCGAGTTGGTGTGCTGCACCCATTAACTAGTCATTTAGCATTAGGTATATCTCCCAATGCTATCCCTTCCCCATTCCCCCACCCACCACAGTCCCCGGAGTGTGATGTTCCCCTTCCTGTGTCCATGTGTTCTCATTGTTCATTTCCCACCTATAAGTGAGAACATGCAATGTTTGGTTTTTTGTCCTTGCGATAGTTTGCTGAGAATGATGGTTTCCAGTTTCATCCACGTCCCTACAAAGGACATGAACTCATCTTTTTTATGGCTGCATAGTGTTCTGTGGTGTATATGTGCCACATTTTCTTAATCCAGTCTATCATTGTTGGACATTTGGGTTGGTTCCAAGTCTTTGCTATTGTGAATGGCACCACAGTAAACATCCGTGTGCATGTGTCTTTATAGCAGCATGATTTATAATCCATTGGGTATATACCCAGTAATGGGATGGCTGGGTCAAATGGTATTTCTAGTTCTAGCATCTTTCTAGTTTTTATCAGAAGATATTTGCTTTTACACCATAGGCCTCAATGTGCTACCAAATATCTCTTTGCAAATTCTAAGAAAACAGTGGTTCCAAGCTGCTGAATCTGAAGAAAGCTTTGTGACATGATTCAACACATCACAAAGCCTTTTCTCATTATGCTTCTTTCGAGTTTTTATCTGAAGATATTTCCTTTTTCACCATAGGCCACAATGCCCTGCCAAATATTCCTTCACAGATTCTACAGAAACAGTGTTTCCAAACTGCTGAATGAAAAGAAAGTTTTAACTCCACGAGATGAATGCACACTTCACAAACCACTTTCTCTGATATCTTCCTTCTAATTTTTGTCTTTGGATATTCTGTTTTTAGCCATTGGCCTCAAACAGATCCCAAATTTCCATTTGCAGGTCGGACAAAAGCAGTATTACCAAACTGCTAAATACAAACAAGAGTTTAACTCTGTGAGATGAATCCACACATGCCAAACCAGTTTCTCATTAACTTCTGTCTAGTTTTTTTCTGAAGATATTTGATTTTTCTCCGTAGAATTCAATGTTTTACCAAATATCTCTTCACAGATTCTAGGGAAACAGTGTTTCCACACTGCTGAATCCAAAGAAAAGCTTAACTCTTTGAGATGATTCAACATATCACAAAGCAGTTTCTCATTAAGCTTCTTTCTATTTTTTATCTAAAGATATTTCCTTTCTTGCCATAGACCTCAATGCACTGCCAAATATCCCTTTCCAGATTCTACAGAAACAGTGCTTCCAAGATGCTGAATGAAAAGAAAGTTTTCACCCTGTGAAATGAATGTGCACATCACAACACGTATTCTCAGATATCTATCTTCCTTCTAGTTTTTATCCTGGGATATTCAGTTTTTGGCCAATGGCCTCAATGAGCTCCCAAATGCCCATTCACAGAATGGACAAAAACAGTGTTACCAAACTACTGAATACAAAGAAAGGTTTAACTCTGTGAGTTGAATGCACACATCACAAAGCAGTCTCTCAGAAAGAATCTTTCCGGTTTTTATCTGAAGATATTTCCTTTTTCACCATAGGCCTCAAAATGTTGCCAAATATCCTTTCACAGATTCTACAAAAACAGTGCTACTAAAATGCTGAATGAAAAGAAGGGTCTAACTCTGTGAAATGAATGCACACATTAGAAAGCAGTTTCTCAGAAATGTTCTTTCTAGTTTTTATCTGAAGTTATTCACCCTTGGCCTCATTGCACTGCCAAATATCTCTTTGCAGCTTCTTGGAAAACAGTGTTTCCAAACTGCTGAATCAAAATAATGGGTGACCTCTGTAAGATGAATTCACACATCAGAAATCAGTTTCTCAGATAATGTCCTTCTAGTTTTTATCTTGGGATATTCACTTTTTTGCCAGTGGCTTCAAGGAGCTCCCTAATGTCCATTCACAGACTGGACAAAAACAGTGTTACCAAACTGCTGAATCCAAAGAATGGTTTAACTCTGTGAAGTGAATGAACAAATCAGAGAGCAGTTTCTCAGAAAGCTTACTTCTAGTTTTTATCTGAAGACATTTCTTTTTCACCATAGGCCTCAACGTGCTACCAAATATCTTTTCACAGATTCTAAGAAAATAGTGTTTCCAAATTGCTGAATCCAAGAAAAAGTTTAACACTGTGGGATGAATGAACACATCACAAAGCAGTTTCTCAGAAAGCTTCTTTCTAGTTATTATCTGAAGATATTTCCTTTTTTTACAATGTCTCAAACCGCTACCAAATATTCCTTCACAGCTTCTAGAAAAGCGTGTTTCCAAATGCTGAATGAAAAGAAAGGTTTAACACTGTGAGATGAATGCGCACATCATAATGCCTGTTCTCAGTTATCTTCCATCAAGTTTTTATCCTCTGATATTCACTTTTTCACCATTGGCCCCACTGTGCTGCCAAATATCTCTTCCCAGATTCTTTGAAAATGGTTTCCAAACTGCTGAATTGAAATAACGGGTCACCCCTGTAAGATGAATGCATACATGAGAAATCAGTTTCTCAGGTAACGTCCTTCTTCTTTTATCTGGGGATATTCTCTTTTTCACCGTAGGCCTCAATGAGCTCCCAAAAGTCCACTCGCAGATGGAAAAAAACAACATTACCAAACGGCTAAATCAAAAGAAAAGTTTAACTCTGTGATGTGAATGAACACATCAGAAAGCAGTTTTCCAGAAAGCTTCTTTCTAGTTTGTATCTGACGATATTGGCTTTTTAATCCTAGGCCTCAATGCACTACAAAATATGTCTTTGTATATTCTAAGAAAACAGTGTTTCCAAACTACTGAATCCAAGAAAGTTTTAACTCTGTGAGATGAATGAACGCATCACAAAGTAGTTTCTCAGAAAGCTTCTTTCTAGTTTTTATCTGAAGATACTTCCTTTTTCACTATAGGCCTCAAATAGCTGACAAATATCCCCTCACAGATTCTACAAAAACAGTATTTCCAAACTGCTGAATGAAAAGAAAGTTTTAACACTGTGAGATGAATGCACACATCACAACACGTTTTCTCAGAGGCCTTCCTTCCAGTTTTGATTCTAGGATATTCACTTTTTCGCCTTTGGCCTCAATGAGCTCCCAAATGTCCATTCACAGAATGGACAAAAAAAGTGCTACCAAATTGCTGAATCCTAAGAAAACTTTACCTCTGTGAGTTGAATGCACACAACCCAAACAAGTTTCTCATTAATCTTCTTTCTAGTTTTTATCTGAAGATATTTGCTTTTACACCATAGGACTCAATGTGCTACCAAATATCTCTTTGCAGATTCTAAGATAACAGTGTTTCCAAACTGCTGAATGTAAAGAGAGGTTTAACTCTGTGAGATGAATGCAAACATCACAAAGCAGTTTCTCATTAAGCTTCTTTCTAGTTTTTATCTGAAGATATTTCCTTTTTCACCATAGACCTCAAAGTGATGCCAAATGTCCTTTCACAGATTCTACAAAAACAGTGTTACTAAAATGCTGAATGAAAAGAAAGGTTTAACTCTGTGAGATGAATGCACACATCACAAAGCATTTACTCAGAGAGGATTTTTCTAGTTTTTATATGAAGATATTTCCTTTTTCTCCATTGGTCTCATTGCGCTACAAAATATCTGTTCACAGGTCCTTCAAAAACAGTGATTCCAAATGGCTGAATCAAAATAAAAGGTTACCTCTGTGAGATGAATGCACACATCAGAAATCAGTTTCTCAGATAATGTCCTTCTAGTTTTTATCCTGGGATATTCGCTTTTTTGCCAGTGGCCTCAAAGAGCTCCCAAATGTCCATTCATAGAATGGACATCAACAGTGTTTCCAAACTCTTGAATCCAAAGAAAGGTTTAACTCTCTGAGATGAATGCACACATCCAAAAACAGTTTCTCATTAAGCTTCTTTCTAGTTTTTATCTGAAGATTTCTGCTTTTTCACCAGAGGTCAATGTGCTACCAAATATCTCTTCACCAATTCTGAGAAAACAGTGTTTCCAAACTGCTGAATCCAAAGAAAGATTTAACTCTGTGAGATGATTCAACACCTCACAAAGCAGTTTCTCATTAAGGTTCTTTCTGGGTTTTATCTGAAGATATTTCCTTTTTCACCCTAGGCTGCAATGCACTGCCAAATATCCCTTCACACATTCTACAAAAACAGTGATTCCAAACTGCTGAATGAAAAGAAATGTATAACTCTTCGAGATGAATGCACACATTACAGAGCATTTTCTTAGATATCGTCCTTCTAATTTTTATCCTGCAATATTTTCTTTTTCGCCATTGGCCTCTAAGAGCTACCAAATATCCATTCGCACATTGGATAAAAACAGTGTTGCCAAACTGCTCAATAAAAAGAAAGGGTTAAATCTGTGGGAGAAATGCACACATAACAAAGCAGCTTATCAGAAAGGTTCTTTCTAGTTTTTAATCTGAAGACATTTCCTTTTTCACCATTAGCCTCATTGTGCTACCAAATGTCTCTTCACAGATTCTACAAAAACAGTGTTTACAAACTGCTGAAACAAAGGAAAGGTTTAACTCTGTGAGATGAATGCACACATCAGATATCAGTTTCTCAGATAAAGTCCTTCTAATTTTTATCCTGGGATATTCGCTTTTTCACCATTGGCCTCAAAGAGCTCCAAAACGTCCATTCACAGTATGGACAAACAATAAAGAAAGGTTTAAATGTGTGAGATGAGTGAACACATCAGAAGACAGTTTCTCAGAAAGCTTCTTTGTAGTTTTTATCTGAAGATATTTCCTTTTTCACCATAGGCCTCAATGCATTTCCAAATATCCCTTCACAGATACTACACAAACAGTGTTTCCAAACTGCTGAATGAAAAGAAAGGTTTAACACAGCGAGATTAATGCACACATCACAACACGTTTTCTCTGATATCCTCCTTCTAGTTTTTATCCTGGGATATTCACTTTTTCACCATTGGCCTCAAAGAGCTCCAAAATGTCCATTCGCAGAATGAACAAAAACAGTGTTTCCAAACTTCTTTATCCAATGCAAGGTTTACCTCTGTGAGTTGAATGAACACATCAAAAGTAGTTTCTCAGAAAGCTTCTTTCTAGTTTTTATCTGAAGTTATTTCCTTTTTCACCATAGACCTCAATGTGCTGCCAAATATCCCTTCACAGATTCTACAAAATCAGTTTTTCCAAACTGCAGAATGAAAAGAAATATTTAAAACTGCAAGATGAATGCACACTTCAGAACGCATTTTCTCAGATGTCTTCCTTCTTGTTTTTATCCTTGGATATTCATTTTTTCACCACTGGCCTCAATGAGCTCCCAAATGTCAGTTCGCTGAATGAAAAAAAAACAATGCTGCCAAACTGGTGAATCCAAAGAAAGCTTAACTTTGTGTGATGAATGCACACATCCTAAAGAAGTTTCTCATTAAGCTTCTTTTTAGTTTTTATCTGGTTATTTGCTTTTTCACCATAGTCCTAATATGCTACCAAATATCTCTTTGTAGATTCTAAGAAAACAGTGTTTTGAAACTGCTGAATCCAAAAAAGGTTTAACTCTGTGAGATGACCAACACTTCACAAAGCAGTTTCTCATTGAGCTTCTTTCTAGTTTTTATCCAAAGATATTTCCTTTTACATCACAGGATCAATGTGTTGCCAAATATCCCTTCACAGATTCTACAGAAACAGTGTTTCCAAACTGCTGAATGAAAAGAAATGTTTAACTCTGCGAGATGAATGCACACATCAAAAAGCGTTTTCTCAGATATCTGCCTTCTAATTTTTATCCTGGGATATTCACTTTTTCGCCATTGGTCTCTAAGAGCTCCCAAATGTCCATTCACAGATTGGACAAAAACAGTGTTGCCAACCTGCTGAATACAAAGAAAGGTTTAACTCTCTGAGATGAATGCATACATCACAAAGCAGTCTCTCAGAAATGTTCTTTCCATTTTGCATCTGAAGATATTTCCTTTTCCACCGTAGGCATCATTGCATTACAAAATATCACCTCACAGATTCTAAGAAAACAGTGTTTCCAAACTGCTGAATGTAAAGAAAGCTTTAGCTCTGTGAGATGATTCAACTCTTCACGAAGCAGTTTCTCCTTAATCTTCTTTCTAGTTTTTATCTGAAGATATTTCCGTTTTTAGCATTGCCTCAAAGTGCTGCCAAATATCCTTTCACTGGTTCTACAAAAACAGTGTTACTAAAATGCAGAGAGAAAAGAAAGTTTTAACTGTTTGACATGAATGCACATATCACAAAGCATTTTCTCAGAAAAGTCCTTTTAGTTTTTTTCTGAAGATATTTCCTTTTTCACCATTGGCCTCATTGCACTTCCAAATATTTCTTTGCAGATCCTTCAAAAACAATGTTTCTAAACTGCTGAATCAAAATAAAGGGTTACCTCTGTGAGATGAATGCACACATTGGACATCAGTTTCTCAGATAACGTTCTTCTATTTTTTATCCTGGGATGGTCTGTTTTTTGCCATTGGCGTCAATGAGCTCCCAGATGTCCATTCACAGAATGGACAAAAACAGTGTTTCCAAACTGCTGATTCCACAGAAAGGCTTAACTCTTTGAGGTGAATGACCTCCCCAGAAAGCAGTTTCTCAGAAAGCTTCTTTCTAGTTTTTATGTGAAGACATTTCCTTTTTCACCATTGTCCTCAATGTGCTACAAAATATGTCCTCGCAGATTTTAAGAAAGCAGTGTTTCCAGACTGCTGAATCCAAAGAAAGGTTTAACTCTGTGAGATGAATGAACTCATCACAAAGCAATTTCTCATTAAGCTTCTTTCTACTTTTTATCTGCAGATATTTCCTTTTCCACCATAGGCCTCAATGCACTGCCAAATATCCCTTCACAGATTCAACAGAAACAGTGTTTCAAAACGGGTAAGTGAAAAGAAAGTTTTAACTCTACGAGATGAATGCCCACATCACAAAGCATTTTCTCAGATATCTTCTCTCTAATTTTTATCCTGGGATATTCACTTTTTCGCCATTGGCCTCTAAGAGCTCCAAAATGTCCATTTGCATATTGGACAAAAACGGTGTTATCAAACAGCTGAATACAAAGAAATGTTTAACTTTGGGAGATGAATGCACACATCACAAAGCAGTCTCTCAGAAGGGTTCTTTCCAGTTTTTGTCTGCAGGTATTTCCTTTTTTACCATAGGCCTCACTGCACTACCAAATATCTCTTCACAGATTCTAAGAAAACATTGTTTCCAAACTGCTGAATGTAAAAAAAGGTTTACCTCTGTCAGATGAATGCTCACATCCCAAACCAGCTTCTCATTAAGCTTCTTTCTAGTTTTTATCTGAAGATATTTCCTTCTTCTCCACAAGCCTCAAAGCACTGCCAAGTATGCTTTCACTTATTCTACAAAAACAGTGTTACTAAAATGCTAAATGAAAAGAAGGGTCTAACTCTGTGAGATGAATGCACACATTAGAAAGCAGTTTCTCAGAAAGGTTCTTTCTAGTTTTTATCTGAGGATATCAAGTTTTTCAGCCTTGGCCTCATTTCA
Organism: Homo sapiens; assembly: GCF_000001405.40. Classification (NCBI taxonomy): domain Eukaryota; kingdom Metazoa; phylum Chordata; class Mammalia; order Primates; family Hominidae; genus Homo; species Homo sapiens. The sequence continues at coordinate 46,144,801 of NC_000005.10, read as the reverse complement.
CTGCCAAATATATCTTCACAGATTCTTTGAAAAGAGTGTATCCAAACTGCTTAATCAAAATAAATGGTTACCTCTGGGATATGAATGCACACATCACAAATCAGTTTCTCAAATTACGTCCTTCTAGTTTTTGTTGTGGGATATTTGTTTTTTGCTGTTGGCCTCAAAGAGCTCCAAAAAGTCCATTCAGAGAATAGACATAAACAGTGTTTACAAACTTCTGAATTGAAATAAAGGTTTAACTCTGTGAGGTGAATGAACACATCAGAAAGCAGTTTCTCAGAAAGCTTCTTTCTTTTTTTATCTGAAGATAATTCCTTTTTCACCATGATCCTCAAAGCGCTACCATATATCTTTTTGCAGATTCTAAGAAAACAGTGTTTCCAAACTGCTGAATTCAAAGAAAGGCTTAACTCTGTCAGATGAATGTATACATCACAAAACTGTTTCCTAGAAAGCTTCTTTCTAGTTTTTGTTTGAAGATATTTCCTTTTTCAACATAGGCCTCAAAGTGCTGCCAAATATCCCATCTCAGATTCTACAGAAACAGTGTTTCCAAACTGCTGAATGAAAAGAAAGATTTACATCTTTGAGATGAATGCACACATCACAAAGCATTTTCTCAGATTTCTTCCTTCTAATTTTTATCCTGGGATATTCACTTTTTCACCATGGACCTCAAAGCATGGCCTAATAACGTTTCACAGATTATGCAAAACAATGTTACTAAAATTCTGAATGAAAGAAAGGTTTAAATCTGTCAGATGAATGCACTCATCACAAAGCAGTTTCTCAGAGAGGTTCTTTCTAGTTTTTATATGAATATATTTACTTTTTCACCATTGGCCTCATTGCACTACCAAATATCTCTTCGCAGATTCTTCAAAAACCATGTATCAAACTGCTGCACAAAAATGAAGGGTTACCTCTCTGAGAGGAATGAACACATCAGAAATCAGTTTCTCAGTTAACGTCCTAGTTTTTATTCCTGAGATATTTGCTTTTTTGCCTTTGGCCTCAAATAGCTCCAAAAAGTCCTCTCACAGAATGGACTAAAACAGTGTTTTCAAACTGCTGAATCCAAAGAAATATTTAAATCTGTGAGATGAATCAAAAATCACAAAGCAGTTTCTCACACATATTCTTTCTAGTTTTTATCTGAATATATTACCTTTTTCACCATAGGCCTCCATGTGCTACCAAATAACCCTTCACAGATTCTACAAAAAGAGTGTTCAAAACTGCTGAATGAAAAGAAAGCTTTAACACTGTGAGATGAATGCACACATAACAACATGATTTCTCAGATATCTTCCTTCTAGTTTTTATCCTGGGATACTCACTTTTTCTCCTTGTTCTTCAATGAGCTCCCAAATGTCCATTTGCAGAATGGACATAAAAAGTGCTACCAAAGAGCTGAATACAAAGAAAGGTTTAACTCTTTGAGGTGAATGAACACATCAGTAGGCAGTTTCTCAGAAAGCTTCTTTCTAGTTGTTATCTGGAGATATTTATTTCCTTTATCACCATAGGCCTCAATGCCCTACAAAATATCATGTGACAGATTCTAAGAAATCTGTGTTTCTAAAATGCTGAATTGAAAGAAAGGTTTAATTCTGTGAAATGAATGAACAATCCAAAGCAGTTTGTCATTATGCTTCTTTCTAGTTTTTATCTGAAGATATTTCCTTTTTCACCATAGACCTCAATGCACTGCCAAACATGCCTTCACAGATTCTACAGAAACATTGTTTCCAAACAGCTGAACATAAAGAAAAGTTTAACTCTGTGAGATGAATGCATACATAACAAAGCTTTTTCTCAGATATCTTCCTTCTAATTTTTATCCTGGGATATTCGCTTTTTCACCACTGGCCTCTAAAATCTCCCAAATGTTCACTGGCAGATTAGACAAAAACAGTGTTACGAAACTGCTGACCACAAAGAAAGTTTTAACTCTGTGAGATGAATGCAAACATCACAAAGCAGTTTCTCAGAAAGGTTGTTTCTACTTTTAATCTGAAGATTTTTCCTTTTTCATGATTGGCCTCATTGTGCTACCAAATATCTCTTTGCCGATTCTACGAAAACAGTGTTTCCTAACTGCTGAATCAAAATAAAGGTTTAACTCTGTGTGATGAATGCACACGTCAGAAATCAGTTTCTCAGACAACGTCCCTTTAGTTTTGATCCTGGGATATACAGTTTTTCGCCATTGTCCTCAATGAACTCCCAAATGTCCATTTGGAAAATGGACAAAAACAGTGTTACCAAACTGCTGAATCCAAGGAAAGGTTTAACAGTGTGCAATGAAGAAACACATCTGAAAGCAGTATCTGAGAAAGTTTCTTCCTAGTTTTTAGCTGAAGATATTTCCTTTTTCACCATAGGCCTCAATGCAGTGCCAAACGTCCCTTCATAGATTCTACAAAAACAGTGTTTCCAAACTGCTGAATAAAAAGAAATGTTTAACACTGTGAGATGAATGTACACATCACAATGCATTTTCTCAGATATCTTCCCTCTAATTTTTATCCTGGGAAATTCACTTTTTCACCATAGGCCTCAAAGCATGGCCTAATGTCCTTTCACAGATTTTACAAAACAGTGTTACTAAAATGCTGAATAAAAGAAATGTTTAAATCTGTCAGATAAATGTACACATCACAAAGCAGTTTCTCAGAGAGGTTCTTTCTAGTTTTTATATGAAGATATTTACTTTTTCACCATTGGCATCATTGCACTACCAAATATCTCTTCGCAGATTCTTCAAAAAGAATGTATCCAAACTGCTGAAAAAAATAAAGGATTACTTCCATGAGATGAATGATCACATCAGAAATCAGTTTCTCAGATAACATCCTAGTTTTTATCCTGGGATATTCACTTTTTTGCATTTGGCACCAAATAGCTCCAAAAAGTCCACTTGCAGAATGGACTAAAACAGTGTTTTCAAACTGCTGTATCCAAGGAAAGGTTTAACTCTGTGAGATGATTCAACAATCACAAAGCAGTTTCTCAGAAATATTCTTTCTAGTTTTCATCTGAGGATATTTCCTTTTTCACCATAGGCCTCAGTGCACTGCCAAGTAACCCTTCACAGATTCTACAGAAACAGTGTTTCCAAACTGCTGAATGAAAAGAAAGGTTCAACACTGTGAGATGAGTGCATACATCACAAATCGGTTTCTCCAATAATGTCCTTCCAGTTTTTATCCTTAGATATTCACTTCTTCACCATTGGGCTCAATGAGCTCCCAAATGTCCATTTGCAGAATGAACCAAAACAGTGTTTCCAAACTGCTGCAGCCAAAGAAAATTTTAACTCTGTGAGGTGAATGAACACTTCACAAAGCAGTTTCTCAGAAAGCTTCTTTCTAGTTTATATGTGAAGGTATTTCCTTTTTCACCATAGGCCTAAATGTGCTCCAAAATATACCTTTGAAGATTCTACAGAAACTGTGTTTCCTAACTGCTCAAGCAAAAGAAACGTTTAACTCTTTCAGAAAAATGCCCATATCACAAGGTGGTTTCTCTGAAAGCTTCTTTCTAGATTTTATCTGAAGTTATTTCCTTTTACACTATAGACCTCATGCTCTCTCAAATATCCCCTCACAGATTCTACAAATACAGTGTTTTCAAAGTCCTCCTTCAAAGGAAAGTTTTAACTCTGTGTATTGAATGGACACATCTCAAAGCAGTTATTCAGAAAGCTGCTTTCTAGTTTTTAACCAAAGACATTTCCTTTTTCACCATAGGCCTCAGTGCACTCCCAAATATACCTTTGCAGATTCTACAAGAACAGAATTCAGTTTCTCAGATAACTTGCTTCTAGTTTTTATACTGGGATATTAGCTTTTTCGCCATTGTCCTCAATGATCTCCCAAATTTCCATTAGCAGAATGGACAAAAACTGTGTTTCCAAAACTGTTGAAGCCAAAGAAAGGTTTAACACTGTAAGATGAATGAACACATCACAAAGCAGTTTCTCAGAAAACTTCCTTCTACTTTTTTACCTGAAAATGATCCCATTTCACCTTAGGCCACAATGCACTCCCAAATATCTCTTCTCATATTCCAAAACAAAAAAGTTTCCAAACTTTTGAATGAAAAGAAAGTTTTAACTCTGCGAGATGAATGCACACATCACAAAGCAGTTTCTCAGAGAGGTTTCTTCTAGTTTTTACCCCGGGATATTCACTTTTTCACGTTGTCCTCAATGAGCAAATGTCCATTTGCAGAATGGACAGAAACAGTCTTACCGAACTGCTGAATATAAAGGTTTAACTCTGTGACATAAATGCACACATCCCAAACCAGTTTCTCATGAAGCTTCTTTCTAGTTTTTATCTGAATATATTTCCTTTTTCACCAAAGGCCTCAATGTGCTACCATATATCTCCTCGCAGATTCTAAGAAAACAGTGTTTTCAAACTGCTGAGTCCAAAGAAAGGTTTAAATATGTGAGATGAAGGCACACATCCCAAGGCAGTTTCTCATTAAGCTTCTTTCTAGTTTTTATCTGAAAATATTTCATTTTTCACCCTAGGCTTCAATGCACAGCCAAATATCCCTTTACAGGCCCTAGGAAACAGTGTTTCCAAACTGCTGAATGAAAAGAAAGGTTTAACACTGTGAGATGAATACACATATCACAAAGCATCTCCTCAGATATATTCCTTCTGGTGTTTTTCCTGGGATATTTACTTTTTCACCATTGTCCTCAATGAGGTCCCAAATGTCCGTTTGCAGAATGGACAAAAACAGTGTTACCAAACTGCTGAATCAAAAGATAGGTTTAACTCTGTGAGATAAATGTACACATCATGAAGCAGTCTCTCCAAAATGTTCTTTCTGGTGTTTATTGGGAGATATTTCCTTTTTCACCATAGGCATCATTGCGTTACCGAATATCTCTTTGCAGATTCTAAGAAAACAGTTTTTCCAAACTACTTAAAAAAAGAAAGGTTTACTCTGTGAGACGAATGCACACATGACAAAGCGGTTTCTCAGATAGGTTCCTTCTAGTTTTTATGCTGGGATATTCACTTTTTCACCATTGGCCTCAAAGGGCTCCCTAATATCCATTCACAGAAAGGAAAGAAACAGTATTTCCAAGCTGCTGAATAGAAATAAAGGTTTAACTCTGTGAGATGAATGCCTGCATTGCAAAGCAGTCTCTCTGAATGGTTCTTTCCATCTTTTATCTGAAGATATTTCCTTTTTCGCCATAGGCCTATATTTGATACCAAATATCTCTTCACACATTCTACAAAAATGGTGTTTCCAAACTGTTGAATCAAAATAAAGGTTTCACTCTGTGAGATGAATGCACGCATCAGAAATCAGTTTCTCAGATAAAGTCCTTCTAGATTTTATCCTGGGATATTCCCTTTTTTGCCATTGACCTCATTGAGTTCCAAAATGTCCATTCACAAAATAGACAAAAACAGTGTTACCAAACTGCTGAATCCAAACAAAGGTTTAACTCTGTGATATGAATGCCCACATCCCAAGCCAGTTTATCATTAAGCCTCTTTCTAGTTTTTATCTGAAGACACATGCTTTTTCACCATAGGCCTCAATGTTCTACCAAATATCTCTTTGCCGATTCTAAGAAAACAGTGTTTCCAAACTGCTGAATCCAAAGAAATGTTTAATTCTGTGAGATGAGTGCACTCAGCACAAAGCAGTCTCTCACAAAGGTTCTTTCTAGTTTTTATCTGAATATATTTCCTTTTTCACCATAGGCCTCAATGCACTACCAAATATCTCTTTACAGACTCCAAGAAAACAGTGTTTCCAAACTACTGAATGAAGAGAAATGTTTAACCCTTTGAGATGAATGCACACATCACAAATTGGTTTCTGAGGTAGTCCTTCCCAGTTTTTATCCTTGGTTATTCACTCTTTCGCCATTGGCCTCAATGAGATCTCAAATATCCATTCACAGATGGGAAAATATCAGTGTTTCCAAACTGTTAAATCCAAAGAAATGTTTAACTCTGTTACGTGTATGAACACATCAGAAAGCAGTTTCTCAGAAACCTTCTTCCTAGTTTTTATCTGAAGATATTACATTTTTCTCCTTAGGCCTCAATGCACTGCCAAATATCCCGTTGGAGATTTTACAAAAACGTGTTTCCAAACTGCCAAATGAAAATAAAGGTTTAACTCCGTGAGATGAGTGCACACATCACAAAGCGGTTTCTCAGAGAGATTTCTTCTAGTTTTTATCCTGGGAAATTCAAATTTTTGCATTGTCCTCTATGAGTTCCCAAATGTCCATTCACAGAAAGGACAGAAACAGTGTTACCAAATTGCTGAATCTAAAGAAAGGTTTAACTCTGTGAGATAAATGCACACATCACAAAGCAGTTACTCATTAAGCTTCTTTCTAGTTTTTATCTGAATATATTTTCTGTTTCATCATAGGCCTCAATGTGCTACCATATATCTCCTTGCAGATTCTAGGAAAGCAGTGTTTCCAAACTGCAGAATCCAAAGAAAGGCCTAACTCTGTGAGATGAATGAACATATCACAAATCATTTTCTCAGAAAGCTTCCTTCTAGTTTCTATCTGAACTTATTTCCTTTTTTCACCTTAGGCCTCAATGTGCTCCAAAATATCTATTCACAGATTCAAACAAAACAGTGTTTCCAAACTGCTAAATCGAAAGAAATTTTTATGTCTGAGAGATGACTCAACACATCACAAAACAGTTTCTCATTATGCTTCTTTCTAGTTTTTGTCTGAAGATATTTCCTTTTTCACCATAGTCCTCAAGGCACTTCCAAATATCTCTTTGCAGATCTAAGAAAACAGTGTTTCCAAACTGCTGAATAAAGAGAAATGTTTAACCCTTTGAGATGAATGCACACATCACAAAGTGGTTTCTCAGATAGGGTCCTTCTAGGTCTTATCCTATGATATTCACTTTTTTGCCATTGGCCTCAAAGGGTTCCCAAATGTCCATTCACAGAATGGACAAAAAAGGTGTTTCCAGAGGTCTGAATCCAAAGATAGTTTTCACTCTGTGAGATGAATGAACCCATCACAAACCAGTTTCTCAGAAAGCTTCTTTCTAGTTTTTATCTCAAGAAAATTCCTTTTTCCCCATTGGCCTCAATGTGTTCCCAAATATCTCTTCACAGATTCTTCAAAAACAGTGTTTCCAAACTGCTGAAAGAAAAGAAAGTTTTAACTCCGTAAGATGAATGCACATATCATGAATCTGTTTCTCATATAACTTCCTTCTAGTTTTTATCCTGGGATATTCACTTGCTCATCATCGGCCTCAATGAACTCTCAAATGTCCATTAGCAGATCGGAAAAAAAGCCGTGTTTCCAAACTGCTGAATCCAAAGAAAATTTTAACTCTGTTAGGTGTATGAACACATCAGAAAGAAGTTTCCCAGAAACCTTCTTTCTAGTTTTTATCTGAAGATATGACCTTTTTCACCTTAGGCTTCAATGCACTTCCAAATATCCCTTTGCAGATTTTACAAAAAGAGTGTTTCCAAACTGCTGAATGAAAAGAAAGGTTTAACCCTGCGAGATGAATGCACACATCAAAAAACGGTTTCTCAGAGAGCTCTTTTCTAGTTTTTATCGTGGGATATTCACTTTTTCTCATTGTCCTCAATGAGCTTCCAAATGTCCATTCACAGAAAGGACAGAAACAGTGTTACCAAACTGCTGAATCTAAAGAAAGTTTTAACTCTGTGAGATAAATGCACACATCCCAAAGCAGTTACTCATTAAGCTTATGCCTATTTTTTATCTGAAGACATTTTCTTTTCTTTATTTTACTTTAAGTTTTAGAGTACATGTGCAGAACGTGCAGGTTTGTTACATATGTATACATGTGACATGTTGATGTGCTGCACCCATTAACTCATATTTTAACATTAGGTATATCTATCCCTCCCCCCTCCCACCACCCCACAACAGGCCCCGGTGGTTGATGTTTCCCTTCCTGTGTCCATGTGTTCTCATTGTTCAATTCCCACGTATGAGTGAGAACATGCAGCGTTTGGTTTTTTGTCCTTGCGAAAGTTTGTTAAGAATGAAGGTTTCCAGCTTCATCCATGTCCCTCCAAAGGACATGAACTCATCATTTTATGGCTGCATATTATTCCATGGTGTATATGTGCCACATTTTCTTAATCCAGTCTATCATTATTGGAGGTTTGGGTTGGTTCCAAGATTTTGCTATTGGGAATAGTGCCGCAATAAACATATGTGTGCCTGTGTCTTTATAGCAGCATGATTTATAATCCCTTGGGCATATACCCAGTAATGGGATGGCTGGGTCAAATGGTATTTCTAGTTCTAGATTCCTGAGGAATCACTACACTGACTTCCACAATGGTTGAGCTAGTTTACATTCCCTCCAACAGTGAAAAAGTGTTCCTATTTCTCCACATCCTCTCCAGTACCTGTTGTTTCCTGACTTTTTAATGATCGCCATTCTAACTGGTGTGAGATGGTATCTCATTGTGGTTTAGATTTGCATTTCTCAGATGGCCAGTGATGATGAGCACTTTTCCATGTGTCTTTTGGCTGCATAAATGTCCTCTTTGAGAAGTGTCTGTTCATATCCTTCGCCCACTTTTTGATGGGGTTGTTTGTTTTTTTTCTTGTAAATTTGAGTTTCTTGTAGATTCTGGATATTAGCCGTTTGTCAGAGGAGTAGATGGCAAAAATTTTCTCCCATTTTGTAGGTTGCCTGTTCACTCTGATGGTAGTTTCTTTTGCTGTGCAGCAGCTCTTTAGTTTAATTAGATCCTATATGTCAATTCTGGCTTTTGTTGCCATTGCTTTTGGTGTTTCAAACATGAAGTCCTTGCCCATGCCTATATCCTGAATGGTATTGCCTAGGTTTTCTTCTAGGGTTTTTATGGTTTTAGGTCTAACATGTAAGTCTTTAATCCATCTTGAATTAATTTTTGTATAACATGTAAAGAAGGGATCCAGTTTCAGCTTTCTACATATGGCTAGCCAGTTTTCCCAGCACCATTTATTAAATAGAGAATCATTTCCCCATTTCTAGTTTTTGCCAGGTTTGTCAAAGATCAGATAGTTGTAGATACGTGACATTATTACTGAGGACTCTGTTCTGTTCCATTGGCTTATATCATTGTTTTGGTAACAGTACCATGCTGTTTTGGTTACTGTAACCTTGTAGTATAGTTTGAAGTAAGGTAGTGTGATGCCTCCAGCTTTGTTCTTTTGTCTTAGGATTGACTTGGCAATGTGGGCTCTTTTTTGGTTCCATATGAACTTTAAAGTAGTTTTTTTCCAATTCTGTGAAGAAAGCCATTTGTAGGTTGATGGGGATGGCATTGAGTCTATAAATTACCTTGGGCACTATGGCCATTTTCACAATATTGATTCTTCCCACCCATGAGCATGAATGTTCTTCCATTTGTTTGTAACCTCTTTCATTTCATTGAAGAGTGGTTTGTAGTTCTCCTTGAAGAGGTACTTCATATCCCTTGTAAGTTGGATTCCTAGGTATTTTATTCTCTTTGAAACAATTGTGAATGGGATTTCACTCATGATTTGGCTCTCTGTTTGTCTGTTATTGGTGTATAAGAATGCTTGCGATTTCTGCACAATGATTTTGTATCCTGAGACTTGCTGAAGTTGCTTATCAGCTCTAGGAGATTTTGGGCTGAAATGATGGGATTTTCTAGATATACAATCATGTCATCTGCAAACAGGGACAATTTGACTTCCTCTTTTCCTAATTGAATACCCTTTATTTAATTCTCCTGAGTGATTGTCCTGCCCAAAATTTCCAACACTATGTTGAATAGGAGTGATGAGAGATAGCATCCCAGTCTTGTGCCGGTTTTCAAAGGGAATTCTTCCAGTTTTTGCCCATTCAGTATGATATTGGTCGTAGGTTTTGTCATAGATAGCCCTTATTATTTTGAGATACGTCCCATCGATACCTAAATTATTGAGAGTTTTTAGCATGAAGGGTTGTTGAATTTTGTCGAAGGCATTTTCTGCATCTACTGAGATAATCATGTGGTTTTTGTCATTGGTTCTGTGTATAAGCTGGGTTTCGTTTATTGATTTGCATATATTGAACCAGCCTTGCATCCCAGGGATGAAGCCCACTTGATCATGGTGGATATGCTTTTTGATGTGCTGCTGGATTCAGTTTGCCAGTATTTTTTTTCAGGATTTTTGCATTGATGTTCATCAGGGATATTTGTCTAAAATTCTCTTTTTTGGTGTGTCCCTGCCAGGCTTTGGTATCAGGATGATGCTGGCCACATATAATGAGTTAGGGGGGATTCCCTCTTTTTCTATTGATTGGAATTGTTTCAGAAGAAATGCTACCAGCTTCTTCTTGTACCTCTGGTAGAATTCAGCTGTGTACCCATCTGGTCCTGGACTTTTTTTTGGTTGGTAAGCTATTAATTATTGCCTCAATTTCAGAGCCTGTTATTGGTCTTTTCAGAGATTCATCTTCTTCCTGGCTTAGTCTTGGGAGGGTGTATGTGTTGAGGAATTTATTCATATCTTCTAGATTTTCTAGTGTATTTGCGTACAGGTGTTTATAGTATTCTCTGATGGTTGTTTGCATTTCTGTGGGATCAGTGGTTATATCCCTTTTATCATTTTTATTGCATCTATTTGATTCTTCTCTCGTTTCTTTTTTATTAGTCTTGCTAGCAGTCTATCAATTTTGTTGATCTTTTCAAAAAACAAGCTCCTGGATTCATTGATTGTTGAAGGATTTTTTTTGTCTCTATTACCTTCAGTTCTGCTCTGATCTTAGTTATTTCTTGCCTTCTGCTAGCTTTTGAATATGTTTGCTCTTGCTTCCCTAGTTCTTTTAACTGTGATGTTTAGGGTGTCCATTTTAGATCTTTCCTGCTTTCCCTTGTGGGCATTTAGTGCTATCAATTTCCCTCTACACACTGCTTTGAATGTGTCCCAGAGATTCTGGTATGTTGCGTCTTTGTTCTCGTTGGTTTCAAAGGACGTCTTTGCTTCTGCCTGCATTTCCTTATGTACCCAGTATTCATTCAGGAGCGGATTGTTCGGTTTCCATGTAGGTGAGCGATTTTGAGTGAATTGCTTAAACCTGAGTTCTAGTTTGTTTGCGCTGTGGTCTGAGAGACCGTTTGTTATAATTTCTTTTCTTTTACATTTCCTGAGGAGTGCTTTACTTCCAACTATGTGGTCAATTTTGGAATAAGTGTGGTGTGGTGCTGAAAAAAATGTATATTCTGTTGATTTGGGGTGGAGAGTCCTGTAGATGTCTATTAGGTCCACCTGTTGCAGAGCTGACTTCAATTCCTGGATGTCCTTTTTAACTTTCTGTCTCATTGATCTGTCTAATGTTGACAGTTGTGTGATAAAGTCTCCCCTTATTGTTGTGTGGGATTCTAGGTCTCTTTGTAGATCTCTAAGGACTTGCTTTATGAATCTGGGTGCTCCTGTATTGGTTGCATATATATATTTAGGATAGTTAGTACTTCTTGTTGAATTGATCCCCTTACCATTATGTAATGGCCTTTTTTGTCTCTTTGAGCTTTGTTGGTTTAAAGTCTGTTTTATCAGAGACTAGGATTGCAACCACTGCCTTCTTTGTTTTCCATTTGCTTGGTAGACCCTCTTCCATCCCTTTATTTTGAGCCTACAAGTTTCTCTGCACGTGAGATGGGTTTCCTGAATACAGCACACTGATGGGTCTTGACTCTTTATCCAATTTGCCAGTCCGTGTCTTTTAATTGGAGCACTTAGCCCATTTACATTCAAGGTTAATATCGTTATGTGTGAATTTGTTCCTGTCCTTATGATGTTCGCTGGTTATTTTGCTCGTTAGTTGATGCAGTTTCTTCCTAGCCTTGACGGTCTTTGCAATTTGGCATGTTTTTGCAGTGGCTGGTACCCATTGTTCCTTTCCATGTTTAGTGCTTCCTTCAGGAACTCTTTTAGGGCAGGCCTGGTGGTGACAAAATCTCTCAGCATTTGCTTGTCTGTAAAGGATTTTATTTCTCCTTCCCTTATGAAACTTAGTTTGGCTGGATATGAAATCCTACATTGAAAACTCTTTTCTTTAAGATTGTTGAATATTGGCCCTCACTGTCTTCTGGCTTGTAGAGTTTCTGCGGAGAGATCAGCTGTTAGTCTGATGGGCTTCCCTTTTCTGTCTGGCTGCCCTTCACAATTTTCCCTTCATTTCAACTTTGGTGAATCTGAAAATTTGTGTCTTGCAGTTCTCTTCTCAAGTGGTATTTTTGTGTTGTTCTCTGTATTTCCTGAATTTGAATGTTGTCCTGCCTTGCTAGATTGGGGAAGAGCTCCTGGATAATATCCTGCAGAGTGTTTTCCAACTTGGTTCCATTCTCCCAGTCACTTTCATGTACACCAATCAGATGTAGATTTTGTCTTTTCACATAGTCCCACATTTCTTGGAAGCTTTGTTCATTTATTTTTATTCTTACTTTTCTAAACTTCTTTTCTCACTTCATTTCATTCATTTAATCTTCCATGACTGATACCCTTTCTTCCAGTGGATTGAATCGGCTACAGAGGCTTGTACATTCGTCACATAGTTCTTGTGCCTTGGTTTTCAGCTCCATCAGGTCCTTTAAGGACTTCTCTGCATTGATTATTCTAGTAAGCCATTCATCTAATTTTTTTCAAGGTCTTTAACTTCTTTGCCATGTGTTCGAACTTCCTCCTTTAGTTCAGAGTAGTTTGATTGTCTGAAGCCTTCTTCTCTCAAGTCATCAAAGTCATTCTCTGTCCAGCTTTGTTGCTGATGAGGATGGGTGTTCCTTTGGAGGAGGAGAGGTGCTCTGATTTTTAGGTTTTCCAGTTTTTCTGCTCTGTTTTTTACCCATCTTTGTGGTTTTATCTACCTTTGGTCTTAGATGATGGTGACATAGAGATGGGGTTTTGGTGTGGCTGTACTTTCTGTTTGTTTTCCTTCTAACATTAAGGACCCTCAGCTGCAGGTCTGCTGGAGTTTCCTGTAGGTCTTCTCCAGACCCTGTTTTCCTGGGTATCAGCAGCGGAGGCTGCAGAACAGCAGATATTGTTGAGCAGCAAATGTTGCTGCCTGATTGTTACTCTGGAAGTTTTGTCTCAGAGGAGTACCCGGCCGTGAGAGGTGTCAGTGTGCCCCTACTGTGTGGTGCCTCCCAGTCAGGTTATTCGTGGTCAGGGACCCACTTGAGGAGGCTGCTTGTCAGTTCTCAGATCTCCAGCTGTGTGCGAGGAGAACCACTACTCTCTTCAAAGCTGTCAGACAGGGACATTTAAGTTTGCAGAGTATTCTGCTGCCTTTTGTTTGGCTATGCCCTGCCCCCAGAGATGGAGTCTACTGAGGCAGGCAGGCCTCCTTGAGCTGCATTGCACTCCACCCAGATCAAGCTTCCAGGCCGCTTTGTTTACCCACTCAAGCCTTGGCAATGGTGGGCACCCCTCCCCCAAACTTGCTGCCACCTTGCGGTTTGATCTCGGACTGCTGTGCTAGCAAATGGTGAGGCTCCATGGGTGTAGGACCTACCCAGCCAGGCACAGGATAAAATCTCCTGGCGGGCCATTTGTTAAGACCTTTGGAAATGCACAGTATTATGGTGGGAGTGACCCGATTTTCCAGGTGCCATCTCTCACTCCTTTCTTTGACCAGGAAAGGGAATCCCCTGTCCACTTGCACTTCACAGTTGAGGCAATGCCTTACCCTCCTACAGCTCATGCTCAGTGCACTGCACCCACTGTCCTGCCCCTACTTTCTGACACTCCCCAGTGAGACGAACCCGGTAACTCAGTTGGCAATGCAGAAATCACCCGTCTTCTGCATCACTCACGCTTGCAGTATAGACTGGAGCTGTTCCTATTCGGTCATAATGGCTCCACTCCCTAAATGTCATCTTTTGAGAAGTGTCTGTTCATATACTTTGCCCATTTTTTGATCGGGTTCTTTGTTTTTTTCTTGTAAATTTTTTTTGTCTTCATTGTAGATTCTGGATAGTAGGCCTTTTTCAGAAGAGTAGATGGCAAAAATTTTCTCCCATTGCCTGTTTACTCTCACGGTAGTTTCTTTTGCTGTGCAGAAGCTCTTTAGTTTAATTAGATCCCTTTTGCAAATTTTGGCTTTTGTTGCCATTGCTTTTGGTGTTTTAGACATGAAGTCCTTGCCCATGCCTGTGTCCTGAATTGTATTGCCTATGTTTTCTTCTGGGATTTTTATGGTTTTAGGTCTAACATGTAAGTCTTTAATCCGTCTTCAATTAATTTTTGTATAAGGTGTAAGGAAGGGATCCAGTTTCAGCTTTCTACACATGGCTAGCCAGTTTTCCCAACACCATTTATTAAATAGGGATTTGTTTCCCCATTTCTTGTTTTTGTCAAGTTTGTCAAATATCAGATAGTTGTAGATATGTGACATTATTCCTGAGGGCTCTGTTCTGTTCCATTCATCTATATCTCTGTTTTGGTACCAGTACCATGCTGTTTTGGTTACTGTAGGCTTGTAGTATAGTTTGAAGTTAGGTAGCAAGATTGGTCCAGCTTTATCCTTTTAGCATGGGATTGACTTGGCAATGTGGGCTCTTTTTTGGTTCCATATGAACTTTGAAGTAGTTTTTCCAATTCTGTGAAGAAAGTCATTGGTAGCTTCATGCGGATGCTATAAATTGAATTGAATCTATAAATTACTTTGGGCAGTATGGCCATTTTCATGATATTGATTCTTCCTACCCATGAGCATGGAATGTTCTTCCATTTGTTTGTATCCTCTTCTATTTCATTGAGAAGTGGTTTGTAGTTCTCCTTGAAGAGGTCCTTCATGTCCCTTTTAAGTTCAATTCATAAGTATTTGATTCTCTTTGAAGCAATTGTGAATGGGAGTTCACTCATGATTTGGCTCTCTGTTTGTCTGCTATTGGTGGATAAGAATGCTTGTGATTTTTGCACATAGATTTTGTACCCTGAGACTTTGCTGAAGTTGCCTATCAGCTTAAGGAGATTTTGGGCTGAGACGAAGGGGTTTTCCAGATATGCAATCATGTCATCTGCAAAGAGGGACAACTTGACTTCCTCTTTTCCTAATTGAATACCCTTTATTTCCTTCTCCTGCCTGATTGCCCTGGCCAGAACTTCCAACACTATGTTGAATAGGAGTGGTGAGAGAGGGCATCCCTGTCTTATGCTGGTTTTCAAAGGGAATGCTTCCAGTTTTTGCCTATTCAGTATGATATTGGCTGTGAGTTTGTCATAGATAGCTCTTATTATTTTGAGATACATCCCATCAATACCTAATTTATAGAGAGTTTTTAGCATGAAGCATTGAATTTTGTCAAAGGCCTTTTGTTGAGGTTCCCAGCCACTTTGTTTACCTACCCAAGCCTTATCAATGGCAGGCTCCCCTCCCCCAGTCCCACTGCTGCCTTGCGGTTTGATCTCAGACTGCTGTGCTAGAAATTAGTGACACTCCGTGGGCATAGGGCCCTCCAATACAGGCGTGGGATATAATCTCCTGGAGTGCTGTTTGCTAAGACCATTGGAAAAGCACAGTATTATGGTGAGAGTGACCCAATTTCCCAGTAGCTATCTATCTGTCGCCTCTTTCTTTGACTAGGAAAGGGAATACCCTGACCCCTTGCACTTCCTGGGTGAGGTGATGCCTCACCCTGCTTCAGCTCATGCTTGGTGCACTACACCCACTGTCCTTCACCCACTGTCCAACACTCCCCTGTGAGATGACCTCAGTACCTCAGTTGGAAATGCAGAAATCACCAATCTTCTGCATCTCTCATGCTGGGAACTGTAGACTAGAGCAGTTCCTATTCAGCCTTCTTGGCCCCATCCTTGGAAACACTGTTGTTGCCAAATCTGAGAAGGAATATTTTGGAGTGCATTGAGTACTGTGGTGAAAAATAAAATATCTTTAGATAAAAACTAGAAAGAAGCTTTCTGAGACACTGTTTTGTGAGGTGTTCATTCATCTCACAGAGTAAAACCTTTCTTTTGATTCAGCAGTTTGCAAACACTGTTGTTTTCCGTTCAGTTTAAGGACATTCGGGAGCTCACTGAGGTCAATGGCAAAAAAGGAAATATCCCAGGATGAAAACTAGAAGGAAGCTATCTGAAAAACTGCTTTGTGATTTGTGTATTCATCTCACACAGCTAAACCTTACTTTTCATTCAGCAGTTTGGAAAACTGTTTTTGTAGAATCTGCTAAGGGATATTTGGGGTGCTTTGAGGCCTATGTTGAAAAAGAAAATTGCTTCAGATAAAAACGAGAAAGAAGCATTCTGAGAAATTGCTTTGTGATGTGCTCATTCGCCTCACCATGTTAAAACTTTCTTTGGATTCAGCAGTTTGGAAACAGTGTTTTAGTCCATTGTGGGAATGGACAATTGGGAATTCCCTGAGTACAATGGCAGAAGTGAAAATAACCCAGGATAAAAATTAGAATGAAGCTATCTGTAAAACCACTTTGTGATACATGCATTCATCTCAAAGAGTTAAACCTTCCATTTCTTTCAGCATTTTGGAGACACTGTTTTGTAGAACCTGTGAAGAGATATATGGGATCTTATTGAAGCCTATGGTGACACTAAAAATATCTTCAGGTCAAAATTAGAAAGAAGCTTTCTGAGAAACTCCTTTGTGGTGTGTGTTTTCATCTCACAGAGTTAAAACTTTCTTTTGATTCAGAAGTTTGGAAACACGGTTTTTGTCCCTTCTGAGAATGGACATTTGGGAGCTCCTTGAGAGCAATGGCCAAAAATTGAATATCCCAGGATAAAAGCAGAAGAAGTCCCTCTGCAAAAATGCTTTTTGATATATGCATTCATCTCACATAGATAAGCCTATCTTTTCGTTCAGCAGCATGGAAACACTTTTTTTGCAGAATATGTGAACAGATATTTGGGAGGGCATTAAGGCCTAAGGTGCAAAATTAAATATCTTCAGATAAAAACTAGAATGAAACTTTGTGAGACACTTCTTTGTGATGTGTGCATTCATCTCACAGAATTTAACCTTTCTTTTGATTCAGCACTCTGGAAAATCTGCTTTTTTTCCACTCTGACAATGGAAATTTTGGAGTTCATTGAGGCCAACGGTGAAAAATGAACAACCCAGGATAAAAACTAGAAGAAAGCTATCTGGGAAAATGCTTTGTGATGTATGCATTCATCTAGAGGAATTAATCCTTTCTTTCATTCGGTAGTTTGGAAACACTGTTTTTGTAAAATTTTCAAAGGGATATTTGCGATTGCTTTAAGGACTACAGTGATAAAGAAAATCTCCTCAGAAAAAAAAATAGAAAAAAGCTTTCTGAGAAACTTCTTTGTGATGTGTGCATTCATCTCACAGATTATAACCTTTCTTTTGATTCTCAACTTTGGAAACCCTGTTTTTGTCCATTTTGTGAATGGACATTTTGGAGCAAATTGAGGTCAGTCACAAAAAAGTGAATATCCCAGGATAAAAACTAGAAGGAATCTATCTGAGAAACCACTTTGTGATGTGAGCATTCATCTCGCAAATTTACACATTTATTTTCATTTAACAGTTTCAAAACACTGTTTTTGTAGAATCCACAAAGGGATATTTGGGAGCACATTGAGGCTTACATTGAAAAAAGAAAGTAACTTCTGATAAAAACTAGAAAGAATCTTTCTGAGAAACTGCTTTGTGATGTGTGCATTCATCTCATAGAGTGAAAATTTTCTTTTGATTCAACACTTTGGAAACACTGCTTTTGTCCATTCTGTGAATGTACATTTGGGAGTTCATGGAGGCCAATGGGGAAAAAGCGAATATCCCAGCATAAATACAAGAAGAAAGCTATCTGGGAAGCAGCTTTGTGATGTGTGCTTTTATCTCACAGAGTTAAACCTTTCTTTTCATTCAGCACTTTGGAAACACTGCTTTTGTAGAATCTGTGATGGGATATATGGGAGCACATTGAGGTCAATGGTGAAGAAGAAAATATATTCAGATAAACCTACAAAGAACCTTTTTGAGAAACTGCTTTGTGATGCATTGGGGCCTATGGTGAAAAAGAAAATGTCTTCAACTAAAAACTGGAAAAAGCTTTCCGCAAACTGCTTTGTGATGTGCACTTTCTTCTCACAGAATTTAAACTTTCTTTAGATTCAGCAGTTTGGAAACACTGTGTTTGTCCATTCTGTGAATGGACATTTTGGAGCTCATTGAGGCAATGTCAAAAAAGTGAATATCCCAGGAAAAATACAAGAGGAAGGCTATCTGAGATACCGCTTTGTGATGTGTGCATTCATCTCATAGATTTAAACCTTTCTTTTCTTTCAGCAGTTTGAAAACACTGTTTTTGTAGAATCTGCAAAGGGATATTTGAGAGAGCATTGGGGCCTACTGTGAAAAACAAAATATCTTCAGATGAAAACTAGAAAGAAGCTTTCTGAGAAACTGCTTTGTGATGTGTGCACTCATCTCACAGAGTTTAACCATTCTTTTGATTCAGCAGTTTGGATACACAGTGGTTGTCCATTCTGTGAACGAACATTTGGGAGCTCTTTGAGGCCAATAGCAGAAAAGTAAATATCCCAGAATAAAAACTACAAGGAAGCTCTCTGAGAAATCACTTTCTGATGTGTGGATTCATCTCACAGAATTAAACCTTTCTTTCCATTCACAAGTTTGGAAACACTGTTTTTGTAGAATCTGTGAAGGGATATTTGGGAGTGCATTGAGGCCTATGGTTACACCAAAATTATCTTCAGATAAAAACTAGAAAGAAGCTCTCTGAGAAACTTCTTTGTGATGTGTGCATTCAACTCACAGAGTTTAAGCTTTCTTTTGATTCAGCAGTTTAGACACACTGTTTTCCTCCGTTCTGTGAAAGGACATATGAGAGCTCTTTGAGGCCAATGGTGAAGAAGCAAATATCACAGGATAAAAACTAGAAGGAAGTTATCTGAGTAACCACTTTGTGATGTGTGCATTCATCCCACAGAGTTAAGCTTTTCTTTTTATTCAGCACTTTGGAAGCACTGTTTTTGTAAAATCTGTGAATAGATATTTGGGAGCAAATTGAGGCCAATGGTGAAAAAGTTAATACCCCGGGATAAAAACTAGAAGATGCTACCTGAGAAACTGTTTGTGATGTGTGCATTCGTCTTGCAGAGATAATCCTTTGTTTTCATTCAGTAGTTTGGAAACACCTTTTTTTTTTGTAGAATCCATGAAGCAATATTTGGGAGCATATTGTGGACTGTGGTGAGAAAAAAGTCTTCATTTTAAAACTAGTAAGACTCTTTCTGAGAAAGTGATTTGTGATGTGTGCATTCACCTCACAGAGTATAACATTTCTTTTGATTCTCCACTTTTCAAACACTGTTTTTGTCCATTACGTGAATGGACATTTTGGATCTCATTGTGGCCAATGATGAAAAACTGAATAACCCAGGAAAAAAACTACAAGAAACCTATCTGGGAAAATGCTTTGGGATGTGTGAATTCATCTTGCAGAGTTAAACTTTACTTTTCATTCAGCAGTTTGGAAACACTACTTTTGTAGTATGTGAGAAGGGATATTTTGGAGTGCACTGGGGCCTATGGTGAAACCAAAAATATCTTCAGATAAAAACTAGAAAGAATCTTTCTGAGAAACTGTTTTTTGAGGTGTGCATTGAACTCACAGACTTTAACCTTTCTTTTGATTCAGCAGTTTGGAAACAATCTTTTTGTTCATTCTGTGAATGAACATTTGGGAGCTCATTGAGGCCAATGGCAAAAAAACGATTATGCCAGGATGCAAACTGGAAGGAATCTATATGAGAAACTGCTTTGTTATGTGTGCATTCATCATGGAGAGTTAAAGCTTTCTTTTCATTCAGCAGTTTGGAAACAATGTTTTTGTAGAAACTGCGAAGGGACATTTGGGAGAGCAATAAGGCCTATGGTGAAAAAGAAAATATCTTCAGATAAAAACTAGAAAGAAGCTTTCTGAGAAACTGCATTGTTATGTGTGCATTCATCTCGCAGACTTGAAACTTTCTTTTGATTCAGCAGTTTAGAAACACTGTTTTTTTCCATTCTGTGATTTGACATTTGGGAGCTCATTGAAGCCAAAGGCAAAAAAGTGAATATCCCAAGGTAAAAACAAGAAGGAAGGTATCTGAGAACCCACTTTGTGATGTGTGCATTCATCTAGCAGAGGTAAACCTTTCTTGTCCTTCAGCAGTTTGGAAACACTGTTTCTGTAGAATGTGCAAAGGGATATTTGGGAGTGCATTGAGGCCTATGTTGAAAAACAAAATATCTTCACATAAAAATTAGAGAAAAGCTTTTTGAGAAACTGCTTTATTAGTTGAGCATTCATCTCACAGAGTTAAACCTTTCTTTTGATTGAGCCCTTTTTAAACACTTTTTTTGTCGATTATGTGTATGGATATTTGGGAGCTCTTTGAGGTCAATGGTAAAAAAAGTGAATATCCCAGGATAAAAACTAGAAGGAATCTGAGAAACCGCTTTGTTATGTGTGCATTTGTCTTGCAGAATTACACCTTTCTTTTCATTCAGAAGTGTGGAAACACTGTTTTTTCAGAATCTGTGAAGGGATATTTGGGAGTTCATTGAGGCCTACGGTGAGAAGGAAAATATCTTCAGATAAGAACTAGAAAGAACATTCCTGAAAACTGCTCTGTAATGTGTGCATTCATCTCACAGTTAAAACTTTCTTTTGATTAAGCAGTTTGGAAACACTCTTTTTGTCCATTCTGCAAATGGACATTTGGGAGCTCATTGAGGCCAATGGCGAAAAAGCACATATCCCAAGATAACAACTAGAAGGAATCTATCTGAGAAACTGCCTTGTGTTGTGTGCACTCATCTCACAGAATTAAATCTTTCTTTTCATTCAGCAGTTTTGGAACACTCTTTTTGTAGAATCTGCAAAGGGATATTTGGGAGCACACTGAGGCCTATGGTGAAAAAGAAAATTACTTCAGATAAAAACTTGAAACAACCTTTCTAAAAAACTGATTTGTGATGTGTACACTCATCTCACAGAGTTAAAACTTTCTTTTGATTCAGCACTTTAGAAACACTCTTTTTATCCATTCTGCAAATGGACATTTGGGAGCTAATTGAGGGCAAGGGTAATACAGCTAATATCCCAGGAAAAATACTATAAGAAAACTATCTGGGAAACCACTTTGTGAAGTATGCATCCCTCTCACAGAGATAAACTTTTCTTTTCATTCAGCAGTTTGGAAGCACTTTTTTTGAAGAATCTGTGAAGGGATATTTGGGAGCACATTGAAGCCTATGGTGAAAAAGGAAATCTATTCAGATAAAAACTAGAAAGAAGCTTTTGGAGAAACTGCTTTGTGATCTGTGCATTCATCTCACAGAGTTTAACCATTCTTTTGATTCAGCAGTTTGGAAACACTGTTTTTGTCTATTCTGTGAGTGGATAATTGGGTGTTCATTGAGGCCAATGGCAAAAAAGAGAATATCCCAGGATAATAACTACAAGTAATCTATCTGAGAAACTACTTAGTGATGTGTGCATTCATCTAGCAGTGTTCAACCTTCCTTTTCATTCAGCAGTTTGGATACACGGCTTTTGTAGACTCTGTGATGGAATATTTGGGAGCCCTTTGAGGCCTATGGTGAAAAAGAAAATATCTTCAGGTAAATACTGGAAAGAAGCTTTCTGAGAAACTACATTGTGATGTGTGCATATGTCTCACAGAGTTTAATCTTTCTTTTGATTCAGCAGTTTGGAAACACTGTTGATTCTGTGAATGGACATTTGGGACCTCTTTGAGGACAATAGCAAAAAAGTGAATATCCCAGGATAAAAACTAGAATAAATCTATCTGGGAAACCACTTGTTATGTGTGCATTCATGTCGCAGAGTTAAATCTTTCATTTCATTCAGCAGTTTGGAAACACTGTTTTTGTAGAATCCGCTAAGGGATATTTGAGAGTGCATTGAGGCCTATGGTGAAAAAGAAAATATCTTTAGATAAAAAATAGAAAGAAGATTTCTGGGAAACTGCTTTGTGATGTGATCATTCATCTCACAGAATTAAACTTTTCTTTGGATTTGGCAGTTTGGAAACAATGTTTTTGTCCATTCTGCAAATGGACATTTTGTTGCTCTTTGATGACAATGGCCAAAAGTCGAATATCCCAGGATAAAAATTAGAAGGAAGCTATCTGCGAAGCTGCTTTATGATGTGTGCATTCATCTCACAGAGTAAAACCTTTCTTTTCATTCAGCAACATGGAAACACAGTTATTGCAGAATCTGCAAAGGGATATTTGGGAGGGCATTGAGGCCTAAGGTGCAAAATTAAATATCTTTCGATAAAAACTAGAAAGAAAGTTTCTGAGAATCTGCTTTGTGATGTGTGCATTCATCTCACAGAGTCAAACTTTTCTTTGGTTCAGCAGTTTGGAAACACTGTTTTTGTCCTTTATGCAAATGGAAATTTTGGAGCTCATTGAGGTAAATGGTCAAAAAGCAAATATCCCAGGATAAAAACTAGAAGGAAGCTATCTAGGAAACCACTTTGTGATGTGTGCATTCATCTCACACAGTTAAAACTTACTTTTCATTAGGCAGTTTGGAAACACTGTTTTGGTAGAATCGGCAAAGGGATATTTGGAATCCTATTGAGGCCTATTGTGAAAAAGAAAATATCCACATAAAAACTAGAAAGAAGCTTTCTGAGGAACTGTTTTGTGATGTTTGCATTCATCTTTCAGAGATAAACCTTTCTTTCAATTCAGCTGTTTGGAAACACTGTTTTTGTCCATTCTGCCAATGGACATTTGGGAGCACATTGTGGCAAATGGCAAAAAAGCAAATATTTCAGGATAAAAACTGAAAGGAAGCCATCTGAGAAACCACTCTGTGATGTGAGCATTCATCTCACAGAGTTAAACCTTACTTTTCATTCAGCAGTTTGGAAACACTGTTTTTGTAGAATCTGCAAAGGGATATTTGGGAGTGCATTGAGGCCTATGGTGGAAAAGAAAACATCTTCAGATAAAACTAGAAAGAAGCTTTCTGAGGAAGTTCTTTGTGACGTGTGCCTTGACCTTAAAGAGTTAAAACTTCATTTTGATTCAGCAGTTTGCAGATACCGTGTTTGTCCATTCTACAAATGGACTTTGGGAGCTCTTTGAGGACAATGGCAAAAAAGTGAATATCCCAGGACAAAAACTAGAAGGAATCTATCTAGCGAAAGGATATTTGGGAGTGCATTAAGGCCTATGGTGATAGAGAAAATATATTCAGAAAAAAACTAGAAAGAAGTTTTCTGAGAAACCCTTTTGTGATGTGTGTATTCATCTCACAGTGTTAAAATTTCTTTTGATTCAGCAGTTTGAAAACACTGGTTTTGACCATTCTGCAAATGGACATTTGGGAGCTCATTGAGGCCAATGGTGAAATAGCGAATACTCAGGATAAAAAACATAAGGAAGCTATCTAAGAAACCACTTTGTGATGTGTGCATTCATCTCACTGAGTGAAACCTCTCTATTCAGTTTGTATACACTGATTTTGTAGAATCTGTGAAGGGATACTTTGGAGTGCATTGAGTACTATGCTGAAAAAGAAAACGCCTTCAGATAGTAACTGGAAAGGATCTTTCTGAGAAACTGTTTTGTGATATGTGCATTCATCTCACAGAGTTAAAACTTTCTATTTGTTCAGCAGGTTGTAACCGCTGTTTTTCTCCATTCAGTGAAAGGACATTGGGAAGCTCATTGATGCCAATGGTGAAAAAGTGAATATCCCAGCATAAAAACAAGAAGGAAGCTATCTGAGAAACCGCTTTGTGATATGTGCATTCATCTGGCAGAGTTAAACCTTTCTTTTCATTCAGCAGTTTGGAAACACTGTTTTTGTAGAATCTGTGAAGGGATAATTGGGAGTGTATTGAAGCCTATGGTGAAAAAGAAGATCTCTTCAGGTAAAAACTAGAAAGAAGCTTTCTGAGAAACTGCTTTGAGGTATGTGCATTCGTCTCACAGAGTTAAACCTTTCTTTTGATTCAGCAGATCGCAACCACTGTTTTTCTCCATTCAGTGAAAGGACATTGAGGAGCTTATTGAGGCCAATGGCAAAAAAGCAAATATCCCAGGGTAAAAACTATAAGGAAGCTATCTAAACAACCAATCTGTGATGTGTGCATTCATCTCACAAACTTAAATATTTCTTTTGATTCTGAAGTTTGGAAACACTGTTTTTGTCCATTCTGCGAATGGACATTTGGGAGCTCATTGAGGCCAATGGTGAAAAAGTGAATATTCCAGGATAAAACTAGAAGAAACTTATCTTGGAAACTGCTTTGTGACACGTGCATTCATCTCGCAGAGTTAAACCTTTCTTTCGTTTAGCAGTTTGGAAACACTGTTTTTGTAGAATCTACTAAGGGATATTTGGGAGTGCATTGAGGCCTACAGTGAAAATGAAACTATCTTCAGATAAAAACTAGAAAGAAGCTTTCTGAGAAACTACTTTGTGGTGTGTGCATTCATCTCACAGAATTTAAGCTTTCTTTTAATTCAGCAGTTTAAAAACACTGTTTTTGTCCATTCTGCAAATGAAAATTTGGGAGCTCATTAAGGCCAATGGCAAAAATGCTAATATTCCAGGATAAAAACTAGAAGAAACCTATCTTGGAAACCACTTGTGATGTGTGCATTCATCTCACAGTGGTAAACCTTTCTTTTCATTCAGCAGTTTGGAAACACTGTTCTTATAGAATCTTTGAATGGATATTTGGGAGCACATTGAGACCTATGGTGAAAAAGAAAATATCTCCAGATAAAAACTAGAAAGAAGCCTCTTGAGAAACTGCTTTGTAATGTGTGCATTCATCTCAAAGAGCTAAACATCTCTTTTGATTGAGCAGTTTGGAAACAATTTTTTTGTAGAAACTTCAAAGGGATATTTAGGTGCATTTTGAGGCATATGGTGAAAAAGAAAATACCTTCAGATAAAAACTAGAAAGAAGCTTTCTGAGAAACTGGTTTGTGATGGGTGCATTCATCCAACAGATTTAAACCTTTCTTTTGATACAGCTGTTTGGAAACACTGTTTTTGTCCATTTTGCAAATGGACAATTGGGAGCTCGTTGAAGCCAATGGTGAAAATGTTATTATATCAGGATAAAAACTAGAATAAACCTATCTGGGAAACCGCTTGTAATGTGTGCATTCATCTTGCAGAGTTAAATCTTTCATTTCATTCAGCAGTTTGGAAACAGTGTTTTTGTAGAATCTGCAAAGGGATATTTGAGAGCACATTGAGGCCTATGGTGAAAAAGAAATTCTCTTCAGATAAAAACTAGAAAGTAGCTTTCTGAGAAACTGCTTTGTGATGTGTGCATTCTTCTTACAGATTTAAACCTGTCTTTTGATTCAGCAGTTTGGAAACACTGTTTTTGACCAATCTGCAAATGGACATTTTGGAGCTCATTGGGGCCAATGGCAAAAAAGGAAATATCCCAGGATACAATTTAGAAGACAGCTATATGAGATACCTCTTTGTGATGTATGCATTCATCTCACAGAGTTAAATCTTTCTTTTCATTCAGCAGTTTGGAAGCACTGTTTTTGTAGTATCTGCGAAGGGATATTTGGGAATGCATTGAGGTCTATGATGAAAAAGCAAGTTTCTTTAGAATAAAATTAGAAAGAAGCTATCTGAGAAACTGTTTTGTGATGTGTGCATTCATCTCACAGAGTTAAACCTTTCTTTTGATTCAGCAGTTAGGAAACCCTGTTTTTGTACATTCTGCGAATGGACATTTGCAAGTGCGTTAAGTCCTACGATGAAAAAGAAAATATCTTCAGATAAAAGCGAGAAGGAAGCTTTCTGACAAACTGCTTTGTGTTGTGCATTCATCTCACAGAATTATACTTTTCTTTTCACTCAGCAGTTTCAAAACACTGTTTGTGTAAAATCTGCGAAGTGATATTTGGGAGTGCATTCAGGCCTATGGTGAAAAAGAAATCACTTTCAGATAAAAACTAGAAAGAAGCTTTCCGAGAAACTGCTTTGTGATGTGTGCATTCATCTCACAGAGTTAAACCTTTCTTTTGATTCAGCAGTTTGTAAACACTGTTTTTGTCATTCTGCTAATGGACTTTTGGGAGCTAATTGAGGCCAGTAGGGAAAAAGCAAATATCGCAGGTCAAAAACTAGAAGGAAGCTATCTGAGAAGCTGCTTTCTGATGTGTGCATTCATCTCGCAGGGTTAAACCTTTCTTTTCATTCAGCAGTTTGGAAACACTCTTCTTGTAGAATCTTTGAAAGGATATTTGGGAGAGCATTGAGACCTATGGTGAAAAAGAAAATATCTTCAGATAAAAACTAGATAAAAAATCTCTTCAAATACAGTACTTTCTTAAGTGAGAGTTTTCCAAGAAATATTCAGTTTGTTAGTGTAAAATCAGTGTAGATGTCAACCTCTGATGGTGGAAAAGCAAGATTATATTTAGCTTTAATTCAGAATTTTTTGGAGAACTGGATTTGTGGTTACTTACAAAGGAATATGTTCACTTTGAATTTTAGTATGTTGATGAAAACGAAGAGAAATATTTGAAGATAACAATCATAAAGACAACAGGAATTGATAACAAATAACATTTGTTGCTGAAATTCAAATGATTTTCTAATACTTAACAGCCAGTATTCATGAAAATATATTATCCAATAGATTTACTGACTCTAGAAAAGTTGAAAATATCTAGTATAAACAAATATTTCTTAGTCTTACCCATTCTAATTTAAATTAGAATAGAATTTAACTCAATCGAGTCTAATTAACAGAGAAATATTTCTACATTGTACAAGTTACTAGCCCATCTATATACATCATTCAATCTGTCACCGAAATTCTTTCTATTTATTTCCATTTGGTTTACAGCTAGCCAATGACTAAACAGTATTAGCATAATAAAAGCTGATATTTTAAAAAATAAATTATTTAGCATAATGAAAGGAGGCCCCTAATATATGCTGCAAGCAAAAATTACTTTCTTGTTGCAATTTCAAAATTGTCAGAAAGACTGCCATGTCCCCAAATCCATCTCTACAGGCTTACTGTCAGCTAAACTTTTCTTATATAGGAGTTTATAATCTTTCAGTTCATTCCTTTAATTCTGTTAGAATATAAATTTCCCTAGAATGGGTTATATTTGAGAAATTACCAGATAAATGGCTTTCAGAATGAGGGAGTTCCAAATTCTCATTGAGAATATAATTTGAGGCTACATAAAGTGGCTCACACCTGTAACCCCAGCACATTGGGAGGCTGAAGGGGGAAAAATCATGGGGTCAGGAGTTTAAGACCAGCCTAGCCAATATGGTGAAACCCTGTCTCTAATAAAGATACAAAAATTAGCCAGGTGTGGTGGTGTGCACTTGTAGTACCAGCTATTAGGGAGGCTGAGACAGAAGAATTGCTTGAAACTAGGAAGTGGAGGTGGCAGTGAGCCAAGATCACACCACTGCACTCCAGCCTGGGTGGCAGAGTGAGACTCCATCTCAAAAAAAAAAAGGGATGTAATTTGAATGGAAAATACATAAACATTCTGGGATATAATTTGGAAAGAAGGTTAACTGGGAGCAGAATGAGGAGTAACTTCTGAGAGGACATCCGAAAGCCTTATTAAATACCCACAGGGGAGTTTGATGAAACTGAAGAAATAGGTGGAGGAAAATAAGGCAAATTGCTAAAAACTACTAGGTGTATTACAAATTTAGAAACACTTAAAACATCAAACCTAAAAAAATATATTATTTAGTACTATACATCTGTGTTAAAATGACTTTTTAAAAGAAAGAAAATAATAAAACAAATTCTAGATTTTTAGTTACCCACAGAAACTTGGCAAAGTGCACAGGTAGTGTGAATGTTACCAACAAAATAATTAATCTTACATTGGACGGTGGATTCCCAGGTATTTACTTAATTTCATGTTTCCAGAATTTACATCTGTTTCATATACCCTTTGGTAGGAATAAAAAGATACGCCACAGACTGAAAAAATTTTTTACAAAATGCATATCTGACAAAGGACTGATACCGAAAATACACAAAGAACATCGAAAACGCAACTGTAAGAAAATGAACAACACAATTTAAAAAATTGTTCAGGCAAAATAAACTCTTCAGGGCCTAGCGCAATGGTTTATGCCTGCAATCCCAGAACTTTGGGAGGCTGAGGCAGGCAGATCACTTGAGGTCAGGAATTCAAAACTAGCCTGGCCAACCTGGTAAAACCCCATCTCTGCTAAAAATAAAAAAATTAGCCGGGTGCTGGGGGGCATGCCTGTAATCCCAGCTACTCAGGAGGCTGAAGCAGGAGAATTGTTTGAACTCAGAGGCAGAGGTTGCAGTGAGCTGAGATTGCACCATTGCACTCCAGACTGGGCAACAGAGCAAGACTCAGCCACAAAAAAAAAGACTCTACAACAAAGAACTCTTCACAAAGGAAGATATACCAATGGCATATAAGCACATGAAAAGATATTCAATGTCTTATGGCATTAGAGAATTGCAGATTAAAACAGCAACCCATGAGTTGAAAACTTACACTCACATAAAATTTGTACATGGATGTTTATAATAATTTTATTCATAATTGACTAACTTTGGAATCAACCAAGAAATCTTTCAGTAAGTGAATGGACAAATAAATGGTGGTACATTCAGATGATCCTATGTTATTCAGTGCTGAAAAGTTATGAGCTATCAACCCAGGAAAAGACATGGAAAAATTTTGAATGTATATTATTAACTGAAAGAAGACACTGAAAAGTGTATGATTCTACATAGTGTATGATTCCAACTATATGACATTTTTGAAAGGGTAAAACTATGAATACAGTTAAAAAATTAGTTGTTGCAAGGAGTTGGGGGAGAAGGGGAGAATAAATAGTCGGGGCATAGAAGACTATTAGCACAGTGAAAATATTCAACGTGATAATACAGTGGTGTCAAAACTCATAGAATGTACACCACCACGAATAAACCATAATACAAACGACGGACTTAGGGTCATAATGATAGGTCATTGTAAGTTAATTGATCAAAACAATGTTTTACCCTAGTGGGGGATGTTGATAGTGGGGAAGGCTGTACATGTGTGGGGGCAGGTGAACTCTGAATTTTCCACTAAATTTTGTTGTGTACCTAAATGTGCTTTAAAAATAATTGAGTCTAGTTTTCAAAAAATAAACCTGAAAGCCCTAAAGACTTGAGAAATTCCAAGAAATCAGAAAATACAGAATGGGAGTATGTTTGGCATCAGGAACATAGACAAGCAAGCTGCACAAAAGATTCAGGCAAATATAGATTCCAATACTAAATCGTCAACATTCTGTCCAGCAGGGAAGCAGATTGCAGCTTGGAAAGAAGCAGACTTAAGGGTAAGAGCAATTACATGAAAGCAGATGAGCTGCATTACAAAAAATTATTGGATCATTAATTGGCTCAAGTGAAAAATATGAGGACATAAATAGAGATAGATGCAGATCTGGTGGTCATCACCCTTTAAAAACTATCCAGGCTTAAGACAGTAGAATTCCATGGAATAGCACTCACAAATCCAAAGATTTAAACACCTGTAACTAATTAACTTTTTAATATTGCCATTGTAATGTGCATACAGGAAGCAGCTTACTGGATTGAGCAGGTTTATCAGACAAGTAGAAGAATAAATGTCAACCTTCTTCCAGGACAGGACAATTTTTATGATTCTATCCATCTCAGAGATCCTAATTGCTCTGAATGAGATTAAATCTTCCAATGTAGGACGTTAAATATATTGTCAGTATGAGAGAGTGGATTTGCTATGATACACCTAACAACAAAGAGTATCAGAAAAGCTCTTTTTAAATGGTGATCCAAATATAAAAGTATGGGAAAACACTTGCTTCAGTTTTAACCTGCTCAGTGGCTGAATCAAACAGAGCTGTCACAAAAACCTAAATCCTGCCCTTTAAAAGATGTCATTTTTTAGCAAGGCATTGTTTTTCTGAATTTCGTTGTGCGGCCCAACATCTACTTCCTGAGCACATCCTTTCAAGCTTCTCTGCCTCTTCTGTTTACTGCCTCTGGCTTCTGTTCCCAAACCTGTTGTATCATCCAATTTGGTTCCTGTCATCTTCTGTTCTGACACTCAAAAAACTGATATTGGCTCAAAGCCTGAAAGCTACCATTGTCTCCGATATAGAATATGAAATTTGACCAATTCTACTCAAAAAAGAGACCAGCCTCATGGTTTATAACTTGCAATAATCTAACAACAGGTCTTCCATCCATTTCCTTACTCATCATTATTTACTCATGATTATTCAGTTGTTTATTTATTCACTTAATGATTCATGGGCATTTACTTTCTTCCAGGTATTGAGATAATAAGCATCCAAAAAAACATACCCATGTAACTACTTAATACCTGCTAGTGAATCAGTAAGTCTTTGATTTTCCCTTTAGGTTCTTCCTGCTATACTAAGAAATGTATTGTGCATTTGCTATATAACTCAATCTAAGATTACAATAAAGTGTTTGAATAAGATTTTGCTCAAATATACTGTGATTTTATCATTTCCTTATTTAAACCCAATTATCGGAAACTTAGAACCCAATATAAAGATTGTTGCTATGTGTTAAGGCAGAACTGTGTTCAAGGCAAAACAATCCATACAGCCACACTGTTCTATTGTTGCTGATGCTTTTTACTTAAAAAAAGATGGTAAATGTAATATTCATCATTGGCTTTTTATAAAAGATATTATTTATGGTAGGCATGGTGGTTCAAAACACCTCTAATCTCACTACTTTTGGAGGCTAAGGGGGGAGGATCATTTGTGCCCAGGAGTTTGAGACCAGCCTGGGCAACATAGAAACATTCCATCGCTAAAAAAAATTACCTGTGCATGGTGGTGTGACCTGCAGTTCCAGCTACTCTGTAGGCTGAGGTTGGAGAATCACCTGAGCCTGAAAGGTCAACGTTGCAGTGCTCCGTGATCCCACTGCTACACACCAGCCTGGGCAATGGAGGGAGACCTGTCTCAAAAAACAAACAAACAATAACAAAAAAAATCATTTGTTAAAACAACAGAATTTAAGTAAGACTATCCAAAGCAGGTTTAAATGTAATACTTCAAGAACAGAGATGAAGGAAACAATTGTAACTTGGTGTCTTTAAGAGCTGTTTAGTCATTATTAATCACAGCTTAAGTAAGTGGCAGCCTTATTACTTGACTCTAAGTCTTGTGTTACAGTTAAACATAAACAATGATTCTAAGAAATACTTGCTTTTACAGCCTATGGCTGCTGTTCTTACTTTTAAAATGTATCCTCAAAAACATTTTCCACCTTTGCAAAATGAAACAATATGAATGAGACAGTAATTTGTAATGCATCGAATGCCGTCAAGAACATAAAACCTCTCATGATTAACGATTTCAATACCTATACAATTTCTCAATCAATTTCATTCTTGTATAACAGGTAACCAATACTTAAGGACTATATGTACACACATTATACATATATATATATATATATATATACACACACACACACACAAACACACACACACATTGCATGTATACGGAAAGAGAGAGAGAAACTTAGAGAAAATAGTAATGATCACTTCATAGTGTACAGTATGGTTTGGACTGAAATAAGTTTCCTAGGATATAAATCACCAAGGAAGCAATTGCGTTTTATAAATGAGTAAAATTCACTTTTTGTAGATACGTTATTAAATGGCAAGATTTCTAAGTACCAATGATCCAAGTATTACCACAAAAAGAGTAATAAATCCATTCTTTGAATAATAATGATTTTGTCCAACCTATGAGGAATCTTGGACTGGTGCTTCTTGAACTTTAATGTGCATATGAATCTACCGTGGGTCTTGTTAATGCAGATTCTGACTTGGCAAGTCTGGATTAGGGCCTGCGATTCTACATTTGATAGAAAGCTCCAACTTGATGCTCATATTTCTCATCTTGGACCACACTTTGTGTAGCAAGGTCCTAGATGACTTTAACTGCCTCTGGCCATTTCTTTTTGTTCCCACATAAACAAAATTCTAATTGAAGTAAATGAAACACCAAACAGTAGCAGGAAAAAGTTCCATCAGCCCTTAACACCTACAATAAATGTACAGTAAAAAGCCTCAAGATACATATCTAAAAATAGCTTGTATCCAAAAATACAATTCGTTCTCTCTTTATGCAAGAACCTCCCTCATTGAAAGATGGGGACTATCCCTGCAGTCCTTCATATATGACTGGCCTGTGACTTCTCTGACCAACACACTAAGATAGAATTGCTACTGTGTCAGTTCAAGACCTAATCTTTAGCTTTATGCTTCTTGGAACCTAAGTTGTAATATAAGAAGAATCACAGATAGGAGGTGGGGCCAAGATGGCCGAATAGGAACAGCTCCAGTCTACAGCTCCCAGCGTGAGCAATGCAGAAGATGTGTGATTTCTTCATTTCCAACTGAGGTGCTGTGTGCATATCACTGGGGAGTGTTGGAAACTGGGTGCAGGAGAGTGGGGTCAGGGCACTGAGCCTGAGCCAAAGCAGGGCGAGACATCACCTCACCCAGGAAGCACAATGGGTCAGAGAATTCCTTTTCCTAGCCAAGGAAAGGAGTGATGGATGGCACCTGGAAAATCGGGTCACTCTCACCCTAATACTGCACTTTTCTGATGGTCTTAGCAAATGGCACATCAGGAGATTACATCCTGTACCTGGTTTGGAGGGTCCTATGCCCATGGAGCCTCACTCATTGCTACCACAGCAGTCTGAGTTCGAACAGCAAGGTGGCAGCGAGGCTTGGGGAGGGGCGCCCGCCATTGTCGAGGCTTGAGTAAGTAAACAAAGCAGCCTGGAAGCTCGAACTGGGTGGAGCCCAACACAGTTCAGGGAGGCCTGCCTGCATCAGTAGACTCCACCTCTGGGGGCAGGGCATAACAAAACAAAAGGCAGCAGAAACCTCTGCAGACTTAAATGTCCCTGTCTGACACTTTTGAAGAAAGTAGTGCTTCTCCCAGCATGCAGCTGCAGATCTGAGAACAGACAGCTTCCTCAAGTGGGTCCCTGAACCCCAAAAAGCCCAACTGGGTGGCAACCCCCAGTAGCAGCAGACTGACACCTCACACGACAAGGTACTCTTCTGAGACAAAACTTCCAGAGGAACAATCTGGCAGCAACATTTGCTGGTCACCAATACCCGCTGTTCTGCAGCCTCTGCTGCTGATATCCAGGCAAACAGTATCTGGAGTGGACCTCCAGCAAAATCCAACAGACTTGCAGCTGAGGGTCCTGACTGTTGGGAAACTAACAAACAGGAAGGACATCCACACCAAAACCGATTTATACGTCATCATCATCATCAAAGACCGAAGGTAGATAAAACCATAAAGATGGGGAAAAAACAGAGGAGAAAAACTGAAAATTTTAAAAATCAGACTGCCTCTCCTCCTCCAAAGGAATGCAGCTCCTCACCAGCATTGGAACAATACTGGATGGTTAATGACTTTGACGAGTTGAGAGAAGAAGGCTTCAGATGATCAAACTACTCCGAGCTAAAGGAGGAAGTTCGAAACCATGGCAAAGAAGTTAAAAACCTTGAAAAAAGATTAGACGAATGGCTAACTAGAATAACCAATACACACAAGTCCTTAAAGGACCTGGTGGAGCTGAAAACCATGGCACGAGAACTATGTGATGAATGCACAAGCTTCCGTAGCTGATTTGATCAACTGGAAGAAAGAGTATCAGTGATGGAAGATCAAATGAATGAAATCCAGCGAGAAGAGAAGTTGAGAGAAAAAAGAATAAAAAGAAATGAACAAAGCCTCCAAGAAACATGGGACTATGTGAAAAGACAAAATCTACATCTGATTGGTGTACCTGAAAGTGATGCAGAGAATGGAACCAAGTTGGAAAACACTCTGCAGGATATTATCCAGGAGCCCTTCCCCAATCTAGCAAGGCAGGACAACATTGAAATTCAGGAAATACAGAGAACACCACAAAGATAAGACTCGAGAAGAGAAATGCAAGACAAAAATTATCAGATTCACCAAAGTTGAAATGAAGGAAAAATTGTGAAGGGCAACCAGACAGAAAGGTCAGGTTACCCGCAAAAGGAAGTCCATCAGACTAACAGCTGATCTCTCCGCAGAAACTCTACAAGCCAGAAGAAAATGGGGGCCAATATTCGATGATCTTAAATAAAAGAATTTTCAATGCAGAGTTTCATATCCAGCCAAACTAAGTTTCATAAGGGAAGGAGAAATAAAATCGTTTACAGACAAGCAAATGCTGAGAGATTTTGTCACCACCAGGCCTGCCCTAAAAGAGCTCTGGAAGGAAGCACTAAACATGGAAAGGAACGACTGGTACCAGCCACAAAAACATGGCAAATTATAAAGATGATCGAGGCTAGGAAGAAACTGCATCAACTAATGAGCAAAATAACCAGCTAACATCATGATGACAGGATAAAATTCACACATAACAATATTAACCTTAAATGTAAATGGGATAAATGCTCCAATTGAAAGACACAGACTGGCAAATTGGATAAAGAGTCAAGACCCATCAGTGTGCTGTATTCAGGAAACCCATCTCACGTGCAGAGACACACATAGGCTCAAAATAAAAGGATGGAGGAAGATCTACCAAGCAAATGGAAAACAAAAAAGGCAGGGGTTGCAATCCTAGTCTCTGACAAAAAAGATTTTAAACCAGCAAACGTCAAAAGAGACAAAGAAGCCATTACATAATGGTAAAGGGATCAATTCAACAAGAAGAACTAACTATCCTAAATATATATGCACCCAATACAGGAGCACCCAGATTCATAAAGCAAGGCCTTGGAGACCTAAAAAGAGACTTGAACTCCCACACAATAATAATGGGAGACTTTATTACCCCACTGTCAACATTAGACAGATCAAAGAGACTGAAAGTTAACAAGGATATCCACGATGTGAACTCAGCTCTGCAAAAGCGGACCTAATAGACATCTACAGAACTCATCACCCCAGATGAAGAGAATATACATTCTTTTCAGCACCACACCACACCGATGCCAAAATTGACCACATAGTTGGAAGAAAAGAACTCCTAAGCAAATGTAAAAGAACACAAATTATAACAAACTGTCTCTCAGTCCACAGTGCAATCAAACTAGAACTCAGGATTAAGAAACTCACTCAAAACCAGTCAACTACATGGAAACTGAACAGCCTGCTCCTGAATGACTATGTGGTACATAATGAAATGAAAGCAGAATTAAAGCTGTTCTTTGAAAGCAACAAGAACAGAAACACAACATACCAGAATCTGTGGGACACATTCAAAGCAGTGTGTAGAGGGAAATTGATAGCACTAAATACCCATGAGGGAACGGAGGAAAGATCTAAAATGGACACCCTAACATCACAATTAAAAGAAATAGAGAAACAAGAGAAAACACATTCAAAAGCTAGGAGAAGGCAAGAAATAACTAAGATCAGAGCAGAACTGAAGGAAATAGAGACACAAAAAACCCTTCAACAAATCAATGAATCCAGGAGACGGTTTTTTGAAAAGATCAACAAAATTGATAGACCACTAGCAAGATTAATGAAGAAGAAAAGAGAGAAGAATCAAATACACACAATAAAAAAATGATAAAGAGGATATCACCACTGATCCCACAGAAATACAAACTACCATCAGAGAATACCACAAACGTCTCTGTGCAAATAAACTAGAAAATCTGGAAGAAATGGATAAATTCCTAAACACATACACCCTCCCAAGACTAAATCAGGAAGAAGTTGAAACTCTGAATAGACCAATAACATGCTCTGAAATTGAGGCAATAATTAATAGCTTACCAACCAAAAAGAGTCCAGGAACAGAGGGATTCACAGCCGAATTCTATCAGTGGTACAAGGAGGAGTTGGTACCATTCCTTCTGAAACTATTCCAATCAACAGAAAAAGAAGGAATCCTCCCTAACTCATTTTATGAGGCCAGCATTATCCTGACACCAAAGCCTGGCAGAGGCACACACAAAAAAGAGAATTTTAGATCAATATTCCTGATGAACATCGATGCAAAAATCCTCAATAAAATGCTGGCAAACTGAATCCAACAGCACATCAAAAAGCTTATCCACCATGATCAAGTGGACTTCATCCCTGGGATGCAAGGCTGGTTCAACATACACAAATCAATAAAAGTAATTCAGCATATAAACAGAACCAATGACAAAAACCACGATTATCTCAATAGATGCAGAAAAGGCCTTTGACAAAATTCAACAACGCTTCATGCTAAAAACTCCATAAATTAGGTATTGAAGGGACATATCTCAAAATATTAAGAACTCTCCATGACAAACCCACGGCCAATATCATACTGAATGGGCAAAAGCTGGAAGCATTCCCTTTGAAAACTGGCACAAGACAAAGATGCCCTCTCTCACCACTCCTATTTAACATAGTGTTAGAAGTTCTGGCCAGGGTAATCAGGCAGAAGAAGGAAAAAAAGGGTATTCAATTAGGAAAAGAGGAAGTCAAATTGTCCCTGTTTGCAGATGACATGATTGTGTGTCTAGAAAACCCCATCATCTCAGCCCAAAATCTCCTTAAGCTGATAAGCAACTTCAGCAAACTCTCAGGATACAAATCAACGTAAAAAAATCACAAGCATTCTTATACACCAACAACAGACAAACAGAGAGCCAAATCATGAGTGAACTTCCATTCACAATTGCTACAAAGAGAATAAAATACACAGGAATGCAACTTACAAGGGACGTGAAGGACCTGTTCAAGGAGAACTACAAAACGCTGCTCAATGAAATAAAAGAGGATACAAACAAGTGGAAGAACATTCCATGCTCATGAGTAGGAAGAATCAATATCGTGAAAAAGCCCATAATTACCAAAATAATTTATACATTCAGTGCCTTCCCCATCAAGCTACCAATGACTTTCTTCACAGAATTGGAAAAAAACTACCTACAAAGCTGGAGGCATCACGCTACCTGACTTCAAACTATACTACAAGGCTACAGTAACCCAAACAGTATGGTACTGGTACCAAAACAGCGATATAAACCAATGAAACAGAGCAGAACCCTCAGTAATAATGCCACTTATCTACAACTATCTGATCTTTGACAAATCTGAGAAAAACAAGAAATGGGGAAATTATTCCCTATTTAATAAATGGTGCTGGGAATACTGGCTAGCCATATGTAGAAAGCTGAAACTGGATCCCTTCCTTACACCTTACACAAAAATTAATTCAAGATGGATTAAAGACTTAAATGTTAGACCTAAAACCATAAAAACCCTAGAAGAAAACCTAGGCAATACTGTTCAGGCCACAGGCATGGGCAAGGACTTCATGACTAAAACACCAAAAACAATGGCAACAAAAGCCAAAATAGACAAATGGGATCTCATTAAACTAAAGAGCTTCTGCACAGCAAAAGAAACCACCATCAGAGTGAACAGGCAACCTACAGGATGAGAGAAAATTTTTGCAATCTACTCATCTGACAAAGGGCTAATATCCAGAATCTACAATGAACTCCAACAAATTCACAAGAAAAAAACAAACAACCCCATCAAAAAGTGGGCGAAGGATATGAAGAGACACTTCTCAAAAGAAGACGTTTATGCAGCCAAAAGACAGACACATGAAAAAATGCTCCTCATCACTGGCCATCAGAGAAACGCAAATCAAAACCACAATGAGATACCATCTCACACCAGTTAGAATGGCGATCATTAAGAAGTCAGGAAACAACAGGTGCTGGAGAGGATGTGGAGAAAAAGGAACACTTTTACACTCTTGGTGGGAGTGTAAACTAGTTCAACCATTGTGGAAGTCAGTGTGGCGATTCCTCAGGGATCTAGAACTAGAAATACCATTTGACCCAGCCATCCCATTGCTGGGTATATACCCAAGGGATTATAAATCATGCTGCCATAAAGACACATGCACAAGTAGGTTTATTGTGGCACTATTCACAATAGCAAAGACTTGGAACCAAGCCAAATGTCCAACAGTGATAGACTGTGGATTAAGAAAATGTGACACATACACACCATGGAATACTATGCAGCCATGAAAAAGGATGAGTTCATATCCTTTGTAAGGACATAGATGAAGCTGGAAACCATCATTCTCGGTAAACTATTGCAAGGACAAAAAAACCAAACACTGCATACTCTCACTCATAGGTGGGAATTGAACAATGAAAACACATGGACACAGGAAGGGGAACGTCACACACTGGGGTCTGTTGTGGGGTGGGGGGAGGGGGAAGGGATAGCATTAGGAGATATACCTAATGTTAAATGACGTGTTAATGGGTGCTGCACACCAACATGGCACATGTATATATATGTAACAAACCTGCACGTTGTGCCCATGGACCCTAAAACTTAAAATATAATAAAAATAAAAAAAATAAAAAAAGCATCAGAGATACGAACTATAAACTTACACAAGCAGAACAGCAGAGTCACAAAAATTGGAGCCCTGAAATGAAGACTGACCAAGTTGAAAGAACGGACATTTCAACAATAATAGTGGGGAGTTTCAATAGCGTGTTTTCAATAACTGACAGAATAACAGAGAGGATGACTTGAGCAACTCAATCAGCCAAAGGGACACACTGACATTTACAGAATATTCCATCCAGTGATTGTAGAATACACATTCTTTTCTACAAAACTACCAGCTGCAAAACAAGCCCATAAATTTTAAAAGACTGCGATAACACAAAATAAGCTCTCTGATGAAAACAGAATGAAATTAGAGCTTTACAACAGAAACCACTGAAAAACACACAAATATTTAACAATTAAACAAGACTTCTAAATAACCCAAGAGTCAAAGAAAAAATTGCAGGAAACTTTTTAAAAATATTCTGAGCTGAATGAAAATGAAAGCAACATATGTAAAATGTGTGGAATACTGCTGAAGTGGTGTTTACAAAGAAATTTATAGTTTGAAACATCTGTATCAATAAAAAACTCTCAAAATAATAAACTTGGCTTCCTCCCTAAGAAAACAGGCTCGCAGGAAGTTGTTGAGATGATTAAAATATTTGAAAACTTGGTTGTGGTGATTTTTGTATAATTATAATTTTCTGCTAAAAATAGTTGACTTGTACTTTCAAAATAGATGATATTTTTGATATATAAACTATAGCCCAGTAAAGTTATTTTAAGAAACAAACAAACAAACAAAGGACCCAGACTTTTCTGCTGGAAAGTGAAGCACTAGAAAAACCCTGAGACGTGTGAAAAGAAGCCATCTTGGATGCCCAGCCCACAGCCAGCAAATGGCTCCAGATCCAGTTGCCACGATCACAACTACAGGACGTATCTCAAGGGAGGACTAGTCAGTTGTTTTCAGCCACTAATTTAGACAGAGTTTTAAAGAGCAGTGGATAAGCAAAGCAATGTGTTTTAGGCCCTAACCTCTCTCTATCTGCCTGGCACAAAATTTTGAGTGTGTGCACACTTTTATCTCCACCAGCAAATCTTATGCCGTCAACAACTTTTAATTTATCTCATTTTCTTTTCCATTTCCTCTTTCTCTGCTTTACCTGCAACATCATCATTGCAGGCAAGGTGGCTCACACCTGTAATCCAGCACTTTTGAAGGCAGAGATGGGCGGATCACCTGAGGTCAAGAGATCGAGACCAGCCTTGCCAATATAGCGAAAGCCATCTCTACTAAAAATACAAAAATTAGCCAGAGGTGGTGGCAGGCTACTAGCTACTAGGGAGGCTGAGACAGGAGAATCGCTTGAACCCGGTGGTTGAAAGTTGCAGTGAACTGAATTCTGGCCACTGCACACCAGCCTGGGTGACAAGAGGTAAACTCCGTCTCAAAAATAATGATATAATAATAATAATAATAATAAATTATTTTCTAGATGCAGTCCGTTGTGTTGCCAACAACTTTTCCTTCTGTTTGAAGAAGAGAGTGAAAGAGTTTTTAATCAATACAAATTATTTTCTTTCTCCTAAATTGGATGCAATATAAAAAATGAGATATTGATTAAAAATATCAAACTGCAATTGTAATACTGAGGAAAAAAAGAGTGTCCCTGTATCCAGAGTTGGTCATTCTGCTGTGTATGAATTTATAAATATTTTTTCCTTAGTCCAAGCCCAAGTGTGAAGATTTGTACTCACTCTTCAAATAGATGTTTAATCAGCATTGGCTGATTCATGCAACCTGAGCAGAATTCTACAGTCCAGAACTAAGAAGAAAGGGAGATATCATTCTATTTAGAAGTCACTGTCTCTCTGACCTTGAAGAAAATGTATACAGTAGTATGAGGACCCAATTTAAGTCCAGATCACATAAAACAATAAGCACAGTGACAGAGTTGTACACACTTATAGCAGAGGGTTAAAATGTTGTTGATGTTATTGAATTCTTTTAAACCAGACCACTTCCCACGCATCAGATTTTTAAACATATTTTACCTGAATAAGAGCAAAATTTACACAAAGGTATTCTTACGATTTTGGAGAGTGGAACGTAAAGAAGACAAGAGTAAATAGAACCATTTGTTGAGTTTCCTCATGCACTTTTTGCTGATTATAGAATGAATCAGACAGGATAGGGAAAGCTGTTTCATACTCCTTTCTACTTTCTTTTCTAAAGCGCATATTCACTACAACACTTCTATTATCTAAAAGACTTTTCACCCCAAAACTTGAAATGCCTTACATTGGAGAGATGCCAACAGCAGCCGCTAATATCACAGAGCTGGGGTTAGGGATGCGGCAAGCAGGTGTGGGAGCGAAACTCTGATAGTGTGGGTTGCCAGGAGTGTGAACTGTCAGGTCCAACCTTTGCTTGTCCTTTCCTCTGGGAAAGGACATCCACCCTCACTAAAACAGAGTATGGATGGAAGTATTTGCTTTATTACAACTACCAAATGGCTCTCCATTAATAGAAGAGGCCAGAGGACAGACTATATGTATTTATATGTATTCATGTATATAAATATATATGAAAGTATTTATACATATAAATAGTTACATATCTAAATACATACTGTATATGTGTAAAATGTTTATCCTCTGGGCTCTATTATTAATGGAAAATAATTTTATATGTATGTATATATATCTGTATATTTTATATGTATATAACAATACAGATAAAATGGCTTTA
Source organism: Homo sapiens (assembly GCF_000001405.40). Lineage (NCBI taxonomy): Eukaryota > Metazoa > Chordata > Mammalia > Primates > Hominidae > Homo > Homo sapiens. Next base: position 46,103,538 of record NC_000005.10, on the reverse strand, counting down.
TATATGTATGTATATAAAATGTATATATGTATGTATGTATATAAAAATGGTTTATATATGTATATATATGTATATATATGTATTATATATGTATTATATATGTATATATGTATATATATGTTTATATATATACATATATAAACATATGTATATGTTTATATATAAACATACATATAAAATGGCTCTCATATTTTTATATGTGTATATATTTTTAAAATATTTTGACATGAATGAAAATGAAAGCAAAATATGTAAAATATGTGGAATACAGCTAAGGTAGTGTTTACAAAGAAATTCGTAGTTTATATATATTATATATATATATTAGATATATATATTAGATATATATGTGTTAGGCATGATTGTGTTTTAAGCCTGAATATGTAAGAAGAATTTGCAAGAATTAAAAATAATCTCTCTTTTAAAATTCTTAGCTGTGTGGTTAAAACAAAATCAGATTCACATACTACAATTATCCGTGGTAAAAATTTATTAAACCTAAATAGCTAAATAAAACCCCAGCACTAGATTGTATGGCATTTTTAAATAATCAGGAATTATTTCCAAAATATTATTTCATAAAATATTAAATATAAACTTCAGCAAAACTTTTATTATGATTAAGGAAATTCTGATCAAAATTAAGGTCAAATGTATTTTAATCATCTCATTTTCTGTAAGCCCATCAAATTTCAAAAAAATGTTAATTTTTTTATTTTTTAAACATAATCTTTTTATAAGACAGAACTAAATTTCTTGGAATTTATTGGTGTTTCTCAATTTATAATTTATACATTTTAATTTATAAATTACCTGTGAATGTGCTAGAACTTGCCATTAAGCTGCCTACTAATAGAATTACCTTCTTCTCTCTCTTTCTCTCTCTCCCCTTGATTTTCTGTATCACGTTTTTAAATGTAGCATGCTATCTAATGTATATTAGATTGCTACTGCCTAGGGTGATAATGTATATTCATGACACAGCCTCTAGGATTCCTTCTAAGTCACCCAAAAGAGAGAAAATTATATTTTTACTAGTTTTAATTATATTTGTATTTTTATTGAACAAAATTTGCATTATATATTTGTCAGTTTCTTGTGAGTAGGAATTAAAGTTGTCATTCCTTTCTATCCTCACCTTATCAGTATTATCTCACTAATAGTCAGTGCCCATTGAACACACATGGAATGTATCACCAGCCAGGGAAAGAAACTTAAACTCTCCACACTGGACACTTCTGTTCTTTTCTCTATCGTATGTCACATGGGTGCTGCGGGACAAACATCACAAAATATCTGAAGATAGCAAGAACCCCAGTATGCTCTTATATACTTTAAGGCATTTCTTTGCAATGCCTTAAAGTATATAAGAAGAGCATTGATTAATATTTCATTTTCCAGTGGGGTTGATTATTGATACAGAATAGTCATGTCAACATAAATGTTTATAAAATATTAGTGTCTCTTCCAAGATATGACACCTAAGTTAGGAGAGTGTATACTCTGAGATTGAAAGTAATTAAAATCATTGTAAAATGAGAAACTAGTCACTCTTGTAGGAACTCATTCTTAGAAATGATTTGTAAATATGTTATTGCTTGTTGAAATGAAGTTTCTTCTAGTCTCCATCAAAAAGATCAAGCTATATTCACAAGATGCTCTAAACATAACATGTTCATGTAAAGAAATATTAGTCATTCAATTATACTGTAATAAAACTGACTTTAAAATGATCCAAAGAGCAAACTTGGGTTAGTGTCTTTTAAGCTTAGAAGGTACTCCATGCTGTGAAAAGGAAAATCACAGTCTGTTTTCTGTAAGGAAAATGGAATATGAAAATAGTGTAAATACATAAAACTGTCCACTAATATTATTCAGCCCTCTTTCCACTGGCTCTGTAGCCACCAAGCCACCTTTTTGCATTTGCAAGTAAATTTTCTTTCTGGGAGAGAATGTGCTGACCAGCTGTATTTCCTTCCTCTTCGCAGATCTATTTCTAATTATGAATTAATTATGAACTCACCTTCTGGCTCATGATAAGTCTCTTATGAGTTTCATTAGCATGAGTCAGCTCCCCTGAGTAAGATCAAATCTATGTTTAATAATGGAATTGAGTTTCTGGCCTAACAAAGTTGAAAATTCAGTCTCTGGGGACCACCAGTCCTTTGAAGCTATCACATGCCTAGGGACCACGCTTGAATTTTCCACTGGCCTGGTTACATGCCTCTTTAAATAAAAGAAGTATTTTAACAGCAAGCATCTTCTTTAAAAGAGCTCAGTAAAAAAGACTAAGTTACCTAAGAGAGTAGGTAGGCAAATCCTAGGGGAGAAGCTTTCTATGTTTTGCTTTGGTCCTCCCACTTGACCTGTCTGAAAATGCATAGTGAAGCACAAATTATAGTGTTCATCTACTGAATGTGATCCATTTAGATATTTAGATTTCAATTAAATCAGGTCAAAAAACCTGCATGTCTGTACCTATAAGGGGGTTAGGGTGGTCATTGCTTATCTTATCAGACAATTATCTCACCCATCCACTTTATCTGACTAGATAGACAAAAACTTGCAACTTCTTTTGTAACTAAAGCTAATTGTTTAAAAACTGCAAAAGAAATTTTAGAAAATGCCCATCTGCTTATTCTAATCCAGGTCAATGTGGAGACTCTTCTATTATATTATCTGAGAGAAAAAAATTCTCTCAATTATATAAACTATGGTAATTTAGAATTTCCACTGCCACTTAAAAAATTTAAAGGCTGGGCATTTGATAAATGTGGAAACATAGGAAGGAAACCTCATATTAGAGATTTAATGGCTTTAGGAAATAAAGCATATTCATATCACTAGATTGGGAAGGAGGAAATAATTTAAAACAACAGCACATGAAATAATGTGTAATTTAATGCAGACAAAAACTGTAGACCACACATTGATCTTCTGATCAGTCTAACCTGATGAAGATCTGATAAAAACCTCACTTCAAGCAGAAAATCTATCATTCTTTCTAATTTTCCTCTGCGTTGTGGTCTCTGAGAGAAAGCTATGCTCTCTGAGAGCAGAGAAGAGGATCTTCCGCTTTGCTCTCTGAAATTCATCCTGGTCAACACTGGGATGGTGTTGCTACCCGATAGACATGTCCTAGGCAGCCACAAACCAGTGTAGATGTTTCCCACAAGTGTACAGGAAAACCAGTATTGCCTTTAAGGACCACTGTTTCAAAACTAAAACAAGATGCACATTTTCTGAGCAACCCAAGAGGCATAAAAATCAATCAGACATACTGAATGTCTCGCTAGGTCTTCTCTACATACCAAAAACAACGTTATTTCACATACTTACTATAACCTATTTTGTGAAATGCTGGCTGGAAAATATGTTTAGTAGCCATAACTATATTGAAAATAATGCTGATACTACTTTATTGGGAACATCATTTACTTACCAAAGACAATTTTTAATAAACTGAAAGATAAAATGCTAAAATATGTTGAAATAATCATTTAAAATCCCCTTCTCTGATTATCATGGCACATATTTCTGAGCCTTAGAATAGTCCATGCTAAATCTAAATCTCCTTATTTCATGGGGATGAGATTGAATCAGATCAAATGGGATAATAGGATTATATGTATATTCCTGATATGTTTATGGTTTTAGCAATCTGGCCTCAAGCATTTTTAACTGCGTAAATCAAGAGAGGAATTACTGGATGTGGGGGGTGGACATGACATTAATAACAAAGCAAACTAACAGTGGTGTCATATGATTTATTAAATATATCCATGCATGTAGTTCTCTTAAAGTGAGTGTAAGCTCTTCCAAGTTCATAATAAATCAATCACTCCAAATTTCGGTTCACGGGAAGTTACAAATGTTTCATTTAGCACATAAAATGCAAAGTAACTATGTATTACTTTGATAACACATCCATTATGTAGATAATGCAAGTAGCAAGAAGCGATGTCTAGGCAAAGGAAAGATTTAACTATTTCTTTAACAAGGAACCATTGCCGAAATGAAGGGGACTGGGAATATTGTTTCTGTTGTTCAAAGTGCCTGAATTGATGACTTCCTCTTAAAATGAAAATTGACGGTGAGGAGTTCCTATTATCTTCCTCTTCTGATGATAGCTTTTTACTGGAAAGAATTAATTTCCCGAATTTGAGTTGTAGATAGTGAAGATTTACTGCCCCCAGGTGCCTATACTAGGATTTATTGGTTAAGAAAAACATTATTTTTTTTGCTAGAGGCAAATAGTACCTCCAGAAGAAAAATCAGTTTTTGTTAAGTTATATTTTACATTTTTATTGGAGCCTTGGGTTATTTCTTCAGTTGTATCACAAAAGATATAATAGGGAAACACAAAAATAACATGATTCTCTTTGAAGAAGCAATTAAAATTCATGTATATTTAAACTAAACGGCTCATTTTAAGCTCCTTGTCATATAAATACTATAGATCACTGATCTACATTACAATTTTCTGAAGTTCTAATCAGAGATGCTGAATTGTGTTGAAAATGCCAACTGTCTTAAACCAGATGCCAAATAAAGAAAAAAAAATTCTTCTAAAAATCTAACACTCCTAAAAATTTTTTATCTGTGTACCAAACTGTATATTCAAAACTATATATAAAGATAAATATTTAAAAATTAGACCATCCATATATATACTGTCTATTTATCATGTGTAATATCTTATATTTTTCTAAATGCCTTCAAGTGCATTATAATACCCGATTTTATCTTTGAGGTTGTAATCAGTAACCTGGTAAAATGAGTCAGAGCATGTGCCAATGAGGGAATAGCATTGTATAGCATTTTAAGTACGTATTCAAATGCTAATATCCAAACCTATTATTTCATCATAGGAACCCATAGAAAATGGAAAATACAACCTATATTTCACTCCTCAGGAAAAAAAAACCCTTCTGTACCACTTCTAATGAAAACATGCAAGTAGGAGAATAATTGCCAAATTTTGCCAACCCACTTAATTTTTCTTAAAAGGCAGTTCACCTTACCTATAAGTTTGCAGAAATAAAGTTAATGAAATCTAACTTTAACAACACAAATATGTTAATCCTGGGTAAATACACAGATACGATGAGAAGGCCATATAGTCCTTGCTCAGGTAAGGCTCATTCAGTTACATGAAAATGGGATGGAAAATACTAGAACTTCTATCTTTACTGATTGAGGTGCAACACTTTACCATAGTCAGGATATGTCAGAGGTTGGCCCCGCTGGATTTATCAACTACTTTTATTCCTGGATTTTATTACAAACTTTCTCAGGATCTGCCAAGAGTGAATCTAAAATTTCTTGGTCAAGGAAAGGAAACCTACAAATTTGTGTCATATTTACATTATACAACTATTTATTGAGTGCTTAAAAGGTGCTATGATCTCTAATTGTTTTTTGTACTGTTTTATACCGTGTATCCTCAGGTTCCTCAAATATAAAATATGAGTAAAAATAACTCCCTTATTTATCTCATGAAGTGATTTGTGAGGATGAATTAGTTTAAAACTTGTAAAAATTGGAAGCCCAATAAGTACAAAGTTCTCTCCCCTTCTGTGGAAGTCTCCGAGTGGAATTCACAGAGCCTAAATGTGAGATGGCTGAAAGACTCAACCAACTACAATTTAAAACTTCTGTACATTAAAAAAATATGTAAAATATTTAAACAACCCAATGTAACAGGTACAGTGTGCATTATTCAGGTGTGGATTACACTAAAAGCTCAGACTTCATGACTACACAATATATTTATTTAACAAAACTGCATTTGTACACCTTATATTTACACAAAGAAAAGAAGGAGAAAAAAGCATAGTTACATCTCCCTCTTAAAGCTATGCATGTAATTTTTTTAAAGGTTGGAGTGTGAGACATTAGTATGTAAGCAGAAGTTGACGCCACAGTGATACAGTGAGCTAAGCCAAATTAAACACAACAGAATGAGAAAGGAGTAAAGGAGGGAACCTTGAGCACCAGTAGCCATTACAGCACACATTAGAGAACATCTGCAAAGAAACTAAGATGAAAGTGTCCTCAAAACAAATTTCCAAGTAGCTGTGAGGGAACTGTAAGGTAATTAAGAAAAGGAAGTCAGAAGAAAGAGAGGTTGTTGGCTAGCTAGCTAGGTGCCACTGACACAAAAATTATGGACTCTGATTTCTAGAGAAAAACAAAAACAGACATATAAACCCAAATTAAATGAATTTAATGTGCATCTACCAGGATCACTCAAGGCCTAAAATCCCTACAAGAAAGAGGTTTTATAAGTAGGACACTCATATGTTAATTCATGTATCTGTTAGGTATATGGTATTTCATTAAGTTGAAGAGAAGTAAACATCGGAAGAATCCCTTAAAATTCCTTGAATTATTTCAAATGAGATCCATTCTGATGATTTGTGATCTGATTTTCTCAGTTCTCGGCTTGTAATAGCCATAGTTCATGAAGTTGATGCATGAATAGAGAAGAAAATTAATAAATCACTATATAATGTCCATAATCTTGCTTGATTAAATATGTCATTTTTTATCTATATTAATTGTATTTATGACAAATATATAGCCACTTTCATATAGCATTCCTGGATTTGTTTAATACAAAATATAGCCTTGATTTATGGCCAGGATCCTTTAAGGTTTTAATAGCAATTGGTGAGGAACAACTTAAAAATATTATTCAGCAAATTTGAACTACCCTCAATATTTTTCAAATGAATCAGCCAATATTTCATCATCATGATTCATCAGCTAGAGTTCGTCAAAGACCAGCCTGATAAACAAATCTGTAGTCCTGAGTTACATTATTATTTTGGAAAATGCTATAGCATAACATAATGGCTAAAAAGATGTATTCTGAATTCAATCTACTGTCACATTCCGGCACTACTATTATGAGTTCTGTGCCATTAACTGGTCACTGAACTTCTCTAAGGGAGAGGTAATAGGAACATGTACTCCACAGTGATATTAGAAAGTACAAATACCATTAAAATAAATACAGTTCCTGACATATATTAAGCCCTTAACAATGTTATCTATGATAAATGATTAAATCATGATGATGGCAGTGAAGTAAAACTCATCTCTGACTTATGTCCAACTGCATTTCTTACAGAAACTAGGTATGGCACAGGTCCACAAAACATTCATTCCTCCTAAGGGTACAATCAAATAAAATATTTCAGCAAATACAAAAGGTACACCGTGCTCAATTTTCCTAACACATTGTAAAATGGTTATTCGGATATTACTGTTTGAGTCATCCAAATTTAGAAGCCCCTGTGTTTCTTCTGTGAGCCCGTTCATGCTTAGTACATGATAGAAGTAATCTCTCAACAATGGAATTCATCCCCAGGATATTTAGTCTAGCCAACAGAAGATGTGAAGATATTTTCCATTTCACCATAGGCCTCAATGGGCTCACAAATATCCCTTTGCAGAATCAACAATAAGACTGTTTCCAAACTGCTCAATCAAAAGAAAGTTTCAACTCTGTGAGATGAATACACACATCACCAAGAAGTTTCTCAGAATGCTTCTGATTTTTATGTGAAGATATTTCTTTTTCACCATAGGCCTCAAACCGCTCAGAAATATCCCTTTGCAGATTGTACAAAACGACTGTATCCAAGCTGCTCAATGAAAAGAAAGGTTCAACTCCATTAAATGAATGCAAGCATCGCAAAAAATTTTCTCAAAAAGCTTCTGTGTAGTTTTCATTTGAAGAGTTTTCCTTTTCATCATAGGCTGCAAACCACTTACAAATATCCGTCTGCACAATCTAGAAAAAGACTGTTTCCAAACTGTTCAATCAAAAGAAAGGTTCAACTCTGTGAGATGGATGCACACATCACAAAGAAGTTTCTCAGAAAGATTCTGTCTGGTTTTTATGTGAAGATATTCCCTTTCTCACCATAGGCCTCAATCTGCTCACAAATTTCCTTCTGCAGAATCTGCAAAACAACAGTTTCCAAACTCCTCCATTAAAAGAGGTGTTCAAGTCTGTGAGATGAATGCACACATCACAAAGAAGTTTCTCTGAATGCTTCTGTCTAGTTTTTATGTGAAGATATTTCCTTATTCAACATAGGCCTCAAATACTCACAAATATCCCACTGCAATTTCTACAAAAAAACTGTTTCCAAACTCCTCAATCAAAAAAAAGTTTCAACTCTGTGAGATGAAAGCATACATCACAAAGAAGTTTCTCAGAAAGCTTCTGTCTAGTGTTTATGTGAAGATGTTTCCTTTTTCACTGGAGGCCCCAAAGCTACCCAAATATCCATTTGCAGATTCTACAAAAAGACTGTTTCCAAACTGCTCAATCAAAAGAAAGGTTCAACTCTGTGAGATGAAAGCACACATCAAAAAGAAGTTTCTCAGAAAGCTTCTGTCTAGTGTTTATGTGAAGATGTTTCCTTTTTCACTGGAGGCCCCAAAGCTATCCAAATATCCATTTGTGGATTCTACAAAAAGACTGTTTCCAAACTGCTCAATCAAAGGAAAGGTTCAACTCTGTGAGATGAAAGCACACATCAGAAAGAAGTTTCTCAGAAAGCTTCTGCCTAGTTTTTATGTGAATATATTTCCTATTTCACTACAGGCCTCAATGGACTCACAAATATCCCTTTGCAGATTCTACAAAAAGACTGCTTCCAAACTTCTCAATCAAAAGAAAGGTTCAACTCTTTAAAATGAATGCACACATCACAAAAAAGTTTCTCAGAATTCCTTTTTCACCATAGGCCTCAAACCACTCACAAATATCCCTCTGCAGAATATACAAGAATACTGTTTCCAAACTGCTCAAACAAAGAAAGGTTCGACTCTGTGAAATGAATGCAGACATCACAAAGAAGCTTCTCAGAGAGTTTTTGTCCAGTTTTTATGCGAAGATATTTCCTTTTTCACCATAGGCCTCAAAGTGCTCCAAATATCCATTTGCAGATTCTACAGAAAGACTGTTTCCAAACTGCTCAATCAAAAGAAAGTTTCAACTCTGTGAGATGAATACACACATCACCAAGAAGTTTCTCAGAATGATTCTGATTTTTATGTGAAGATATTTCTTTTCACCATAGGCCTCAAACTGCTCAGAAATATCCCTTGCAGATTGTACAAAATGACTGTTTCCAAGCTGCTCAATGAAAAGGAAGGTTCAACTCCGTTAGATGAATGCAAACATCACAAAAAATTTTCTCAAAAATGTTTTGTGTAGTTTTCATTTGAAGAGATTTCCTTTTTCATCATAAGCCTCAAACCACTCACAAATATCCCTCTGCAGAATCTAGAAAAAGACTGTTTCCAAACTGTTCAATCAAAAGAAATGTTCAACTCTGTGAGATGAATGCACACATCACAAAGAAGTTTCTCAGAAAGATTTTGTCTGGTTTTTATGTGAAGATATTTCCTTTCTCACCATAGGCCTCAAACCACTCACAAATTTTCTTCTCCAGAATCGGCAAAACAACAGTTTCCAAACTCTTCCATCAAAAGAGGTGTTCAACTCTGTGAGATGAATGCACACATCACAAAGAAGTTTACTTGAATGCTTCTGTCTAGTTTTTATGTGAAGATATTTCCTTATTCAACATAGGCCTCAAATAGCTCACAAATATCCCGTTGCAATTTCTACAAAAAAAAACTGTTTCCAAACTGCTCAATCAAAAGAAAGTTTCAACTCTGTGAGATGAAAGCACACATCACAAAGAAGTTTCTCAGAAAGCTTCTGTCTAGTTTTTATGTGAAGATATTTCCTATTTCTCCATAGGCATCAATGGGCTCACATATATCCCTTGCAGATTCTACAAAAAATGTTTCCAAACTGCTGAAACAAAAGAAAGGTCAACTCTGTGAAATGAGTGCAGACATCACAAAGATGTTTCTCAGAAAGCATCTGTTTGGTTTTTATGTGAAGATAATTCCTTTTTCACTCTAGGCCTCAAACTGCTCACAAATATCCCCCTGAAGAATCTACAAAAAGACTGTTTCCAAACTACTCAATCAAAACAAATGTTCAGCTCTGTGAGATGAATGCACACATCACAAAGAATTTTCTCAGAATTTTTCTGTCTAGTTTTTATGTGAAGATATTTCCTTTTTCACCATGGCCTAAAAGCTCTCCAAATATCCACTTGCAGATTCTGCAAAAAGAGTGTTTCCAAACTGCTCAATCGAAAGAAAGATTCAACTCTGTGAGATGAAAGCAGACACCACAAAGAAGTTTTTCAGAAAGCTTCTGTCTAGTTCTTATGTGAAAATATTTCCTTTACCACCATAGGCTCAAAGGGATCACAAATATCCCTTTGCAGACTCTACAAAAAGACTGTTTCAAAACTGCTCAATCAAAAGAAAGATTCATCTCTGTGAGATGAATGCACACATCACAAATAAATTTCTCAGAAATCTTCTGTCTAGTATTTATATGAAGATATTTTCTTTTTCACCACAGTCCTCAAACCGCTCACAAATATCACTCTGCATATTCTACAAAAAGACTGTTTCCAAACTGTTCGATCAAAAGAAAGTTTCAACTCTGTGAGATGAATACACACATCCTAAAGTATTTTCCCAGAAAGCTTCTCTCTAGTTTTTATGTGATGATATTTCCTTTTTCAGCATAGGCCTAAACACACTCCAAATATTCCTTTGCAGATTCTACAAAAAGACTGTTTCTGAACTGCTCAATCAAAAGAAAGTTCATATCTGTGAGATGAAAGCACACATCACAAAGAAGTTTCTCAGAAAACTTCTTTCTAGTTTTTATGTGAAGATATTTCCATTTTCACCAGGGGCCTCAAAGCACTCAGAAATGTCCGTTTGCAGATTCTACAAGAACAGAGTCTCCAATCTCTTCAATGAAAAGAAACTTTTACCTCTGTGAGATGAATATGCACATCTGAAAGTAGTTTCTCAGAAACTTTCTGTATTGTTTTATGTGAAGATATTTCCTTTTTCACCATAGGCCTCAAAAGGCTCACAAATATTCCTTTGCTGATTCTGCAAAAAGACTGTTTCCAAACTGCTCAATCAAAAGAAAGGTTCAAATCTGTGAGACAAATGCACACATCATGAAGAAGTTTCCCAGAAAGCATCTGTATAGTTTTTATGTGAAGATATTTCCATTTCCACCATCACCCTCAAACCACTCACAAATGTCCCTTTGCAGATAGTACAAAAAGACAGTTTCCAAACTGCTCAATCAAAAGAAACTTTCAACTCTGTGTGATTAATGCACACATCACAAAGAAGTTTCTCAGAAAGCTTCTGTCTAGCTTTTATGTGAAGAGATTTCCTCTTTCACCATAGGCCTCAAAGTGCTCACATATATCCCTTTGCAGATACTACAAGAACAGAGTTTCCAATCTGCTCAATGAAAAGAAACTTTTAAATCTGTGAGATGAATGCACACATCACAAAGCAGTTTCTCAGAAACATTCTGTCTAGTTTTTATGTGAAGAGATTTCCTATTTCAACATAGGCCTCAAATGTCTCACAAATATCCCTTTGCAGATTCTACAAAAACACTTTTTCCAAATGGCTCCATCAAAAGAAAGTTTCAACTCTGTGAGATGAATGCAAACATCACAAAGAAGTTTCTCAGAAAGCTTCCTTATAGTTTTTATCTGAAGATATTTCCTTTTTCACCATAGGCCTCAAAATGCTCAAAAATGTCCCTTTACAGATACTACAAAAAAAGAGTTTCCAAGCTGCTCCATCAAAAGAAATGTTCAACTCTGTGAGATGACTGCACACATCACAAAGCAGTTTCTAAGAAACCTTCTGTCTGGTTTTTATGTAAAGATATATCTTTTTTCACCATAGGCCTCAAAGGGCTCACAAATGTCATTTTGCTGATTCTACAAAAAGACTGTTTCCCAACAGCTCACTGAAAAAAAGTTTCAACACTGTGAGATGAATGCGCACATCATAAAGAAGTTTCTCAGAAAGCTTCTGTCTAGTTTATATGTGAAGATATTTCCTCTTTCACCATAGGCCTCAAAGCATTCACAATTCTCCCTTTGCAGATTCTACAATAGCAGAGTTACCAATCTGCTCAATGAAAAGACACGTTTAAAAAGACACGTTTACCTGTGTGAAATGAATGCACACATCTTAAAGCAGTTTCTCAGAATCATTCTGTATAGTTTTTAAGTGAAGATATTTCCTTTTTAATCATAGGCCTGAAAGGGCTCAGAAATGTCCCTTTGCAGATACTGGAAAAAGACTGTTTCCAAACTATTCAATCAAAAGAAAGGTTCAACTCTGTGAGATGAATGCACATATCACAAAGAAGTTCCTCAGAAAGCTTCTGTCTAGCTTTTATGTGAAGATATTTCCTTTTTCATCACTGGCCTCAAAGGGCTCACAAATATCAATTTGCAGTTTCTACAAGAGCAGAGTGTCCAATCTGCTCAATGAAAAGAAACGTTTACCTTTGTGAGACGAATGTACACATCACAAAGCAGTTTCTCAGAAAGCTCTGTCAAGTTTTTATGTGAAGTTATTTCATTTTTCACCATTGACCTCAAAGGGCTCAAAAATACTCTTTTGCAGATTCTACAAAAAGACTATTTCCAAACTACTCAATTGAAAAGATCATCTCAGTGAGATGAATGCACACGTCACAATGAAGTTTCTGAGAAAGCTTCTGTCTAGTATTTACATGAAGATATTTCCTTTTTCACCATAGGCCTCAACGTGCTCACAAATATCAGTTCGCAGTTTCTACAAAAAGACTGTTTCCAAACTGCTCAATCAAAAGAAAGCTTCAAATCTGTGAGATGAATGAACACATCAAAAAGCAGTTTCTCAGAATGCTTCTCTCCAGTTTTTATGTGCAGATATTTCCTTTTTCACATAGGCCTCAAATCACTCATAAATATCACATTGCAGATTGTAAGAAAAGACTGTTTCCAAACTGCTCAATCAGGGAAAGAATCATCTCTGTGAGGTGAATGCACACATCACAAGGAAATTTCTCAGAAAGCTTCTGTCTAGTTTTTATGTGAAGATATTTCCTTTTCACCATAGGTCTAAAATCACTCAGAAATATCCCCTTACAGATTCTACAAGAACAGAGTTTCCAATCTGGTAAATGAAAAGAAACGTTTACTTCAGTGAGATGAATGCACGCCTCAAAGCAGTTTCTCAGATACATTCTGCCCAGTTTTTATGTGAAGATACTTCCTTTTTCACTAAAGGCCTCATAGTGCTCACAAATATCCCTATGCATATTCCGCCTGAAGACTGTTTTCAAGCTGCTCAATAAAAAAAATTATTCAATTCTGTGAGGTGAATGCACACATCACAGAGAAGTTTCTCAGAAAGCTTGTGTCTGGTTTTTATGTGAAGATAATTCCTTTTTCACTATAAGCCTGCAAGGGCTCACAAATATCCCTTTGCAGATTCTACAAAGGGATTGTTTCCAAACTGCTCATTCAAAAGAAAAGTTCATCTCTGTGAAACGAATTCACGCATCACAAAGTAGTTTCTCAGAAAGTGTCTGTCTAGTTTTTATGCGAAGATATTTCCTTTTACACCATAGGCCTCAAAGTGCTTACAAATATCACTTTTCAGATTCTATGAGAACAGATTTTCTAATCTGCTCAATGAATAGAAACATTTACCTTTGTGAGATGAATGCACAATCACATGGCAGTTTCCAGAAAGCTTCCGTCTATATTTTATGTGAAGATATTTCGTTTCTCACCATAGGCCTCAAAGCACTCACAGATATCCCTTTGCAGTCTCTACAATAAGATTGTTTCCAAACTGCTCAATGATAAGAAAATTTCAACTCTGTGAGACAAATGCATACATCACCAAGAAGTTTCTCAGAAATCTTCTGTATAGTTTTATGTGATGATATTTTCTTTTCCACCATAGGCCTCAAAGCACTCACAAATACCCCTTTGCAGATTCTACAAAAAGAGTGCTTCCAAACTGATCATCAATCAAAAGAAAGTTTCAACTCTGTGAGATGAATGCACTCATCAGAAAGAAGTTTCATAGAAAGGTTCTGTCTAATTTTTATGTGAAGATATTTCCTTTTTCACCATAAGGCTCAAAAGGCTCACAAAACATCCATTTGCAGATTCTACAGAAAGACTGTTTCCAAACTGCTCAATCAAAAGAAAGGTTCAACTCTGTGAAATGAATACACACATCACACAGAAGTTTCTCAGAAAGCTTCTGTCTGGTTTAAATATTAAGGTATATACTTTTTCAACATAGGCCTCAAAGCGCTCACAATTATCCCTTTGCAGATTCTACAAAAACAGAGTTTCCAATCTGCTCAATGAAAAGAAATGTTTACTTCAGTGGGATGAATGCACACATCATGAAGCAGTTTCTCAGAAAACTTCTGTCTCTTTTCTATGTAACGATATTTCCTTTTTCTCCGTAGGCCTCCAAGGGCTCACAAATGTCACTTTGTGGTTACTACAACAAGACTGTTTCCAAACTGCTCAAACAAAACAGGTTTAACACTGTGAGATGAATGCACACATCACAAAGATGTTTCTCAGAAAGTCTCTTTAGTTTTTATGTGAAGATATTTCCTTTTTCATCATAGGCCTCAAAGTGCTCACAAGTATCCCTTTGCAGATTGTACAAGAAGATGGCTTTCAAACTGCTCAATCAAAAAAAAGTTTCAACCTTGTGAGAAGAATGAACACATCACAAGGAAGTTTCTCAGAAAGCTTCTGTCTAGATTTTTTGTGAAGATATTTCCTTTTTCACCATAGGCCTCAAAGTGCTCAAAAATATCCCTTTGCAGATTTTAAAAAAGACTGTTTTCAAACAGATGAATCAAAAGAAAGTTTCAACTCCGTGAGATGAATCCAGACATCCCTAAGAAGTTTCTCAGAAAGTTTCTGTCTCGTTTTTATGTGAAGATACTTCCTTTTTCACCACAGGCCTCAAAGGGCCCACAAATATCCATTTGCAGATTTTGGAAGAAGACTGTTTGCAAACTGCTCATTCAAAAGAAAGTTTCAACTCTGTGAGATGAATGCACGCATCACAAAGTTGTTTCTCAGAAAGCCTCTGTCTAGTTTTATGTAAAGATATTTCCTCTTTCACCATAGACCTCAAAGGGCTTAAAACATCCCTTTTTGGATTCTGCAAAGAGACTGTTTCCAAACTCCTCAATGATAGGAAGGTTCAACTCTGTGAGATGAAAGCATACATCACAAAGAAATCTCTCAGAAAGATTCAGCCTGGTTTTTATGTGATGATATTTCCTTATTGAACATAGGCATCAAAGTGCACTCAAACATCCCTTTGCAGATTTTACAAAATACAGTTCCCAGACTTCTCAATCAAAAGAAATGTTCAACTCCATGAGGTGAATGCACACATCACAAAGAAGTTTCTGAGCACTTCTGTCTAAATTTTATGTGAAGGTATTTCTTTTTACACCATAGGCCTCAAAGCACTCACAAATATCCCTTTGCAGATTCCTAAAAAGACGGTTTTCAAACTGCTCAATCAAAATAAAGGTTCAACTCTGGGAGCTGAATGCACACGTCACAAAGAAGTTTCTCAGAAAGCTTCTGTCTGGTTTTTATCTGAAGATATTTCCTTTTTCACTGTAGGCCACAAAGGACTCACAAATATCCCTTTGCTGGTCCTACAAAAAGACTGTTTGCAAACTGCTCATTCAAAAGAAAGTTTCAACTCTGTAAGATGAGTGCATGCATCACAAAGGTGATTCTAAGAAAGCTTCTGTCTAGTATTTATATGAAGATATTTCCTTTCTTACCATAGGCCTCAAAGTGCTCAAAAACATCCCTTTGCAGAATCTACAAAGAGAGAGTTTCCAAACTGCTCAATCAAAACAAAGTTTCAACTCTGTGAGATGAATGCACATATCATGAAGAAGTTTATCAGAAAGCTTATGTCTAGTTTTTATATGAAGATATTTCCTTTTTCAGCATAGGCCTCAAAGCGCTCACAAATATCCCTTTGCAGATTCTAAAAGAAGACTGTTTTCAAAGTGCTCAATTGAAAGAAACGTTGAACTCTATGAGATGAACACACCCATCACAAATTAGTTTCTCAGAAAGTTTTTTATAGTTTTTATGTGAAGATATTTCCTTTTTCACCATAGGCCTCAAAGCGCTCACAAGTATCACTTTGCAGATTACACAAAAACAGTGTTTCCAAACTGCTCTGTCAAAAGAAAGTTTTAACTCTGTGAGATGAATGGACACACCACAAAGCAGTTTCTCAATAAGCTTCTTTCTAGTTTTTATCTGAATATATTTCTTTTTTCACCATAGGCTTAACAGTGCTTTCAAATATCCCTTTGTGGATTCTACAAAAATAGTGTTTCCAAACTGCTCAATCAAAGGAAAGGTTTAAATCTGTGAGAATAATGCACACATCCCAAAGCAGTTTCTCATAAATCTTCTTTGTAGTTTTTATCCAAAGTTATTTCCTTTTTCTCTGTAGGCCACATTGTGCTCCAAAATATCCCTTCACAGATTCTACCAAAACATTGTTTCCAAACTACTCAATCAAAAGAAAGGTTTCATTCTGTCAAATGAATGTTCACATAAGAAACCAGTTTTTCAGAAAGCTTCTTTCTGGTTTTCATCTGGAGATATTTCCTTTTTCACCATAGGCCTAAATGTGCTCCCAAAGAACTCTTTGCAGATTCCACCAAAAAGGTGTTTCCAATTGGCTCCATCAAAGGAAAGATTTATCACTGTTCATTGAACGCACTCATCACAAATCAGTGTCTCAGAAAGCTTCTTCCCAGTTTTTATCTGAAGATATTTCTTTTTTACCATAGGCTTCTATGCACTGCCAAATACCCCTTAGCAGATCTAAAAACTGTTTCCAAACTGTTCCATCAAAGGAAGGAATTAACTCTGTGAGATGAATGCACACATCAGAAAGTAGTTTCTCATAACACATCTTACCAGATTTTATCTGAAGATACTTACTTTTTCACCATAGGCTTTTTTGTGCTACCTAATATTGATTCACAGAGTTTTCAAAAACAATGTTTCCAAACTGCTCAGTCAAAAGAAAAGTTTGACTCTGTGAGATGAATGCACACATCACAAAGCAGTTTCTCAAAATGCTTCTTGATAGTTTTTATCAGAAGATATTTCCTTTATCACCATAGGCTTCAACACACTCCTAAATATCCTGACGCAGATTCTGCAAAAATGTCTCCAAACTGCTCAATGAAAAAACAGGTTTAACTCTGTGAGTTGAATGCATACATCACAAAGCAGTTTCTCTAAAAGTATCTTTCTGCTTCATACTTGAAGATATTTCCTTTTTCAGAATAGGCCTCAGTGCACTCTGAAATATACCTTTGCAGACACTACAAACACAGTGTTTCCAAACTGTTCCATGAAAAGAAAGGTTTAACTCTGTGAGATGAATGCACACATCACAAAGCAGTTTCTCACATAGTTTCTGTCTAGTTGTTCTCTGAAGATATTTCCTTTTCCATCACTTTCCTTAATGCGCTCCCAAATATCCCTTTGCAGATTCTATAAAAACAGTGTTTCCAAACTGTTCCATTAGAATAAGCATTAAACTCTATGAGATGAATGCACACGTCAGAAGCAGTTTCTCATAACACATCTTTCCATTTTTTATCTGAAGATAATTCCTTGTTCACCATAGGCTTTTTTGCACCTTATACAAACATTGCTGTGCACATTATACAAACATTGCTTTGCACATTATACAAAAAGAGTGTTTCCAAACTGATGAGTCAAAAGAAAAGTTTACTTCTGTGAGATGAATGCATGCTTCACAAAGGAGTTTCTTAAAAAGTTTCTTTCTAGTTTTTATCCGAAGATATTTCCTTTTTCATCATAGGATTCATTATGCTCCCAAATATCCCTTTGCAGATTCTACAAAACAGTGTTTCCAAACTGCTCAATCAAAAGAATGGTTTAACCTTGTGAGATTAATACACACATCACAAAGCTCTTTCTCAGATAGCTTCTGCCTAGTTTTCACCGAAGATATTTCCTTTCTCACAATAGGCTCCAATGGGCTCCCAAATATCTTGTCACAGATTTTTCACAAGCAGTGTTTCCAAACTGCTCAATAAAAACACGGATTTATCTCTGTGAGTTGGACACACACAACACAAAGCAGTTTCTCAAAAAGCTTCCTTGTAATTTTATGTGAAGATATTTCCTTTTTCACTATAGTCCTCAGGGCACTCCCAAATATACCTTTGCAGATTCTACAAAAACAGTGTTTCCAAACTGTTCCATGAAAAGAAAGGTTTAACTCTGTGAGATGAATGCACACATCACAAAGCAGTTTCTCACATAGTTTCTGTCTAGTTCTTCTCTGAAGATATTTCCTTTTCCGCCACTTTCCTTAATGCACTCCCAAATATCCCTTTGCAGATTCTATAAAAACAGTGCTTTTCCAAACTGTTCCATTAAAAGAAGCATTGAACTCTATGAGATGAATGCACACGTCAGAAAGCAGTTTCTCATAACGCATCTTTCCAGTTTTTATCTGAAGATATTTCCTTGTTCACCATAGGCCTTTTTATGCTACCATACACCGCTTTGCACTTTATACAAAAAGAGTGTTTCCAAACTGATGAGTCAACAGAAAAATTTGCCTCTGTAAGATGAATGCATACATCACAAAGGAGTTTCTCAAAAAGTTTCTTTCTCGTTTTTGTCCAAAGATATTTCCTTTTTCATCATAGGATTCAGTGTGCTCCCAAATATCCCTTTGCAGATTCTACAAAACAGTGTTTCCATATTGCTCAATCAAAAGAATGGTTTATCCTTGTGAGATTAATACACACATCACAAAGCTCTTTCTCAGATAGCTTCGGTCTAGTTTTCACCCGAAGATATTTCCTTTATCACAATAGGCTTCAATGCACTCCCAAATGTCTTGTCACAGATCTTTCACAAATACTGTTTCCGAACTGCTCAATCAAAAAACAGATTTATCTCTGTGAGTTGAATGCACACAACACAAAGCAGTTTCTCAAAAACTTCCTTGTAATTTTATGTGAAGATATTTCCTTTTTCACCATAGGCCTCAGGGCTCTCCAAAATATACCTTTGCAGATTCTACAAAAACAGTTTCCAAACTGCTCAATCAAAAGAAAGGCTTAACTCTGTGAGATGAATGCAGACATCACAATTCAGTTTCTTAGATAGCTTCTGTCTAGTTCTACTCTGAAGATATTTCCTTTTCCACCATAGTCCTCTACGCACTCCCAATTATCCCTTCTTAAAGCCTATAAAAACAGTGTTTGCAAACTGGCTGATCAAAAGAAGGATTTAACTCTGTAAGATGAAGATGCAAATCAGAAAGCAGTTTATCATACTGCTTAATTCCAGTTTTTATCTGAAGATATTTCCTTGTTCACCATAATCCTTTTTATGCTACCTAACATCACTTTGCAGATTATATAAAAACAGTGTTTCCATACTTCTCAGTCAAAAGAAAAGTTCTACTCTGGGACATTAATGCATACATCACAAAGCAGTTTCTCAAAAACCTTCTTACTCGTTTCTATCCGTAGACATTTCCTTTTTAACCATAGGCATCAGTGCGCTCCCAAATATCCCTTTGCAGATTCTACAAAAACAGAGTTTCCAAACTGCTAAATCAAAAGAAACGTTTAACTCTGTGAGATGAATTCACACAACCAAACTGGTTTCTCAGAGAGTTTCTTTCTAGTTTTTATCTGACATTATTTCCTTTTTCACCATAGGTCTGGTGCACTTCCAAATACCTCTTCACAGATTCTACAGAAACAGTGTTTCTAAACTGATCTGTCAAAAGTTAGGTTTAACTCTGTGAGATGAATGCACACATCAGAAAGCAGTTTCTCAAAAAGGTTCTTTCTACTTTTTTTCCAAAGATATTTCCATTTTCACCATAGACTTCAAAGCACTCCCAAACATGCCTTCACAGATTCTGTAAAAAAAAGGGTTTACAAACTGATCAAACAAAAGGTTTAACTTTGTGAGATGAATGCACACATCGCAAAACAGTTTCTTAGATAGTTTCTGTCCAGTTCTTCTCTGAAGATATTTCCTTTTCCAGCACAGGCCTCAACGCACTCCCAAATATCCCTTCACAGATTCTATAAAAACAGTTTCCAAACTCTTCCACCAAAAGAAGGACTTAACTCTGTGAGATTAACACACACATCAAAAGCAGTTTCTTATAAAGCTTCTTTTGAGTTTATATCTGAAGGAATTTCCTTGTTCACCATAGGTTTTTTTTGTGCTACATAATATCGCTGTGTAGATTTTTCAAAAACAGTGTTTCCAAACTACTCAGTCAAAAGAAAGGTTTAACTCTCTGAGTTGAATGCACACATGACAAAGCAGTTTCTCAGAAAGCTTCTTTCTAGTTTTCATCTGAAGATATTTCCTTTTTCTCCATAAGCTTCAATGTGCTCCCAATTATCCCTCCACAGACTCTACAAAAACAGTGTTTCCAAACTGCTCAATCATAAGAAACGTTTCACACTGTGAGAAGAATGCACACATCACAAAGTGGTTTCTTAGAAAGCTCCTTTCTAGTTTTTATCTGAAGTTATTTCCTTTTTCACCATTGGTATCGTGGGCTCCCAAATATCCCTTCATAGATTCTACAAAAACAGTGTTTCCAAACTGATCAGTCAAAAGAAAGTTTTAACTCTGTGAGATGAATTCACAGAAAGCAAAGCAGTTTCTCAAAAAGCTTCTTTCTAGTATTTATGTAAAGATACTTCTTTTTTCATGATAGGGCTCATTGGGCTCCCAAATATACCTTTGCAGGTTATACAAAAACAGTGTTTCCAAACTACTCAATCAAAAGAAAATTTTAACTCTGTGAGATGAATGCACAAGTCACAAACAAGTTTCTCACATACCTTCTGTCTTGTTCTTCTCTGAAGATATTTCCTTTTGCACTATAGGTCTCAAAGCACTACAAAATATCCCTTCACAGTTTCTATAAAAACAGTGTTTCCAAACTGTTCCATCAAAAGGATTTAACTCTTTGAGATGAACGCCCACATCAGAAAGCAGTTTCTCATAACGATTCTTTCCAGTTTTTATATGAAGATGTTTCCTTGTTCAACATAGGCCTTTTCGCACTACCTACCATTGCTTCGCAGATTGTACAGAAACAGGGTTTCCAAACTGCTGAGTCAAAACAAAAGTTTAGCTCTGTGAGATGAATGAATGTATCACAAAGTGTTTTCTCAAAGAGCTTCTTTCTGTTGTTTTTCTGAACTATTTCCTTTTACACCATAGGACTCAGTGCACTCCAAAATATCCATTTTCAGATTATACAAAAAACAGTGCTTGCAAACTGCTCAATCCAAAGAGACGTTTAACACTGTGAGAAGATTGTACACATCACAAAGCGGTTTCTCAGAAAGTTTCTTTGTAGTATTTTCTGAAGTCATTCCCTTTTTCACTATGGGCCTCTTGTGCTCCCAAATATCCCCTTGCCGATTCTACAAAAACAGTGTTTCCAAACCGATGAATCAAAAAACAGGTTAACCTGTGTGAGAAGAATGCGCACTTCACAAAGCAGTTTCTCGTAAATTTTCTCTAGTTTTTATGTGAGATATTTTTCACCGTACTCTTCAATGTGCTTCCGAATATCCCTTTGCAGATTCTACAAAAACACTGTTTCCAAACTGCCCAATCAAAAGAAAGTTTTAACTCAGTGAGATGAATGCATACATTACAAAAGAGTTTCTCAGAAGGCTTCTGTCTAGTTCTTCTCTGAAGATATTTCCTTTTTCACCACAGGCTTCAATGTGCTCCCAAATATCCCTTCACAGATTCTACAAAAACTGTTTCCATACTGTTCCATCAAAACCAGGACTTAACTCTGTGAGATGAATGCACACATCAGAAAGAAGTTTCTCATAATGCTTCTTTCCACCTTTTATCTGAAGATATTTCCTTGTTCATCATAGGCTTTTTGCGATACCTAATATCACTTTGTAGATATGCAAAAACAGTGTTTCCATTCTGCTCTGTCAAGAGAAACTTTTCTCTCTGTGAGTTGAATGCACACATCATGAAGCAGTTTCTCACAAAGCTCCTTTCTAGTTTTTATATGAAGTTATTTCCTTTTTCACTGTAGACCTTGTGGGCTCCCAAATATCCCTACGCTTATCCTGCAAATGCAGTGTTTCCTAACTGAAAAATCAAAAGTAAGGTTTAATTCTGTGAGATGAATGCACACATCACAAAGCAGATTCTGAAAATGCTTCTTTCTAGTTTTTATCAGAAGATATTTCCTTTTTCACCATAGGCTTCTATGTGCTTCCAAATATCCCTTGGCGGATTCTACAAAAACAGTGTTTCCAAAATGTTCCTTCAAAATAAGGAATTAACTCTGTGAGATGAATGAATGCACACTTCAGAAAGCAGTTTCTCATTATGGTTCTTTCCAGGTTTTATATGAAGATATTCGCTTGTTCACCATAGGCTTTTTGCGCTACGTAACATCATTTCACACATTATACAAAAACAGTGTTTCAAAAGTGCTCAGTGAGAAAAAAAGCTTAACTCTTTTAGATGAATGCATACATTACAAAGCAGTTTCTCAAACAGTTTCTTTCTAGTTTTTATCTGAAGATATTTCCTTTTTCACCGTAGGCAGCAAAGTGCTCCCAAATATTCCTTTGGAGATTCTACAAAAACAGTGTTTCAAAACTGATAAACCAAAGCAAGATTTAAATCTGTGAGATGAATGCACACATCACAAAGCAGTTTCTAATAGATCTTCTCTCTAGTTCTTCTCTGAAGACATTTCCTTTTCCACCATATGGCTCAATGTGCTCTGAAATATCCATTCACATACTTTAAAAAGCAGTGTTTTTCAAACTGTTCCATCAAAAGAAGTACTTAACTCTGTGAGTTCAACTCACACCTCAGAATGCAGTTTCTTATAAAGCTTCTTTCCAGTATTTATCTGAAGATATTTCATTGTTTGTTTATCATAGGATATTTTGTGCCACCTAATTTTGCTGTGCAGCTTTTGCAAAAACAGTGTTTCCAAACTGCTCAGAATAAAGAGTTTTAACTCTGTGAGATGAACGCACACATCACAAAACAATTTCTAAAAAAGTTTCTTTCAAGTTTTCATGCAAAGATATTTCCTTTATCACCAAAGGCTACAATGGGCTCTCAAATATCCCATCAAGGATTGTACGTGAACACTGTTTCCAAACTGCTCAATCAAAAAACAGGCTTAATTCTGTGAGTTGAATGCACCCACCACAAAGTATTTTCTCTTTAAGCATCATTGTAGTTTTTATGCGAAGATATTTCCTTTTTCACCACAGACCTCAGGGTGCTCCCAAATATGTCATCACAGATTCCACAAAAAAAGTGTTTCCAAACTGCTCAATCAAGAGAAAGTTGTAACTCTGTGAGATGAAGGCACACTTCAAAAAGCATTTTCTCAGATAGTTTCTGTCCAGTTCTTCTCTGTAGATAATTCTTTTTCCACCATACACCTCTATGTGCTCCAAAATATCCTTTTGCAGAGTCTATAAAAACAGTGTTTCAAACGGTTCCATCAAAAGAAGGATTTAATTCTGTGAGATGAATGCACAAATCAGAAAATAGTTTTTCATAATGCTTAATTCCAGTTTTTTTTTATCTGAAGATATTTTCTTATTCACCATAGGTTTTTTATGCTACCTAACATCTCTTCACAGATTACATAAAAACAGTGTTTCCAAAGTGCTCAGTCAAAAGAAAAGTTTATGTGACATGAATGCATGCATCATAAAAGAGATTCTCAAAAAGCTTCTTGCTCGTTTTTATCTGAAGATGTTTGCTTTTTTACCACAGGCATCAGTGTGCTCCAAAATGTCCCTTTGCAGATCTACAAAAACAGGATTTCCAAACTGCTCAATCAAAAGAAATGTTTAACACTGTGAGAAGAAAGCCCACATCACCAAGCTGTTTCTCAGAAAGCTTCTGTGTAGTTCTTCTCTGAAGATAATTCCATTTCCACCATAGGCCACAATGTGCTCCCAAATATCCCTTCACAGAATCTACAAAAGCAGTGTTTCCAAACTCTTCCATCAAAAGAAAGGTTTAACTCTGTGTGATGAATGCCACAGCACAAAGCATTTTCTCAAAAAGCTTCTATCTAGTTCTCTGAAGATACTTCCTTTTCCACCATTGGCCTCAGTATGCTCCCAAATATAACTTTGCAGGTTCTACAAAAACTGTGTTTCCAAACTGCTCAATCATAAGTAAGGTTTAACTCTGTTAGATGAATGCACACATCAGGAAGAAGTTTCTCATAACACTTCTTTCCAGTTTTTATCTGAAGATATTTCTCAGGTCACCACAGGCTTTTTTGCTCTACATAATATCACTTCACAGGTTTTCCAAAAACAGTGTTTCCAAACTGATCAATCAAAAAACAATTTTTAACTCTGTGAAATCAATGCACACATCACAAGGAAGTTTCTCAAAAAGGTTATTTCTAGTATTTATCAGAAGATATTTCCTTTTACACCATAGGCCTCGATGCGCTCCCAAATATCCCTTCACAGATTCTACAAAAACAATGTTTCCAATCTGTTCCACTGATAGAATGACTTAACTCTGTGAGATTAATGCGCATATCAGAAAGCATTTTCTCTTAATGCTTCTTTCCAGATTTTATCTGAGGATATTTCCATTTTCACCATAGGCTTTTTTGCATTACTGAATATCACTTAGCAGATTGCAAAAATAGTGTTTTCAAACTGCTCAATCAAAAGAAAGTTTTAACTTTGTGAGATGAATGCACACATTACAAAGAATTTTCTCAGATTGCTTCTGTCTAGTTCTTCTCTGAAGATATTCCCATTTCCACCATATGCTTCAATGTGCTCCAAAATATTCCTTCGCAGATCCTATGAAAACAGTGCTTCTGAAAGTTTCAATCAAAAGAAAATTTTAACTCTCTGAGTTGAAGACACACATTGGAAAATAGTTACTTATAACACTTCTTTCCAGTTTTTATCTTAAGATATTTCCTTTTTCACCATAGGCCTTTGTGCGCTTCCTAACATCGCTTCCCAGATTATACAAACACAGTGTTTCCAAGCTGATCAGTCAAAAGAAAAGTTTACCTGTGTGAGATGAATGCCTCCAACACAAAGCAGTTTCTCAAAAAGCTTCTTTCTAGTTTTTATCCCAAGATATTTCCTTTATCACTATAGGCCTCAGTGCACTCCCAAATATCCCTTTGCGGATTCTACAAAAACAGTGTTTCCAAACTGCTCAATCAAAAGAAATGTTTAACTCTCAGATGAACGTACACATCACAGAGCAGTTTCTCAGAAAGCTTCTTTCTAGTTTTTATCTAGAGATATTTTCTTTTTCACCATAGGCCTCAATGCACCCCAAATAACCCTTCACAGATTCTGCCAAAATGGTGTTTCCAAATGGCTCCATCAAAGGAAAAATTTAACAATGAAATGTATGCACACATCACAAATCAGTGTCTCAGAAAGCTCCTTTCCAGTTTTTAATCTGATGATATTTCCTTTTTCACCATAGGCCTCTTTGTGTTACTTAATATCACTTTGCAGATTCTACAAAAACAGTGTTTTCAAAATTATCTATCAAAAAACAAGTTCAACTCTGTGAGTTGAACACAGACATCAGAAAGCAGTTTCTCAAAAAGCTTCTTTCTAGTTTTTATCCAAAGATATTTCGTTTTTCATGACAGACCTCAGTGCACTGCAAAATATCCCTTTGCATATTCAACAAAAAGAGTGTTTCCAAACTGCTCAATCAGAGGAAGGTATAAGTCTTTGAGAAGAATGCACTCATCACTATAAAGTTTCTCAGAAAGCTTCCTTCTAGTTTTTTTTCTGAACTTATTTCCTTTTTCATCATAAGCCTCATGAGCTACCTAATATCATTTGGCAGATTATACAAAAACAGTGTTTCCGATCTGATCAATCAAAAGATAGGTTTAACTCTGGGAGGTGTATGTACACATCACAAAGCAGTTTCTCAGAAAGTGTCTTTCTTGTTTCGATCTGGAAATATTTTCTTATTCACTGCAAGCCTCAATGCACTCCAAAATAACACTTCGCAGATTTTGCAAAAGGATGTTTCTAAACGGCTCCATCAAAGGAAACATTTTACACTGAAGTGAATGCACACATCACAAATCAGTGTCTCCGTAGTCTTCTTTCCAGTTTTTATCTGAAGATATTTCCTTTTTCACCATAGGCTTCTTTGCGCTACTTAATATCACCTCACAGATTAAACCAAAACAGTGTTTCCAAGCTGCTCTATGAGAAGAAAGGTTTAACTCTGTGAGAGGAATGTACATATCACAAAGTAGGTTATCAAAAAGTTTCTTTCTAGTTTTTATCTGAAGATATTTCCTTTACCACCGTAGGCTTCAATGCACTCCCAAATATCCCATCGCAGATTCTACAAAAACAGTGTTTCCAAAATGCTCAATCAAAAAGCAGGTTTAACTGTGAGTTGAATGCACACATTACAAAGCAGTTTCTCAAAAAGCTACTTTGTAGTTTTTAACTGATGATATTTCCGTTTTCACCATAGGCTTCAGTGTGCTCCCAAATATACCTTTGTTTTTCCAAAATATAAAAAACAGTGTTTCCAAAATGCTAAATCACAAGAAAATTTTAACTTTGTGAGATGAATGCACACATCACAAATCAGTTTCTCAGGTATCATTATTTTAGCTCTTCTATGAAGATATTTCCTTTTCCATGGCAGACCTCAATGCACTCTCAAATATCCCCTTGTGTATCTTATGAAAACAGTGTTTCTGAACTGTTCCTTCAAAAGAAGGTTTAATTCTGTGAGATGAACCCACACATCTGAAAGCTGTTTCTCATAACCCTTCTTTCCAGTTTTTATCAGAAGATATTTCATTATTCACTGGAGTCTTCTTTGCGCTACCTAACATCGCATTGCAGATTATATTACAAAAGTGTTTCCAAACTGATCAGTCAAAAGAAGAGTTTAACTCTGTGAGATGAATGCATACATCACAAAGCAGGTTCTCAAAAAGCTTCTTTTTTTTTATCTGAAGCTATTTCCCTTTTCACCATAGGCCTCCTGCACTCCCAAATATCCCTTTGCAGATTCTACAAAAACAGAGTTTTCAAACTGCTCAATAGAAAGAAAGGTTTACCTGTGGCAGATGAATGCACACATCGAAAGCAGTTTCTCAGAAAGCTCCTCTCTAATTTTTATTTTGAGATATTTCCTTTTTCACTGAAGGCCTCAATGTGCTTCATAATAACCCTTTGCAGATTTTATAAAAACCATGTTTCCAAACTCCTCCATCAAAAGAAATGTCTAACTCTTTGACAAGAATGCACACATCACAAAGCAGTTTCTCAGAATGCTTCTGCCTATTTTTTATATGAAGATATTTCCTTTTTCAACATAGGCCTCAATGCTCACAAAAATATCCCTGTGCTCACAAATATCCCTTTGCAGATACTACAAAAACAGTGTTTCCAAACTGCTCAATCAAAAGAAACATTTAATTCTTTGAGAACAATGCACACATCACAAAGTAGTTTCTCAGAAACCTTCTTTCTAGTTTTTATCTGATGTTATTTCCTTTTTCACAGTAGGCCTCATGCTCTCCAAAATATCCCTTCACAGTTTCGACAAAAACAGCGTTTCCACACTGATCCATCAAAAGTAAGGTTTAACTCTGTGAGATGAATACACGTTTCACAAAGGAGTTTCTCATAAAGCTTCTTTCTGGTTTTCATCCAAAGATATTTCTGTTTTCACTATTGGGTTCAATGTGCTCCTAAATATCCCTTTGCAGATTCTACAAAAATTGTGTTTCCAAACTGCTCAAAGAAAGGTTGAACTCTGTGAGATGAATGCACACATCACAATGCAGTTTCTCAAAAAGCTTTTGTCTAGTTCTCTGAAGATATTTCCTTTTCTACCTTTCACCTCAATGGGCTCCCAAATATCCCTTTACAGATTCTACAGAACACTGTTTCCAAACAGTTCCATTAAAATAATTTCTTAACTATGTGAGATGAATGCACACATCAAAACTGGTTTCTCATAATGCTTCTTTCCATTTTTTTCTGAAGATATTTCCTTTTACACCATTGGCTTTTTTGAGCTTCCAAATATTGTTTCACAGATTATACAAAAACAGTGTTTCCAAACTTCTCAGTCTAATGAAAAGTTAAAGTCTGTGAGATGAATGTACACATCACAAAGCAGTTTCTCAAAAAGCTTCTTTCTAGATTTTATCCAAAGATATTTCCTTTTTCACCATTGGCCTGACTGTTCTTTCAAGTATCCAATTGCAGATTCTACAAAAACAGTGTTTCCTAACTGATCAATCAAAAGAAAGGTTTAAATCTGTTAAAAGAATGCACAAATCACAAAGCGGTTTTTCAGGTTATTTGTAGTTTTTATCTGAATTTAAATCGTTTTTCACCATAGGCTTCAGTGCACTCCCAAATATCCCTCTGCAGATTCTACCAAAACAGTTTTTCTAAACTGCTCAATCAAAAGAAAGGTTTAACTCTGTCAGACGAATGCAAACCTCACAAGTTAGTTTCTCAGAAAGCTTCTTTCTGCTTTTTATCTGGACGTATTTCCTTTTTCACTCTAGGCCTCAATCCACTCCCAAATAACTCTTCACAGATTCTGCTGAAAGGGTGTTTCTAAAGGGCTCAATCAAAGGAAAGATTTAATACTGTGAAATGTATGTGCACATCACAAATTAGGGTCTCAGAAAGCTTCTTTCCAGTTTTTATCTGAAGATATTTCCTTTTTCACCATAAGCTTTTTGTGCTACCTAATATCACTTCGCAGATTATACAAAAACAGTTTTCCAAACTGCTCTGTCAAAAGAAAGGTTTAACTCTGTGAGATGAATGCACACATCAGAAAGCAGTTTCTCAAAAAGCTTCTTTCTAGTTTTTATCCTAAGATATTTCCTTTTCAAAAATAAGATTCTATGTGCTCCCTAATACCACTTCACAGATGCTACAAAAACTGTTTCCAAACCATTCCATCAAAAAGGGATTTAACTCTATGTAGTAAATGCACACATCAAAAAGCAGTTTCTCATAACGATGCTTTCCACTTTTTAACTGAAGATATTTCCTTTTTCACCATAGACTCTTTTGTGCTACCAAATATTGCTTCACAAATTTTGCAAAAACAGTGTTTCCAAACTGCTCCATCCAAAGAAAGCTTTAACTCTGTGAAAAGAATCCACACACCACAAAGAAGTTTTTCAAAAACTTCCTTCTTGTTTTTATATGAAGGTATGTCCTTTATCACCACAGGCTTCAATGCATTCCCAAATATCCCATTGCAGATTCTACAAAAACAGTGTTTTCTAACTCCTCTATCAACAGAAATTTTAACTCTGTGAGATGAATGCACACATCACAAAGCAGTTTCTCAAAAAGCTTCTTTCTAGTTTTTATTTGAAGCTATTTCCTTATCACCAGAGGATGCAATGTTCTCCAAATTATACCAACACAGATTCTACAAAAACAGTTTCCCAACTGCTGAATCAAAAAACTGTTTTAACTCTGTGAGTTGAAGGCACATATCACAAAGCAGTTTCTCAGAAAGCTTCTGTCTAGTTCTCTCAAGATATAACCTTTTCCACCACAGGCCTCAGTGCACTCCCAAATATCCCTTCACAGTTTCCCCCTAAACAGTGTTTTCAAACTGTTCCATCAAAAGAAGGACTTAACTCTGTGAGAAGAATGCATTCATCACAAAGCAGTTTCTCAGAAATCTTCTTTCTAATTTTTATCTGAAGTTATTTCCTTTTTCACCATTGGCCTTGGGCACTCCCAAATATCCCTTCATAGATTCTAGAAAAACAGTATTTCCGAATTGTTAAGTCAACAAACAGGTTTACCTCTCTATGTTGAATGAACACATCACAAAACAATATCTCACAAACTTCTTTCTAGCTTTTATCTGATGATACTTCCTTTTTCACCATAGGCCTCACTGTGCTCCCAAATATCCCTTTGCAGATTCTACAAAAACAGTGTTTCCAAACTGCTCAATCAAAAGAAAGGTTTAATTCTGTGAGATGGATGAACACAGCAAAGCAATATCTCAGATAGTTTCTGTCTACTTCTTCTCTGAAGATATCTCCTTTTATACCATAAGCCTCTATGCACTCCCAAATATGCCTTTGCAGATTCTATGAAAACAATGTTTCTGAACTGTTCCATCAAAAGAATGATTAAACTCTGTGAGCTGAACACATAAATAACAAAGCAGTTTCTCAAAAACTTCTTTTTACTCTTCATCTGAAGACTTTCCCTTTTTCACCACAGGAATCAGTGCTCTCCCAATTATCACTTTGCAGATTCTACAACTGAATAGTTTTTCCAAACTGCCCAATCAAATGAAAATTTTACCTCTCTGTGAAGAATACACACTTCTCAAAGCAGTTTCTCAGAAAAATTATTTCTACTCTTTATCTGATATTATATCATTTTTTACCATAGGCCTCTTGTACTCGCAAATATTCCTTGGCAGATTCTACAAAAAGAGTGTTTCCAAACTGATTAATTAAAAGAAAGACTTAACACTATGAGATGAATGCACACATCACAAAACAGTTTCTCATATACCCTCTTTCTAGTTTTGATCCAAACATATTTCCTTTTTCCCCATAGGCTTCCATGTGCTCCCAAATATCCCTTTGCAGGTTCTACAAAAACAGTATTTACACACTGCTCAATCAAAAGAAAGGTTTAATTATGTGAGATGAAGGAACACATAACAAAGCAGTTTCTCAGATAGTTTCTGTCTACTTCTTCTCTGAAGATATTTCCTTTTACAACATAAGCCTCTATGTGCTCCCAAATGTACCTTCGCAGATTCTATAAAAACACTGTTTCCAAACTGTTCCATCAAAAAAAGGATACAACTCTGTGAGCTGAAGGCATAAATCACAAAGCAGTTTCTCAAAAATTTGTTTCTACTTTTCATCTTAAGACTTTCCCTTTTTCACCATAGAAATCAGTGCTCTTCCAAGTATCCCTTTGCAGATTCTACAGCTACATAGTGTTTCCAAACTGCCCAACCAAAAGAAAATCTTAACTCTCTGAGAAGAATGCACACTTCTCAAAGTGGTTTCTCAGAAAAATTCTTTCTACTTTTTATCTGACGTTATATCATTTTTCACCATAGACCTCATGCGCTCCCAAATATCCCTCCACAGATTCTACAAAAACAGTGTTTCCAAACTGCTCTAGCAAAAGAAAGGTTTAAATCTGTGAGATGAAGGCACACAAGACAAAGCAGTTTTTTAGGGAGCTACTGTCTAGTTCTTCTCTGAAGATATTTCGTTTTCCACCATAGACCTTAATGAGCTCCTCAATATCCCATTGCAGATTCTACAAAAAGCAGTGTTTCCAAACTGTTCCGTGAAAAGAAGGACTTAACTCTCTGAGGTGAACACACACAATAGAAAGCAGTTTCTCATAACGCTTCTTTCCAGTTTTTATCTGAAGATATTTCCTTGTTCACCATAGGTTTTGGACAAAAAATAACATTGCTTCGAAGATTGTACAAAAGCAGTGTTTCCAAAATGCTCAATCAAAAGAAAAGTTTAACTCTGTGAGGTGAACATATGTATCACAAAGCAGTTTCTCAAAAAGCTTCTTTCTAGCTTTTATCTGAAGATATTTCCTTTTTCCCAATAGGCCTCAGGGCATTCCCAAATAGAGCATTGCAGATACTACAAAAACTGTGTTTCCAAACGGCTCAATCAAAGGTACATTTAACTCTGTGAAAAGATTGCACACATCACAAACTAGTTTCACATATAGCGTCCTTCTAGTTTTTACCTGAAGTCATGTCCTTTTTCAAGATAGGCCTCGTTCACTCCCAGATATCCCTTCACAGATTCTACAAAAGCAGTCTTTCCAAACTGATAAATCAAAAGCAGAATTAACTCTGTGAGAAGAATGCACACTAACAAAGCAGTTTCTCAGAAAGCTTCTGTCTAGTTCTTCCCTGAAGATATTTAATTTTCTGCCATAGACCTCAATGAGCTCTCAATTATCACTTTGCAGTCTCTACAAAACAGTGTTTCCAAACTGTTCCATGAAAAGAAGGACTTAATTCTGTGAGATGAATGAACAAACCAGGAAGCAGTTTCTCATAATGCTTCTTTCCAGTTTTTATCCGAATATATTTCCTTTTTCTGCAGAGGCTTCAAAGCACTGCCAAATATCACTTTGCAGATTCTACAAAATCAGCGGTTCCAAATTGCTCAATCAAAAGAAAGGTTTAACTCTGTGAGAATAATGAACACATCAGAAAGCTGTTTCTCAGAAAGCTTCTGTCTAATTCTTCTCTGACGAATTTTCCTTTCCACAAAGGTCCTCAATGCACTCCCAAATATACCTTTGCAGATTCTACAAAAAAAAAGTTTCTGAATTTTTCCAACAAAAAAGGATTTAACTCTGTGAGATGAATGCACACGTCAGAAAGCAGTTTCTCATAATGATTCTTTCCAGCTTTTATCTGAAGATATTTCCTTGTTCACCACAGGCCTTTTTGCACTAACTTACATCATTTTGCAGATTATGCAAAAACAGTGTTTCCAAACTGCTCAATGAATAGAAAAGATTAACTCTGTGACATAAATGCCTACATAACAAAGTAGTTTCTCAAAAAGCTTCTTTCTAGTTTTCATCTGAATATATTTTCTTTTCACCATATGCTTAAATGCACTCCCAAATATCCCTTTGCAGATTCTACAAAAAGAGTGTTTCCAAGCTATTCAATCAAAAACAAGTTTAACTCTCTGAGATGAATGCATACACAAAAAAGCAGTTCCTCAAAAAAATTCCTTCTAGTTTTTATCTGAAGGTATTTCCTTTTTCGTGATAGAGTTCATGTGCTACCAAGTATGCCTTTGCAGATTCTACAAAAAGAGTGTTCCCAAACTGTTTAATTAATAGGTTTAAATCTGGGAGAAGAATGTACACATCACAGAGCAGTTTCTCATAAAGCTTCTCTCTAGTTTTTATCAGAAGATATTTTCTTTTTCAAAACAGGCCTCAATGCACAAAAAAATTTCCCTACACTTATAAATATCCCTTTGCAGATTCTGCAGAAACAGTGTTTCCAAAGTGATCCATCAAAAGAAAGGTTTAACTCTGTGAGATGAATGCAGACATCACAAAGCAGTTTCTCAAAACGTATATTTCTAGTTTTTATCTGTAGTTAATTCCTTTTTCCCCATTGGCTTCAATGCACTCCCAAATATCTCTTCACAGATTCTACAAAAACAGCATTTCCTAACTTCTCAGTCAAAAGAAAGTTTTAACTCTGTGAGATGAATGCACACATCCCAAAGCAATGTCTCAGAAATCTTCTGTCTAGTTTTTCTCTGAAGATATTTCCTTTTCCACCTAGGTCTCAATGTGCTGCAAAATGTCCCTTTGCAGATTCTACAAAAGCAGTGTTTCCAAATTGTTCCATCAAAAGAAGGAACTCTGTGAGATGAAGGCACACATCAGAAAGTAGTTTCTCATGAAGCCTCTTTCCAATTTTTATCTCAAGATATTTCCTTGTTCACCATAGGCTTTTTGCACTACTTAATATTTCTTGGCAGACATTGTAAAAGCACTGTTTTCAAACTGCTCAGTCAAAAGAAAGGTTTAACTCTTTGAGATGAATGCACACATGACAAAGCAGTTGATCAAAACGCTTCTTTCTACTTTTTGTCTGAAGATATTTCATTTTTCACCATAGGATTCATTAAGCTCCCAAATGTCCCACTGCAGTTTCTACAAAAACAGTGTTTCCAAACTGCTCAATGAAAGCAAAGGCTTAACTCTGTGAGATTAATGAAAACATCAGAAAAAAATTCTCAGAGACCTTCTTTCTACTTCTTCTCTGATGATACTTCCTTTTTCACCATAGACCTCAATGTGCTCTCAATTATCCTTTGGCAGATTCTACAGAAAGAATGTTTCCAAACTACTCAGTCAAAAGAAAAGGTTTAACTCTGTGAGTTCAATGCAAATATCACAGAGCAGTTTCTCAAAAAGCTTCTTTGTAGTTTTTATGCAATGATATTTCCTTTTTCACCATAGGGCTGTGTGCTCTGAAATATACCTTTGTATAATCTACAAAAACACGGTTTCCAAACTGCTCAATCAGAAGAAAGGTTGGCTCTGTGAGATGAATGCACAATCTCAAAACAGTTTCTCCAAAAGCTTCTTTCTAGTTTTTAATCCAAAGATATTTCCTTTATTGCATTAGGCTTCAATGCTCTGCTAAATATCCCTTCACAGATTCTACATAAACAGTGTTTCCAAGCTGTTCAATCAATAGAAATGTTTAACTCTGAGATGAATGCACACATCAAAAAGCAGTTTCTCAGATTGCTTCTGTCTAGTTTTTATGTGAATGTATTTCCATTACCATAATAGGCCTCAAAGCACTCCCAAATATTCCTTCTCAGATTCTATAAAAATATCTAAATAGAATTTAACTCTGTGAGATTAATGCACACATCAGAAAGCAGTTTCTTCTAACGTATCTGAAGATGTTTCCTTACTCACAATAGGCCTTTTTTGCTACCTAACATCACTGCACTGATTATACAAAAACAGTGTTTCCAAACTGCTCAGTAAAAAGAAAAGTTCAACTCCTTGACATGAACGCATATATCACAAAGCAGTTTCTCAAAGAGCTTCTTTCTAGTTTTTATCCGAAGATATTTCCTTTTACACCATAGGCCTCATCATGCTTCCAAATATCCCTTTGCAGATTATGCAAAAAGAGTGTTTCCAAACTGCTCAATAAAATGTAACCTTTAACTTTGTGAGAAGATTGCACACATCACAAAGCATTCTCTCAGAATATTTTTTCTAGTTTTTATCTGAAGTTATTTCTTTTCTCAAAATAGGCCTCATGCACTCCCAAATATCCCTTCTCAGATTCTACGAAAGCAGTGATTCCAAGCTGATCAATCAAACAACAGATTTAACTCTGTGAGATGAATGCACATATCACAAAGCAGCTTCTCATAAAGCTTCTCTTTAGTTCTTCTCTTAAGATATTTAATGTTCCACCCTAGACCTCAGTGCACTCACAATTGTTCCTTCACAGATTCTACAAAAGCAGTGTTTCCAAACTGTTCCATCAAAAGAAAGACTTAACTCTAAGAGACAGACACACTCATCAGAAAGCAGTTACTCATAATGATTCTTTCCAGTTTTTATCTGAAGATATTTCCTTTTTCACCTTAGGCTTCAATGCCTCCCAAATATCCCTTTGCAGATTCTACAAAAACAGTGTTTCCCAACTGTTCAACCAAAAGAAAGGTTTAACTCTGTTTGATGAATGCACACATCACAAAGCAGTTACTCAGAAATCTTCTGTGAGGTTCTTCTCTGAAGGTATTTCCTTCATTATCTTAGGCTTCAATTCACTCCCAAATATCCCGTATCAGTTTCTACAATAACACTGTTTCCAAACTGCACAATCAAAAAAGAGGGTTAACTCTGTGAGTTGAATGCACATTTCACAAAGTAGTTTCTCAAAAATGGTACTTTCTAGTTTTTATCTGAAGATATTTCCTTTTCCTCATAGGCCTCATGGTGTTACCAAATATACTTTTGCAAATTCTAAAAAAAACAGTGTTTCCAAACTGCTCAATCAAAAGAATGGTTTAACTGTATGGGATGAAGGCACACATCACAAGGGAGTTTCTCAGATAGTTTCTGTCTAGTTCTTCTCTGAAGATATTTCCTTTTCCACCGTAGGCCTCAATGCAATCTCAGATATCTCTTCACAGATTCTGTAAAAAAAAAAGTGCTTCTGAACAGTTCCTTGAAAACAAGGATTTAACTCTGTGAGATGAATGCACACATCAGAAAGCAGCTTCTCATAATGCTTTTTTCCAGTTTTTATCTGAACATATTTCCTTGTTAACCATAGACCTTTTCACGATACCAAACATCAATTCACACATTATACAAAAATAGTGTTTCCAAAGTGTTCAGTTAATAGAAAAGTTTAACTCTGTGAAATGAATGCATATATTACAAAGCAGTTTCTCTTAGAGCTTCTTTCTAGTTTTTATCAGAAGATATTTCTTTTGCAGAATAGGCATTAGTGTGCTCCCAAATATCCCATTGCAGATTCTACAAAAACAGTTTGACCAAACTGCTCAATGAAAAGAAACGCTTAACTCTGTGAGAAGAATGCACACATCACAAAGCGGTTTCTTCAAAAGCTTCTTTCTAGTTTTTAGCTGAAGTTATTTCCTTTTTCACCGTAGGTCTCATGCACTCCCGAATATCACTTTGCAGATTCTACCAAAACATTTATCCCAAACTGATCAATGAAACCGTGTTTTAACTCTGTGAGGTGGATGCACACATCACAATGCAGTTTCTCACAAACTCCTTTCTAGTATTTATCAGAAGATATTTCCTTTTTCACCAGAGGCTTCAATGTGCTCCCATATATCCCTTCACAGATTATAGAAAGCAGTATTTCCAAACTGCCTAATCAAAAGAAAGGCTTAACTTTGTTAGCTGAATGCACACATCACAAGGGAGTGTCTCAGAAGCTTCTTTTTGGGTCTTCTCTGAATATATTTCCTTTTCCTTCATAGGCTTAAATGTGCTCCAAATTATCCCTTTGAAGATTCTATAAAAATTGTGTTTCCAAACTGTTCCATCAAAGAAGGAATTAACAGTGTGTGAGGAAAGCACACATCAGTAAGCAGTTTCTCATAATGCTTCATTCTAATTTTTATCTGAAGATATTTCATAGTTCACCACAGACATTTTTGCACTACTTAATATCGCTTCACAGATTTTGCAAAAATAGTGTTTCCAAACTACTCAGTGAAAAGAGAGCTTTAACTCTGTGAGATTAGAGCACATATCAAAAAGCAGTTTCTCAAAAAGCTTCTTTCTAGTTTTTTTCAGAGAATTCCTTTATCGCCATAGATTTCAATGGAATCCTAAATATCCCATTGTAGATTCTACAGTGTTTCTGAAATGCTCCATCTAAAAACAGGTTTAACACCATGAGTTGAACAGACATTTCACAAACAGTTTCCCAAAAAGCTTCTTTCTAGTTTTTATATGAAGGCAATTCATATTTCATCATGGGCCTCAGTGTGCTCCCAAATATACCTTTGCAGATTCTACAAAAACTGTGTTCCAAACTACTCATTAAAAAGGAAGTTTTAATTCTGTGAGATGAATACACACATCACAAAGCCATTTCTCAGATAGTTTCTGTCTAGTTCTTCTCTGAAGATATTTTCTTTTCCAACAGAAGCCTCAATGCCCTCCCAAATATCCCTTTGCAGATTCTATAAAAACAGTGTTTCTGAACTCTTCCATCAAAAGGATTTAACTCTGTTAGAAAGCATTTTCTCATAATGCTTCTTTCCAGTTTTTATCTGAAGATATTTCCCTGTGCACACAATGCCTTTTTGCATGACCTAACATCGCATCACAGATTATACAGAAACAGTGTTTCCAAATTGCTCAGTCAAAAGAACAGTTTAATTCTGTGAGAAGAATGCATACATCAAAAAGTAGTTTCTGAAAAAGCTCCTTTTTAGTTTTGATCCAAAGATATTTTCTTTTTTAACATAGGCATCAGTGTGCTCCCAAGTATCCCTTTGCAGATTCTAGAAAAACAGTGTTTACAAGGTTCTCAATCAAAAGAAACGTTTAACTCTGTGAGAAGAATGCAAACATCACAAAGCGGTTCCTCAGAAAGCTTTTTTCTAGTTTTTATCTGAAGTTATTTCCTTTTTCACCGTAATCCTCGTATGCTCCCAAATATCCTTTAGCATATTGTACAAAAAGAGTGTTTCCAAACTGATCAATCAAAATAAAGGTTTATTTCTGTGAGATGAATGCCCACATCACAAAGGAGTTTCTCACAAACCTTCTTTCTAGTTTTTATCCAAAGACATTTCCTTTTTCATTATAAGCTTCAAAGTGCTCCCAATTATCTCTTGGCAGTTTCTATGAAAACAGTTTTTCCAAACTATTCAATCAAAAGAAAGTTTTAACTCTGTGAGATGAAAGAATAAATTACAAAGCAGCTTCTCAAAAAGCTTCTTTCTAGTTTTTATCCAAAGGTATTTCCTTTTTCACCATAGGCCTCAGCGTGCTCCCAAATATCCCTTTGCAGTTTCCACCTACACAGTTTTTCCAAACTGCTTAATCAAAGGAAAGGTTTATCTCTGTGAGATGAATGCACACTCACAAAGCAGTTTCTCAGATGGCTTCTATCTAGTTCTCTGAAGATACTTCATCTTGCACCTTAAGCCTCAATATGCTCTCCAATATCCCTTTGCAGACCCTATAAAAACAGTGTTTCCCAACTGTTCCATCAAAACAAGGATTTAACTATGTGAGATGAATGCACAAATCAGAAAACAGTCTCTTATATTGCTTTTTTCTCGTTTTTATCTGAAGATATTTCCTTGTTCACCACAGGCCTTTTTGGGCTACCTAACATTGCTTCAGAGATTGTACAAAAGCAGTGTTTCCAAACTGCTCACTCAAAAGAAAAGTTTAACTCTGTGAGATGAATGCATACAGCACAAAACAGTTTTTCAAAAAGCTTCTTTATAGTTTTTATCCGAAGATATTTCCTTTTTCATCATAGGCATCAGTGCACTTCCAAATATCCCTTTCTAGATTCTACAAAAAGAGTGTTTCCAAACTGCTCAATCAAAATAAACGTTTATCTCTGTGAGAAGAATGCACACTGTATGAAGCAGTTTCTCAAAATGCTTCTTTCTAGCTTGTTCTGAAGTTATTTTCTTTTTCACCAAAGGCCTCATGTGCTCCAAAATATCTCTTCACAGGTTCTACAAAACAGTGTTTCCAAATTGCTCAGTGAAAAGAAAGGTTTACCTCTGTGAGATGAATGTGCAAATCACAAAGCAGCCTCTCAAAAAGGTTATTTCTAGTTTTTTTATCTGAAGATATTTCTGTTTTCACTGTAGGCTTCAATGTGCTCCCAAATATCCCTTTGCAGATTCTACAAAAACAGTGTTCCAAACTGCTCAATCAAAGAAACGTTTAACTCTTTGAGATGAATGCACATATCACAAAGCAGGTTGAAAGAAAGCTTCTGTCTAGTTCTTCTGTGAAGATATTTCCTTTTCCACCATATGCCTCAATGGGCTCCCAA
Organism: Homo sapiens; assembly: GCF_000001405.40. NCBI lineage: Eukaryota > Metazoa > Chordata > Mammalia > Primates > Hominidae > Homo > Homo sapiens. The sequence goes on along the minus strand of NC_000005.10, from coordinate 46,064,296 downwards.
ATATCCCTTAGAATCTACAAAAACAGTGTTTACAAACTGTTCCATGAAAAGAAGGATTTAACTCCGTGAGATGAATGCACACATCAGAAAGTGGTTTCTCATAATTCTTCTTTCCATTCTTTATCTCAAGATATGCACTTTTTCACCATAGGCTTTTTTGTGCTACCTAATATCCCTTCGCAGGTTTTGCAAAAACACTGTCTCCAAACTACTCTCTCAAAAGAAAGGTTTAACTATGGGAGATGAATGCAGCTTCTCAAAAAGACTCCTTCTAGTTTTTATCCGAATTTATTTCCTTTTTCACCATAAGCTTCAGTGCACTCCCTAATACAACTTTGCAGATTCTACAAAAACAGTGTCTCCAAACTGCTCTATCAAAAAAAAGGTTTAACTCTATGGCACGAATGTACACATCAAAATCAATTTCTCTTATAGCTTTTGTCTATGTCTTCTCAAGATATTTCCTCTTCCAACTTAGGCCTCAGTGTGCTGCTAAATATCCCTTCCAGATTCTATAAAAACAGTGTTCCTGAATTGTTGCATTAAAAGGTGGATTTAAGTCTGTGAGATGAACGGACACATCAGAAAGCAGTTTCTCATAACAATTCTTTCCATTTTTTATCTGAAGATATTTCCTTGTTCACCATAGGCCTTTTTGAGTTACCTAACATCGCTTCACAGATTACACAAAAATATTGATTCCAAACTGTTCTATCAAAGGAAGGACTTAACTCTGTGACAGGAATGCTCACATCAGAAAGCAGTTTCTCATAACGTTTCTTTCCAGTTTTTGTCTGAAGATATTTCCTTTTTCACCATAGGCTTTTTTGCACAGCCGAATATCACTTTGCAGATTTTGCAAAAACAGTGTTTCCAAACTGCTTAGTCAAAAGAGAGCTTTAACTCTATGAGTTGAATGCACACATCACAAAGCAGCTTCTCAATAATCTTGTTTCTAGTTTTAACTCAAATATATATCTTTATCACCACAGGCTTCAGTGTGATCCCAAATATCCCATCGCAGATTCTACACAAACAGTGTTTCCAAACTGCTCAATCAAAAAACAAGGTTTAACTCTGTGGGTTGAACACACATATCACAAAGCCGTTTCTCATAAAGGTTCTTTGAAGTTTTTATGCTAAGATATTTCCTTATTCACCATAGGCCTCATGGTGCTCCCAATTATAACTTTGCAGATTCTACAAAAGCACTGTTTCCAAACTGCTCAATCAAAAGGAATTTTAACCCCCTGAAATAAATGCACACATCACAAATCAGTATCTCAGATAACTTCTGTCTAGTTCTTCTCTGAAGATAGTTCCTTTTCCATCCTAGGCTGCAATTCCCTCCCAAATATCCCTTCCCAGTTTCTATCATAACAGTTTTCATGAATTCTTCTTTCAAAAGAAATATTTAACTCTGTGAGGTGAACGCACACATCAGAAAGCAGTTTCTCATAAAGCTTATTTCCAGTTTTTACCTGAAGATATTTTCTTCTTCACCTTAGGCCTTTTTATGCTACTTAACATACCTTCACAGATTTTATAAAAACAGTGTTTCCAAACTGCTCACTCAAAAGAAAAGTTTAACATTGTGAGATGAATACATACATCACAAAGCCATTTCTCAAAAAGCTTCTCACTCGTTTTTTTATGCGAAGATATTTCCTTTTTCACCATAGGCATCAGTGCACTCCCAAATATCCCTTTGCAGATTTTACAAAAACAGTGTTTCCAAACTGCTTATTCAATAGAAAATTTTAACTCCATGGGAAGAAATCAAACATCACAAAGCGGTATTTCAGAAAGCTTCTTTTTAGTTGTTAACTGAAGTTATTTCATTTTTAACCAGTGGGTCAGTGTGATATCAAATATCCATTGGCAGGGCCAGTGTGATATCAAATATCCCTTGGCAGATTATACCAAAACAGTGTTTCCAAAGTGCTGAATCAAAAGAAAGTTTTAACTCTGCCAAATGAATGCACAAATCAGAAAGCAGTTTCTCAGAAAGATACTTTCTAGTTTTTGTATGGAGATATTTCCTTTTTCACCATAGGCCTCAATGCACTCACAAGTAACTCTTCACAGTTTCTGCCAAAAGGGTTTTTCAAAATGGCTCCATCAAAGGAAAGATTTAATCCTGTTAAATGAATGCATGCATCACAAATCAGTGTCTCAGAAAGCTTCTTTCCAGTTTTTATCTGAAGACATTTCCTTTTTCAGCATAGGCTTATTTGCATTACAAAATATCACATTGTAGGTTGTGCAAAAACAGTGCTTCCAAACTTCTCTATCAAAGGAAAGGTTTCACTCTCTGAGATGAATGCACATATCACAAAGCAATTCTTCAAAAACCTTCTTTCTAGTTTTTATCCAAAGATGATATTTCCTTTTTCACCAAGGCCTCAGTGCGTTCACAAATATCCCTTTGCAGATTCTACAAAAACAGCATTTCCAAACCACTCAATCAAAAGAAAGTTTTAACTCTGTGAAATGAATGCACACATCCCAAAGCAGTTTGTCAGACACCTTCTGTCTAGCTCTTCTCTGAAGATATTTCCTTTTCCACCGTAGGCCTCAATGCACTCCCAAATATCCCTTCACAGATTCTACAAAAACAGTGTTTCTGAACTGTTATACCAAAAGAAGGATTTAATGCTGTGAGATAAATGCACACATCAGAAAGCAGTTTCTCACAACGCTTCTTTCCAGTTTTTATCTGAAGATATTTCCTTGTTCACCATAGGCCTTTTTGCGCTACACAACGTTGCTTGACAGATTACAAAAACACACAGTTTCCAAACTGCTGTGTCACAAAAGAAGATTTACTCTGTGAGACGCATGCATGCATCACCAAGAAGTTTCTTAAAAAGCATCTTTCTAGTTTTTATCCGAAGATATTTTCTTTTTCATTGTGGACTTCAATGCACTCACAAATATCCTTTTGTAGATTCTACAAAACCAGTGTTTCCAAATTGCTCTATCAAAAGAAAGGTTTAACTCTGTAAGATGAATGCACTCATCATGGAGCAATTTCTCAGAAAGCCTATGTGTAGTTCTTCTCTGAAGACCTTTTCTTTTTCACCATACACTTCAGTGCACTCCCAAATATCCCTTTGCAGATTGTACAAAAACAGAGTTTTCAAACTGTTCCATCAAAAGAAGAACTTATGTCTGAGATAAACAGAAGCATCAGAAAGCAGATTCTCATAACACTTCTTAACAGTTTTTATCTGAAGATATTTCCTTTTACACCATAGGCTTTTTGCACTGCCTAATATTGATTCACAGATTTTGCAAAAACAGTTTTTCCAAACTGCTCAGTCAAAAGAAAAGTTTAACTCGGTGAGATGAATGCACACATCACCAAGTGGTTTCTCAAAATTCTTCTTTGTGTTTTTTATCTGAAGATGTATCTTTTATCACCATAGGTTTCAATGCACTTCCAAATATCCCATCGCAGATTCCACAAAAACAGTCTTTCCAAACTTATCAACCAAAAGAGGGTTTTAACTCTGTGAGATAAATGTACACTTCACAAGGCAGTTCCTCCAAAAGCATCTTTCTAGTTTTTATCAGAAAATATTTTCCTTATCACCATAGACTTAAATGTCCTCCCAAATATCCTATCGCAGGTTATACAAAAACAGTGTTTCCAAACTTCTCAATCTAAAAACAGGTTTAATTCTGTCAGTTGAATGCACACATCACAAAGCATTTTCTCAAAAATCTTCTTTCTCCTTTTTATCTGAGAATATTTCCTTTTTCTCCATAGGCCTCCTGCACTCCCAAATATCCCTTCTCAGATACTACAAAAACAATGTTTCCAAATGGATCAATCAAAAAAAAAGGTTTAACTCTGTCAAATGAATGCACACATCACAAAGCTGTTTCTCAAAAAGCTTCTTTGTAGTTTTTATCTGAAGATATTTCCTTTTTCACCATAAGCTTCATTGCACTCCAAAATATGCCTTTGCAGTTTCTACAAAAACAGTGTTACCAAACTGCTCGATCAAAAGAAAGGTTGTAGTCTCTGAGATGATTGCAGTCATCACAAAGCAGTTTATTAGAAACCTTCTGCCTAATTTTTCTCTGCAGGTACTTTCTTTTCCACCATAAGCCTCAATGAGCTCCCAAATATCCCTACCCAGATTCTACAAAAACATTGTATCCAAACTGTTCCCTCAAAAGAGGGACTTAACACTGTGAGATGAATGTGAACATGAGAAAGCACTTTTTCATAACACTTCCTTCCAGTTTTTATCTGAAGATATTTCCTGGTTCACCATGGACCTTTTTGCACTACTAAACATCGGTTCATGGATTACACAAAAACAGTGCTTCCAAACTGTTCAATCAAAAGAAATGATTAACTCTGTCAGAAGAAGGCACACATCACAAAGCGGTTTCTCAGAAAAATTCTTTCTAATTTTTATCTGAATTTATTTTCTTTTTCACCATAGGCATCCTGTGCTCCCAAATATCCCTTTGCAGATTCTACAAGTATTTCAAAACTGATCAATCAAAAGAAAGATTTAACTCTGTCAGATGAATCCACACATCACAAGGCATTTTCTCAAAAAGATTCTTTCTAGTTTTTTTCTGAAGATATTTCCTTTTTCACCATAGGCTTCAAAGTGCTCCAAAATATGCCTTCACAGATTCTACAGAAACGACGTTTCCAAAGTTCTCAATAAAAAGAAAAATTTAACTGTGTGAGATGAATGCACACATCAATAGGAGTGAGTTTTTCAGAAAGCTTCGGCCTAGTTCTTCTCTGAAGATATTTCCTTTACCACCTTTGGCATCAAAGCTCTCCCAAATATCCTTTAGCCAATTCTGCAAAAACAGTGTTTCAAAACTGTTCCATCAAAAGAAGTACTTACCTCTGTGAGATGAAGGCACACATAAGAAAGAAGTTTCTCATAACACTTCTTTCAAGTTTTTTCTCAAGATATTTCCTTTTTCACCGTAGGCTTTAATGCACTACATAATATCACTTCTCCTATTTTGCAAAAATAGTGTTTCATACTGCTCAGTCAAAGAAAGGTTTAACATTATGAGATGAAAGCACACAACACAAATCAGTTTCTCAAAAAGATAATTTCTAGTTGTTATCCAAAGATAATTCATTTATCCCCATAGGCTTCAAAGTGCTCCCAAATATCCCATCACACATTCTACAAAAAGAGTATTTCCAAACTGCCCAGTGAAAAACATGGTTAACTCTGTTAGTTGAACACACACATCAGAAAGCAGTTTCTCGAAAACTTCTTTCTAGTGTTTATCCAAAGATATTTTCTCTTTCACCATAGGCCTCATGTGCTCCCAAAAGTCCCTTCATAGATTCTACAAAAACAGTGTTTCCAAACTACTCAATCAAAAGAACATTTTAACTCTGTGACATGAATTCACACATCACAAAGCAGTTTCTCAAAAAGCTTCTTTCTAGTTTTTATCTGAAGATATTTCCTTTTTCACCATGGACTTTGTTGTGCTCCCAAATATCCCTTCACAGATTCTACCAAAACTGTGTTTCCAAATTCCTCAGTCAAAAGAAAGCTTTAAATCTGTGAATTGAATGCACACATCTCAAAGCAGTTTCTCAGAAAGTGTCTGTCTAGTTTTTATCTGAAGATATTTCCTTTTTCACCATAGGCCTTGTCCACTCCCAACTATCCCTTTGCAGATTGTACAAAAACAGTGTTTCCAAACTGCTCAACTGAAAAAAAAGTTTAACTCTGTGACATAAATGCACACATCACAATGCAGTGTCTCAGAAAGCTTCTTTCTAGTTTTTATCTGAAGTTATTTTCTTTTCCACCATAGGCCTTATTTGCTCCCAAGAATCCCTTTGCAGATTCTACAAGTATTTCAATACTGATCAATCAAAAGAAAGGTTTTACTCTGTCAGTTGAATCCACACTTCACAAAGCAGTTTCTCAAAACTTCTTTCTAGTTTTTATCTGAAGATATTTCCTTTTTCACCATAGGCTTCAATGCACTCCAAAATATCCCTTCGCATATTCTGCAAAGACTGTGTTTCCAACCTTCTCAATCAAAAGAAAGGTTTAAATCTGTCAATGTAATGTACACATCACAAAGCAGTTTCTCAGAAAGCTTTTGTCTAGTTTTTATCTGAAGGTATTTCTTTTTTCAACATAGGTGTCATGACCTCCCAAATATCCCTTCACATGTTGTTCAGAAACAGTGTTTCCAATCAATTCAATCAAAAGAAAGGTTAATTCTGTGAGAAGAATGCACACATCACAAAGCAGTTTATCAGAAAGCTTCTTTCTAGTATTTATGTGAAGTTTTTTTTCACCGTAGTCCTCCTATGCTCCCAAATATCCCAACACAGATTCTACAAAAACAGTGATTTCAAAGGGGTCAATCAAAAGAAAGGTTTAACTCTGTGAGATGAATGCATACAACACAAAGCACTTTCTCAAAGAGAATCTTTCTAGTTTTTATCTGAAGATATTTCCTTTTTCACCATAGGCCTCATACACTCCCAAATATCCCTTTGCAGATTCTACAAAAACAGTGTTTCCAAACCGATCAATCAAAAGATGATAAGTTTAACTCTGTGAGGTGAATGCACACATCACAAAGCAGTTTCTCTAAAAACTTTCTTCTGGTTTTTATCCAAAGATATTTCCTTTTTCACCTTAGGCTTCAAAACACTCCCAAATATCCCATCGCAGATTCTACAAAAACAGTGTTTCCAAACTGGTCATTAAAAAGAAAGCTTTAACTCTGTGAGTTGAATTCACACATCACAAAGCACTGTCTCAGATAGCTTCTCTCTAGTTCTTCTCTGAAGATGTTTCTTATTCCACCATAGACCTCAATGTGCTCCCAAATAACCCCTTGCAGATTCTATAAACACAGTGTTTCCAAACTGTTCCATCAAAAGAAGGACCTAACTCTGTGAGATGAACACACACATCACAAAGCAGTTTTTCATAATGCTGCTTTCCTGATTTACCTTAAGATATTTACTTTTTCACCATAGGCTTTCTTGCTCTACGTAACATTGCTTCACTGATTTTGCAAAAACAGTTTTTCCAAACTGCTCCATCAAAAGAAATGCTTAACTATGTGAGGTGAATGCACTCATCACAAAGTAGTTTCCCAAAATGCTTCTTTCTGATTTTTATCTGAAAATATTTCCTTTATCACCATAGCATTCAAAGCGCTCCCAAATATCCCATCACAATTTCTACAAAAACAGTTTTTTCAAATGGCTCAATATAGAAACAGGTTTAAATCTATGAGTTAAATGTGCACATCACAAAGCCAATTCCCAAATAGCTTTTTTTCTAGTTTTTATCCAAAGATATTTCCTTTTTCATCATAGGCCTTGTGCACTCCCAAATATTCCTTTGCAGATTCTACAAAGCAGAGTTTCCAAACTGATCCATCAAAAGAATCCTTTACCTCTGTTTGTTGAATGCACATATCACAAACCAGTTTCTGAAAATGCTTCTTTCTAGTTTTTATCTGAAGATATTTCATTTTCCACCATACGTTCAACATGTACCCAAATATCCCTTTGCAGATTCTATAAAAACAGTGTTTCCAAACAGCTTGATCAAGAGCAAGGTTTAATTCTGTGAGTTGAAATCACACTTCAGAAAGCAGTTTCTCAGAAAGCTTCTGTCTAGTTCTTCTCTGAAGACATTTCCTTTTCCACCATAGGCCTCAATGTGCTCCAAAATACCCTTTCACAGATTCTAAAAAAACAGTGTTTCCAAACTGATCAATTGAAAGAAAGGTTTGACTCTGTGAGATGAATGTGCTCATCATAATGCAGTTTATCAAAAAGTTACTATCTAGTTTTTATCCAAAGATATTTCCTTTTCATGATATGTTTCAATGCTCTCCCAAATATCCCTTTACAGATTCTACACAAACTGTGTTTCCAAACTGCTCAATGAAAAGAAAGTTTTACCTCTGTGAGATGAATGCATACTTCGCAAAGCAGTTTCTCAAAAGGCTTCTTTCTAGTTTTTATCTGAAGATATTTCATTTTCTCCACAGGCCTCAGTGTGCCCCCAAATATACCTTTGAAGATTCTAAAAAACAGTGTTTCCAAACTGCTCAATCAAAAGAAAGTTTTAACTCTTTGAGATGAATGCACACATCAAAAAGTAGTTTCTCAGTTACCTTCTGTCTGGTTCTTCTTTGAAGATATTTCCTTTTCCACTGTAGCCCTCAATGCACTCCCTAATATCACTTTGCAAATTCCACCAAAACAGTGTTTCCAAACTGTTCCATCAAAAGAAGGACTTAACTCTTTGAGATGAACTCACACATCAGAGAGCAGTTTCTCATAACACTTTTTTCCAGTTTTTATCTGAAGATATTTTCTTTTTCACCATAGGGTATTTTGCGCTACTTAATATCACTTTGCAGATTTTGCAAAAGCAGGGTTTCCAAACAGCTTAGTCAAATGAAAGGTTTAACTCTGTGAGATGAATGCACACATTAGTTTCTCAAAAAGCTTCTTTCTAGTATGTATCCAAAGATATTTCATTTATCACCATAGGCTTCAATGCACTCCCAAATATCCCGTCGCAGATTCTACAAAAAAAGTGTTTCCAAACTGCTCAATCAAAAAACAGGTTCAACTCTATGAGGTGAACGTACTCATCATGAAGCAGTTTCTCAAAAAGCTTCTTCCTAGTTTTTTTCTGAAGATAATCCCTTATTCACCATAGGCCTCAGGGCACTCCCAAATATACCTTTTCAGTTTCTAGGAAAACAGTGTTTCAAAACTGCTCAACCAAAACAAAGTTTGAACTCTGTGAGATGAATGCACATTTTACAAAGCAGTTTGGCAGATAGCTTCTGTCAAGTTCTTCTCTGAAGATATTCTCTTTTCCACTGTAGGCCTCATTACACCCCAAAATATCCCCTTTCAGATCCTATTAAATACTTGTTTCCAAACAGTTCCACCAAAAGAAGGACTTAACTCTGTGAGATGAATGCACCCGTCAGGAAACAGGTTCTCATAACCCTCTTTGGCAGTTTTTATTTGAAGATATTTCCATATTCACCATAGGCCTTTTTGTGCTACAAAATATCCCTTAGCAGTTTACACAAAAACAGTGCTTCCAACCTACTCAATAAAAGGAAACTTTTAACTATGAGAGAAGAATGCACAAATCAAACAGCACTTTCTCAAAAAAGCTTCTTTCCAGTTTTTATCTGAAGATATTTCCTTTGTCACCATAGGCTTCAATGCTCTCACAAATATCCCTTTGCAGATCCTATAAGAACAGTGCTTATGAACTGTTCCATCAAAAGTATTTCTCTATGTGGCACGAATGCACACATCAGAAAGCAGTTTCTCATAACGCTTCTTTCCACTTTTTATCTGAAGATACTTCCTAGTTCACGATAGGCCTTTTTGCACTACCAAATATCTGTTTGCAGATTACACAAAAACAGTGTTTCCAAACGGCCCTGTAAGAAGAAAAGTTGAACTGTGTGAGAAAAATGCATGCATCACAAAGAAGTTTCTCAAAATGCTTCTTTCTAGTTTTTATCTGAAATTATTTCCTTTCTCACCATAGGCAACACTGTGATTCCAAATATCCCTTTGCAGATACTAAAAAAACACTGTTTCCAAACTGCTCAGTCAAAAGTAACATTTAACTCTCTGAGAAGAGTCCACACATGACAAAGCTGTTTCTCAGAAACTTTCTTTCTAGTTTTTATTGGCATATATTTCCTTTTTAAATATAGGCCACGTGTGCTCCCAAATATCCTGCCACAGATTCTACAAAAACAGTGTTTCCAAACTGATCAAACAGAAGACTTAACTCTGTGTGATGAATGTATCCATCAGAAAGCAATTTCTCAAAAAGCTTCTTTGTAGTTTTTATACGAAGATATTTACTTTTTCACCATAGGTATCACTTTGCTCCAAATTATCGCTTTGCAGATTCTTCAAAAACATTTTTACCAAACTGCACAATCAAAAGAATCATTTAACTCTGTGAGAAGAATGCACAAATCACAAAGCAGTTTTTCAAAAAGCTTCTTTCTACTTTTAATGTGAAAGTTTTTGTCTGAAGTTATTTCCTTTTTCATCATAGGCCTCGTGTGCTCCAAATATCTCTTCACAGATTCTACAAAAACAGTGTTTCCAATCTGATCAATCCAAATAAAGGTTTAACTCCGTGTGATGAATGCACTAATAACCAAGCAGCTCCTCAGATAGCTTCTGTCTTGTTTTCTGAAGATATATCCCTTCCCACCATAGGCCTCAAAGCACTCCCAAATATCCCTTTGCAGATTCTACAAAAACAGTGTTTACAAACTGCTCAATCAAAAGAAAGGTTTAACTCTGTGAGATAAATGCACACATCACAAAGGAGTTTCTCATACAGCTTCTGTCTGGTTCTTCTCTGAAGACATTTCCTTTTCCACCATAGGCCTCCATGCACTCCCAAATATCCCTTTGCAGGTAGTACAAAAACAGTGTTTCCAAACAGTTCCATCAAAAGAAGGACTTAAATCTGTAACATGAATGCACACATCAGAAAGCAGTTTCCCATAATGCTTCTTTCCAGCTTTTATGTGAAGATATTTCCTTAACCATAGGGTTTTTTGCGCTCCCTAATATTACTTCACAGATTTTGCAAAAACAGTGTTTCCAAAATGCTCAGTCAAATGAAACATTTAACTCTGTGAGATGAATGCACACATCATGAAGAAGTTCCTCCAAAACTTTCTCTTTTGTTTTTATCTGAAGATATTTCTTTTATCACCATAGGCTTCAATACGATCTCAAATATCCTATCACAGATTCTGCAAAAACGGTGTTTCCATACTGCTCAATTGGAAAACAGGTTTAACTCTGTGAGGTGAATGCACACATCACAAAGGAGTTTCTCAGAAAGATTCTTTCTAGTTTGTATCTGAAGTTATTTCCTTTCTCACCATAGGCCTTGTGCGCTCCCAAACTTCCCTTCGCAGATTCTACAAAAAAAGTGTTTCCAATCTGATCAATCAAAAGAAAAGTTTATTTCTGTGAGATGAATGCCCACATCACAAAACAGTTTCCCAAAAAGCTTCTTTCAAGTTTTTACCTGGAGATATTCCCTTTTCCACCATAGGCCTCAATGTGCTCACAAATATCCCTTCACGGATTTTATAAAAACACTGTTTCTGAACTGTTCTGCCTAAAGAGTGATTTAAATCTGTAAGATGAATGCACACATCACAAAGCATATTCTCAGAAAGCTTCTTTCCAGTTTTTATCCGAAGATATTTCCTTTTTCACCATAGATCTCGTGCACTCCCAAATATCCCTTTGCAGATTCTACAAAAGCAGTGTTTCCAAACTGTTCAATGAAAAGAACGACTTAACTGTGTGAGATGAATGCACACATCTGAAAACAGTTTCTCTTAATGCTTCATTGCACATTTTATCTGAAGATGTTTCCTTTTTCACCATAACCTACTTTGGGCTACATTACATGGGTTCGCACATTTTGCAAAAACAGTGTTTGCAAACTGCTCAGTGAAAAGAAAGGTTTTAATCTTTTAGATAAATGCACCCATGACAAAGCAGTTTCTCAAAAGGCTTCTTTCTAGTTTTCATCTGATGATATTAACTTTATCACCAAAGAGTTCAATGCACGCCCAAATATCCCATCACAGATTCCACAAAAACAGTGTTTCCATAATACTCAATCAAAAAAAAGGTTTAATTCTGTGAGTGGAAGGCACACATCACAAGGCAGTTTCTACAATGATCCTTTCCAGTTTTAATCCAAAGGTATTTCCTTTTTCACCATAGGACTTGTGTGCTGCCAAACATACTTTCACAGTTTCTACAGAAACAGTGTTACCAAATTGATCAATCAAAAGAAAGGTTTAACCCTGTGAGATGAATGCAGACATTGCAAAGCATTTTCTCAAAAATCTTCTTTCTAGTTTTTATCTGAAGATATTTGCTTTTTCACCAAATGCATCAATGCGCTCCGAAATATGCCTTCCCATATTCCACCAAAACAGTGTTTTCAAACTGCTCAATCAAAAGTAGGGTTTAACTCTGTGAAATCAATGCACACATCACAAAGCAGATTCTCAGAAAGCTTCTGTCTACTTCTTCTCTGAAGATATTTTCTTTTCCACCAAGGCATAATGCCCTCTGAAATATCCCTTCACAGATTCTATAAAAGCAGTATTTCCAAACTGTTTCATAAAAAGAAGTACTTATCTCTGTGAGATGAATGCACACAGCACAAAGCAGTTTCTCAGAAATCTTCTTTCTAGTTTTTATCTGAAGTAATTTCCTTTTTCACCATAGTCCTCGTGTGTTCCAAATTTCCTTTCACATACTCTGAAAAAAGAGTGTTCCCAAACTGATCAATAAAAAGAAAGTTTTAACTGTGTGAGATGAATGCACACATCACAAAGCAGTTTCTCCAAAGCTTCTTTCTACTGTTTATCCGAAGATATATCCTTTTTCACCTTAGCTTCAATGCATCCCCAAATACCCCTTTGCAGATTCGACAAAAACAGTGTTTCCAAACTGCTCAATCAAAAGAAATGTTTAACTCTGTGAGATGAATGCACATATCACAAATCAGTTTCTCCTAAAGATTCTGTCTAGTTCTTCTCTGAAGATATTTCCTTTTCCACCATAGGCCTCAATGTGTTTCAAAGTATCCTTTCACACATTATACAAAAAAAGTATTTCTAAGCTTTTCCATCAAAAGAAGGACTTAACTCTGTGAGATGAATGCACACGTCACACAGTAGTTTCTCATAACACTTCTTTCCAGTTTTTATCTGAAAATATTTACTTTTTCACTACAGGCTTTTCTGGCTACTTAATATCACTTGCACATTTTGAAAAAAACAGTGTTTCCAAACTCTTCACTCAAAAGAAAGATTTAAGTCTGTGAGATGAATGCAAAGATCAAATAGCAGTTTCTCAAAAAGCTTCTTTCCACTTTTTATCTGAAGATATTTCCTTTTCAAAGTAAGACTCAGTATGCTCCCAAATATCCCTTTGCAGATTCTACAAAAATAGTGTTTCCAAACTGCTCAATCAAGAGAAAATGTTAACTCTGTGAGAAGAATGCACACATCCCAAAGCGGTTTTTAGAAAGATTCTCTCTAATTTTTATCTCAAGTTATTTCCTTTTCCCCATAGGCCTCATGCACTCCCAAATACACCATCACAGATTCTAAAAAGACAGTGTTACCAAACTGATCAATCAAATGAAAGGTTTACCTCTGTGAGATGAATGGGCACATCATAAAGCAGTTGGTCAAAAATTTCTTTCTAGTTTTTATCCAAAGATATTTCATTTTTCACTATAGACTTCAATGTGGTCCCAAATAACCCTTCACACTTTCTACCAAAACAGTGTTTCGAAACTGCTCAATCAAAAGAAACATTTACCTCTGTGAGAAGAATGCACACATCACAAAGCAGTTTCTCAAAAAGCTTCTTCTTTCTAGGTCTTAAAACTGAAGATATTTCATTTTTCTCCATAACCTTCAATGCGCTCCAAAATATCCCTTTGCATATTGTACAAAAACAGTGTTTCCAAACTGCTCAACAAAAAAGAAACTTTTACCTCTGTGAGAAGAACACACACATCACAAAGCAGTTTCTCAAAAAGCTTCTTTCTAATCTTTATCCAAAGATATATACTTTTTCACCACAGGCTTCAATTCACTCCTAAATATCCCTTCGAGATTTTACAAAAACAGCATTTCCAAACTGCTCAATCAAAACAAAAGTTTAAATATGTGAGGTCAATGCAGACATCACAAGGCACTTTCTCAGAAAGTTTCTGTCTAGTTCTCTGAAGTCATTTCCTTTTCCACCATTGGCCTGAGAGCGCTGCCAAATATCCATTCACCCATTCTACAAAAACACTGTTTCCAAACCGTTCAATCAAAAGAGGGACTTAACTCTCTGAGATTAACACACACATCAGAAAGCCATTTCTCATAATGCTTCTTTCCAGGTTTTATCTGTAAAAGTTTCTTTTTTCATCATAGCTTTTTGTGTTACATAATATCTCTTCCAGGTTTTGCAAAAACAGTGTTTCCAAACTGCTCAGTGAAAAGAAAGGTTTTACTCTGAGATAAATTCACACATCACTAAGCAGTTTTTCACAAAGCTCCTTTCTAATTTTTATCTTGAAATATTTCCTTTTTCACCGTAGGCCTCAATGCACTCCCAAATAACTGTTTGCAACTTCTGCCAAAAGGGTGTTTCCAAACAGCTCCATCAAAGGAAAAAATAATCACTGTGAAATGAATGCACACATTAAAGCACTGAGACAAATAAGTATCTCAGAAAGCTTCTTTACAGTTTTTATCTGAACATATTTCCTTTTTCAGAATAGGCCTTTTTGTGCTACCTAGCATCACTTTGCAGATTACAAAAAAACAGTGTTTCCAAACAGCTCAATCAAAAGCCACATTTAAGTCAGTGAGATGAATGCACACTTTACAAATCAGTATCTCAAAAAGCGTCTGTCTTGATTTTTTCCAAAGATATTTCCTTTAACACCATAGGCTTCAATGTGCTCCCAAATATTCTGTTGTAGATTCTACAAAAGCAATGTTTCCAAACTGCTCAATCAAAAAATAGGTTTAACTCTGTGAGCTGAATGCACAGCTCACAAAGCAGTTCCTCAAAAATATTTTTTCTAGTTTTTACACTAAGGTATTTCCTTTTCCACCATAAATATTAGTGTGCTCCAAAATTTCCCTTTGCAGATTCTACAAAAACACTGTTTCCAAACTGCTCAACCCAAGGAAAGGTTTACCTCTGTAAGATGAATGCATACATCACAAAGCAGTTTCTCAGTAAGCTTCTTTCTAGTTTTTATCTGGAGATATTTCCTTTTTCAATGTAGGCCTCAATGCACTCCCAAATAACCCTTCACAGAATCTTGCAAAATGGTGTTTCCAAACGGCTCCATCAAAGAAAAAATTTAACACTGTTAAATGAAAGCACACATCACAAATCAGTCTCAGAAATCTTCTTTCCAGTTTTTGTCTGAAGATATTTCTTTTTTCAACATAGGCCTCTTTGCGCTACCAAATATCACTTTGCAGATTATTCAAAATCAATGTTTCCAAAATGCTCTATCAAAAGAAATGTTTAACTCTGTGAGGTGAATGCACACATCACAAAGCAGTTTCTCAAAATGCTTCTTTCCAGTTTTTATCCGAAGATGTTTCCTCTTTCACCATAGGATTCAATGTGCTCCCAAATACACCATTGCAGATTCCACATTAACAGTGTTTGAAAACTGATCAATAAAAAGCAAGTTTAACTCTATGAGGTGAAAGCACAGATAACAAAGCAGTTTCTGAAAAGGCTTCTTTCTTATTTTTCTCTGAAGATATTCGCTTTTCCACTGTAGGCCTTAATTAAATATATGTTTGCAGATACTACAAAAACAGTGTTTCCAAGCAGCTCAATATAAAGAAACATTTAACTCTGTGAGAAGAATGCACACATCAAAAAGCGGTTTCTCAGATTGCTTCTTTCTACTTTTTATCTGAAGTTAATTTTTTTCACCATTGGCCTCATGCGCTCCCAAATAGCCCTTCACAGATTCCACAAAACAGTGTCTCCAAACTGCTCAAAGAAAGGTTTAACTCTGTGAGATGAATACACACATCACAAAGCAGTTTCTCATAAAGCTTCTCTCTAGTTCTTATCTGAATGTATTTCCTTTTCCAACTTAGGCCTCAATGCCCTCCCAAATATTCCTTCGCAGATTCTACAGAACCACTGTTTCCAAACTGCTCCATCAAAAGAAAGACTTAACTCTGTAAGATGAAAGCACACATCAGAAATCAGTTTCTCATAATGCTTCTTTCCATTTTTTATCTGAAGTTTTTTCCTTCTTTTACAACATAGGCTTTTTTGCACTGTGTAATGTTACTTCACAGATTATACAGAAACAGTGTTTCCAAAGTTCTCAGTCAAAGAAAAGTTTAAGTCTGTGAGATGAATGCACACATCAGAAAGCAGTTTCTCAAAAAGTTTCTTTCTAGCTTTTATAAAAAGATATTTCCTTTTCCACCATCAACTTAACTGTGCTTTCTATTATCCCATTGCAGATTCTACAAAAACAGTGTTCCCAAACTGCTCAATCAAAAGAAATGTCTAAATCTGTGAGAAGAATACACACATCATAAAGAAGTTTCTCAGAAAACTTCCTTGTAGTTTTTATCTGAAGTTATTTCCTTTTTCACTGTAGGCATCAGTGCACTCCAAAATATCCCTTGTCAGATTCTAGCAAAACAGTTTTTCCAAACTACTCAATCAATACAAAGCTTTAACTGTATCAGACGAATACAAGCATCTCAAAGTAGTTTCTCAGAAAGCTTCTTGCTAGTTTTTATCTGGAGATATTTCATTTTTCACCATAGGCCTCAATGTGATCCCAAATAACCCCTGGCTGATTCTGCCAAAAGGGTGGTTTCAAGTGGCCCCATCAAAAGAAAGATTTAATACTGTGAAATGTATACACAAATCACAAATTAGGTTTTCAGAAAGTTTCTAATTTTAATCTGAAGTTATTACCTTTCTCACAATAGGCCTCTTGTACTCGCAAATATTCCTTGGCAGATTCTACAAAAAGAGTGTTTCCAAACGGATTAATTAAAAGAAAGGCTTAACACTATGAGATGAATGCACACATCACAAAACAGTTTCTCATATACCCTCTTTCTAGTTTTTATCCGAAGATATTTCCTTTTTCACCATAGGCTTCCATGCGCTCCCAAATATCCCTTTGCAGATTCTAAAAAAAAACAGTGTTTCCAAACTGCTCAATGAAAAGAAAGGTTTAACTCTGGGAGAGGAATGCACACATCCCAAAGCAGTTTCTTTATTATTATTATTATTATTATTATTATTATTATTACGCTTTAAGTTTTAGGGTACATGTGCACAATGTGCAGGTTTGTTACATATGTATACGTGTGCCATGTTGGTGTGCTGCACCCATTAACTTGTCATTTAGCATTAGGTATATCTCCTAATGCTATTCCTCCCGCCTCCGCCCACCCCACAACAGGCTCCAGTGTGTGATGTTCCTCTTCCTGTGTCCAAGTGATCTCATTGTTCAATTCCCACCTGTGAGTGAGAACATGCGGTGTTTGGTTTTTTGTCCTTCTGATAGTTTGCTGAGAATGATGGTTTCCAGCTTCATCCATGTCCCTACAAAGGACACGAACCTATCATTTTTTTATGGCTGCATTGTGTTCCATGGTGTATATGTGCCACATTTTCTTAATCCAATCTATTGTTGTTGGATATTTGGGTGGGTTCCAAGTCTTTACTATTGTGAATAGTGCCACAATAAGCATATGTGTGCGTGTGTCTTTATAGCAGCATCATTTATAACCCTTTGGGTATATACCCAGTAATGGGATGGCTGGGTCAAATGGTATTTCTATTTCTAGATCCCTGAGGAATCGCCACACTGACTTCCACAATGTTTGAACTAGTTTACAGTCCCACCAATAGTGTAAATATCTGCACCTCCTCTTCAGCACCTGTTGTTTCCTGACTTTTTAATGATCACCATTCTAACTGGTGTGAGATGGTATCTCATTGTGGTTTTGATTTACATTTCTCTGATGGCCAGTGATAATGAGCATTTTTTCATGTGTTTTTTGGCTGCTTAAATGTCTTCTTTTGAGAAGTGTCTGTTCTTATCCTTTGCCCACTTTTTGATGGAGTTGTTTGTTTTTTTCTTGTAAATTTGTTTGAGTTCATTGTAGATTCTGGATATTAGCCCTTTGTCAGATGAGTAGATTGCAAAAATTTTCTCCCATTCTGTAGGTTGCCTGCTCACTCTGATGGTAGTTTCTTTTGCTGTGCAGAAGCTCTTTAGTTTAATTAGATCCCATTTGTCAATTTTGTGTTTTGTTGCCATTGCTTTTGGTGTTTTAGACATGAAGTCCTTACAGGAGAAGGAAACAAAAGGTATTCTATTAGGAAAAGAGGAAGTCAAATTGTCTCTATTTGCAGATGACATGATTGTACATCTAGAAAACCCCATTGTCTCAGCCCAAAATCTCCTTAAGCTCACAAGCAAATTCAGCAAAGTCTCAGGGTACAAAATCAATGTGCAAAAAGCACAAGCATTCTTATACACCAATAACAGACAGAGAGCCAAATCATGAGTGAATTCCCATTCACAATTGCTTCAACAAGAGTAAAATACCTAGGAATCCAACTTACAAGGGATGTTAAGGACCTCTTCAAGCAGAACTACAAACCACTGCTCAATAAAATAAAAGAGGATACCAACGAATGGAAGAGCATTCCATGCTCATGGGAAGGAACAATCAATATGATGAAAATGGCCATACTGCCCAAGGTAATTTATAGATTCAATGCCATCCCCATCAAGCTACCAATGACTTTCTTCACAGAATTGGAAAAAACTACTTTAAAGTTCATATGGAACCAAAAAAAAGCCCACATTGACAAGTCAAAGCTAAGCCAAAAGAACAAAGCCGGAGGCATAATGCTACCTGACTTCAAACTATACTACAAGACTACAGTAACCAAAACAGCATGGTTCTGGTACCAAAACAGAGATACAGATCAATGGAACAGAACACAGCCCTCAGAAATAATGCCACATATCTACAACTATCTGATCTTTGACAAACCTGAGAAAAACAAGCAATGGGGAAAAGATTCCCTATTTAATAAATGGTGCTGGGAAAACGGGCTAGCCATATGTAGAAAGCTGAAACTGGATCCCTTCCTTACACCTTGTACAAAAATTAATTCAAGATGGATTAAAGACTTACTTGTTGACCTAAAACCAATGCAGTTTCTTAGATAACTTCTGCCCAGTTTTTCTCTGACGATATTTCCTTTTCCACCATAGACATCAATGAGCTTCCAAATATCCCTTCACAGATACTGCAAAAACGGTATTTCTAAACTGTTCCATCAAAAACGACTTAAATCTGTGAGATGAAGGCACACATCAGAAAGCAGTTTCTGAAAACACTTGTTTCCTGTTTTATCTTAAGATATTACCTTTTTCACCATGGGCTTTTTGCGTTTCATAATATCACTTCACAGATTTTTCAAATACAGTGTTTCCAAACTGATCCTTCAAAAGAAAGCTTTAACTCTGTGAGATGAATGCCCACATCACAAAGCAGTTTCTAAAAATTTCTTTCTAGTTTTTATCAAAAGATATTTTCTTTATCACCATAGACTTCAGTGAGCTGCCAAATATCCCATCACAGATTCTACAAAAACAGTGTTTCCAAACTGAGCCATCAAAAAATAGGTTTAACTCTGTCACTTGAATGCACACATTACAAAGCAGTTTCTCATAACGCTTCTGTCTAGCTCTTCTCTGAAGATCTTTCCTATTCCACCAAAGACCTCAATGCGCTCCCAAATATCCCTTCACGGATTATATAAAAACATTGTTTCCGAACTATTTCATCAAAAGAAGGATTGAACTCTGTGAGATGAACGCCCACATCAGAAAGGAGTTTCTCATAATGCTTCTTTCCATGTTTTGTCTCAATATATTTGCTTGTTCACCATAGGCCTTTTTGCTTTACCTAACATGGTTTCATAGATTATACAAAAACAGGGTTTCCAAACTGCTGAGTCAAAAGAAAAGTTTAACTCTGTGAGACGAATGCATATATCACAAAGCGTTTTCTCAAATAGCTTCTTTCTAGTTTTTATCCAAAATATTTCCTTTTTCACCATAGGCCTCAGGGGACTCCAAAATGTGCCTTTGCAGGTTACACATAAAGAGTGTTTGTAAACTGCTCAATCCAAAGAGACATTAAACACTGTGAGAAGATTACACACATCACAAAGCAGTTTCTAAGAAAGCTTCTTTTTAGTATTTCTCTAAAGTAATTTCCTTTTTCACCAAAGACCTCATGGGCTCCCAAATATCCCTTCACATATTCTACAAAAAAACAGTGTTTCAAAACTGATCTGTCAAGAGAAGGTTTAACCCTGTGAGATGAATGCACACATCACGAAGTAGATTCTCAAAAGGCTTCTTTCTAGTTTTTATCTGAAGATATTTCCTTTTTCACCATTGACTTCAATGCACTCTTATAAATATCTCTTTGTGGATTCTACAACAACAGTGTTTCCAAACTGCACAATCAAAAGACAGGTTTAACTCTTTGAGTTGAATGCATACATCACAAAGAAGTTTCTCAAAAAGCTTCTTTCTATTTTTATCTGAAGTTAACTCCATTTACACCAAAGAACTCTTGGGCTCTCAAATATCCTATCATATATTCTACAAAGAAAGTTTTTGCAATCTGATCAATCAAAACAAAGGTTTAACTCTGTGAGATGAATGCACACATCACAAAGCAGATTCTCAAAAGTCTTCCTTCTAGTTTTTGTCAGAAGATATTTCCTTTTCCCCATAGGCTTCAAAGAGCTCCCAAATATCCATTAGCAGATTCCAAGAAAGTAGTTTTTCCAAACTGGCCAATCAAAAGAATGGTTTAACTCTGTGAGATGAATGCAGACATCTAAAAGCAGTTTCTCAGAAAGATTCTGTCCTGTTCTTCTCTGAAGATATTTCATTTTCCACCATAGGCCTCAATGAGCTCACAGATATCCCTTCGCAGACACTATAAAAGCAGTGTTTCCCAACTGCTCAATCAAAACAAACGTTTAACTCCTTGAGATGAATGCACACATCACAAAGCAGTTTCTCAGAATGTTTCTGTCTAGTTCTTCTCTGAAGATATTTCCTTTTCCACCATAGGCAACAATGTGTTCCCAAATATCCCTTCACAGATTCTGGAAAAACTGTTTCCAACTGTTCCATCAAAAGCTCAACTTAACTCTGTGAGGTGAATGCACATATCAGAACACAGTTTATCGTGATGTTTCCTTCAGTTTTTATCTGAAGATATTTCCTTTTTCACCATAGGGTTTTTGGTGGTACATAAAATCGCTTCACAGATTTGCAAAAACAGTGTTTCCAAACTGCTCAGTCAAAAGAAAGTTTTAAGTCTGTGAGATGAATGCACACATCACAAAGAAGCTTCTCAAAAAGCTTCTTTCTAGTTTTGATCTGAAGATATTTTCTTTATCACCATAGGCTTCAATGTGCTCCCAAAAATCTTGTCGCAGATTCTAGAAAAACACTGTTTCCAAACAGTTAAATCAAAAAACAGGTTTAACCCTTTGAGTTGAAAGCAGACATCACAAAGCAGCTTCTCAAAAACCTTCTTTCTATTTCTTAACCAAAGATATTTCCTTTTTCACCTAGGCCTCAGTGGGTTCCAAAATATACCTTTGCAGATTCAACAAAAACAATGTTACCAAACTGCTCAATACAAAGAAATATTTAACTCTGTGAGCTACATGCACACCTCACAAAGCGGTATGTCAGAAAGCTTGCATCTGTTTCTTATCTGGAGTTATTTCCTTTTCCAGCATGGGCCTCAGTGTGCTCTCAAACATCACTTCCAAGATCCTACAAAAACAGTTTTTCCAACTATTCATCAAAAGAAGGATGTAACTCTGTGAGGTGAATGCAAACTTCAGAAAGCAGTTTCTCATAACCCTTTTTCCTAGTTTTTATATGAAGTTATGTCCTGGTTCACCATAGGCTTTTTGTGCTATCTAACATCACTTCGCTGAGTATACAAAAAAAAAAAAAGTGTTTCCAAAGTTCTCAGTCAAAAGAAAAGCTTAACTCGGTGAGAAGAATGCATATATCACAAAGCAGTTAATCAAAAAGCTACTTTCTAGTTTTTATCTGAAGATATTTCCTTTTTCACAATAAGCATCAATGTGTTCCCAAATATTCCTTTGCAGATTCTACAAAAACTGTATTTCCAACCTGATCCATCAAAGCAAGGTTTAACTCTGTGTGATGAATGGACATGTCACAAAGCAGTTTTCCAAAAATTTCTGTCTACTTCTTCTCTGAAGATATTTCATTTTCCACCATAGGACTCAATACGCTCCAAATATCCCTTTGCAGATTCTACAAAGAGAGTGTTTCCAAACTGTTCCATCAAAAGAAGGACTTAACTCTGAGAGATGAATGCACACATCAGAAAGCAGTTTCTCATAATGCTTCTTTCCAGTTTTTATCTGAAGACATTTCCTTTTTCACCATACTCTTTTTTGTGCTCCCATATAACCCTTCACAGATTATACAAGAACAGTGTTTCCGAACTGTTCAGTCAAAAGAAAAGTTTAATTCTGTCTGATGAATGGGTACATCAGAAAGCAGTTTCTGAAAAAATTACTTTCTAGTTTTTATGCTAATATATTTCCTTTTTCACCATAGGCCTAACTCCACTTTCAAATATCCCATCGCAGAATCTACAAAAACAGTGTTTCCAAATGACTCAGTCAAAAGAAATATTTAAATCTGTTAGACTAATGCAGACTTCACAAAATAGTTTCTCAGAAATATTCTTTGTAGTTTTTATCCGAAGTTATTTCCTTTTACACCATGGACCTCAGCGCTCTCCCAAATATCCCTTCACAGATTCTACTGTAAGAGTGTTTCCAAACTGCTCAATTAAAAGAAAGTTTTAATTCTGTCAGATGAATGCACTCATTAGAGAGCAGTTTCTCAGAAAGCTTCTTTCTAGTTTTTATCTGAAGTTATTTCCTTGTTCAACATAGGCCTTTTAGCACTACGTATCATCACTTTGCAGATTATACAAAAACAGTGTTTCCAAACTTCTCAGTCAAAAGAAAACTTTAACGCTGTGAGAAAAATTCATACATCACAAAGCAGTATCTTGAAGGGTTTCTTTCTAGTATTTATCTGAAGATATTTCCTTTTTCACCATAGGAAAAACTGGGCTCCCAAATATCCATTTGCAGATTATAAAAAAATAGTGTTTCCAAATTTGTCAATCAAAAGAAACATTTAACTCTTTCAGAGGAAGGCACACATCACAAAGAAGTTTCTCAGAAAAGTACTTTCTAGTTTTTATCTAAAGTTATTTCCTTTTCCATCATAGGCCTCATGCGCTCCCAAATATCCTTTTGCAGATTCTACAAAAACAATGATTCCATATTGCTCAGTAAAAAGAAAGTTATAACTCTGTGAGTTGAATGCACAGAAGTTTCTCAAATAGCTTCTTTCTAGTTTTTATCCAAAGATATTTCCTTTATCACAATAGGCTTCAATGTGCTCCCAAATATCCTGTTGTAGATTCTACAAGAACAGTGTTTTCAAACTGCTCTATTAAAAAACATGAAACACACATCACAAGGGAGTTTCTCTAAAAGCTTCTTTCTAGTTTTTATCCGAAGATATTTCATTTTTCACCATAGGCTTCAAAGCTTTCCCATATATCCCTTCACAGATACTACAAAACCAGTGTTTCCAAACTGCTCAATCAAAGGAAAGGTTGATTTCTGTGATGTGAATGCACACATCACAAAGCAATTTCTCAGAAAACTTCTGTCTCCTTCTTCTCTGAAGATATTTCCTTTTTCACAATAGGCCTAAATTTGCTCCAAAATATCCCTTTGCAAATTCTATAAATCTCTGTTTCTGAACTGTTCCATCAAAAGAAGGATTTAACTCTGTGAGATCAAAGCACACATCAGAAAGAAGCTTTTCATAATGCTTTTTTCCAGTTTTTATCTGAAGTTATTTCCTTGTTAACCATAGGCTTTGTTGTGCTACCTAACATAGCTTCTAAGATTATACAAAAACAGTGTTTTCAAACTGCTCATTCAAAAGAAAACTTTAACTCTGTGAGTTGAAAGAACACATCACAAAGCTGTTTCTCAAGACTTCTGTCTAGTTCTTATCTGAAGATATTTCCTTTTTCACCATAGGCATCAGTGTTATCACAAATATGGCTTTGCAGATTCAACAAAAACAGTGCTTCCAAGCTGCTCAATCAAGAGAAAAGTTTAATTCTGTGAGAAGAATGCACACATTACAAAGCAGCTTCTCAGAAAGCTTCTTTCTAGTTTTTATCTGAAGTTATTTCCTTTTTCACCATAGGCCAAAATGTGCTCCCAAATATCCCTATGCAGATTCTACAAAAACAGTGTTTCCAAACTGATCAATCAAAAGAAAGTTTTAATTCTTTGAGATAAATGCAACATCAGAAAGCAGTTTATCAAAATTTTCTTTCTTGATTTTATCCGAATATCTTTCCTTTTTCACAGTAGGATTCAACGCCTTCCCATTCCCAAATATCCCTGGGCAGATTCTACATAAACAGTGTTTCCAAACTGTTCAATCAAAAGAATCATTTAACTCGGTGAGAAGAATGGACACTTCACAAAGCAGTTTCTCAGAAAGCTTTTTTCTAGTTTTTATCTGAAGTTATTTCTTTTTCATCATAGGCCTAGTGCACTCCCAAATATCCCTTCACAGAGTCTATAAAAACGGTGTTTCCAAACTGACTATTCAAAAGAAAGTTTTAACTCTGTGAGATGAATGCACACATCACAAAGCAGTTTTTCAAAAAGCTTCTTTCTAGTATTTATCCAAAGATATTTCCTTTATCACCATATGCTTCTATATGTTCCCAAATATCCCACCAGAGATTCTTCAAAAACAGTGTTCCCAAAGTGCTCAATCAGAATAATGGCTTAATGCTGTGAGATGAATGCACCCTTCACAAAGCAGTTTCTCAAAAACCTTCTTTCTAGTTTTTATCTGAAGTTATTTAATTTATCACCATAGGCCTCAGTGGGCTCCGAAATATACCTTTGCAGATTGAACAGAAACAGTGTTTCCAAACTGCTGAATAAAAAGAAAAGTTTAACTCTGTGAGATGAATGCACACATCACAAAGCAGTTTCTCAGAACACTTCTGTCTAGTTCTTCTCTGAAGATATTTTCTTTTCTACCATAGACATAAATGTGCTCCTAAGTTTCCCTTTGAAGATTCTACAAAAACATCGTTTCCAAACTGTTCCACCAAAAGAATGACTTAACTCTGTGAGATGAATGCACACATCAAAAAGAAGTTTCTCAAAACACATCTTTCCAGTTTTTATATGAAGATATTTCCTTGTTCACCATAGGCTTTTTTGGGCTAACTAACATCATTTTGATGATTTTGCAGTAACAGTGTTTCCACACTGATCCATCAAAAGAAAGGTTTTACTCTGTGAGATGAATACACATATCACAGAGCAGTTTCTCATATAGTTTAGGTATAGTTCTTCTCCGAAGACATTTCCTTTTCCACCAAAGGCCTTAATGCTCTCCAAAATATCCCCATGCAGATTCCATAAAAACAGTGTTTCCACACTGTTCCATCAAGAGAAGGATTTAACTCAAGGAGATTAAATTACACATAAGAAAACTGTTTCTCATAATGCTAAATTCCAGTTTTTACCTGAATATATTTCTTTATTCACCTTAGCCCTTTTTGTGCTACCTAACATTGCTTCATAGATTATACAGAAACAGTGTTTCCAAACTGCTCCATCAAAACTAAATTTTAACTCTGGGAGATAAACGTGTACTTCACTAAGCAGTTTCTCGAAAACTTTCTTAACCTTTCTTCTTCAAAGACATTTCCTTTTTCAACATAGGCTCAGTGCACTCCCAAATATCCCTTTGCAGATTCTACAGAAACAGTGTTTCCAAACTGCTCTATAAATAGAAATGTTTGGCTCTGTGAGAAGAACCCACATATCCAAAGCAGATTCTCAGAAAACGTCTTTCTAGTTTTCATCTGAAGTTATTTCCTTTTTCACCATAGGTCTCGTGCACTACAAAGTATCCCTTCCCAGATTCTACAAAAACTGTGTTCCAAACTCCTCAATCAAAACAAAGGTTAAACTCTCTGTGATGAATGGACACATCACAAAGCGGTTTCTCAGAAAGTTTCTGTCAATTTCCACTCTGAAGTTATTACCTTTTCCACCATAGGCCTCAATGTGCTCCTACCTATCCCTTTGAAGATTCTTCAAAAACAGTGTTTCCACAGTGTTTCATCAAAAGAATGACTTACCTCTGTGAGATTAATGCAGACATCAAAAAGCAGTTTCTCGTAACACTTCTTTCCAGTTTTTATATGAAGATATTTCCTTGTTCACCATAGGCTTTTTTGAGCTGATATCACTTTGCAGATTTTGCAATACCAGTGTTTCCAAACTGATCCATCAAAAGAAAGGTTTAACTCTGTGACATGAATGCACACATTACAAAGCAGTTTCTCAAAGAGGTTCTTTGTCGTTTTTATGTGAAGTTATTTCCTTTTTCACCATAGGCATCTTGGCCTTCCCAAATATACTTTTGCAGATTCTACAAAAACAGTGTTTCCAAACTGCTAGATCAAAAGAAAGGTTTTACTCTGTGAGATGAATGCACACGTCACAAAGCAGTTTCTCATATAGTTTCTCTATAGTTCTACTCCAAAGATGTTTCCTTTTCCATCAGAGGCTTCAATGCATTCCAAAATATCACTGTACAGATTCCATATAAACAGTGTTTACACACTCTTCCATCAAGAGAAGGATTTAACTCAAGCAGATTAAAGTATACATCAGAAAGCTGTTTCTCATAATGCTAAATTCCAGTTTTTATCTGAAGATATTTCCTTGTTCACCGTAGACCTTTTTGCACTACCTAACATTGCTTCTGAGATTATATACAAACAGTGTTTCCAAACTGCTCCATCAAAAGAAAATTTTAACTCTGGGAGACGAATGCATACTTCACAAACCAGTTTCTCAAAAAATTTCTTAACTTTTCTTCTTTGAAGACATTTCCTTTTTCAACATAGGCATCAATGCGCTCCCAAATATCCCTTTGCAGATTCTATAAAAACTGTGTTTCCAAACTGTTCTATAAATGGAAACATTTGACTCTGTGAGAAGAATGCACATATCCAAAGTGGTTTCTCAGAAACCATCTTTCTAGTTTTTATCTGAAGTTATTTCCTTTTTCATCATAGGTCTCAGGCACTACCAAATATCCCTTCCCAGATTCTACAAAAATAGTGTTTCCAAACTCCTCACTCAAAAGAAAGGATAAACTCTCTGTGATGAATGGACACATCACAAAGCAGTTTCTCAGAAAACTTCTGTCAATTTCTTCTCTGAAGATATTACCTTTTCCATCATAGGCCTCAATGCACTCCCAAATAGCCCTGCACAGATTCTATAAAAACAATCTTTACCAACTGTTCCATCAAAAAAAGGGCTTAAATCTGTGAGATGAACGCTCCCATCAGAAAGAAGTTTCAAACAACCCTTCTTTCCAGTTTTTATCTGAATATATTTCCTTGTTCACCGTAGGCTTTTTTGAGCTACAAAATATCACTTCACAGATTTTGCTAAAACAGTGTATACAAACTGCTCAGTCAAAAAAAGGTTTAACTCTGTGAGATGAATGCCCACATCACAAAGCAGTTTCCAAAAGCTTCTTTCTGGATTTTATCTAAAGATAATTCCTTTTCACCATAGGCTTCAATGCGCTTCCAAATATCACATCACAGATTCTACACATACAGTGTTTCCAAACCACTCAATCAAAAAACAGGATTAACTCTATGAGTTAAAGGTACACATCACAAATTAGTTTGTCAAAAATATTCTTTCCAGTTTTTATCCAAAGATATTTCCTTTTTCAACATAGGCCTCAGTGCACTCCCAAATATACACATGCAGAATCTACAAAAACAGTGTTTAAAAGCTGCTCAATCAAACAAAAGGTTTAACGCTGTGAGATGAATGCACAGTTCACAAAGCAGTTACTCAGACAGTTCTGTCTATTTCTAATCTGAAGATATTTCATTTTCCACCATAGTCCTCAATGCTCTCCCAAATATCCCTTTGCAGATTTTATAAAAACAGTGTTTCTGAACACTTCCAACAAATGAAGTATTTAGCTAAGTGAGATGAACACACACATCAGAAAGCAGTTTCTCATAAGGCTTCTTTCCAGTTTTTATCTGATGAAACATCCTTGTTAACCATAGGATTTTTTGCGCTACAAAACATCGCTTAACAGATTATAGAAAAACTGTGTTTCCAAACTGCTCAGTCAAAAGAAAAGTTTAACTCTGTGAGATGAATGCATACATCACAAACAAGTTTCTCAAAAAGTTTCCTTCTAGTTTTTATCTGAAGACATTTCCTTTATCACCATAGGCTTCAATGTGCTCTGAAATATCCCTTTGCAGATTCTACAAAAAGAGTGTTTCCAAACTACTCAATCAAAGGCAACCTTTAGCTCTCAGAGAAGAATGCACACATCACAAAGCCATTTCTCAGAATGCTTCTTTCCAGTTTTTATCTGAAGTTATTTCCTTTTTCAGTATAGGCCTCATGTGCACTCAAATATCTATTTGCAGATTCTACAAAACAAGTGTTTCCAAACTGATGAATCAAAAGAAAGGTTTAACTCTGTGAGATGAATGCACACATCACAAAGCAGTTTCTCAAAAAATATCTTTCTGGTTTATATCTGAAGATATTTTCTTTGTCACCAAACCTAAAATGCACTCCCAAATATCCCTTTGCAGATTCTACAAAACAGTGTTTCTAAACTGCTCAATCAGAAACAGGTTTAACTCTGTGAGTTGAACACCCACATCACAAAGCAGTTTCTCAAAAGGTATCTTTCTAGTTTTTATCTGAATATATGTCCTTTTTCACCACAGGCATTAGTGTGCTCTGAAGTATACCTTTGAAGATACTACAAAAACAGTGTTTCCAAACTGCTTAATGAAAAGAAAGGTTTAACTCTTTGAGATGAATGCACACTTCATGAAGAAGTTTCTCAGATAGATTCTGTCTAATTTTTCTCTGAAGATATTTCCTTTTCCACCATAGGCCCCAAAGCACTCCCAAATATACCTTCACAGATTCTATAAAAACCGTGTCTCTGAACTGTTCCACCAAAAGAAGGATTTACATTTGTGAGATGAATGCATATATCAGAAAGCAGTTTGTCATAACGACTCTTTCCAGTTTTTTTCTGAGGATATTTCCTTTTTCACCATAGGCCTTTTGCACTATTTAATAGCACTTCGCAGATTATATAAAAACAGTGTTTCCAAACTGCTCAATCAAAAATAATTTTAGTTATCTGAGAAGAATGCACATGTAACAAAGCTGTTTCTCAGAAACCTTCTTTCTAATTTTTATCTGAAGTTATTTCCTTTTTTACAAGAGGCCTCATGTGCATCCAAATATCTCTTTGCACATTGTACAAAAACAGTGTTTCCAAACTGATCATGAGAAGAAAGGTTTAACACTGTGAGCTGAATTCACACTTCAAAAAGCAGTTTCTCAAAAAGCTTCTTTCTTCTTTTTATCTGAAGTTTTTTCCTTTTTATGATAGACCTCATGCGCTCCCAAATATACCTTCACAGATTCTACAAAAATCATGTTTCCAAACTGATCAATCAAAAGAAAGATTTAACTTTTTGAGATGAATGTACACATTACAAAGCAGTCTCTCAAATACCTTCTTTCTAGTTTTTATCTGAAGGTATTTCTTTTTCCACCATAGACTTCAATGCACTCCCAAATTTCCCTTCACAGATTCTATGAAAACAGTGTTTCCAAACTGGTCAATCAAAAGAAGGGTTTTACTCTGTGATATGAATCCACACATCACAAAGCAGTTTCTCAGAAAGCTTTTGTCTCGTTCTTCTCTGAAGTTATTTCTTTTTCCATCGTAGGTCTCAAAGTGCACAGAAATGTCCTTTCACAGATTCTATAAAAATAGTGTTTTGAAACAGCTCTATCAAAAGAAGGACTTAACTTTGTGAGATGAATATACACATCAGAAAGCAGATTCTCATAACCCTTCTCTCCCATTTTTATCTGAAGTTATTTCCTTTTTCACTGTAGGTATCAGTGTGCTTCAAAATATCCCTTGGCAGATTCTACAAAAGCAGTTTCCAAACTGCTCAATCAAAATGATTATTTAACACTGTGAGAAGAATGCATGTATCACAAAGCTTTTTCTCAGAAAGTTTGTTTCTAGTTTTTATCTGAAGTTATTTTCTTTTTCAGCATAAGCCTCATGCACTCCAAAATATCCCTTCACAGATTCTACAAAAATAAATTTTCCAAACTGATGAATCAAAAGAAAGTTTTAACTCTGTGAGATGAATGCACACATCACAAAACAGTTCCTCAGAAAGCTTCTTTCCAGTTTTTATCCGAAGCTATTCCTTTTCTACCCTGGGCCTCAATGCACTCCCAAATATCCCTTCACAGAATCTACAAAACGTTGTTTCCCAACTGTTCCATCAAAAGAAGACTTAACTCTGTGAGATGAATGCACACATCAGAAAGCAGTTTCTCATAACACTTCTTTCCAATTTTACTCTAAAGATATTTCCTTTTTAGCCATAGGCTTTCTGCGCTACCTAATATTTCTTTGCAGATATTGCAAAAACAGTGTTTCCAAACTGCTCAGTCAAAAGAAAGGTTTAACTCTATGAGATGAATGCTCACATCACATAGCAGTTTCTCAAAATCTTCTTTCTACTTTATAACGGAAGATATTTCTTTTTTCACCACAAGTATCAATGTGTTCCCAATATCCCTTTGCAGATTCTACAAAAACAGTATTTCCAAACTGCTCTATCAAAAGAAATGTTTAATTATGTGAGAAAAATGCACACATAATAAAGCAGTTTCAGAGAAAGCTTGTTTCTAGTTTTTATCTGAAGTTATTTCCTTTTTCACCATAGGCCTAGTGCACTCCCAAATATCCCTGTGAGGATTCTAAAAAAACAGCGTTTCCAAACTAATCAATCAAAAGAAAGTTTTAACTCTGTGAGATTATTGCACACATCACAAACTGTTTCTAAGAAACCTTCTGTCTATTTCTTCTCTGAAGATATTTCCATTTCCTCCATAGGCCTCAAATCCCTCCAAAATATCCCTTTGCAGATCCTACAAAAACAGTGTTTCCAAACTTTTCCTTCAAAAGGAGGACTTAACTCTATGAGATGAATGCACGCATCAGAATGCAGTTTCTCATAACCCTTATTTCCAGTTTTTATCTAAAGATATTTCCTTGCTCAACATAGTACCTTTGGACTACAAAACATCACTTCACATATTACATAAAAACAGTGTTTTCAAATGGCTCAGTCAAAAGAAAAGCTTAACTCTGTGAAATGAGTGCATCCATTACAAAGTAGTTTCTCAAAAAGCATCTTTCTAGTTTTTATCTGATTATATTTCCTTTTTCACCATAGGCAACAATGTGCTCCCAAATATCCTTTTACAGATTCTACAAAAAGAGTGTTTCCAAACTGCTCAATCAAAAGAAATGTTTAACTTGGTGAGAAGAATGCAAACATCACAAAGCAGTTTCTCAGAAAGCTTCTTTCTAGTTTTTATCAGAAGTTATTTCCTTTTTCACCATAGACCTCGTGCACTCCAAAATACGCCTTTGCAGATTCTACAGAAACTGTGTTTCCAAACAGATCAATCAAACAAAAGGTTTAACTCTGTTAGATGAATGCACACATCACAAAGCAGTTTCTCAAAAAGCTTCTTACTAATTTTTATCTGAAGAAGTTTCCTTTTTCACCATAGGCTTCAAGGCACTCCCAAATATCCCATCACAGATTCTACAAAAACAGTATTTCCAACTGCTTTGTTAAAAGAAACGTTTAACACTGTGAGAAGAATGCACATATCATAAAGCAGTTTCTTAAAAAGCTTCTTAAATAGGGAATCCTTTCCCCATTGCTTGTTTTTCTCAGGTTTGTCAAAGATCAGATAGTTGTAGGTATGTGGCGTTATTTCTGAGGGCTCTGTTCTGTTCCATTGATCTATATCTCTGTTTTGGTACCAGTACCATGCTGGTTTGGTTACTGTAGCCTTGTAGTATAGTTTGAAGTCAGGTAGTGTGATGTCTCCAGCTTTGTTCTTTTGGCTTAGGATTGACTTGGCAATGCAGGCTCTTTTTTGGTTCCATATGAACTTTAAAGTAGTTTTTTCCAATTCTGTGAAGAAAGTCATTGGTAGCTTGATGGGGATGGCATTGAATCTGTAAATTACCTTGGGCGGTATGGCCATTTTCACGATATTGATTCTTCCTACCCATGAGCATGGAATGTTCTTCCATTTGTTTGTATCCTCTTTTATTTCCTTGAGCAGTGGTTTGTAGTTCTCCTCGAAGAGGTCCTTCACATCCCTTGTAAGTTGGATTCCCAGGTATTTTATTCTCTTTGAAGCAATTGTGAATGGGAGTTCACTCATGATTTGTCTCTCTGTTTGTCTGTTGTTGGTGTATAAGAATGCTTGTGATTTTTGTACATTGATTTTGTATCCTGAGACTTTGCTGAAGTTGCTTATCAGCTTAAGGAGATTTTGGGCTGAGACGATGGGGTTTTCTAGATAAACAATCATGTCGTCTGCAAACAGGGACAATTTGACTTCCTCTTGTCCTAATTGAATACCTTTTATTTCCTTCTCCTGTCTGATTTCCCTGGCCAGAACTTCCAACAATATGTTGAATAGGAGCGGTGAGAGAGGGCTTCCCTGTCTTGTGCTGGGAAAACTGGCTAGCCATATGTAGAAAGCTGAAACTGGATCCCTTCCTTACACCTTATACAAAAATCAATTCAAGATGGTTTAAAGATTTAAACGTTAGACCTAAAACCATAAAAACCCTAGAAGAAAACCTAGGCATTACCATTCAGGACATAGGCGTGGGCAAGGACTTCATGTCTAAAACACCAAAAGCAATGGCAACAAAAGACAAAATTGACAAATGGGATCTAATTAAACTAAAGAGCTTCTGCACAGCAAAAGAAACTACCATCAGAGTGAACAGGCAACCTACAGAATGGGAGAAAATTTTTGCAACCTACTCATCTGACAAAGAGCTAATATCCAGAATCTACAATGAACTCAAACAAATTTACAAGAAAAAAACAAACAACCCCATCAAAAAGTGGGCGAAGGACATGAACAGACACTTCTCAAAAGAAGACATTTATGCAGCCAAAAAACACATGAAAAAATGCTCATCATCACTGGCCATCAGAGAAATGCAAATCAAAACCACTATGAGATATCATCTCACACCAGTTAGAATGGCAATCATTAAAAAGTCAGGAAACAACAGGTGCTGGAGAGTATATGGAGAAATAGGAACACTTTTACACTGTTGGTGGGACTGTAAACTAGTTCAACCATTGTGGAAGTCAGTGTGGCGATTCCTCAGGGATCTAGAACTAGAAATACCATTTGACCCAGCCATCCCATTACTGGGTATATACCCAAAGGACTATAAATCATGCTGCTATAAAGACACATGAACACGTATGCTTATTGCAGCATTATTCACAATAGCAAAGACTTGGAACCAACCCAAATGTCCAACAACGATAGACTGGATTAAGAAAATGTGGCACATATACACCATGGAATACTATGCAGCCATAAAAAATGATGAGTTCATGTCCTTTGTAGGGACATGGATGAAACTGGAAACCATCATTCTCAGTAAACTATCGCAAGAACAAAAAACCAAACACCGCATATTCTCACTCATAGGTGGGAATTGAACAATGAGATCACATGGACACAGGAAGGGGAATATCACACTCTGGGGATTGTGGTGGGGTGGGGGGAGGAGGGAGCGATAGCATCAGGAGATATACCTAATGCTAGATGACGAGTTAGTGGGTGCAGCGCACCAGCATGGCACATGTATACATATGTAACTAACCTGCACAATGTGAACATGTACCCTAAAACTTAAAGTATAACAATAAAAAAAAAGCTTCTTTCTAGTTTTTATTCAGAGGTATTTCCTTTGTCACCATAGGCTTCAATGGGCTCTGAAATATCCCTTTGCATATTCTACAAAAGCAGTGTTTCCAGCAGCACAATCAAAAGAAAAGTTTGACTCAGATGAATGCATACATCACAAAGCAATTTCTCAGACAGATTCTGTCTACTTATTCTCTGAAGATATTTCCTTTTCCATCATAGGCTTCAAAGTGCTACCAAATATCTATTCACAGATTCTATAAAGACAGTGTTTCTGAACTGTTCCTTCAAAAGAAGGATTTAACTGTATCAGATGAATGCACACTTCTGAATGCGGTTTCTCATAGTACTTCTTTCCAGTTTTTATCTAAACATATTTCCTTGTTCACTGTAGTCCATTTTGCTCTACCTAACATCACTTTGTAGATTATACAAAAATAGTGTTTTCAAACTGGTCACTTAAAACTAAAGTTTTACTCTGTGAGATGAATGGACATATCACAAAGCTGTTTCTCAAAATGCTTTTTTCTAGTTTTATCTGAATATATACTTTTTCACCATAGGAATCAGTGAGATACAAAATATCCCTTTGCAGATTCTATGAAAACTGTGTTTCCAAACTGCTCAATCAAAACAAGCGTTTAAAACTGTGAGAAGAATGCCCTTGTCACAAAGCAGTTTCTTAGAAATCTTCCTTCTACTTTTTATCTGAAGTTATTTCCACTTTCAACTTTGGCTTCATGCATTCCCAAAAATCCCTTTAGAAATTCTACAAAAAGAGTGCTTCCAAACTGACCAATCAAAAGAAAGGTTTAACTCTGTGAGATGAATCCACGCATCACAAAGCAATTTGTCAAAAAGTTTCCTTCTCATTTTTATCCAAAGATATTTCCTTTTTCACTGTAGGCTTCAATGCAGTCCCAAATATCCCTTCTTACATCATACAAAAACGGTGTTTCAAAAGTTCTCAATCATCAAAAGAAAGGTTTTACTCTTTGAGATGAATACACACATCACAAAGCAGTTTCTCAGAAAGTTTCTGTGTAGCTCCTCTCTGAAGATATTTCCTTTTCCATCATAAGCCTCAGTTTGCTCCAAAATATCCCTTGCAGATTCTACAAAAACAGTGGTTCCAAACTGTTCCATCAAAAGAAGGACTTAACTCTGTGAGATGAATGCACACACTAGAAAACATTTCTCATAACCCTTCTTTCAATTTTTTATCTGAAGATATTTCCTTTTTCACCGTAGGCTTTTTTGTGATACCTAGTATCACTTCACAGAATTTGCAATAATTGTGTTTCCACACTGCTCACTCAAAAGAAAGTTTTAATTCTGTAAGATGAATGCACACATCACAAAGCTCTTTCTCATAATGCTTCTTTCTGGTTTTTCTCCAAAGATACTTTCTTTCTCACCATAGGGTTCAATGTGCTCTCAAATATCCCATTGCAGAGTCCACAAAAACAGTGTTTCCAATCTGCTCAAGCAAAAACAGGTTTAACTCTATAAGTTGAATGCACACATCACAAAGCAGTTTTGGAAAAATTTCTTTCTAATTTTTATCTGAAGATATTTCCTTTATCACCATAGGCCCCAGTGTGCTCCCAAATATACATTTGCTGATACTACAAAACAGTATTTCCAAACTGCTCAATAAAATGAAAGGTTTATCTCCATGAGATGAATGCACACATCAGAAAGCAGTTTCTCAGATAGCTTCTGTCTAGTTCTTCTCTGAAGATATTTCCTTTTCCATCATAGGCTTCAAAGCACTGCCAAATATCCCTTCTCAGATTCTCTATAAACAGTGTTTCTGAAATGTTCTATCAAAGAAGGATTTAACTCTGTGAGATTAATGCACACATCATAAAGCAGCTTTTCATAATGTATCTGATGGTATTTCCTTGTTCTACATAGGCCTTTTTACACTACCTAACATCACTTCGCAGATTACACCAAAACAGTGTTTGCAAATTGCTCATTTAGAAGAAAAGTTTAACTCTGTGAGATGAACGCATACATCACAAAGCAGTTTTTCAAAAACCTTCCTTCAAGTTTTTATCCAAAGATATTTCCTTATTCACCATAGGAGTCAATGCACTCCCAAATATCCCTTTGCAGATTCTCCATAAACAGTGTTTCCAAGCTGCTCAATCAAAAGAAATGTGTAAGTCTGTGAGAAGAATGCACTCATCACAAAGCTATTTCTCAGAAAGCTTCTTTATAGTTTTTATCTGAAATCATTTCCTTTTTCACCATAGGTCTTGTGTGCTCCGAAATATCCCTTCACAGGTTCTACAAAACAGTTTTTCCAAACTGATCACGCATAAGAAATGTTTAATTCTGTGAGATGAATGCACACGTCACATAGCAGTTTCTCAAAAATCTTCATTCTAGTTTTCATCTGAAGATATTTCCTTTTTCACCATAGGCTTCAATGTGCTCTAAATACCCCTTTGCATATTCTATTAAAGCAGTGTTTCAAAACTCCTCAACCAAAGAAAGGTTTAACTCTGTGAGATGAATGCACACATCACAAAGCTGTTTCTCAGAAAGCTTCTGTCTATTTCTCTGAAGATATTTCTTTTTCCCCTGTAGGCATCAAAGTGCTCCCAAATATCCCTTTGCAGATCCTACAAAGGCAGTGTTTCCAAACTGTACTATCAAAAGTACGATTTAAGTGTGAGAAAAGAATGCACAAATTGAAAGCAGTTTCTCATAACGCTTCTTTCCAGTTTGTATCTGAAGATATTTCCTTGTTCAACTTAGGCCTTTTGCGCTACATAACATCGCTTCGCAGAGTATACAAAAACAATGTTTCCAAAGTGTTCAGTCAAAAGAAAAGTTTAACTCTGTGAGATGAATGCACGTGTCACAAAGTGGTTTCTCGAAATACTTCTTTCCAGTTTTATCGGAAGACATCCTTTTTCACCGTAAGAAGCAGTGTGCTCCCAAATATCCCTTCACAGATCCTACAAAAACAGTGTTTCCAAACTTCTCAATCAAAAGAAAGGTTTAACTCTGTGAGATGTATCCACACATCACAAAGCAGTTTGTCAAAGTTTCTTTCTTGTTTTTGTCTGAAGTAATTTCCTTTTTCACTGTAGTCTTCAATGCATTCCCAGATACCCTTCACAGAATCCAGTAAAACAGAGTTTCCAAACTTCTCAATAAAATGAAAGGTTTTACACTGTGAGATGAATACACACATGACAAAGCAGTTTCTCAGAAAGCTTCTGTCTAGTTCTCCTCTGAAGATATTTCTTTTTCCATCTTAGGGCTCACTGAGCTCTAAAATATGCCTTCGCATATTCTAAAAAAACAGTGTTTCCAAACTGTTCCATCAAAAGAAGGACTTAATTCTGTGAGATGAATGCTCACATTAGAAAGCAGTTTCTCATAATGCTTCTTTCCAATTTTTATCTGAAGAGATTTCTTGTTTCACCATAGGCTTTTTTTGTGCTACTGAATGTCGCTTCACAGATTTTGCAAAAGCTGTGTTTCCCAACTGCTCTGTCAAAAGAAAGGTTTATCTCTGTGAGATGAATGCATGTATCACACAGCATTTTCTCAAAAACCATCATTCTAGTTTTTATCCGAAGGTATTTCCTTTTTCACCATGGGCATCTATGCACTCCCAAATGTCCCTTTTCAGATTTGATGTAAAAAGTGTTTCCAAACTGCTCAATCAAAAGAAATGTTTAAGTCTATTAGAAGAATAAACTCTTCATGAAGCTGTTTCTCAGAAAGCTTCTCTCTAGTTTTTATCAGAAGTTATTTCCTTTTTCACAATCGGGTTCGTGCACTCCAAATATCACTTTACAGATTCTACAAAAGCAGTGTTTCCAAACTGATCAATGAAAAGCAGGTTCTCTAAAAGCTTCTTTCTAGTTTTTATCAGAAGATGTTTCCCTTATTGCCATAGGCTTAAATGTGCTCCCAAATATCCTTTCACAGGATGTGCAAATTAATGTTTCCAAACAGCTCAATCAAAATAAAGTTTTAACTCTTTGAGATGAATGCACACTTCACAAAGTAGTTTCTCAGAAAGCTTCTGTCTAGTTCCTCTCTGAAGATAATTACTTTTCCACCACAGGCTTCAATGTGCCCCAAAATATACCATTGTAATTTCTACTAAAAGAGTGTTTCTAAAGTGCTCAATCAAAAATCACATTTAATTCTGTGAGATGAGGGCAGACACCATATAGTAGTTTCTCAAAAGATTCTTTCCTGTTTTTATCTTTTTCACCATAAGCCTCAGTGCACTTTAAAATATAACTTCACAGATTCTACAAAAACAGTGTTTCCAAACTGCTCAATGAACAGAAAGGTTTAACTCTGTGAGATGAATGCACACCTATCAAAACAGTTTCTCGATAGCTTCCTTCTATTTCTTCTCAAGATATTCCCTTTTCCACCATAGGCTTCAATGCACTCCCAAATATCCTTTGCAGATTCTACACAAACTGTTTGCAAACTGTTCCATGAAAAGAAAGATTTACCTCTGTGAGATGAACGCATACATCAGAAAGCAGTTTCCCATAATAGTTCTTTCCAATTTTTAATCTGAACATATTTTCTTCTTCATCATAGGCCTTTTTACATTACCTAACATCGCTTCACAGACTATAAAAAAACAATGTCTCCAATCTACACAGTGAACAGAAAAGTTTAACTCTGTGAGATAAATGCCTACATCACAAAGCAGTTTCTCAAAATACCTCTTTCTAGTTTTTATCCATATATATTTCCTTTTTCACCATAGGCATCATTGTGCTCCCAAATATCCCTTCTCAGATTCTGCAAAAACAGTGTTTCCAAACTGCTCAATCCAAAGAAAGGCTTAACTCTGTGAGATAAATGCACACATTATAAGGCAATTTCTCAGATAAGTTCTATCTTGTTCTATTCTGAAGATACTTCCTTTTCCACCATAGACCTGAATGTGGCCAAAATATCCCTTCGCAGATTCTATAAAAACTGTATTTTTGAACTGTTCCATCAGAAGAAGGCTTTAATTCTGTGAGATGAACACACACATCAGAAAGCCATTTCTCATAATGCTTCTTTCCATTTTTTATCTGAAGATATTTCCTTGTTCAACATAGGCATTTTTGTGCTACTAAACATCAATTCTCAGATTCTACAAAACCAGTGTTTCCAGACTGCTCAATCAAAAGAAAGTTTTAACTTTGTGATATGAATGCAAACATCACAAAGCAGTTTCTCAAAAAGCTCCTTTCTGGTTTTTATCTGAAGATAATTCCTTTATCTCCATGGGCTTCAATGTGCTCCCAAATATCCCATTGCAGATTCTGCAAAAACAGTGTTTCCAAACTGCTTAATCAAAACCCAGCTTTAACTCTCTGAGTTGAATGCCCACATCCCAAAGCAGTTTCTCAAAATCTTCTTCTGGTTTTTATCTGAAGATATTCCTTTTTTCACCATAGACTTCAATGTGCTCCCAAATATCCCTTCAAAGTTTCTACAAAACCAGTGTTTCCAAACTGCTCAACCAAAAGAATGGTTTACCTCTGTTAGATGAATACGCACATCACAAAGTAGTTTCTCAGAAAGCTTCTGTCTAGTTCTGCTCTGAGGATATTTCCTCTTCCACCTTAGTCCTCAATGTGCTCCCAAATATCCCTTTGCATTTTCTACAAAAACAATGTTTCCAAACTGTTCCATCAAAAGAAGTACTTAACTCTGTGAGAAGAATGCACACATTAGAAAGCAGTTTCTCATAACTCTTCTTTCCAGTTTTTATCTGAAGATATTTCCTTTTTCACCATAGTCTTTCTTGTGCTATCTAATATCGCTTTGCAGATTTTGCAAAAACACTGTTTCCAAACTGTTCCTTCAAAAGAAGAACTTAAGTCTGTCAGATGAATGCACACATCACAACGCAGTTTCTCAGAACGTTTATTTCCAGTTCTTATCTAAAGATATTTTGTTGTTCACCATAGGCATTTATGCACTACCTAATATCACTTCACAGATTTTGCAAAATGATGTTTCCAAATTGCTCAGTCCAAAGAAAGGTTTAACTCTGTGAGATGAATGGACTCATCACAAAGCAGTTTCTCAGAAGGTTTCTTTCTAGTTTTTGTCCTAAGATATTTCCTTTTTGACCATAGGCTTCCATGCACTCCAATATATCCCCTCACAGATTCTACAAAAACGGTGTTTTCATACTGATCAATCAAAAGAAAGTTCAACTCTGTGAGATGAATGCACACATCACAATGCAGTTTCTCAAAGAGCTTCTTTCTATTTTTTATGCAAAGATATTTCCTTTTCCCAATTAGATTCAATGTGCTTACAAATATCCCATCGCAGATTTTACATAAACAGTGTTTCAAACTCCTCAATCAAAAAACAGGTTTAACTCCCTGAGTTGAGTGCACACATCACAAAGCAGTTTCTCAAAAAGCTTATGTCTAATTCTTCTCTTAAGATATTTCCTTTGCCATCATTGGCCTCAATGCACTCTCAAATATTCTCTCATAGATTCTATAAAAGCAGTGCTTCTGAACTGTTCCATCAAAGAAGGATTTAACTCTGTGAGATGAATGCACACATCAGAAAGCAATTTCTCATAACGTTTCTTTCCTGTTATTATCTGAAGATATTTCCTTGTTCAACATTTGCCTTTTTGTGCTATCTAACATCGCTTCACAGATTATAGAAAAACAGTGTTTTGAAACTGCTCAGGTAAAATAAATGTTTATCTGTGATATGAAAGCATACATCACAAAGCAGTTTCTCAAAAAGCTTCTTTCTACTTTTCTCTCAAGATATTTCCTTTTTCACCAAATGCATCATTGCACTCCCAAATATCCCTTTGCAGATACTACAAAAACAGTATTTCCAAACTCCTCAAAAGAGACTTTTAACACTGTGAGAAGAATGTACACACCACAAAGTGGTTTATCAGAAAGCTTCTTTCTACTTTTTATCTCAAGTTATTTCCTTTTTCACCATATGCCTCCTGTGCTCCCAAATATCCCTTCAGAGATTCTGCAAAAACAGCATTTCCAATTTTATCTGAAGTTATTTCCTTTTTTCACCATATGCCTCATGTGCTCCCAAATATCCCTTCACAGATTCTACAAAAACTGTGTTTCCAAACTGATCAATCAAAAGAATGGTTTAACTCTATGAGACGAATGCACACAGCACAAACTTTTTCTCAGAAAGCTTCTGTCTAGTTCTTCTCTGAAGATATTTCCTTTTCCACCATAGGCCTCTATGTGCTCCAAAATATCCCTTCATAGATTCTACAAAATCAGTGTTTCCAAACTGCTCTATGAAAGGAAAGTTTTAACTCTGTGTTGAATGCACACATCACAAAGAAGTTTCTCAAAAACATTCTTTATAGTGTTTATCCAAACATATTTCCTTTTCCACCATAGGCATCGGTGCCCAGCCAAATATCCCTTTCCAGATTCTATGTAAACAGTGTTTCCAAACTGCTCAATGAAAAGAAACTTTTAAGTCTGTGAGAAAAATGCACTCATCACAAAGCAGTTTCTCAGAAAGCTTCTTTTTAGTTTTAATCAGAAATTATTTCCTTTTTCACTTTATACCTCTTTCACTCCCATATATCCCCTTGCAGATTCTCCAAAAACTGTGCTTCCAAACTCATCAATCAAAGGAAATATTTAACTCTATGAGATGAATGCACACATCACAAAGCAGTTTCTCTAAAAGCTTCTTTCTAATTTCTATCCAAAAATATTTCCTTTTTCACCAGAAGCTTCAATGTGCTCCCAAATATCCCTTCGCAGATTCTACAAAAACATTGTTATCAAATTGCTCAATCAAAAGAAAGGTTTTACTCTGTGAGATGAATGCACACATCATGAAGCAGTTTCTCATAAAGCTTCTCTCTAGTTCTTCTCTCAAGATATTTCCTTTTCCACCATAGGCCTCCATTTGCTCACAAATATCCACTCTCAGATACTACAAAACAGTGTTTTCAACCTGTTCCATTGAAAGAAGGACTTAATTCTGTGAGATGAACACATGTATCAGAATGCCATTTCTCATAATGCTCCTTTACAATTTTTATCTAAAGATACTTCCTTTTCAACATGGGCCTTTTGCACTACCTAACCTCTCTACACAGATTATACACAAAAAAGTGCTTCCAAAGTGTTCAACCAAAAGAAAAGCTTAACCCTTTGAGATGAATGCATCTCTCACAAAGTAGTATTCTAAAGAGCTTCTTCCTAGTTTTTATCCAAAGATATCTCCTTTTTCACCAAAGGTATCCATGTGCTCCCAAATATCACTTTGCAGATTCTACAAAAACAGTGTTTTCAAACAGCTCAATGAAAAGAGAAGTTTAACTATGTGAAAAGAATGCACACATCACATAGCAGTTTCTCAGAAAGCTTCTTTCTAGTTTTTCTCTCAAGCTATTTCCTTTTTCACCATAGGAGTCTTGCACTCCAAAATATCACTTTGCAGATTCTATGTAAGCAGTGCTTCCAAACAGCTCCGTTAAAAGGAATGTTTAACACTGTGAGAAGAATGAGCTCATCACAAAGAAGTTTCTCAGAAAGGTTCTTTCTAGTTCTTATCTGAAGTTATTTCCTTTTTCACCATAGGCCTCTTGTGCTCCCAAATATCCCTTTGCAGATGCTACTAAAACAGTGTTTCCAAGCTGATCAATCAAAAGAAACTTTTAACTCTGTGAGATGAATACACACATCACAAAGCAGTTTCTCAAAAAGCTTTTTTCTAGTTTTTATGTGAAGTTGTATCCTTTTTCACTGTAGGCATCAACGTGCTCCCAAATAACCCTTCGCAGATTCTACATAAACAGTGTGTCCAAACTGCTGAATCAAAAGAAATATTTAACTCTGTGAGATGAATGCACACGTCACAAAGCAGATTCTCAGAAAGCTTCTATCTTGTTCTTCTCTGAAGATACTTCCATTTCCACCATAGACCTCCATGTGCTCCCAAATATCCTGTCCCTGATTCCACAAAAACAGTGTTTCCAAACTGTTCCATCAAAAGAAGGACTTAATTCTCTGAGTGAATACACACATTGTAAAGCAATTTGCCATAACGCTTCTTTCAAGTTTTTATCTGAAGATAAATATTTCCTTTTTCATCATAGGCTTCAATGTGATTCTAATTATGCTTTTGTAGATTCTACAAAAACAGTGTTTCAAAACTTCTCAATCAAAAGAAGTTTGACTCTCTGAAATGAATACACCCATCACAAAGCAGTTTCTAAGAGACCTTTGGTCTGGTTCTTCTCTGAAGATATTTCCTTTTTCGCCATAGGCTTCAATGTGCTCCCAAGCGCCCCTTCGCAGATTCTGCAAAAACAGTGTTTACAAACTGTTCCATAAAAAGAAGGACTTAACTCTGTGAGATGAATGCACACAACAGAAAGCAGTCTCTCATAATGCTTCTTTCCTAATTTTATCTGAAGATATTTCCTTTCTCACCATAGGCATTTTTGTGCTACCTAATATTTTTTCACAGATTTTGCAAAAACAGTGTTTCCAAACGGCTCAGTCAAAAGTAATGTTTAACTCTGTGAGGTAAATGCACACATCACAAAGCAGTTTCTCAAAAAGTTTCTTTCTAGTTTGTATCCAAAAATATTTCCTTCATCACCATAGGTTTCAATGTGCTCCCACATATCCCATGGGAGATTCTGCAAAAACAATGTTTCCAAACTTCTCAACCAAATAAAGGTTTAACTATGTTAGATGAATGCACACTTCACAAAGCAGTTTCTCAGAAAGCTTCTGTCTGGTTCTTTTCTGAAGATATTTCCTTTTCCCCCTTAAGCCTCAATATGTTCCCAAATATCCCCTCGCAGATTCTACAAAGGAAGTGTTGCTAAACTGTTCCATCAAAAGAAGGACATAACTCTCTGAGTTGTACGCACACATCAGAAAGCTGTTTCTCATAATGCCTCCTTGAGTTTTTATCTGAAGATATTTCCTTGTTGACAGCTGGCTTTTTCGCCCTACCTTATATCGCTTCGCAGATTTTGCAAAAACAGTGTTTCCAAACTGCTCAGTCAAAATAAAGGTTTAAATTTATGAGATGAATTCATAAATCATGAAGCAGTTTCTCGAAAATATTCTAGTGTTTATCCAAAGATATTTCCTTTTTCACCATAGGCATCAGTATGCTCCCAAATATCTCTTGGCAGATTCTACACAAACAGTGATTCCAAAATGCTAAATCAAAAGAAACGATTATCTCTGTGAGAAGAATGCACACATCACAAAGCAGATTCTCAGAAAGCTTCTTTCTTCTTTCTAGTTTT
This sequence comes from Homo sapiens, assembly GCF_000001405.40. Classification (NCBI taxonomy): domain Eukaryota; kingdom Metazoa; phylum Chordata; class Mammalia; order Primates; family Hominidae; genus Homo; species Homo sapiens. Next base: position 46,020,227 of record NC_000005.10, on the reverse strand, counting down.
TATAGGAAGTTACTTCCTTTTTCACCATAGGCTTCATGCACTGTGAAATATCCCTTCACAGATTCTACAGAAAGTTTTTCCAAATTGAATAATCAAAAGGAAGGTTTAACTCTGTGAGATGAATGCACACATCAAAAAGCAATTTCTCAAAAAGCTTCTTTCTAGTTTTTATCTGAAGATATTTTCTTTTTAATGTAGGCTTCTATGCACTCCAAATATCCCTTCGCAGATTCTACAAAAAGAGTGTTCCAAACTGCTGAATCAAAAGAAAGTTTTAACTCTGTGAGAAGAATGCACATATCACAAAGTAGTTTCAAAGAAAGCTTCTGCCTAGTTCTTCACTAAGGATATTTCCTTTTCCACCACAGGTCTCAATGCACTCCCAAATATCCCTTCGCAGATTCTACAAAAACACTGTTTCCAAACTGTTCCATGAATAGAAGGACTTAACTCTGTGAGATGAACGCACCCATCAGAAATCAGTTTCTCATAATGCTTTCCAGTTTTTGTCTGAAGATATTTCCTTTTTCACCGTAGGCTTTTTTTGCACTACCTAATTTCTCTTCACAGATTTTGCAAAAAATGTGTTTCCAAACTGCTGAGTCGAAAGAAAGATTTAACTCTGTTAGATGAATGCACACATCAGAAAGCAGTTTCTCAGAAAGCTTCCTTCTTGTATTTATCTAAAGATATTTCTCTTTTCATCATAGGCCTACCTGTTTTTTCAAATCTCCCATTGCAGATTCTACAAAAGCAATGTTTCCAAACAGCTCAATCAAAAAAAAGTTTTACCTCTGTGAGATGAAAGCACACATCACAAAGCAGTTTCTCAAATGGCTTCTTTCTATGTTTTATTCAAAGATATTTCTTTTTTCACCATAGGCCTCAGTGTGCTCCCAAATATATCAATCATTGCAGAGTCTATAAAAAAAGGGTTTCTAAACTGCTCCATCAAAAGAATAGCTAAACTCTTTGAGATAATGCACATGTCACAAAGCAACTTCTCAGATAACTTCTGTCTAGTTCTCCTCTGAATGTATTTCCTTTACCACTGAATGCCTCAATGCACTCTGAGATTTCCCTTCGCAGATTGTACAAAAACAGTGTTTCTGAAATGTTCCATCAAAAGAAGTACTTAACTCAGTGAGATGAATGCACACATTGGAAAGCAGTTTCTCATAAGGCTTCTTTCCAGTTTTTATCTGAAGATATTTCCTTGTTCACCATTGGCGTTTTTCCACTACATAACATCGCTTGACAGATTATACAAAAACAGTGTTTCTAAACTGCTCAAAGGAAAAGTTTAACTCTCTGAGATGAGTGCCGACATCACAAAGCAGTTTCTCAAAATGGTTCTTTCTAGTTTTTCTTTGAAGACATTTCCTTTTTCACCCAGGCATCTGTGCACTCCCAAATATCCCTTAGCAGATTCTACAAAAACAGGGCTTCCAAACTGCTCAATCAAAAAACAGGTTTACCTCTGTGAGAGGAATGCACACATCACAAAGCAGTTTCAGAGAAAGCTTCTTTTTAGTTTTTATCTGAAGTTATTTCCTTTTTCACTGTAGGCTGCATGCGCTCCCAAATATCCCTTTGCAGAAACTACAAAAAAAGTATTTCCAAACTCATCAATGAAAAGAAAGTTTTAACTGTGTGAAAATAATGCACACATCACAAAGCAGTTTGTCAAAAAGCTTCTTTCTAGTTATTATCTGAAGATCTTTCCTTTTTCATCATAGCCTTCCGTTTCTCCAAAATATCCCTTCACAGATACTACAAAAACCAAGATTCCAAACTGCTCAATCAAAAGAAAGGTGTAACTCTGTGAGATGAATGCCCACATCACAAAGCAGTTTCTCAGAAAGCTTCTCTCTAGTTCTTCTCTGAAGATATTTCCTTTTCCACCATAGCTTTCTAGGCACTCCCTAATATCCCTTCCCATATTCTACAAGAACAGAGTTTCCAAACTGCTCAATCAAAAGAAGGACTTAAATCTGTGAGATGAATGCACACATCCAAAAGCAGTTTCTCATATCACTTCTTTCCAGTTTTTATCTGAAGATATTTCCTTGTTCACCATAGGCTTTTTATGATACTTAATATTGATTCGAAGATTTTTCAGAAGCAGTGTTTCCAAACTGCTCCATCAAAAGGAAGTTTTAACTCTGTGAGATCAATTCACACATCACAAAGCAGTTTCTCAAAAAGCTTCTTTCTAGTTTTTATCTGAAGATATTTTCTGTATCACCATAGGCTTCACTGCACTCCCAAATATCCCTTCGCAGATTCTACAAAAACAGTGTTTCCAAACTGCTCAATAAAAGGAAATGTTTGACTCTGTGAGATGAATGCATAATTCAGAAAGTAGTTTCTCAAAAAGATTATTTTTAGTGTTTATCTGAAGATATTTCCTCTTTTACCATAGGCGTTAGTGTGCTCCCAAATATACTTTTACAGATTCTACAAAAACAGTGTTTCCAAACTGCTCAATCAAAAGAAAGGCTTAACTCTGTGAGATGAATGCATACATCAAAAAGCAGTTCCTCAGATAGCTTCTTTCTAGGTCTTCTCTGAAGATATTTCCTTGTTCACCATAGGGCTCAACACACTTCCAAATATCCCTTCAGATATTCTATAAAAACAGTGTTTCTGAACTGTTCCATTAAAAGAAGGTTTTGACTATTTAAGATGAAAGCACACATAAAAAAGGAGTTTCTCATATCCTTTCCTTCCAGTTTTTCTATGAAGATATTTCCTTGATTGCCATAGACCATTTTGCGCTACCTAACATCACTTCACAGATTATACAAAAACTGTGTTTCCAAACTGCTCAGAGAAAAGAAAGGAGTAACTCTGTGATATGAATGCATACATCACAAAACAGTTTCTCAAAGAGTTTTTTTCCAGTTTTTACCCAAAGATATTTCTTTTTTCAACATAAGCACCAGTGCACTCCGAAATATCTCTATGCAGATTCTACAAAAACAGTGTTTCCAAACTGTTCAATCAAAACAAACGTTTAACTCAGGAGAATGTACACATTAAAAAGTGGTTTCTCAGTAAGCTTCCTTCTAATTTTTATCTGAAGTTATTTCCTTTTTCAACATAGGCCACTTGCACTGTCAAATATCCCTTCGCAGATTCTACAAAAAGACTGTTTCCAAAGTGAATAACGAAAAAAAGTTTTAACTCTGGGAGATGAATGCATACATCACAGAGCAGTTTCTCAAATATCTTCTTTTTAGTTTTTATCTGATGATATTTCCCATTTCACCCTAGGCCTCAATGCGCTCCCAAATATTCCTACACAGATTCTACAAAAATAATGGTGTTTCCAAACTGCTCAATCAAGTGAAAAATTATACTCTGTGACATGAATGCACCCATCACAAAGCAGTTTCTTTCTTATAAACCTTCTGTCTACTTCTTTCCTGAACGTATTTCCTTTTCTATCATATGCCTCAATGAGCTCCCAAATATCCCTTCACATTTTCTTCAAAAACAGAGCTTCCAAACTGTTCCATCAAAAGGACTTAACTCAGTGAGATGAATGCACACATCAGAAAGCAGTTTCTGATAATGCTTCTTTCCAGTTTTTATCTGAAGTTATTTCCTTTTTCACCATAGGTTTTTTTGCACTACATAATATCACTTTCCAGGTTTTGCAAAAATAGTGTTTCCAAACTGCTCCATCAAAAGAAAAGTTTACCTCTGTGAGAGGAATGCACCCATCAGAGAGCAGTTTCTCACAAAATTTTTTCTAGTTTATCTTTGAATATGTTTCTTTTTTCACCATAGGCCTCCTTGTGCTCTTCTAATATCCCTTCACAGACTCTATGAAAACTGTGTTTCCAAAATGCTCCACCAAAAGACAGGTTTGATTCTGTGAGATAAAAGCACACATCACAAAGCTGTTTCTCAGAAGGCTTCCTTCTAGTTTTTCTCTGAAGACATTTTTCTTTTCACCACAAGCCTTAATGTGCTCCCGAGTATCCCTTCACAGGTTCTACAGAAACAATGATTCCAAACAGCCCCATTAAAAGAAAGGTTTATCTTTCTGAAATGAATGGACACATCACAAAGTAGTTTTTCATAAAGCTTCTTTTTAGTTTTTCTTTGTAGATATTTCTTTTCACCCTAGGCCTCAATCCACTCCCAACTATCCCTTCACAGATTCTACGACTACAGTGTTTACAAACTTCTCCAGCAAAAGAAAGGTTTAACTCTGTGAGATGAATGGACACATCACAAAGCAGTTTCTCAGAAACCTTCTTTCTAATTTTTGTTTAAAGTTATTTCCATTTTTACCATAGGCCTCAATGTGCTCTGAAATATCCCTTTGAAGTTTATACAAAAACAAGTTTAACAAACTGCTCCACCAAAGGAATGTTTTATCTCTGTGAGATGAATGCTACATCACAAAGCAGTTTCTCAGAAAGCTTCTGTCTAGTTTTTATCTCCAGATATTTCCCTCTTCAACATACACCTGAAAGTGCTCCCATATATGGCTTCATAGATTCTACAAATACAATGCTTTCAAACTGCTCCTTGAAAGGAAATGTTTAACTCTCTGAGATGAATGGATATATCCAAAGCAGATTCTCAGAAAGCTTCTTTCTATTATTTCTCTGAAGATATTTCTCTTTTCACAACTGGCCTTAATGTGCTCCCTAATATCCCTTCACAAATTCTACAAAAACTGTGATTCCAAACTGCTCCTTGTAAAGAAAGGTTTAACAGTGAGATGAATGCACACAGCAGAAAGAAGTTTCTCTGAAAGCAGTTTTCTTGTTTGTTTCTGAAATATTTCCTTTTTCACAATACGCCTCAATGCGCTCCGAATTATACCTTTGCAGATTCTCCAAATACAGTGTTTACAAATTGCTCCATCAAAAGAAAAGTTTAACTCAGTAAGATGAATGCATACATCACAAAGCAGTCTCTCAGAAAGCTTCATTCTAGTTTTTGTATAATAATATTTCCATTTCCACCATAGGCTTCAAGTTCTCCAAAATATCCCTCCACAGATTATACAAAAACAGGGTTAAAAAAACTGTTAAATGAAAAGGAAGGTTTAACTCTTCGAGATGAATGCACACATCACAAAGCAGTTTCTCAGAAAGCTTCTTTTTAGTTCTTCTCTGAAGATATTTCCTTTTTCACAGTTGGCCTCAATGCCATCTGAAATATCCCTTCACAGATTCTACAATTACAGTGTTTCCAATCTGCTCCATCAAAAGAAAGGTTTACCTCAGTGAAATGAATTCAACATCACAAAGCAGTTTCTCAGAAAGCTTCATTCTAGTTTGTCTCTAAAGACATTTCCATTTTTACTGCAGACCTCAATGTGCTCTGAAATATCCCATTGCAGTTTATACAAAAACAGAGTTAACAATATGCTCCAAGAAAAGAAAGGTTTATCTCTGTGAGATGAATGCGCTCATCACAAAATAGTTTGTTAGAAAATTTCTTTGTAGTTTTCCTCTGAAGATATTTCCTTTTCACCATAGGACTCAATGCACTCCAAAATATCCCTTAGCAGATTGTACAAAAGAAGTAATTCCAAACTGCTATATGGAAAGAAACGTTTAACTCTGTGAGATCAATGCACACATCAAAAAGGAGTTTCTCAGAAAACTTCTTTCCAGTTTTTATCTGTAGATATTTCCTTTTTCACCATAGGCCTCAATGAGCTCCTAAATACCCCTTTGCAGATTCTACAAAAACAGTGATTCCAAACTGCTCCATGTTAAGAAATGTTTAAATCTTTGAGATGAATGCACACATTACAAAGTAGTTTCTCACAAAGCTTCTTTCTAATTTTTCTGTCAAGATATTTCCATTTTCAAAATAGGCTTCAATGCACTCCCAATTATCCCTTCACAGATGCTACAAATAGAGTATTTCCAAACTGCTCCATGAAAAAGAAAGGTTTGGTTCTGTGAGATGAAAGCACACATCACAAAGCAGTTTCTCAGTAAGCTTCCTTCTTGTTTATCTCTGTAGATATTTCTCTTTTCACCACTGGCTTCAGTGTGCTACCAAATATCCCTATGCAGATTCTACAAAAACAGTGATTCAAACAGTCCACTTAAAAGAAAATTTTATCTTTGTGAGATGAATGCACACATCACAATGTAGTTTTTCAGGAAGCTTCTTTTTAGTTTTTCTCTGAAGATATTTCTTTTCACCATAGGCTTCAATGTGCTCCCAAGTATCCCTTCCAGATTCTACAAATACAGTGTTTACAAACTGCTCCATCAAAGAAAGATTTAACTCTGTGTGATGAAGGCACACATCTCAAAGCAGTTTCTGAGAGACACTCTTTCTAGTTTTTGTCTAAATTTATTTCCATTTTCACCAGAGGTCTCAATGTGCTCTGAAATATCCCTTTGCAGTTTATACAACAACAAGGTTAACAAACTGCTCCATGAAAAGAAAGGTTTAACTCTTGAGATGAATGCACAGATCACAAAATAGTTTTTCAGAAACATTCTTGTTAGTTATTCTCTGAAGATGTTTTTTTCACTGTAGGCCTCAATGCCCTCTCAAGTATCCCTTCGCAGATTCTATAAAAACAGCGTTTATGAACAGTTCCATCAAAAGAAGGATTTAACTCTGTGAGATGAACGCACAAATCAGAAAGCAGTTTCTCATAATGCTTCTTTCGAGTTCTTATCTAAGATACTTCCTTGTTCACCGTGAGCCATTTTGCACCACCAGACATCGCTTCACAGATTATACAAAAACCAAGTCTCCAAACTGCTTAGTCAAAAGAAATGTTTAACTCCATGAGATGAATGCAAATATCACAAAGCAGTTTCTCAGAAAGCTTCTTTCTAGTTTTTATCTGAAGATATTTCTTTTTTCACCATACGACTCAGAGCCCTCCCAAGTATCCCTTTGCAGATTCTGCAAAAACAGTGTTTCCAAACTGCTCAATCAAAAACAGGTTTAACTCTGTGAGAAGAAGGCACTCATCACAAAGCAATTTCTCAGCTTCTTTCTAGTTTTTATCTGAAGTTTTTCCTTTTTCACCATAGGCTTCATGCACTCCCAAATATCCCTTTGCAGATACTACAAAAACAGTGTTTCCATACTGATCAATCAAAAGAAAGATTTAACTCTGTGAGATGAATGCACACATCACAAAGCAGTTTCTCAGAAAGCTTCTGTCTAGTTCTTCTCTGAAGATATTGCCTTTTCCACGTTAGGCCTCAATGCACTCCCAAATATCCCTTCACAGTTTCTACAAAAACAGTGTTTCCAAACTGTTCCATCAAAAGAGGACTCAACTCCGTGAGATGAATGCACACATCTGAAAGCTGTTTCTCATTACTCTTCTTTCCAGTTTTTAACTGAAGATATTTCATTTATCATCATGGGCATTTTTGTTCTAATACCTCTTCACAGATTATACTGAAACAGTGTTTCCAAACTGCTCAGCCAAAAGAAAGGTTTAACTCTTTAAGATGAAATCATACATCACAAACCAGTGACTCAAAAAGCTTCTTTCTAGTTTAAATCCAAAGATATTTCCTTTTTCACCACAGTCCTAACTACGCTTTCAAATATACCACTGCAGATTCTACAAAAACAGTGTTTCCAAATTGCTCAATCAAAAGAAAGGTTTAACTCTGCGTGTTGAACACACACATCACAAAGCAGTTTCTCCAAATGTTTCTTTCTAGTTTTTATCTGAAGTTATTTCCCCTTTCACCACAGGCCTCGAATGAACCCAAATATCCCTTCACAGATTCTACAAAAAAACAGTGTTTCCAAACTCAGTGAAAAGAAAGGTTTAACTCTGTAAGTTGAATGCACTCATCAGAAAGCAGTTCGTCAGAAAGCTTCTGCCTAGTTCTTCTCTGAATATATATTTCTTTTTCCACCATACACCTTAATGGCATCCCAAATATCCCTTTGCAGATTCTACAAAAACAGTGTTTCCAAACTGTTCCATCAAAAGAAGGACTTAACTCTATGAGATGAACTCACAAATCAGAAAGCAGTTTCTCATAATGCTTCTTTCCAGTTTTTATCTGAAGATATTTTCTTTTTCACCATAGGCTTTTTTGTGCTGCCAAATATCACTTTGCGGATTATACAAAAACAGTGTTCCCAAACTGTTCAGTCAAAAGAAAGTTTTAACTCTGTGAGATGAATGCACACATCACAAACCAGTTTGTCAAAAAGCTTCTTTCTAGTTTTTATCTGAAGATATTTCCTTTTTCACCATTGGCCTAACTGAGCTTTCAAGTATCCCATTGCAGATTCTATAAAAACAGTGTTTCTGAACTGTTTAATCAAAGGAAAGTTTTAAATCTGTGAGAAGAATGCACACGTCACAAAGCCATTTCTCAGATAGCTTCTTTGTAGTTTTTATCCAATGTTATTTCCTTTTTCAACATAGGCCTCTTTGTGCTCCCAAATATCCCTTTGCAGATCCTAGCAAAACCGTTTTTCCAAACTGCTCACTCAAAAGAAGGCTTTAACTCTGTGAGAGGAATGCACAAATCACAAAGAAGTTTCCCAGAAAGCTTCCTTCTGGTTTTCATCTAGAGATATTACATTTTTCACCATAGGGCTCAATGAGTTCCCAATAGCCCTTCACAGATTCTGCCAAAAGGGTTTTTCCCAATGACTCCAACACAGGAAAGATTTAACACTGTGGAATGTATAGATACATCCCAAAGCAGTTTATCAAGAAGCTTCTTTCTAGTTTTTTTTCTGAAAATAATTCCTTTTTCACCACAGGCTTCAATGTGATCCCAAATATCCCATTGCAGATTCTACAAAAACAGGGTTTCCAAACTCCTCAATCAAAATAAATGTTTAACTGCGTGAGAAGAATATACACATCACAAAGCAGTTCCTCAGAAAGCTTCTGTCTTCTTTTTATATGAAGATATTTCTTTTTTCAACATAGGACTCAATGCACACAAAATTTTACCTATGCTCGCAAATACTACTTTGCAGATTCTACAAAAACAGTGTTTCCAAATTGCTCAACAAAAGGAAACGTTTAACTCTGTGAGAAGAATGCACATATCACAAAGCAGTTTCTCAGAAAGCTTCTTTTTAGTATTTTAACTGAAGTTATTTCCTTTCTCACAATTGGCCTCATGGGCTCCCAAATATCCCTTCGGAGATTCTACAAAAACTGTGCTTCCAAGCTGATTAATTAAAAGTAAGTTTTAACTCTGTGAAATAAATGCACACTTCAAAAAGCAGTTTCTAAAAAAGCTTCTTTCTAGTTTTTATCCAAAGATATTTCCTTTTTCACCTTAGGCATCAATGCACTCCCGAATATCCCTTCACAGATTCTACAAAACAGAGTTTCCAAGCTGCTCAATCAAAAGAAAGTATTAACGCTGTGAGATGAATGCACACATCCCAAAGCAGTTTCTCAGAAAGTGTCTGTCTCATTCTTCTCTGAAGATATTTCCTTTTCCACCATAGACCTCAATGCACTCCCAAATATCCCTTCACAGATCCTATAAAAACAGTGTTTCTGAGCTTTTCCATCAAAGAAAGGATTTAGCAGTGTGAGATGAATGTATACATCATAAAGTACTTTCTCGTAATTCTTCTTTCCAGTTTTATCTGAAGATCTTTCCTTGTTCACCATAGGCTTTTTTGTGCTACAAAATATCGCTTCACAGATTTTGCAAAAAGAGTGTCTCCAAACTGCTCATTCAAAAGAAAAGTTTAACTCTGTGAGACGAATGCATGCATCACAAAGCAGTTTGTCAAAAACTTCTTTCTACTTTTTAACCAAAGATATGTGTTTTATCACCACAGGCATCAATGCACTCCCAAATATCCCTTTGCACATTCTACAAAAACAGTATTCCCACACTGCTCAATCAAAAGAAATATTTAACTCTGTGTGAAGAATGCACACATCACAAAGCGATTTCTCAGAATGCTTTTTTCTGGGTTTTATCCGAAGATATTTCCTTTTCCACCACAGGCCTGAATGCAATCACAAATATCCCTTCACAGATTCTTGAAAAAATGTTTCCAAGCTGTTCCATCAAAAGAAGGAGTTAACACTGGGAGATGAACACACATCAGATAACTGTTCCTCATAACACTTCTTTCCAGTTTTTATCTGAAGATATTTCCTTGTTCAGCATAAGGTTTTTGCACCACCAAATATTGATTTGTGGATTGAAAAAATAAATTTAAAAACTGCTTCATTAAAAGAAATGTTTAACTCCGTGAAATGAACATGCACATGACAAAGCAGTTTCTAGAACAGCTTCTTTCTAGTTTTTATCAGAAGATATTTCCTTTTTGAGCATAGGTTTCAAGCGCTCCCTGTGGGGAAAAGAAAGAGAGGTCAGATTGTTAATGTGTCTATATAGAAAGTAGACATAAGAGACTCCATTTTTTTCTGTACTAAGAAAAATTCTTCTGTCTTGAGATGCTGTTAATCTGTAACCCTACCCCCAATCATGTGCTCCCTGAAACATGTGCTGTGTCAACTCAGGGTTACATGGATTAAGGGCTGTGCAAGGTATGCTTTGTTAAACAAATGCTTGAAGGCAGCAAGCTTGTTAAGAGTCATCACCACTCCCTAATCGCAAGTACCCAGGGACACAAAACACTGGAAGACCACAGGGACCTCTGCCTAGGGAAGCCAGGTATTGTCCAAGGTCTCTCCCCATGTGATAGCCTGAGATATGGCCTCGTGGGAATGGAAAAAGACCTGACCATCCCCCAGCCCGACACCCATAAAGGCTCTGTGCTGAGGCGGATTAGGAAAAGAGGAAGGAATGCCTCTTTGCAGTTGAGACAAGAGGAAGGCATCTGTCTCCTGCTCATCCCTGGATAAAACCCAATTGTATATTCCATCTACTGAGATAGGGGAAAACCACCTTAGGGCTGGAGGTGGGACTTGTGGGTGGCAATACTGCTCTTTAAGGCATTGAGATGTTTATGTGTATATATATCTAAAGGACAGCACTGAATTCTTTACCTTGCTTATGATTCAGAGAACTTTGTTCACGTGTTTAGCTGCTGACCTTCTCTCCAGTATTATCCTATGACCCTGCCACCTCCCCCTCTCTGAGGAACACCCAATAATGATCAATAAATACTAAGGGAACTCAGAGGCTGGTGGGGATCCTCCATGTGTTGAACGTCAGTCTCCTGGGCCCCCTTTTTCTTTCTTTATACTTTTTCTTTCTTTGTACTTTTTCTCTATGTCTCTTTCTTTTCCAAGTATCTCATTCCACCTAAGGAGAACAACCCACAGGTGGGACGGGCAACCCACCCCTTCCTCTGGCATCCAACATGGGTGCTTTTCTCTAGGGTGAAGGTACGCTCAAGCATGGTCATTGAGGACAAGTCTATGAGAGATCCTGAGTACATCTGCAGTCAGCCTTATGGTAAACTTGTGTGCTCAGAAGAAGCCAGGGTAACAATGGGGCAAACTAAAAGTAAAACTAAAAGTAAATATGCCACTTATCTCAGCTTTATTAAAATTCATTTTTTATTATTATTATACTTTAAGTTGTAGGGTACATGTGCACAATATGCAGGTTAGTTACATATGTATACATGTCCCATGCTGTTGTGCTGCACCCATTAACTCGTCATTTAGCATTAGGTATATCTCCTAATGCTATCCCTCCCACATACCGCCACCCCACAACAGTCCCCAGAGTGTGATGTTCCCCTTCCTGTGCCCATGTGTTCTCATTGTTCAATTCCCACTTATGAGTGAGAACATGTGGTGTTTGGTTTTTTGTCCTTGCGATAGCTTACTGAGAATGATGATTTCCAATTTCATCCATGTCCCTACAAAGGACATGAGCTCATCCTTTTTTATGGCTGCATAGTATTCCATGGTGTATATGTGCCACATTTTCTTAATCCAGTCTATCATTGTTGGACATTTGGATTGGTTCCAAGTCTTTGCTATTGTGAATAGTGTCACAATAAACCTACTTGTGCAAGTGTCTTTATAGCAGCATGATTTATAGCCCTTTGGGTGTATACCCAGTAATGGGATGGCTGGGCCATATGGTATTTCTAGTTCTAGATCCCTGAGGAATCACCACACTGACTTCCACAATGGTTGAACTAGTTTACAGTCCCACCAACAGTGTAAAAGTGTTCCTATTTCCCCACATCCTCTCCAGCACCTGTTGTTTCCTGACTTTTTAATGATTGTCATTCTAACTGGTGTGAAAGAGGGGGATTTAGAGTCTCTACAAAAAATCTAATCAAGCTATTTTGAACAATAGAAGAATTTTGTCCATGGTTTCCAGAACAGGGAACTTTAGATCTAAAAGATTGAGAAAAAATTGGCAAAGAACTAAAACAAGCAAGTAGGGAGAGTAAAATCATCCCACTTAAGGTATGGAATGATTGGGCTATTATTAAAGCAGCTTTAGAAACATTTCAAACAGAAGAAGATAGCGTTTCAGTTTCTGATGCCACTGGAAGCTGTGTAATAGATTGTAAAGAAGAGACAAGGAGAAAATTCCAGAAAGAAATGGAAAGTTTACATTGTGAATATGTTGCAGAGCTGGTAATGGCTCAGACAATCCAAAATGTTGACTATAATCAATTACAGGAGATTATATATCTTGAAACGTTAAAATTAGAAGAAAAAGGTCCAGAATTAGTCGGGCCATAAGAGCATAAACCATGAGCACCAAGCCCTCTTCCAGCAGGTGAGATGCCTGGAACATTACAGTCTCCAATGCAGGTTAGAGAAAATAAGACCCAACCACCAGTAGCTTAGCAATACTGGCCACTGGCCAAACTTCAGCATCAGCCATCCCCAGAAAGTCAGTATGGACATTCAGGAATGCTCCCAGCACCACAGGGCAGGGAGCCATACCCTCAGCCACCCACTATGACACTTAATCCAACAGCACCACCTAGTCAACAGGGTAGTGCGTTACATAAAATTATTGATAATTCAAGAAACCAAGGAGATATTGAGGCATGGCAATTCCCAGTAACGTTAGAACCAATACCACCTGGAGAAGGGGCCCAAGAGGGAGAGCCTCAAACAGTTGAGGCCAGATATGAGTCTTTTTCTATAAAAATGCTGAAAGATATGAAAGAGGGAGTAAAACAGTATGGACCCAACTTCCCTTATATGAGGACATTATTAGACTCCATTGCTCATGGTCATAGACTCATTCCTTATGATTGGGAGATTTTGGCAAAATCGTCTTCTCACCCTCTCAATTTTTACAATTTAAGACTTGGTGGATTGATGGGTAACAAGAACAGGTCCGAAGAAATAGGGCTGCCAATCCTCCAGTTAACATAAATGCAGATGAACTATTAGGAACAGATCAAAATTGGAGCACTATTAGTCAACAGGCATTAATGCAAAATGAGGCCATTGAGCAAGTTAGAGCTATCTGCTTTAGAGCCTGGGAAAAAAATCCAAGACCCAGGAACTGCCTGCCCCTCTAATAAAATAACACAAGGCTCTAAAAAGCCCTACCCTGATTTTGTGGCAAGGTTCCAAGGTGTTGCTCAAAAGTCAGTTGCTGATGAAAATGCCCGTAAAGTCATAGTGGAGTTGTTGGCATAAGAAAATGCCAATCCTGAGTGTCAATCAGCCAGTAAGCCATTAAAAGGAAAGATTCTTGCAGGATCAGATGTAATCTCAGAGTATGTAAAAGCCTGTGATGGAATTGGAGGAGCTATGCATAAAGCTATGCTTATGGCTCAAGCAATGACAGGAGTTGCTTTAGAAGGACAAGTTAGAACATTTGGAGGGAAATGTTTTAATTGTGGTCAAATTGGTCATTTAAAAAAAGAATTGCCTAGCCTCAAATAAACAAAGTATAACTATTCAAGCTATTACAACAACAGGTAAAAAGCCACCGGACTTATGTCCAAGATGTAAAAAAGGAAAACATTGGGCTAGTCAATGTTGTTCTAAATTGGATAGAAATGGGCAACCATTATAGGGAAATGAGAAGAGGGGCCAGCCTCAGGCCCTAAAACAAACTGGGGCATTCCCAATTCAGTGCTTTTTTCTTCAGGGTTTTCAGGAACAACAACCCCCACTGTCCCAAGTGCCTCAGGGAATGAGCCAGTTAACACAATACAACAATTGTCCCCCACAACAAGCAGCAGTGCAGCAGTAGATTTATGTAATATACAAGCAGTCTCTCTGCTTCCAGGAGAGCCCCCACAAAAATTCCCACCGGGCTATATGGCACACTGCCTGAGGGGACTGTAGGACTAATCTTAGGAAGATCAAGTCTAAATCTAAAGGGAGTTCAAATTCATACTGGTGTGGTTGATTCATACTATAAAGGCAAAATTTAATTGGATACTAGCTCTTCAATTCCTTGGAGTGCCAGTCCAGGAGACAGGATTGCTCGATTATTACTGCTGCCTCATATTAAGGTTGGAAATAGTGAGATAAGAAGAACAGGAGGGTTTGGAAGCATTGATCTGACAGGAAAGACTGCATATTGGGCAAGTCAGGTCTCAGAGAACAGACCTGTGTGTAAGGCCATTATTCAAGGAAAACATTTTGAAGGGTTAGTAGACACTGGAGCAGATGTCTCTATCATTGCTTTAAATCAGTGTCCAAAAAATTGGCCTAAACAAAAGGCTGTTAGAGGAGCTGTCGGCATAGGCACACTCTTGGAAGTGTATCAAAGTACTGAGATTTGACACTGTTTAGGGCCAGATAATCAAGAAAGTACTGTTCAGCCAATGATTACTTCGATTCCTCTTAATCTGTAGGGTTGAGGTTTATTACAACAATAGGGTGCAGTAATCACTATGCCCACTCCATTATATAGCCCCACGAGTCAAAAAATCATGATTAAGTTGGGATATATACCAGGAAAGGGACTAGAAAAAAAAAAGAAAATGGCATTAAAGTCCCAATTGAGACTAAAAGAAATCAAAAAAGAGAAGGAATAGGGTATCCTTTTCAGTTGCAGACAGTGTAGAGCCTCCTAAACCCATACCATTAACTTGGAAAACAGAAAAACCAGTATGGGTAAATCAGTGGCCTCTACCAAAACAAAAACTGGAGGCTTTGCATTTATTAGCAAATGTACAGTTAGAAAAGGGACATATCAAGCCTTCATTCTTGCCTTGGAATTCGCCTGTGTTTGTAATTCAGAAAAAAATCCAACAAATTGTATGTGTTAACTGACTTAAGGACTGTAAATGCTGTAACTCAACCTATGGGGCTTCTTCAACCCGGATTGCCCTCTCCGGTCATGATCCCAAAAGACTGGCCTTTAATTATAAATGATCTAAAGGATTGCTTTTTTACCATTCCTCTGGCAGAGCAGGATGGCGAAAAATTTGACTTTACTATACCAGCCATAAAAAATAAAGAACAGGCCACCAGGTTTCAGTGGAAAGTGTTACCTCAGGGAATGCTTAATAGTCCAACTATTTGTCAGACTTTGGAGGTCGAGCTCTTCAACCAGTGAGTTTTCAGACTGTTATATCATTCATTATGTTGATGATATTTTCTGTGCTGCAGAATCAAGAAACAAATTGATTTACTGTAATACATTTCTGCAAGCAGAGGTTGCCAATGCAGGACTGGCAATAGCATCTGATAAGATTCAAACCTCTGCTCCTTTTCATTATTTAGGGATGCAGATAGAAAATAGAAAAATTAAGTCACAAAAAATCAAAATAAGAAAAGACACATTAAAAACACTAAATGATTTTCAAAAATTGCTAGGAGATATTAATTGGATTCAGCCAACTCTAGGCATTCCTAATTATGCCATGCAGAATTTGTTCTTTACCTTAAGAGGAGACTCAGATTTAAATAGTAAGAGAATGTTAACCCCAGGGGCAACAAAAGAAATTAAATTAGTGGAAGAAAAAATTCAGTCAGCACAAATAAATAGATCCCTTAGCCCCACTCCAACTTTTGGTTTTTGCTACTGCACATTCTCCAACAGGCATCATTGTCCAAAATACTGATCTTGTGGAGTGGTCATTCTTTCCTCACAGTACAATTAAGACCTTTACATTGTACTTGGATCAAATAGCTACATTAATTAGTCAGTCAAGATTATAAATAATAAAATTCTGTGGAAATGACTCAGACAAAATAGTTGTCCCTTTAACAAAGGAACAAGTTAGACAAAGCTTTATCAATTATGGTGCATGGCAGATTGGTCTTGCTAACTTTATGGGAATTATTGATAATCATTATCCAAAAACAAAAATCTTCCAGTTTTTAAAATTGACTACCTGGATTTTATCTAAAATTACCAGACATGAACTTTTAGAAAACCCTTTAATGGTATTTACTAATTGTTCCAGCAATGGAAAAGTGGCTTACACAGGGCCAAAAGAGTGAGTAATCAAAACTCAATATAAATCAGCTCAAAGAGCAGTGTTGGTTGCAGTCATTACAGTGTTACAAGATTTTGATCAACCTATCAATATTGTATCAGATTCTTCATATGTAGTATAGGCTACAAGGAATGTTGAGACAGCTTTAATCAAACATAGCATGGATGATCAGTTAAACCAGCTATTCAATGTATTACAACAAACTGTAAGAGAAAGAAATTTCCTATTTTATATTACTCATATTCAACACACACTAATTTACCAGGGCCTTTGACTAAAGCAAATGAACAAGCTGACTTACTGGTATCATCTGCATTCATAAAAGCACAAGAACTTCTTGCTTTGACTCATGTAAATGCAGCAACATTAGAAAACAAATTTGATGTCACATGGAAACAGGCAAAATATATTGTACAACATTGCACCCAGTGTCAAGTCCTACACCTGCCCACTCAAGAGGCAGGAGTGAATCCCAGAGGTCTGTGTCCTAATGTATTATGCAAATGGATGTTACCTGTGTACCTTCATTTGGAAGATTATCGTATGTTCATGTAACAGTTGATACTTATTCACATTTCATACGGGCAACTTGCCAGACAAGAGAAAGTACCTCCCATGTTAAAAAACATTTATTATCTTGTTTTGCTGTAATGGGAGTTCCAGAAAAAAATAAAACTGACAACGGACGAGGATATTGTACTAAAGCTTCCCAAAAATTCTTAAATCAGTGGAAAATTTCACATACAACAGTAATTCCCTATAATTCCCAATGAGAGGCCATAGTTGAAAGAACTAATAGAACACTCAAAACTCAAATAGTTAAACAAAAAGAAGGGGGAGAGAGTAAGGAGTGTACCACTCCTCAGATGCAACTTAATCTAGCACTCTATACTTTAAATTTTTCAAACATTTATAGAAATCAGACTACTACTTCTGCAGAGCAACTTCTTACTGGTAAAAAGAACAGCCCAATTGAAGGAAAACTGATTTGGTGGAAAGATAATAAAAATAAGACATAGAAATTATGGAAGGTGATAACGAGGGAGGGAGGTTTTGCTTGTGTTTCACCAGGAGAAAATCAGCTTCCTGTTTGGATATCCACTAGACATTTGAAGTTCTACAGCGAACCCTTCAGAGATGCAAAGAAAAGTGCCTCCACAGAGATGGAAACACCAGTCACATGGATGGTTAATCCTATTCAATTATATGTTAATGATAGAGTACGGGCACCTGGCCCCAGAGATGATGGCTGTCCTCCCAAACCTGAGGAAGAAGGCATGATGATAAATATTTCCACTGAGTATCATTATCCTTCTATTTGCCTAGGGAGAGCAACAGGATGTTTAATGCGTGTAATCCAAAATTGGTTGGGAGAAGTACCTACTGTCAGTCTCGTCAGTAGATTCACTTATAACATGGTAAGTGGGATGACACTCAGGCCACAGGTAAATTATTTACAAGACTTTTCTTATCAAAGGTCATTAAAATTTAGACCTAAAGGGAAACTTGCCCCAAGGAAATTCCCAAAGGATCAAAAAATACAGAAGTTTTACTTTGGGAAGAATGTGTGGCCAATAGTGCGGTGATATTACAAAACAGTGAATTCGGAACTGTTATAGATTGGGCACCTCGAGGTCAATTCTACCACAATTGCACAGGAAAAACTCAGTCGTGTTCCAGTGCACAAGTGAGTCCAACTGTTGATAGCAACTTAACCAAAAGTTTAGACGAACATAAGCATAAGAAATTACAATCTTTCTACCCTTGGAAATGGGGAGAAAAAGTAATCTCTACCCTAAGACCAAAAATAACAAGTCCTGTTTCTGGTCCTGAATATTCAGAATTGTGGAGGCTTACTGTAGCCTCTTACTGCATTAGAATTTGGTCTGGAAATCAAACTTTAGAAACCAGAGACTGTAAGCCATTTTATACTATTGACCTAAATTCCAGTCTAACAGTTCCTTTACAAAGTTGTGTAAAGCCCCCTTATATGCTAGTTGTAGGAAATATAATTATTAAACCAGACTCTCAAACTATAACCTGTGAAAATTTTAGATTGTTTAACTTGCATTGTTTCAACTTTTAATTGGCAGCACTGTATTCTGCTGGTGAGAGCAAGAGAAGGCATTTGGATCCCTGTATCCATGGACCGACCGTGGGAGGCCTCGCTATCCAACCATATTTTGACTGAAGTATTAAAAGACATTTTAAATAGATCCAAAGGATTCATTTTTACTTTAATTACAGTGATTATGGGATTAATTGCAGTCACAGCTATGGCTGCTGTGGCAGGAGTTGCATTGCACTGTTCTGTTCAGTCAGTAAACTTTGTTAATGATTGGCAAAAAAAAATCTACTGGATTGTGGAATTCACAATCTGGTATTGATCAAAAATTGGCAAATCAAATTAATGATCTTAGACAAACCGTCATTTGGATGGGAGACAGGCTCATGAGCTCAGAACATCATTTCCAGTTACAGTGTGACTTGAATACATCAGATTTTTGTATCATACCTCACGTTTATAATGAGTCAGAGTATCAGTGTGACATGGTTAGAAGCCATCTGCAGGGAATAGAAGATAATGTCACTTTAGACATTTCCAAATTAAGTTAACAAATTTTCAAAGCATCAAAAGCCCATTTAAATTTGGTAACAGAGACTGAGGCAATCGCAGGAGTTGCTGATGGCCTCATAAATCTTAACCCTGTCACTTGGGTTAAGACCATCAGAAGTACTACGATTATAAATTTCATATTAATCCTTGTGTTCCTGCTTTGTCTGTTGTTAGTCTACAGGTGTACCCAACAGCTCTGAGGAGACAGTGACCATCGAGAAAGAGGCATGATGATGATGGCAGTTTTGTCGAAAAGAAAATGGAGAAATGTGGGGAAAAGAAAGAGAGATCAGATTGTTAATGTGTCTATATAGAAAGTAGACATAAGAGACTCCATTTTTTTCTGTACTAAGAAAAATTCTTCTGTCTTGAGATGCTGTTAATCTGTAACCCTACCCCCAATCATGTGCTCCCTGAAACATGTGCTGTGTCAACTCAGGGTTACATGGATTAAGGGCTGTGCAAGGTATGCTTTGTTAAACAAATGCTTGAAGGCAGCAAGCTTGTTAAGAGTCATCACCACTCCCTAATCACAAGTACCCAGGGACACAAAACACTGTGGAAGACCACAGGGAACTCTGCCTAGGGAAGCCAGTTATTGTCCAAGGTCTCTCCCCATGTGATAGCCTGAGATATGGCCTCGTGGGAATGGAAAGACCTGACCATCCACCAGCCCGACACCCATAAAGGCTCTGTGCTGAGGCGGATTAGGAAAAGAGGAAGGAATGCCTCTTTGCAGTTGAGACAAGAGGAAGGCATCTGTCTCCTGCTCATCCCTGGATAAAACCCAATTGTATATTCCATCTACTGAGATAGGGGAAAACCACCTTAGCGCTGGAGGTGGGACATGCGGGCAGCAATACTGCTCTTTAAGGCATTGAGATGTTTATGTGTATACATATCTAAAACACAGTACTTAATTATTTACCTTGTTTATGATGCAGAGAACTTTATTCACGTGTTTAGCTGCTGACCTTCTCTCCGCTATTATCCTATGACCCTGCCACATGCTCCTCTTAGAGAGACACACAGTAATGATCAATAAATACTAAGGGAACTCAGAGGCCAGTGGGGATCCTCCGTGTGCTGAATGCCAGTCTCCTGGGCCTCCTTTTTCTTCCTTTATACTTTGTCTCTGTGTCTCTTTCTTTTCCAAGTCTCTCATTCCACCTAATGAGAAAAAGCCACATGTTTGGAGGGCCAACCCACCCCTTCACTCCCAAATATCCCGTTGCAGATTCTACAAAAACAGTGTTTCCAAACTACTCAATCAAAAAACAGGTTTATCTCTGTGAGTTAAGCATACACTTCACAGAGCAGTTTCTCAAAAATCATCTTTCTAGTTTTTATCCAAAGATATTGCCTTTTTCACCCCAGGCTTCAATGCACTCCCAAATATCCCTTTACAGATTCTAAAAAAACTCTTTCCAAACTGCTCAATTGAAAGAAAGGTTTACCTCTGTTAGATGAATACAGACACCCCATAAAGAAGTTTGTCATAAAGCTTCTGTCTAGTTCTTCTCTGAAGATATATCCCTTTTCACCCCAGGTTTCAATGTGCTCCCAAATATCTCTTCACAGATTCTACAAAAATGGTGTTTCCAAACTGCTCAACCAAAAGAAAGGTTTAACTCTGTAAGATAAACGCAAGGATAACAAAGCAGTTTCTCATAATACTTCTTCCCAGTTTTTACCTGAAGATATTTCCTTTTTGACCATAGGCATTTTTGCGCTACCTAGCATCACTTCACAGTTTATTCAAAACAGTGTTTCCAAACTGTTCAGTCAAAAGAAAAGCTGAACTCTGTGAGATGGATGCAAACATCACAAAGCAGTTTCTCAAAGAGCTTCTTTCTAGTTTTTATCCAGAGATATTTCATTTTTCATCATAGGCATCACTGAGCTCCTAAATATCCCTTTGCAGATTCTACAAAACAGTGTTTCCAAACTACCCAATCAAAAGAAAGGTTTAACTCTGAGATGAATGCACACATCTCAAATCAGCTTCTCAGATAGTTTCTCTCTAATTCTTCTCTGAAGATATTTGTTTTCCACCATAGGCCTCTATGTGCTCTGAAATGTCCCTTCACAGTTTTCATAAAGCCAGTGTTTCTGAAGTGTTCCATCAAAGGAAGTATTTATCTCTGTCAGATCAAGGCACACATCAGAAATCAGTTTCTCATAAAGCTTCTTTCCAGTTTTTATCTGAAGACATTTCTTTGTTCACCATAGGCCATTGTGGGCTACATAACATTGCTTCACAGATAATACCAAAGAGTGTTTCCAATTGCTCAGTGAAAAGAAATGTTTAACTCTGTGAGATGAATGCATACATCACAAAGCAGTTTCTCAAAAACGTTCTTTCTAGTTTTTATCCAAAGTTATTTCCTTTTTCACCATAGGCATCTGTGTGCTCCAAAATATCCCTCTGCAGATTGTACAAAAAACTGTTTCCAAACTGCTCAAGCAAAAAACAGGTTTAACTCTTTTAGAAGAATGCACACATCCCAAAGCAGTTTCTCGGAAAGCTTCTTTCTAGTTTTTATCTGAAGTTATTTCCTTTTTCACCATAGACCTCATGTGCTCACAAGTATCCCTTTGCAGATACCACAAAAACAGTGTTTCCAAACAAATCAATCAATAGAAAGGTTTAACTCCATGAGATGAATGGTCGCATTTCAAAGAAGTTTCTCAAAAAACTTATTTCTAGTTTTTATTCGAAGTTATTTCCTTTTTCACCATAGGTGTAAATGTGTTCCCTTGTATCCCTTCATGGATTCTACAAAATCAGTGTTTCCAAACTGCTTAATCATAAGAAAGGTGTAACTCTGTGAGATGAATGCACAAATCACAAAGAAGTTTCTCAGAAAGCTCCTGTCTACTTCTTCCCTGAAGATATTTCCTTTTCCACCATGAGGATCAATGCAGCCCCACATATCACTTTACAAATTCTACAAAAACAGTGTTACCAAACTGTTCCGTGAAAAAAATGACTTAACTCTGTAGGATGAATGCATGCATCAGAAAGCAGTTTCTCATAATTCTTCTTTCCAGTTTTTATCTGAAGACATTTCCTTGTTCACCATAAGCTTTTTTGCACTACCAGTTATTGTTTGCCAGATTTTGCAAAAGCACTGTTTCCAAACTACTCTGTCAAAAGAAAGATTTAACCCTCTGAGTTGAATGCACACATCAAAGAGCAGTTTCTCAATAATATTCTTTCTAGTTTTTATCCAAGGTTATTTCCTTTATCACCATAGGCTTCAAAGCACTCCCAAATATCCCATCGAAGGTACTACAAAAACATTGTTACCAAGCTGCTCAATCAAAAATCAGGTCTAACCCTGTTAGTTGAATGCACACATCACAAAGCAGTTTCTCAGAAAGCTTCTTTCTATTTTTTATCAGAAGCAGTTTCTCAAAAAGCTTCTTTCTAGTTTTTATCCGAAGTTATTTCCTTTATCTCCATAGGCTTCAAAGCACTCCAAAATACCCCATCGAAGATTCTACAAAAACCGTGTTTCCAAGCTGCTCAATCAAAAAACAGGTTTAACTCTGTGAGTTGAATGCACATCTCACAATGCAGCTTCTCAGAAAAATTCTGTCTAGTTCTCTGAAGATATTTCCTTTTCCACCATATGCCTCAATGCATTCTCAAATAACCCTTCACAGATTCTATAAAAACAGTATTTCCTATCTGTTCCATCAAAAGAAGGATTTAACTTTGTGAGATGAATGCACACATCAGAAAGCAGTTTCTCATAACGCTTCTTTCCAGCTTCAATCTGAAGATATTTCCTTGTTCAAAATAGGCATTTTTGCACTACTTAACATCACTTCATCGATTATACAAAAACACTGTTTCCAAACTGCTCAGTCCAAAGAAATATTTATCTCTGTGCAAGGAATACACACATCACAAAGCTGTTTCTCAAAATGCTTCTTTGTAGTTTTTATCCAAAGATATTTCCTTTATCACCATAGGCATCAATGCACTGCCAAATATCCCATCACAGATTCCACAACAGTGTTTACAAACGGCTTCATCAAAAAACACTTTTAACTATCTGACTTGAATGCACACATCACAAAGCAGTTTCTCAAAGCTTCTTTCTATTTTTTATTTGAAGATATTTCCTTTTTCACCTCAGCCTTCGGTGTACTCCCAAATATACATTTGCTGATACTACAAACACAGTGTTTCCAAACAGCTCAATCAAAAGAAAGTTTTAAATCTGTCACATGAATGCACATGTCACAAAGCACTTTCTCACATATTTTCTATCTAGTTCTTCCCTGAAGATATTTCCTTTTCCACCATAGGCCTCAATGTGCTCAAAAATATCCCTTTGCACATTCTACCAAAACACTGTTTCAAAACTCCTCAATCAAAAAACAGGTTTAACTCTGTGAGTTGAACACCTACATCACAAAGCAGTTTCTCAAAAACTTCTTTCTAGTTTTTATCTGATGGCATTTCCTTTTTCACCAAATATACCTTTGCAGATCCTAAAAAAACAGTGTATCCAAACTGATCAATTAAAAGAATAGTATAACTCTGTGAGATAAATGCACACATCACAAAGTAGTTTCTCAAATAGCTTCTTTCTAGTTTTTATCCTAAGATATTTCCCTTTTCACCATAGGCTTCAATGTGCTCCTAAATATCCCTTCACGGATACCACAAAAATACTGTTTCCAAAGTGCTCAATCAAAAGAAAGGTTCAACTCTGTGAAAAGAATTCACACATCACAAAGAAGTTTCTCAGAATGCTTCTGTCTAGTTTTTCTCTGAAGATATTTCCTTTTCCACCATATGCATAAATGGGCTCCCAAATAACCCTTCGCACATTCTAGAAAAACAGTGTTTCCAAACAGTTCCATCAAAAGAAGGACTTAACTCTGTGAGATGAATACACACATGAGAAAGCAGTTTCTCATAACAGTTCTTTCCAGTTTTTATCTGAAATTATTTCCTTTTTCAACATAGGCTTTTTTGCTCTTCTTAATATCGCTTCACAAATTTTGCAGAAACAGTGTTTCCAAACTGCTCAGTCAAAACAAAGGTTTAACTCTCTCAGATGAATGCACACATCACAATGCAGCTTCCCAAAAGCTTGTTTCTAGTTTTTATCTGAAGATATTTCGTTTTTCACCATAGGCCACAATGCACTCCTAAATATCCCTTTGTGGATTCTACAAAAACAGTGTTTGCAAACTCTTCCAACAAAAGAAGGACTTAACTCTCTGAGATGAATGCACATCAGAACGCAGTTTCTCATAACAATTCTTACCAGTTTTTATCTTAAGATATTTTCTTGTTCACCATAGGCTATTTTGCACTACTGAATATTGTTCTGCAGATTTTGCAAAAACTGTGTTTGCAAACTGCTCATTCAAAAGAAACGTATACGTCAGAGATGAACAGACCCATCACATTGCAGTTTCTCAGATAGATTCTGTCTAGTTTTTCTCTGAAGATATTTCCTTTTCCACCATAAACCTCGGTGCACTCCCAAATATACCTTTGCAGACTCTGCAAAAATAGTCTTTGCAAACTGCTCAATCAAAAGAAAGGTTTAACTGTGTGAGAAGTATGTACACATCACAAAGGAGTTTATCAGAAGGCTTCTCTCTAGTTTTTATCCAAAGATATTTCCTTTTTCAACATAGTCCACGAAGGGCTCAAAATTATCCTTATGCTCACAAATATCATTTTGCAGATTCTACAAAAACAGTGTTTCCGAACTGCTCCATCAAAGGAAAGGTTTAACTCTGTGAGATGAATGCAAATATCACAAGGTAGTTTTTCAGAAAGTTTCTTTCTAGTTTTTTTCCAAAGATATATCCTTTTCACCACAGGCCTTAATGTGCTCCCAAATACCCTTTTGCAGATTCTACAAAAACGGTGATTCCAAATTGCTCCATCAAAAGAAAAGTTTAAATCTTTGAGATCAATGCAAACATCACAGTTTCCTAGGAAGCTTCTTTATAGTTATTCTCTGGAGATATTTCCTTTTTCACTATAGGCCTCAATGTGCTCCCAAATAGTCTTCTGCAGATTCCACAAATAGTGTTTCCAAGCTGCTCCATTAAAAATGTTGTTTAAATCTGTCAAATGAATGCTTACATCACAAAGCAGTTTCTCGGAAAGCTTCATTCTAGTTTTTGTCTAGAGATATTTCCACTTTCACCATAGGCTTCATAGTGCTCTGAAATATTCCATCGCATTTTGTACAAAAACAGGTTTTACTAATAGCTCCATCAAAAGAAAGGTTTAACTCTGTGAGATGAATGCACACATCACAAAGTCGTTTCTCAGAAAGATTCTTTCTAGTTTTTTTCTGGAGATATTTCCTTTTCACCATGGGACTCAAAGAACTCCCAAATATTGATTTGCAGATTATACTAAAACTGTTTACAAAATGCTCCATCAAAAGAAAGTTTTAATTCCGTGAGATGAATGCGCACATTACAAAATAGTATCTCAGAAAGCTTCTTTCTAGATTTATCTGAAAATATTTCTTTTCACCATAGGCCTCAAAGTGCTCCAGAATATCTCTTCAGAGATTATACAAAAGCTTTAAAAGATTATAGAAAGGTTAAACTCTATGAGATGAAAGCACACATCACAAAGCAGTTTCTTACAAAGCTTCTGTCCAGTTTTTATCTGAAGATATTTCTGTTTTCACCATAGGCCTGAAAGCACTCCCAAATGTGGCTTCGCAGATTCTACAAATACAGTGTTTTCAAACTGCTCTTTCAAAGGAAAGGTTTAACTCTGTGAGATGAATGGACACATTGCAAAGCAGTTTCACAGAAAGTTTTCTTTATAATTTTCCTCTGAAGATATTTCTCTTTTCGCCCCAGGCTTAATGTGTTCACAAATATCCCTTCACGGATTCTACAGTAAGAGTGATTCCCAACTGCTCCAACAAAAGAAGTGTTTATCTCTGTGAGAAGAATGCACACATGTCACAAAGAAGTTTCTCAGAAAGCTTCTTTCTAGTTTTCCTCTGAAGATATTTCCTTTTTTCACATTAAGCCTCAATGCATTCCCAAATATGTCTTCACAGATTCTAGAAGTACAGTGTGTCCAAACTGTTCCATCAAAAGTAAGGTTTTATCTCAGTGAAATGAAAGCACACATCACAACACAGTTTCTCAGACGCTTCATTCTGGTTTTTGTCTATAGGTATTTCCATTTTCACCATAGGCCTCAATGTTCTCCAAAATATTCCTTCTTCATTTATACAAAAACAGGCTTAACAAACTGCTCCATCAAAAGAAAGGTTTAATTATGTGAGTTGAATGCATACATCACAAAGTATTTTCTCAGAAAATTTCTTTCTCATTTTTCTCTGAAGATATTTCCTTTTCATCATATGACTAATGTGTGCCATTTGTCCCTTCACTGATCATACAGAAACAGTGTTTACAAACTTCTCTATCCAAAGAAAGTTTTAAATCTGTGGGATGAATGCACACATCACAAAGTTGTTTATCAGAAAGCTTCTTTCTAGATTTATCTGAAGATTTTTTTTCAGCAGAGGCCTCAATGCACTCCAAAATATCCCTTCACAGATTCTACAAAAACTGTTTCCAAACTGCTCCACCAAAAAGAATGGTTTAGCTGTGTGAGATGAAAACACACATCACAAAGCAGTTTCTCACAAAGTCTCAGTCTAGTTTTTATCTGAAGATATTTCCCTTCTCTCCGTAGGCCTGAAAGGGCTCCCAAATATGGCTTTGCAGTTCCTACAAATACAGTTTTTTCAAACTGCTCCTTCAAAGAAAGTTTTAGCTCTGTGAGATGAATGGACACATCACAAAGCACTTTCTCTGAAAGCTTCTTTCTTGTTTTTCTTTGAAGGTATTTCTCTTTTCACCACAGGCCTTAACTGGCTCCCAAATGTCCCTTTGCAGATTCTACAGAAACAGTGATTCCCGACTGCTCCATCAAAAGGAAGCTTTAACTTTGTGTGATGAATGCACACATCACAAAGCAGCTTCTCAGAAAGCTTCATTCTAATTTTTGTCTAAAGATATTTCCATTTTCACCGTAGGCCTCAATGTGCTCCGAAATAGCTATTCATCATTTATACAAAAACAGGCTTAACAAACTGCTTCATCAAGAGTCAGGGTTAACTCTGTGAGGTGAATGCACACATCACAAAATTCTTTCTCAGAAAATTTCTTTCTAGTTTTTATATAATGATATTTCCTTTACACTGTAGGACTCAATGCATTCCAATATGTCCCTTCACCAATTATACAAAAAGTGTTTATAAACTACTCCATCAAAAGAAAGTTTTAACTCTTTGAGATGAAAGGAAACATCACAAGGCAGTTTCTCAGAAATCTTCTGTCTCGTATTTATCTAAAGATATTTCCCTTTTCTCCATAGGTCTGAAAGTTCTCCCAAATATGGCTTTGCAGATTACACAAATACAGTGTTTTCAAAATTCTCCTTGAAAGGAAAGGTTTAACTCTGTGAGATGAATGCCCACATCACAAAGCAGTTTCTCAGAAAGCTTCTCTCCAGTTTTTCTCTGAAGATATTTCTCTTTTCACTGCAGGACTTAATGCACTCCAAAATATCTCTTTGCAGATTTTACAAAAACAGTGATTCCAAACTGCTCTATGAAGAAAAAGGTTGAAATATGTGATATGAATGAACACATCACAAAGCAGTTTCTCCAAAAGCTTCATTCTAGTTTTTGTCTAAAGATATTTCCATTTTCACCGTAGGCCTCAATGTGCTCCAAAATATCCCTTCACAGTTTATACAAAAATGGGATTAACAAACTGCCCCATCAAAAGAAAGGTTTAACTCAGGGAGATGAATTCGCACATCACAAAGTAGTTTTTCAGAAAGTTTCTTTCTAATTTTTCTCTGAAGATATTTTCTTTTCACCATAAGACTCAATGCACTCCCAAATATCCCTTTGCCAACCACAGAAAAACAGTGTTTACAAACTACTCCATCATAAGAAAAGCATAACTCTGTGAGATGAAAACACACATCACGAAGCAGTTTCTCAGAAAGCTTCCATCTAGTGTTTATCTGAAAATATTTCCCTTTTCACCATAGGCCTGAAAGCACTCCAAAATATGGCTTTTCACATTCCACAAATACAGAGATTTCAAACTCATCCTTCAAAGGAAAGGTTTAACTCTGTGAGATGAATGCACACATCGCAAAGCAGTTACTCAGAAAGCTTCTTTCTAGTTTTTCTCTGAAGATAATTTTTTTTCACCATAGGCCTCAAAGTGCTCCAAAATATCCCTTTGCAGATTCTACAAATACACTGTTTCCAAACTCCTCGAACAAAAGAAAAGTGTAAATCTGTCAGATAAATGCTCAATACACAAAGCAGTTTCTCAGAAAGATTCATTCTAGTTTTTGTCTCGAGATATTTCCATTTTCTCCTAGGCCTCAATGTGCTCTAAAATACCCCTTCCCAGTTTATACAAAAACAGGTTTTACAAACAGGTCCATCAAAAGAAAGTTTTAACACCAACATGGCACATGTATACATATGTAAAAAACCTGCATGTTGTGGTCATGTACGCTAAAACATAAAGAAAAAAAAGATATTTCCATTTTCACCATAGGCCTCAATGCATTCCCAAATATCCCTTTGCAGTTCATACAAAAAACAGGGTTTACAAACAGCTCTATCAAAAGGGAGGCTTAACTCTGTGAGATGAATGTGCACATCACAAAGTAGTTTCTCAGAAAGTTTCTTTTTAGTTTTTCTCTGAACGTATTTCCCTTTAACCATAGGACTCAAAATACTCCCAAATATCCATTTGCAGATTATACAAAAACAGTCTTTACAACCTGCTCCATCAAAATATAGGTTTACCTCTGTGAGATGAATGCACACATCACAAAGTAATTTCTCAGTAAGCTTCTTTCTAGATTTATCTGAAGATATTTATTTTCAACATAGGCCTCAAAGCACTCCCAAATATCCCTTCACAGATTCTACAAATACAGTGTTTCCAACCTGCTCCTTCAAAGGAAAGGTTTAACTCTGTGAGATGAATGGACACATCACAAAGCAGTTTCTCAGAAAGCTACTTTCTAGTTTTTCTCTGAAGATATTTCTCTTTACACCACAGGCATAAAAGCACTCTGAAATATCCTTTCGCCAATTCTACAAAAACAGTGATTTCAAACGGCTCCATCAAAAGAAAGGTTTAACTCTCTGAGATGAAAGCACTCATCACAAACAGTTTCTCAGAAAGTTTCTGTGTAGTGTTTATCTGAAGATATTTCCCTTTTCACCATAGGCCTGAAAGCACTCTCAAATATGGCTTTGCAGATTCCACAAATACAGTGTTTTCAAACTGCTCCTTCAAAGGAAAGGTTTAACTCTGTGAGATGAATGGACAGATCACAAAGCAGTTTCTCAAAAAGCTTCAATCTACTTTTTCTCTGAACATATTTCTCTTTTCACCACATGGCTTCTTGCACTCCACAGTAACCCTTCACGGAATCTATGAAAACAGTGATTCCAAACTGCTCCATCAAAGAAAGGTTTAAATCAGTGAGATGAATAAACACTACACAAGGCTGTTTCTCAGAAAGCTTCTTTGTAGATTTTCTATAAAGACATTTCCTTTTTCACAATATGCCTCAATGCACTCCAAATTATCCCTTCACAGATTCTACAAATACAGTGTTTCCAAACTGCTCCATCAAAAGACAGGTTTAACTCAGTGAGATGAAGGCACTCATTACAAAGAAGTCTCTCAGGAAGTTTCATTCTAGTTTTCGTCTAAAGATATTTCCATTTTCACCATAGGCCTCAATGTGCTCTGAACTATCCGTTTGCAGTTGATACAAAAACAGATTTAAGAAACTGCTCCATCAAAAGAAAGCTTTAACTATGTGAGATGAATGCACAAATCACAAAGTAGTTTCTCAGAAAGTTTCCTCCCAATTTTTGAACAAATTTCCTTTTCATCATAGGACTCAATGCGCTCCCAAATATCCCTTTGCTGATAATACAAAAACAGTGTTTACAAACTACTCCATCAAAAGAAAAGTTTAACTGTGAGATGAAAGCTCACATCACAAAGCAGTTTCTCAAAAAGCTTCTGTGTAGTGTTGATCTGAATGTATTTCTCTTTTCACCATACTCCTTAAAGGGCTCCCAATTATGGCTTCTCATATTCTACAAATGCAGTGTTTTCAAACTGCTCCTTCAAAGGAAAGGTTTAACTCTGTGAGATAAATGGACACATCACAAAGCAATTTCTTCAAAAGCTTCTTTCTAGTTTTTCTCTGAAAATATTTCACTTTCCACACAGGCCTTAATGCAATCCCAAATATCCCTTCACAGATTCTACGAAAACAGTGATTGCAAATGCTCCATCAAAGAAAAGTTTAACTCTGTTAGTTGAAGGCACACATCACAAATCATTTTTTCAGAAAACTTCTGTCTAGTTTTTATCTGAGGATATTTCCCTTTTCACCATTCGTCTGAAAGAGCTCTCAAATATGGCTTTGCAGATTCTACAAATACAGCGTTTTCAAACTGCTCCTTCTAAGGAAAGTTTTAACTCTGTGAGACAAATGGACAGATCACAAAGCAGTTTCTCAAAAAGCTTCATTCTACTTTTTCTCTGAACATAATTCTCTTTTCACCACATGCCTTCTTGCACTCCAAAGTATCCCTTCGCAGAATCTACGAAGATTTTTCCTTTTTCACCATTGGACTCAAAGCACTCCCAAACATCCCTTCTCATATTCTACAAAACCAGTGCTTCCAAAATGCTCCATCAAAAGAAAAGTGTAATTCTGTGAGATGAATGCCCACATCACAAAGCAGTTTCTCAGAAAACTTCTTTCTAGTTTTTCTCTGAAAATATTTCCTTTTTCATCACAGGCCTCAGTTTGCATGGAAATACACGTTTGCAGACTTTACAAAAACAGTGTTTCCAAACTTCTGAATGACAGGAAATGTTTAACTCAGGGAGATTAATGCACACATCACATAGCACCTTCTCACTAAGCTTCCTTCTAGTTTTTCTCTGAAGTTATTTCCTTTTTCACCATAGGCCTCAATGTGCTCCAAAATATCCTTTCGTAGATTCCAAAAAAATAGTGATTCCAAACTGCTCAATCAAAAGATAGGTAAAACTCTGTGAGATGAATGGACACAACACAAAGTAGTTTCTCAGAAACATTCTTTCCAGTTTTTCTATGAAGATATTTACTTTTCTAGCATACTCCTCAATGTGCTCCCAAATATTCCTTTGCATATTCCACAAAAACAGTGTTTCCAAGCTGCTCAAACAAAAGTTTACCTCTGTGAGATAAATGAACAAAACAGAAAACAGTTTCTCAGAAACTTCTTTCTAGTTTTTCTCTGAAGATAATTCCCTTTTCACTACATGCCTCAATGTGCTCCCAAATAAATACCCCTTCACAGATTCTACAAAAACAATGTTTCCAAACTGTGCTAAGAGAATAAAGGTTTGAGTCTTTGAGATAAATGCACAAATCACAAGGCAGTTTCTCAGAAAGCTTCTTTCTAGCTTTTTGCTAAAGATATTTTATTTTTCAACATAGGCCTCAATTTGCTCCCAAATATTCCTTCACAGATTGTACAAAAACGTGTTTCCAAACTGCTCCATTGAAAAAAATGTTTACCTTTGTGAGACGAATGCACACAACACAAAGTAGTTTCCCAGAAAGCTAGTTTCTAGTTTTTCTCTTAAGATATTTGCTTTTACACCATAAGCCTCAAGGTGCTCCCTACCATCCTTTTGCAGATTCTACAAAAACACTGTTTCCATGCTGCTCCAATCAGATAATTTTTAACTCTGTGAGATGAATGCATACATCACAATGCACTTTCTCAGAAAGCTTCTTTCTAGTTTTATGTAAATATATTTCCTTTTTGACAATAGGCCTCAATGTGCTCCCAAATATCCCTTCACAGATTCTACAAAAACAGTGATTCCAAACAGCTCTATCAAAAGAAAGGTTTAACTCTGTGAGATGAATGCACATATCATAAAGCAGTTTCTCAGAAAGCTCCATTGAACTTTTTATCTGAAGATATTTTCTTTTTCACCACTGGTCCCAATGTGCTCCCAAAAATCAGTTTGCAGATTCTACAAAATTGCGTTTCCAAACTGCTCCATCAAAAGAAAGGTTTAACTCTGTGAGATGAACGCACACATCAGAAAGCAGTTTCTCACAAAGCTTCTTCCTAATTTTTCTCCGAAGATATAACTTTTTCCACCATAGGCTTCAATGATCTCCCAAATATCCTTTCACAGAATCTACAAAAGCCATATTTCCAAACTACTCCTTCTAAAGAAATGTTTACCTCTTTCAGATGAATGCACACATAACAGATCAGTTTCTCAGAAATCTTCTTTCTGGTTGTTCTCTTAAGATAGTTCCTTTTCCACAATAATCCTCAATGCACTCCTAAATATCCCTTCACAGATTGCTAAAAAACTGTGTTTCCAAACTGCCCCATAAAATAAAAGTTTAACACTGTGAGATGAATGCACACATCACAAATCAGTTTCTCAGAAAGCTTCTTTCTAGTTTTTATCTAAAGATATTTCCTTTTTGGCCACAGGCCTCAAAGTGCTCCCAAATATCCCTTTGCAGATTCTGCAAAAACAGTGTTTCCAGCTGCTAAGTCAAAACGAAGTTTTAACTCTGTGAGATGAATGGCCACATCACAAAACAGTTTCTCAGAAAGCTTCCACCTACTTTTTGTCTGAAGATATTTCCTTTTTCACCATAGGCCTCAAAGTGCTCCCAAGTATCTTTTTGCAGATTCTGCAATAACAGTGGTTCCAAACT
The DNA here is from genome assembly GCF_000001405.40 of Homo sapiens. Lineage (NCBI taxonomy): Eukaryota > Metazoa > Chordata > Mammalia > Primates > Hominidae > Homo > Homo sapiens. The sequence goes on along the minus strand of NC_000005.10, from coordinate 45,987,426 downwards.
GCTACACCAACAGAATGTTTTCAGTCAGTTAGATGAATGCACACAACACAAGTCAGTTTCTCAGAAAGATTCTTTCTAGTTTTTCTCTGCAGATATTTCCTTTTTCAGAACAGACCTCTTTGTGCTCTCAAACATGCCTTCACATATACTACAAAAACAGTATTTCCAAACTGCTCCATCAAAAGAAAGTTTTGAGTCTGTTAGGTGAATGCACACATCACAAAGGAGTTTCTCAGAAAGCTTCTTTATAGTTTTTATGTGAAGATATTTCTTTTTTCACCATAGGCCTGAATGTGCTCCCACATATCCCTTTGCAGATTGCACAAAAACAGTGTTTCCAAACTACTAAATCAAAAGAAAATTTGAACTCTGTGAGACGAATGCACAAGTCAAAAGGCAGTTTCTCAGAAAGTTTTATTCTAGTTTTTCCTGAAGATATTTCCTTTTTCACCAAAGCCTAAATGTGATCCCAAATATCCCTTTGCAGATTCTACAAAAACAGTGTTTCCAAACTGCTCAATCAAAAGGAAGCTGTAACAGAGGGAGATGAATGCACACATTCCAAAGCAGATGATTGTCAGAAAGCTTCTTTCTAGTTTTTCTCTGAAGATATTTCCATATGGTGAACATAGGCCTCAATGCACTCCCAAATATCCCTTTGATGATTCTACAAAAACAGTGTTTCCAAACCTCTCCATCAAAGAAACGTTCAAATCTGTAAGATTAAAGCACACATCACAAAGCAGTTTCTCAGAAAACTTCTGTGAATTTTTTATCTGAGATATTTTCTTTTTTACCACAGGCCTCAATGTGTTCCCAAATGTCCCTTTGCAGATTCTACAAAAACAGTGTTTCCAAACTGCTCCATCAAAAGAAAAGTTTAACTTTGTGACATGAATGCACACTTCACAAATCAGTTTCTCAGAAAGCTTCTTTCTGGTTTTTCTCTTAAGATAAGTCGTTTTTCAACATTGGCCTCAATTCCCTCACAAATATCCCTTCACAGAACCTACAAAAACAGTGTTTCTAAACCGCTGAATCAAAGGAAATATTTAACTCTGTGAGATGAATGCACAAATCACAAACCAGTTTCTCATAAAGGTTCTGTGAATTTTTTATCTGAGATAATTTCTTTTTCAACATAAGCCACAATGTGCTCTCAAATGCCCATTTGCAGATTCTACAAAAACAGTGCTGCCAAACTGCTCCATAAAAAGAAAGATTTAACTTCATGACTTGAATGTGCACTTCACAAGTCAGTTTTTCAGAAAGTTCTTTCTGGATTTTCCCTTAAGATATGTGGTTTTTCACCATTGGCCTCAATTCCCTGACAAATACCCCTTCACAGATTCTACAAAAAGAGTGTTTCCAAACTCTTCCATCAAAACAAAAGTTTAACTCTTTGAGATGAATGCACACATCACAAAGCAGTTTCTCAGAAAGATTCTTTCTACTTTTTATCCAAAGATACCTAATTTTTCACCATAGGTCTCAGTGTGCTCCAAATATACCTTTGCAGATCCTACAAAAACAGTGTTTCCAAACTGCTCTATCAAAACAGAGGTTTAAATTTGTGACATGAATGTGCACTTCAGAAATCAGTTTCTCAGAAAGCTTATTTCTGGTTTTTCTCTTAAGATATGTGGTTTTACACCATTGGCCTCAATTCCCTCACAAATATCCCTTCACAGATTCTACGAAAACAGTGTTTCCAAATCGCTGAATCAAAGGAAACGTTTAACTCTGTGAGATGAATGCACAAATCACAAATCAGTTTCTCAGCAAGCTTCTGTGAATTCTTTATCTGAGATAATTTCTTTTTTACCATAGACCTCAATGTGCTCTCAAATGCCCGTTTGCAAATTCTACAAAAACAGTGCTGCCAAACTGCCCCACAAAAAGAAAGATTTAACTTCATGACTTGAATGTACACTTCACAAATCAGTTTCTCAGAAAGTTCTTTCTGGCTTTTCCCTTAAGATATGTGGTTTTTCACCATTGGCCTCAATTCCCTGACAAATATCCCTTCACAGATTCTACAAAAAGGGTGTTTCCAAACTCCTCCATCAAAACAAAAGTTTAACTCTTTGAGATGAATGCACACATCACAAAGCAGTTTCTCAGAAAGCGTCTTTCTACTTTTTATCCAAAGATATTTAATTTTTCACCATAGGTCTCAGTGCGCTCCAAATATACCTTTGCAGATCCTACAAAAACAGTGTTTCCAAACTGCTCTATCAAAACAGAGGTTTAACTTCATGACATGAATGTGCACTTCACAAATCAGTTTCTCAGAAAGCTTCTTTCTGGTTTTTCTCTTAAGATATGTCATTTTTCACCATTGGTCTCAATTACCTCACAAATATCCCTTCACAGATTCTACGAAAACAGCGTTTCCAAATTGCTGAATCAAAGGAAACGTTTAACTCTGTGAGATGAATGCACAAATCGCAAAGCAGTTTCTCAGAAAGCTTCTGTGAATTCTTTATCTGAGGCATTTTCTTTTTCACCATAGGCCTCAAGGTGCTCCCAAATGTCCCTTTGGAGATTCTACAAAAACAGTGTTTGCAAACTGCTCCATCAAAAGAAAGATTTAACTTCGTGACTTGAATGCACACTTCACAAATCAGTTTCTCAGAAAGTTCTTTCTGATTTTCTCCCTTAAGACATGTCATTATTCACCATTGGCCTCAATTCCCTGACAAATATCCCTTCACAGGTTCTACAAAAACAGTGTTTCCAAACTGCTCCATCAAAACAAATGTTTAACTCTTTGAGATGAATGCACACATCACAAAGCAGTTTTTCAGAATGTTTCTTTCTATTTTTTAACCAAAGATACTTAATTTTTCACAATAGGTCTCAGTGCACTCCCAAATATACCTTTGCAGATCCTACAAAAACAGTGTTTCCAAACTGCTCTATCAAAAGAAAGGGTTAACTCTCTGAGATGGATGCACATATAACCAAGCAGTTTCTTAGAAAGCTTGTCTTCACTTTTTCTCTGTAGATATTTCCATTTTCACCATAAGCCTCAATGCACTCGAAATGTCCCTTCACTGATTCTAAAAAAATAGTGTTGCCAAACAGCTGATCAAAAGGAATGTTTAACTCTGTGAGTTGGATGCACACATCACAAACCAGTTTCTCAGAAAGATTCTTTCCAGTTTTTCTTTGAAGATATTTCATTTTTCACCATATGTCCCTTTGCCAATTCCACAAAACAGTGTTTTCAAACTGCTCCATCAAAAGAAAGGTTTAACCCTGTGAGAAAGATACACACATCACAAAGCATTTACTCAAAACCATCTTTCTAGTTTTTCCTGAGGATATTTCCTTTTAACCACAAGCCTCAAGGTGCTCCCAAATATCCCTTCACAGATTCTACAAAAACAGTTTTTCCAAAGAGCTCAATCAAAATAATGTTTTAACTTGGTGTGATGAATGCACAAATCACAAAGCAGTTTCTTAGAAAGATTTTTTCTAGCTTTTCTCTGAAGATATTTCCTTTTTCACCATAGCCCTCAATGCACTCCCAAATATCCCTTCCCAAATTCTACAAAAACCATGTTTCCAAACATTGCAACCAAAAGAAAAGCTTTAGTCTGTGAAATGAATGCACTTATCATAAAGCAGTTTCTCAGAAAGATTCTTTATATTTTTTCTCTGAAGATATTTCCTTTTCCACCATAGGTCTTAAAGTGTTAAAACATACACCTTCACAGATTCTACGAAAACAGTGTTTGCAAACTACGTTATTAAAAGAAAGCTTTACTTCTCTGAGATGAATGCAAACGTCACAAAGCAGTTTCTCAGAAAGATTATTTATAGTTTTTATCTGAAGATATGTACTTTTTTACCATAGGCCCTAATGTGCTTACGAATATCCTTTCTCACTTCCAACAAAAACAGTGTTTCCAAACTGTTCCTTCAAAACAAAAATTTCACTCTGTAAGATGAATGCAAATATCACAAAGTAGTTTCACAGTAAACCTCTTTCTGCTTTCTCTCTTACACTATTTCCTTTTTCACCATAGACCTGAATGCACTCCAAAAATATCATTTCAAAGATTCTAAAATAGGAGTGCTTCCAACCTGCTCCTTCCATAGAAATGTTTAACTCCGTGAGAGCAACGCAGACAACACAAAGCAGTTTCTCAGAAAGCTACTTTCTAGGTTTTCTCTGAAGATATTTCCTTTTACACCAAAGGCCTCAAGGCACTCGCTAATATCACTATGCAGTTTCTACAAAAACAATGTTTCCAAACTACCCAATTAAAAGAATGGATTAACTCTTTGAGATGAATGCACACACTGCAAATCAGTTTCCCAAGAAGCTTCTTTCTAGTTACTATCTGAAGATATTCCTTTTTCACCATAGACCTCAATGCACTCCAAAATATCCCTTCACAGATTCTAAAACAACAGTTTTTCCAAAATGCTCCATCAAAAGAAACATTTAACTCTGTGAGATTAATGCACACATTACAACTCAGTTTCTCAGAAAACTTATTTCTGGTTTTCTCCCAGCATATTTCATGTTTTCACAAAGACCTCAATGTGCTCCCAAATATCTCTTCACAGATTCTACAAAAACAGTCTTTCTAAACTGCTCCATCTAAAGATAGGTTTAATGTTTACCTCTGTGGGATGAATGCACACCACACAAAGCAGTTCTCAGAAAGCTTCTTTCTAGTTTTTCTCTGAAGATATTTCCTTTTTCACCATAGACCTCAATGTGCTCCCAAATATGCCTTTGCAGATTCCACAAAAATATTTTTTTCCAAAGAGCTCCATCAAATAAAATTTTCTCTTTGTGAGATGAAGGCATACATCACGAAGCACTTTCTCAGAAGGCTTCCTTCTAGTTTTTATGTGAAGGCCTTTTTCAATATAGGCCTCAGTGGGTTCCTAAATATCCCTTCGAAGAATTTACAAAAACAATGTTTCCGAACCACTCAACCAAGGAAAGTTTTGAGTCTTTGAGTTGAATGCATACCTCCCAAAGCAGATTCTTCAAAAGTTTCTTTTTTAAAAAAAAATTATTATTATTATAGTTTAAGTTTTAGTGTACATGTGCAAAACGTGCAGGTTTGTGACATATGTATACATGTGCCATGTTGGTGTGCTGCACCCATTAACTCGTCATTTAGCATTAGGTATATCTCCTAATGCTATCCCTCCCCCCTCACCCCACCCCACAACTGTCCCCAGTGTGTGATGTTCCCCTTCTTGTGTCCATGTGTTCTCATTGTTCAATTCCCAACTATGAGTGAGAACATTCCATGTTTGTTTTATCTCCTTGTGATAGTTTGCTGAGAATGATGTTTTCCAGCTTCACCCATTTCCCTACAAAGGACAAGAACTCATCATTTTTTATGGCTTCATAGTATTCTATGATGTATATGTGCCACATTTTCTTAATCCAGTCTATTATTGTCGGACATTTGGGTCAGTTCCTAGTCTTTGTTATCGTGAATAGTGCCACAATAAACATATGTGTGCATGTGTCTTTATAGCAGCATAATTTATAGTCCTTTGGGTATATACCCAGCAATGGGATGGCTGGGTTGGTCAAATGGTATTTCTAGTTCTAGATCCCCGAAGAATCACCACACTGACTTATGCAATGGTAGAACTAGCTTAGAGTCCAACCAACAGTGTAAAAGAAGTGTTCCTATTTCTCCACATCCTCTCTGGAACCTGTTGTTTCCTGAGTTTTTAATAATCACCATTCTAACTGATGTGAGATGGTATGTCATTGTTGTTTTGATTTGCATTTCTCTGATGGCCAGTGATGATGAGCATTTTTTCCTGTGTTTTTTGACTGCATAAATGTCTTCTTTTGAGAAGTGTCTGTTCATATCCTTTGCCCACTTTTTAATAGAGTTGTTTGTTTTTTCCTTGTAAATTTGTTTGAGTTCATTGTAGATTATGGATATTAGCTCTTTGTCAGATAAGTCAGTTGCAAAAAATTTCTCTATTCTGTAGAAGGACCTCTTCAAAGAGAACTACAAACCACTGCTCAAGGAAATAAAAGAGGATACAAACAAATGGAAGAACATTCCATGCTCATGGGTAGGAAGAATCAATATCTTGAAAATGGCCACACTGCCCAAGGTAATTTACAGATTCAATGCCATCCCCATCAAGCTACCAATGACTTTCTTCACAGAATTGGAAAAACTACTTTAAAGTTCATATGGAACCAAAAAAGAGCCTGCATGGCCAAGTCAATCCTAAGCCAAAAGAACAAAGCTGGAGGCATCATGCTACGTGACTTCAAACTATACTACAAGCCTACATTAACCAAAACAGCATGGTACTGGTACCAAAACAGAGATATAGATCAATGGAACAGAACAGAGTGCTCAGAAATAATGCCACATATCTACACCTATCGATCTGATCTTTGACAAATCTGACAAAAACAAGCAATGGCAAAAGGATTCCTTATTTAATAAATGGTGCTGGGAAAACAGGCTAGCCATAGGTAGAAAGCTGAAACTGGATCCTTTCCTTACACCTTATACAAAAATTAATTCAAGATGGATTAAAGACTTACATGTTATACCTAAAACCATGAAAACCCTAGAAGAAAATCTAGGCAATACTATTCAGGACATAGGCATGAGCAAGGATTTCATTTCTGAAACACCGAAAGCAATGGCAACAAAAGCCAAAATTGACAAATGGGATCTAATTAAACTAAAGAGCTTCTGCACAGCAAAAGAAAATACCATCAGAGTGAACAGGCAATCTACAGAATGGGAGAAAATTTTCACAACCTACTCATCTGACAAAGGGCTAATATCCAGAATCTAAAATGAACTCAAACAAATTTACAAGAAAAAAAACAAACAAAGCCATCAACAAGTGGGAAAAGGATATGAACAGACACTTCTCAAAAGAAGACATTTATGCAGCCAAAAAACACATGAAAAAATGCTCATCATCACTGGCCATCAGAGAAATGCAAATCAAAACCACAATGAGATACCATCTCACACCAGTTAGAATGGCGATCAATAAAAAGTCAGGAAAAAACAGGTGCTGGAGAGGATGTGGAGAAATAGGAACACTTTTACACTGTTGGTGGGACTGTAAACTAGTTCAATCATTGTGCAAGTCAGTGTAGCAATTCCTCAGGGATCTAGAACTAGAAATACCATTTGACCCAGCCATCCCATTACTGAGTATATACTCAAAGGAGTATAAATCATGCTGCTATAAAGACACATGCACACATATGTTTAGAGTGGCACTATTCACAATAGCAAAGACTGGGAACCAACCTAAATGTCCAACAACGATAGACTGGATTAAGAAAATGTGGCACATATACACTATGGAATACTATGTAGCCATAAAAAATGATGAGTTCATGTCCTTTGTAGGGACATGGATGAAAATGGAAACCATCTTTCTCAGCAAACTATAGCAAGGACAAAAAACCAAACACCACATGTTGTTACTCGTAGGTGGGAATTGAAGAATGAGAACACATGGACACAGGAAGGGGAAAATCACACACCAGAGTCCATTGTGGGGTGGGGGGAAGGGGCAGCGATAGCATTAGGAGATACCGAATGCTTAATGATGAGTTAATGGGTACAGCACAGCAACATGGCACATGTATACATATGTAACAAACCTGCACATTGTGCACATGTATCCTAAAACTTAAAGTATAATAATAATAAAATAAAATAAAAAATATATTGAAAAACCATTGAAAAAAAAATCCCTTTGCAGATTCTACAAAAACAGTGTTTCCAAACTGCTCAATCAAAATAAACGTTTAACTCTGTGAGAAGGCACACATCAGAAAGCGGTTTCTCAGAAATCTTCTTTGTAGTTTTTATCTGAAGTTATTTCCTTTTTCACCATAGGCCTAGTGCACTCCCAAATATCCCTTCACAGATTCTCCAAAAACAGTGTTTCCAAACTGCTCAATCAAAAGGAAGGTATAACTCTGTGAGATGAATGCACACATCACAAAGCATTTCGTCGGAATGCTTCTATCTAATTCTTCTCTGTAGTTATTTCCTTTTCCACCATTGGCTTCAATGTGCTCCCATATATCCCTTCGCAGATACTACAAAAACGGTGTTTCCAAACTGTTCCATAAAAGAAGGTCTTAAATCTCTGAATAGAATGCACACATCAGAAACCAGTTTCTCATACCACTTCTTTCCTGTTTTTATCTGAAAATATTTTCTTTTTCACCATAGGTTTTTTGTGTGACATAATATCACTTCGCAGATTTTGCAAAAACAGTGTTTCAAAACTGCTCAGTCAAAAGAAATATTTAACTCAGGGAGATGAATACACACATCACAAAGCAGTTTCTTAATATCTTCTTTGTAGTTTTTATCCAAAGATATATCATTTACCACCATAGACTTCAACGCAAATATCCCAAATATACCGTTGCAGATTCTACAAAAACTGTTTCCAAACTGACCAATCAAAAAACAAGTTTAACTCTGTGAGTTGAATGCACATATCACAAAACAGTTTCTCAAAAAGCTTCTTTGTAGTTTTTACGCAAAGATATTTCCTTTTTCACCATCGACTTCAGGGCGTTCCCAAATATACCTTTGCAGATTCTACAAAAACAGTGTTCCTAAACTGTTCAACGAAAAGAAAGCTTTAACTCTGTGAGATGAATGCACACATCAGATATCAGTTTATCAGATAGCTTCTGTCTATTTCTTCTCTGAAGATATTTCCTGTTCCACCATAGGGCTCAATGCACTCTAAAATATCCCTTCGTGGGTTCTATTTCTTATAATGTTTACAAACTGTTACACCAAAGAAGTACTTAAGTCTGTGAGATGAACACACATCAGAAAGCAGTTCCCCATACTTCTTAATTGCAGTTTTTATCTGAAGATATTTCCTTGTTCACCACAGGCCTTTTTAAGCTACCAAACATTGCTTCACAGATTTTATAAAAACAGTTTTCCCAGTAATGGGATGGCTGGGTCAAATGGTATTTCTAGTTCTAGATCCCTGAGGAATCGCCACACTGACTTCCACAATGGTTGAACTAGTTTACAGTCCCACCAACAGTGTAAAAGTGTTCCTATTTCTCCGCATCCTCTCCAGCACCTGTTGTTTCCTGACTTTTTAATGATTGCCATTCTAACTGGTGTGAGATGATATCTCATAGTGGTTTTGATTTGCATTTCTCTGATGGCCAGTGATGATGAGCATTTCTTCATGTGTTTTTTGGCTGCATAAATGTCTTCTTTTGAGAAGTGTCTGTTCATGTCCTTCGCCCACTTTTTGATGGGGTTGTTTGTTTTTTTCTTGTAAATTTGTTTGAGTTCATTGTAGATTCTGGATATTAGCCCTTTGTCAGATGAGTAGGTTGCGAAAATTTTCTCCCATGTTGTAGGTTGCCTGTTCACTCTGATGGTAGTTTCTTTTGCTGTGCAGAAGCTCATGCTGCTATAAAGACACATGCACACGTATGTTTATTGCGGCACTATTCACAATAGCAGAGACTTGGAACCAACCCAAATGTCCAACAATGATAGACTGGATTAAGAAAATGTGGCACATATACACCATGGAATACTATGCAGCCATAAAAAATGATGAGTTCATATCCTTTGTAGGGACATGGATGAAATTGGAAACCATCATTCTCAGTAAACTATCGCAAGAACAAAAAACCAAACACTGCATATTCTCACTCATAGGTGGGAATTGAACAATGAGATCACATGGACACAGGAAGGGGAATATCACACTCTGGGGACTGGGGTGGGGTCGGGGGAGGGGGGAGGGATAGCATTGGGAGATATACCTAATGCTAGATGACACATTAGTGGGTGCAGCGCACCAGCATGGCACATGTATACATATGTAACTAACCTGCACAATGTGCACATGTACCCTAAAACTTAGAGTATAATAAAAAAAAAAAAAGAAAGAAAAAAAATAATAATAATGCTTAAATCAGGCTGAAATGTGAATAACTATTATGAGTTCTAAGTAAATAAACAAATCAGGCATTAAAAAAAAAAAAAAAAAAACAGTTTTCCCAAAGTGCTCAATCAAAAGAAAATTTGAACTCCAAGAGATGAATGCGTACATGACAAAGTAGTTTCTCAAAAAGCTTCTTACTAATTTTTGTCCGAAGACATTTTCTTTTTCACCATAGGCACCAGTGCTCTCCCAAATATCCCCTTGCAGCTTCTACAAAAACAGTGTTTCCAAACTGATCAATCAAAAAGATTTTTTAACTCTGTGAGAAGAATGCACACATTACAAAGCAGTCTCTCAGAAAGCTTCTTTCTAGACTTTATCTGAAGTTATTTCCTTTCTCATTGTAGATCTCATGTGCTCCCACATATCCTTTCAAAAATTCTACAAAAGCAGTGTTTCCAAACTGATCAGTCAAAAGAATGTTTTAACTCAGTGCACACATTGCAAAGGACTTTCACAAAGAGCTTCTTTCTACTGTTTATCCTTTTTCACTATAGGCTTCAATGTGCTCCTGAATATCTCTTTGCAGATTCTACAGAAAGAGTGTTTCCAAACTGATCAATCAAAAGAAAGGTTTAACACAGTGAGATGAATGCAAACATCACAAAGCAGTTTCGTAGAAAGCTTCTGTCTAGTTCTTCTCTGAAGATATTTCCTTTTCCACCATTGGCTTCAATGCACTCCCAAATATCCCTTCGCAGGTTCTACAAAAACAGAGTTTCCAAACTGTTCCATCAAAAGAAGGACAACTCTGTGAGATGAACACACACATCTGAAAACAGTTTCTCATAACACTTCTTTCCAGTTTTAATCTGAAGATATTTCCTTTTCTACCATAGGCCTCATTGAACTCCAAAATATCCCTTCACAGATTCTATAAAAACAGTGGTTCCTAACTGTTCCATCAAAAGAAGACTTAACTCTGTGAGATGTATGCACGCATCAGAAAGCAGTTTCCCATAACAGTTCTTTCCAGTTTTTATCTGAAGATATTTCCTTGTTCACCATAGGCTCTTTGCACTACCAAATATCGCTCTGCAGATTTGGCAAAAACAGTGTTTCAAAACTGCTCAGTCAAAAGAAAGGTTTAAATCTGTGAGATGAATGCATACTTAATGAAGCAGTTTCCCAAACAGCATCTTTTTAGTTTTTTCCGGAAGGTATTTCCTTTTTCACCTAGACCTCAGGGAGCTCCCAAATATACATTTGCAGATTCTACAAAAACAGGGTTTCCAAACTGCTCAATCAAAAAACAGATTTAACTCTGTGAGAAGAGTGAACACATCTCAAAACCGTTTCTCAGAAAGCTTCTTTCTGGTTTTTATCTGAAGATATTTCTTTTTTCACAATAAGCATCGGTGCACTCCCAAATATCCCTTTGCAGATTCTACAAAAACAGTGTTTGCAAACTGCTAAATCAAAATAAATATTTATCTCTGTGAGAAGAATGTGCACATCACAAAGCGGTTTCTCAGAAAGCTTCTTTGTAGTTTTTATCTGAAGTTGTTTACTTTTCCACCATAGGCCTCCTGTGCTCACAAATATCCCTTCACAGATTCTACAAAAAGAGTGTTTCCAAACTGCTCAATCAAAAGAAAAGTTTAACTCTGTGAGATGAATGCACACATCACAAGGCAATTTCAAAGAAAGCTTCTTTCTTGTTCTTAATTAAAGATACTTCCTTTTCCACCATAGACCTCAAAGCGCTCTCAAATATCCCTTAACAGATTCTACAAAAGTAGAGTTTCCAAGCTGTTTTATCAAAAGAAGGACTTAACTCAGTGAGATAGACACACACATCAGAAAGTAGTTTTTCATAATGCTTCTTTCCAGTATTTATCTGTGGATATTTCCTTGTTCACCATAGACTTTTCTTGCGCTACAAAATATCGCTTCTCAGAATTTGCAAAAACAGTGTCTCCAAACTGCTGAGTCAAAAGAAAAGTTCAGCTTTTTAAGATGAATGCATACATCACAAAGCAGTTTCTCAAAGAGCTTCTTTCTAGTTTTTATATGGAGATATTTCGTTTTTCACCATAGGCCTAATGGCCTGAGTTTTCAAATATCGCATATAAGATGCTACAAAAGCAGCGTTTCCAAACTGCTCAACCAAAAAACAGGTTTAACTCTGTGAGTTGAATGCACACATCACAAAGCATTTTCTCAAAATGTTTCTTTCCAGTGTTTATGCAAAGAAATTTCCTTTTTCAACTTAGGACTCAGTGCACTACCAAGTTTCCCTTTGCAGAATCTTCAAAACCAGTGTTTACAAACTGTTCCATCAAAAGAAGGACTTAACACTGTGAGATGAATGTACACATCAGAGAGAGTTTCTCCTAACGCTTCTTTCCAGTTTTTATCTTAAGTAACTTCCTTGTTCACCATAGGCTTTCTGCACTACCTAATATCACTTTGCAGATTTTGCAAAAAAAGTATTTCCAAACTGGTCCATCAAAAAAAGGTTTGACTCTGTCAGATGAATGCTCACTTGACAAAGCAGTTTCTCAAAAAGATTATTTCTAGTTTTTTTCTGAAGATATTTCATTTATCACCATAGGCTTCAATGCGTTCCTAAATATCCTGTTGCAGATTCTACAAAAAATCTTTTTCCAAACTGCTCAACTGAAAGAAAGTTTTAACTCGGAAAGATGAATGCACACATCACAAAGCAGCTTATCAGATAGCTTCTGTCTAGTTCCTCTCTGAAGATATTTCCTTTTCCACCATAGGCCTCAATGCGATCCCATATATCACTTTGCAGATTCTATAAAAACAGTGTCTCTGAACTGATCCATCAATAGAAGGATTTAACTCTGAGAGATTAATGCACACATCAGAAAACATTTTCTCCTAATGCTTCTTTCCAGTTTTTATCTGAAGATATTAACTTTTTCACCATAGGCCTTTTTATGCTACCTAACATTGCTTAGTGGATTATACAAAAAGACTGTTTACAAACTGCTCAGTCAAAAGAAAAGTTTAACTCTGTGAAATGAATGCATACATCACAAAGCAGTCTCTCAAAAAGATTCTACCTAGTTTTTATCCAAAGATATTTCCTTTTTTACCATAGGCATTAGTGCACTCCCAAATATCCCCTTGTAGATTCTACAAAAACAGTGTTTCCAAACTGCTCATGAAAAAACAGGTTTAACTTTGTGAGAAGACTGCACAATTCACAAAGCAGTTTCTCAGAAAGTTTATTTCTAGTTTTTATCTGAAGTTATTTCGTTTTTCACCATAGGCCTCATGGGCTCCCCAGTATCCCTTTGCAGATGCTACATAAACAGTGTTTCCAAACTCATAAATCAAAAGAAAAGTTTAATTCTGTGTGACGAATGCACAAATCACAAAGCAGTTTCTCAGAAAGCTTGTTTCTAGTTTTGATCTGAAGATATTTCCTTTTTCACCACAGGCCTCAATGTGCTCCAAAATATCCCTTCGCAGATTCTACAAAAACATTGTTTCCAAACTGTTCCATCAAAAAAAAAAAGACTTAAACTAAAGAGCTTCTGCACAGCAAAAGAAACTACCATCAGAGTGAACAGGCAACCCACAAAATGGGAGAAAATTTTCACAACCTACTTAACTGACAAAGGGCTAATATCAAGAACCTACAATGAACTCAAACAAATTTACAAGAAAAAAACAAACAACCCCATCAAAAAGTGGGTGAAGGACATGAACAGACACTTCTCAAAAGAAGACATTTATGCAGCCAAAAGACACATGAAAAAACGCTCATCATCATTGGCCATCACAGAAATGCAAATCAAAAGCACAATGAGATAGCATCTCACATCAGTTAGAATGGCAGTCATTAAAAAGTCAGGAAGCAACAGGTGTTGGAGAGGATGTGGAGAAATAGGAACACTTTTACACTGTTGGTGGGACTGTAAACTAGTTCAACCATTGTGGAAGACAGTGTGGCAATTCCTCAGGGATCTAGAACTAGAAATACCATTTGACCCAGCCATCCCATTACTGGGTATATACCCAAAGGACTATAAATCATGTTACTATAAAGATACATGCACATGTATGTTTATTGCAGCACTATTCACAATAGCAAAGAATTGGAAGCAATCCAAATGTCCAACAATGATAGACTGGATTAAGAAAATGTGGCACATATACACCATGGAATACTATGCAGCCATACAAAATGACGAGTTCATGTCCTTTATAGGGGCATGGATGAAATTGGAAATCATCATTCTTAATAAACTATCACAAGGACAAAAAACCAAACACCTCATGTTCTCACTCATAGGTGGGAATTGAAAAATGAGAACACATGGACACAGGAAGGCGAACGTCACACTCTGGAGACTGTTGTGGGGTGGGGGGTCGGGGGAGGGATAGCATCAGGAGATATACGTAATGTTAAATGACGAGTTAATGGGTGCAGCACACCAGCATGGCACATGTATACATATGTAACTAACCTGCACATTGTGCACATGTACCCTAAGACTTAAAGTATAATAATAATACAATAAAATTTAAAAAAAGAACAGTAAATACAAAAAAAAGAAATTTTAGAAAGATATCACTACTACAATATTTGAGAAATCAGTTAACACTGGAAATAAACTTATCGCCCATGTGTATGGATATAAAAAAAAACAGTGATGCCAAACAGATCAGTCAAAGAAAGTTTTAACTCTGAGTGATGAATGCACACGTAACAAAGCAATTTCTGAAATAGCTTCTCTCTAGTTTTTATCTGAAGATGCTTCCTTTATTACCACAGGCTTCAATGTGCTCCCAAATGTTCCAGCGCAGATTCTACAAAAACAGTGTTACCAAACTGCTCAATCCAAAGACAAGTTTACTTCGGTGAGGTGAATGCAAACATCACACAGCAGTTTCTCAAAAAGATTCTTTTTAGTTTCTTTCTGAAGATATTCCCTTTTTCACCATAGACTTCAGTGCACTCTGAAATATACCTTTGCAGATTATACAAAAACAGTGTTTCCAAACTACTCAATCAAAAGAAAGGTTTAAGTCTGTGAGATAAATGCACAAAGCACAAAGCAGTTTCTCAGATTGCTTCCATCTAGCTCTTCTCTGAAGATTCTTCCTTTTCCACCGTAGACCTCAATGTGATCCAAAATGTCCCTTCACAGAGTCCATAAAAACAATGTTTTTGAACAGTTCCATTAGAAGGATTTAACTCTGTGAGATGAATACTCACATCAGAAAGCACTTTCTCATAACGTTTCTTTCCAGTTTTTATCAGAATAAATTTCCTTGTTCACCATAGGGCTTTTTGTGGTACCTAACATCACTTCGGAGATTCTACAGAAACAATGTTTCCCAACTGCTCAGTAAAAAGAAAGGTTTACCTCTTTGAGATGAATGCATACATCAAAAAGCAGTTTCTCAAAATGTTTCCTTCCCGTTTTTATCACAAGATATTTCCTTTTTCACCAAAGGCATTAGTGTGCTCCCAAACATCCCTCTGCAGTTTCTGCAAAAACTGTTTCCAAACTGCTCAGTGAAAAACAGGTTTACCTCTGTGAGATGAATGCAAACATCACAGAGGAGTTTCTCAAAATCCTTCCTTCCAGTTTTTATCACAAGATATTTCCTTTTTCACCACAGGTATCTGTGTGCTCCCAAATATCCCTTCACACATTCTACAAAAACTGTGTTTCCAAACTGCTCTATCAAAAGAAAGGTTTAGCTCTGTGTGATGAATGCACACATCACAAAGCAGATTCTCAAAAATATTCTTTCTAGTTCTTATCTGGAGATTCTTCATTTTTCACCATAGGCATCAGTGCATTCCCAAATATCCCTTTGGAGATTCTACAAAAACAGTGTTTCCATAATGCTCAATCAAAAGAAACATTTACCTCTGTGAGAAGAGTGCCCACATCACATATCAGTTTCTCAGAAAGCTTCTGTCTAGTGTTTATCTGGAATTATTTCCTGTTTCACTGTAGGTCTCCTGTGTTCCCAAATATCCCTTCACAGATTCTACAAAACAGTGTTTCCAAAGTGATCAATCAAAAGTAATGTTTAGCACTGTGAGATGAATGCACACATCACAAGCGGTTTCTCAAAAATCTTCTTTCTAGTTTTTATCCGAAGATATTTCCTTTATCACCTTAGACCTCAATGTGCTCCCAGATATCCTGTCACAGATTCAACAAAAGCAGTGTTTCCAAACTGCTCAATCAAAAAATGGGTTTCACTCGGTGAGTTGAACAAGCACATCACAAAGCAGTTAATCAGAAAGCTTCTTTATAGTTTTTTTTTTAATGATTATACTTTAAGATTTAGGGTACAAGTGCACAACGTTCAGGTTAGTTACATATGTATACATGTGCCATGTTGGTGGGCTGCACCCATTAACTCATCATTTAGCATTAGGTATATCTCCTAATGCTATCCCTCCCCCCACCACACAACAGTCCCCAGAGTGTGACGTTCCCCTTCCTGTGTCCATGTGTTCTCGTTGCTTAATTCCCATCTACGAGTGAGAACATGTGGTGTTTGGTTTTTTGTCCTTGCGATAGTTTACTGAGAATGATGATTTCCAATTTCATCCATTTCCCTACAAAGGACATGAACTCATCATTTTGTATGGCTGCATAGTATTCCATGGTGTATATGTGCCACATTTTCTTAATCCAGTCTATCATTGTTGGACATTTGGGTTGGTTCCAAGTCTTTGCTATTGTGAATAGTGCCACAATAAATATACGTGTGTATGTATCTTTATAGCAGCATGATTTATAGTCCTTTGGGTATATACCCAGTAATGGGATGGCTGGGTCAAACGGTATTTCTCATTCTAGATCCCTGAGGAATCGCCACACTGACTTCCAGTTTGGAAAAACAGTTTTTGTGGAATCTGCAAAGGGATGTTTGCAAGTGCATTGAAGCCTAAGGTAAAGAAGGTGATAACTTCTCATAAAAACTATAAAGAAGCCATCTCACACCAGTTAGAATGGCTTCTTTATAGTTTTTATCAGAAGCTATTTCCTTCTTTACCTTACGCTTCAATGCACTTGCAAACATCCCTTTCCAGAGTCCACAAAAACTGTTTTTCCAAACTGTTCAATCAAAAGAAAGGTTTATCTCTCTTACCTCAATGGACCCTTCACAAAGCAGTTTCTCAGAAAGCTTCTGTCTAGTTTTTCTCTGAAGATACATCCTTTCCACCATAGGCCTCAGTGTGCTCCCAAATATCACTGCACAGATTCTACAAAAACGGTGTTTCCAACTCTTCCATCAAAAGAAGGACTTAACCCTTTGAGATGAATGCACACATCAGAAAACATTTTCTCATAACGCTTCTTTACAGTTTTTATCTGAAGATATTTCCTTTTTCAACATAGGCTTTTTTGTGCTACCTAATATCACTTTGCAGATTTTTCAAAAACAGTGTTTCCAAACTGCTCAGTCAAAAGAAAAGTTTAACTCACTGAGATGAAGGTACTCATCACAAAGCAGTTTCTCAAAAAGCTTCTCTCTAGTTTTTATCTGAGGATATTTCCTTTATCACCATAGTCTTCAATGTGCACCCAAATATCCTGTTGCACATTCTACAAAAACTGGTGTTTTCAAACTGCTCAATCAAAAAACAGGTTTAACTCTGCGAGTTGAATGCACACATCACAAACAGTTTCTCAAAAAGCTTCTTTCTAGTTTTTATCCGAAGATATTTTCTTTATCATCATAGACTTCAATGTGCTCCCAAATATCCCATCACAGATTCTACAAAAACAGTGTTTCCTAACTGCTCCATCAAAAGAAACGTTTAACTCTGTGAGATAAATGCACACATCACAAAGCAGTTTCTCAAATAGCTTCTGTCTAATTCTTCTCTGAAGATATTTCCTTTTGCACCTTAGGCCTCAATGCACTCACAAACATCCCTTCGCAGATGCTATAAAAACAGTGTTTCAGAACAGTTCCATCAAAAGGAGGACTTAACTTTGTGAGATGAATGCACACATCAATTACCAGCTTCTCATAACACTTCTTTCCAGTTTAAATCTGAAGTTATTTCCTTGTACTCCATAGGCTTTTTTGTGCTACAACACCACTTCACAGATTATACAAAAACAGTGTTTCTAAACTGCTCAGTCAAAAGAAAAGTTTTTTTCTGTGAAGTGAATGCATCCATCAGGAATCAGTTTCTCAAAGAGCTTCTTTCTAGTTTTTTTTTCTGAAGATATTTCCATTTTTACTGTAGGCATCAGTGGGCTCCCAAATATCTCTTTGCGGATTCTACAAAAACAGTGTTACCAAACTGCTAAATAAAAAGAAAATTTTAAATCTGTGATAAAAATGCACACATCACAAAATGGTTTTTCAAAAAGCTTCCATTTAGTTTTTATATGATATTATTTCCTTTTTCACCACAGGCCTCATGTACTCCAAATATCCTTTCACAGTTTCTACAAAAACAGTGCTTCCAATATAACCAATCCAGAGAAAGTTTTAACTCTGTGAGATGAACGCACACATCAGAAAGCAGTTTCTCATAATGTATCAGAAGATATTTCTGTCTAGTTTTTATCTGAAGATATTTCCTTTTCAACCATAGGCCTCTGTGTGTTCACAAATATCCCTTCACAGATTCTACAAAAACAGAGTTTCCAAACTGCTAAATGAAAGGAAAGTCTTAACTTTTTCACCATAAACCTCATGAGCTCCCAAATATCCCTTCACAAATTCTAAAAAAACAGTGTTTCCAGACTCATCAATCAAAAGAAAGTTTTAACTCTGTGAGTTGACTGCACACATCACAAAGCAGTTTCTCAAAGTTCATGTTTCTAATTTGTATCCAAAGATATTTCCTTTTTCATCATAGGCTTCAATGCTCTCCCAAATATCCCTTCACAGATTCTACATAAACAGTGTTTCCAAACTGCTCAATCACAAGAAAGGTTTAACAATGTGAGATGAATGCACATATCACAAAGCATTTCTCAGAAAGCTTCTTTCTAGCTTTTATCTGAAGTTGTTTCCTTTTTTACCATAGGCCTAGCGTGCTCCCAAATATCCCTTTGCAGATTCTACAAAAAGAGTGTTTCCAAACTGCTCAATCAAAAGAAAGGTTTAACTCTTTGAGATGAATGCACACATCACAAAGCAGTTTATCAAAATTTTCTTTCTACTTTTTATACCAAGATATTTCTTTTTTCAACATAAGCTTTAATACGCTCAAAAATATCCCTTCACAGATTCTACAAAAAAAGTGTTTTAAACTGCTCAAACAAGAGAAATATTTAACTCTGAGATAAATGCACACATCAGAAAGCAGTTTCTCAGAAAGCTTCTGTCTACTACTTCTCTGAAGATATTTCCTTTTACACCATAGGCCTCCTGGTGCTCCCAAATATCCCTTCACAGATTCTACAAAAACAGTGTTTCAAAGCTGTTCCATCAAAACAAGGACTTAACTCTGTGAGATGAACACGAACATCAGAAAGCAGTTTGTAATAACACTTCTTTCCAGTTTTTATCTGAAGATATTTCCTCTTTGACCATAACCTTTTTTGTGCTACCTAATATTGTTTCACAGATTTTGCAAAAACAGTGTTTCCAAACTGTTCAGTCAATAATAGGTTTAACTCTGTGTGATGAATGCAAACATCATAAAGCTGTTTCTCAAGCTTCCTTCTATTTTTTATCCAAAGATATTTCCTTTTTCACCATAGGCTTCCGTGTGCTCCCAAATAGAGCATTGTGGACACTACAAAAACAGTGTTTGCAAACTGTTCAATCAAAATAAATGTTTAACTCTGAGATGAATGCACACATCTCAAAACTGTTTCTCAAATAGATCCTGACTAGTTCTTCTCCGAAGATATTTCTTTTTCCACCATAGGCCTCAACTCACTCCCAAATATCCATTCACAGAGTCTATAAAAACAGAGTTTCTGAATTGTTCCATCAAAAGAAGGATTTCAAACTGTGAGATGAATGCACACATCAGAAAGTAGTTTCTCATAATGCTTCTTTCCAGTTTTTATCTGAAGATATTTCGTTGTTCACCATAGGCCTTTTTGTGCTACCTAACGTCACTTCACAGATCATACAAAAACAGTGTTTCCAAACTGGTAAGCCAAAAGAAAAGTTTTTTTTTTCTGTGAGATGAATGCATCCATCAGAAAGCAGTTTCTCAAAGAGCTTCTTTCTAGTTTTTATCTGAACATATTTTCTTTTTCCCAATAGGCCTCAGTGTGCTCCCAAATGGTGCATTGCAGATACTACAAAAACAGTGTTTCCAAACTGTTCAGTCAAAGGAAACGTTGAACTCTGTGAAAAGACTGCACACATCACAAAGCACTTTCTCAGAAAGCTTCTTTCTAGTTTTTACCTGAAGTTATGTCCCTTTTCAAAATAGGCCTCTTGCACTCCCAAATATCCCTTTGCAGATTCTACAAAAGCAGTGTTTCCAAACTGATAAATCAAAAGCAGGTTTAACTCTGTGAGAAGAATGCACACATAACAAAACAGTTTCTCAGAAAGCTTCTCTCTAATTCTTCTCTGAAGATATTTAATTTTCCACCATAGACCTCAATGCGCTCCCAATTATCCGTTCGCAGTTTCTAGAAAACAGTTTTTACAAACTGCTCCATCAAAAGAAGGACTTAACTCTGTGAGATTAATACACACATCAGAAAGCAGTTTCTGATAATGCTTCTTTCCAGTTTTTATCTGAAGATATTTCCTTTTTCCCCAGAGGCTTCAATGCACTCCCAAAAAACCCTTCACAGATTAAGCAAAAATAGTGTTTACAAACTGATAATCAAAAGAAACGTTTAACTCTGTGAGAAGAATCCACTCATCACAAAATATTTTCTCAAAATATTTCTTTCTGGTTGTAATACAAAGATATTTCCTTTTTATCCATAGGCTTCAATGCTCTCCCAAATATCTTTTTGCAGATTCTACAAAAACAGTGTACCCAAACTTCTCAATGAAAAGAAAGATTTAACTCTGTAAGATGAATACACACATCACAAAGCAGTTTCTCAGAAAGCTTCTGTCTAGTTCTTCTCTGAAGATATTTCCTTTTCCACCATGGGCCTCTCTGTTCTCCCAAATATCCCTTCGTGCATTCTACTAAAACAGTGTTTCCAAACTGTTCCAAAAAAGAAAGGTTTAATTCTGAAAGATAAATGCACACATCACAAAGCAGTTTCTCAACAACCTTCTTTCTAGTTTTTATCCGGAGATATTTCCTTTTTCTCCGTAGGCTTCAATGTGCTCCCAAATATGCCTTCACAGATTCTACAAAAACAGTGTTTCCAAACCCTTCCATCAGAAGAAAGGTTTAACTGTGTGAGATGAATGCACAGCTCACAAAGCAGTATCTCAGAAAGCTTCTGTCTAAGTCTTCTCTGAAGATATTTCCTTTTCCACTATAGGCCTCAATGAGCTCCCAAATATCCTTATGCAGATTCTACAAAAAAAGTGTTTCCAAATTCTTTCATCAAAAGACGGACTTAACTTGGTGTTATGGATGCACACATCAGAAATCAGTTTCTCATAACCCTTCTTTCCAGTTTTTATCTGAAGACATTCCCTTTTTGACCACAGGCTTTTCTGTGCTACATTATATCGCTTTGCAGATTTTGCAAAAACAGTGTTTCCAAACTGCTCTATCAAAAGAAAGGTTTAACTCTGTGAGGTGAATGCACATATCACAAAGCAGTTTCTCAAAAAGCTTCTTTCTAGTTTTTATCCAAAGATATTTCCTTTATCACCACAGGCTTCAATGTGCTCCGAAATAGCTCATCGCAGGTCCTACAAAATCAGTGTTTTGAAGCTGCTCAATCAAAAGTCAGCTTTATCTCTGTGAGTTGAATGCACACATCACAAAGCAGTTTCTCAAGAATCTTCTTTCCTGTTTTTATCAGTGATAATTCCTTTTTCACCATAGCCTCAGTGGTCTCCTAAATATACCTTTGCAGATTCTACAAAAGCAGTGTTTCCAAATTGATGAATCAACAGAAAGGTTTAAATATGTGTGGTGAATGCACACATCACAAAAGTAGTTTCTCAGATAGCTTCTCTATAATTCTTATCTGAAGATATTCCTTTTTCCAACATCAGCCTCAATGTGCTCCAAAATATCCCTTCTCAGACCCTCTTAAAACAGTATTTCTGAAATGTTCCATCAACAGAAGGATTTAACTCTGTGAGATGAAAACACACATCACAAAGCAGTTCCTGAAAAAGCTTCTTTCTACTTTTTATTGGAAGTTATTTCCTTTATCACCATATGCTTCAAAGCACTCCCAAATATCCCATCGCCAACTCTACAAAAAGTGTTTCCAAACTGCTCAATCAAAAAACAGCTTTAACTCTGTGAGTTGTAAGCACACAACACAAAGCAGTTTCTCAAGAAGTTTCTTTCTAATTTTTATCTGAAGATATTTCCTTTTTCATCATAGGCCTCAAGCACTCCCAAATATCCATTTGCAGTTTCTACAAAAACAGTGTTTCCAAACTGCTCCATGAAAAGAAAGATTTAACTCTGTGAGATGACTGCAAGCATCACCAAGGAGTTTCTCAAATACATTATTCCAGTTTTTATCCAAAGATATTCCCTTTTTCACCATATTCTTCAATGCACTCCCAAATATTCCCTCGCAGATTGTACCAAAACAGTGTTCCTAAATGCTCAACCAAAAGAAAGTTTTAACTCTGTGAGATGAATGCACACATCACAAAGCAGTTCTTAGAAAGCTTCTGTGTAGTTCTTATATGAAGGTATTTCCTTTTCCAATATAGGCCTAAATGCACTCTGAAATATCCCTTTGCAGATTCTACAAAAACAGTGTTTCCAAACTGTTGCATTGAAAGAAGGCCTTAACTCTGAGATGAATGCACACATCAGAAGGCAGTCTCTCATAATGATTTTTTCCAGTTTTTATCTGAAGACATTTCTTTTTTCACCATAGGCTTTTTTTGCACTGCAAAATATTGCTTTGCAGATTTTGCAAAAACAGTGTTTCCAAACTGCTCAGTAAGAAGAAAGTTTTAACTCTGTGAGATGAACACACACAACACAAAGCAGTTTCTCAAAAAGCTTCTTTCTAGTTTTTATCCAAAGATATTTCCTTTTTCACCATAGGACTCATGCACTCCCAAATATCACTTTGTAGATTCTACAAAAACAGTGTTTCTAAACTGCTCAACCAAAAGTATTTTTTAAGTCTCTGAGATGAATGCAGACATCACTAAGCAGTTTCTCAGAAAGCTCTTTTTAGTGTTTATATGAAGATATTTCCTTTTTCACCATAGGCATAATTGCCCTCCCAAATGTCCCTTTGCCAATTCTACAAAAAAAGTGTTTCCAAACTGCTCAATCAAAAGAAACGTTTAACTCTGTGAGAAGAATGCACACATCAGAAAGCAGTTTCCCATAACACTTCCTTTCAGTTTTTACCTTAAGATATTTTCTTGTTCATCATAGGCTTTTTTACGCTACCTAATATTGCTTCATAGATTTTTGGAAAAACAGTGTTCTGAAACTGCTCAGTCAAAGGAAAGGTTTAACTCTGTGGGATGAATGCATACATCACAAATCAGTTTCTCAAAAAGCTCCTTTCTGGTTATTATCTGAAGATATTTCCTTTATCACTATAGGCTTCAAAGCTCTCCCAAATTTCCTGTCACAGATTCTACAAAAACTCTGTTTCCAAACTGCTCAATAAAAAGCAGGTTTAACTCTCTGAGTTGAACAAACTTATCACAAAACAGTTTCTCAAAAATCTTCCTTCTAGTTTTATCTGTAGATAATCCTTTTTTGACCATAGACCCCAATGCGCTCCAAAATATCCCTTTGCAGATTCTACAAAAACAGTGTTTCCAAATTGTTCGATCAAAAGAAGGACTAAACTCTGTGAGATTAACGCACAGATCAGAAAGTAATTTCTCTTAATGCTTCTTTCCAGTTTTTATCTGAAGATATTTCCTTTTTCACCACATGCTTTTTTGTAGTACATAATATCACTTTGCAGATTTTGCAAAAACAGCCTTTCCAAACTGCTCAGTCAAAAGAAAAGTTTTACTCAGTGAGATAAATGCACACATCACAAAGCAGCTTCTCAAAAAGCTTCTTTCTAGTTTTTCTCTGAAGATATTTCCTTTATCACCATAGGATTCTATGTGTGCCCAAATATCCCCTCACAGGGTCTACAAAAACACTGTGTCCAAACTGCTCAACCAAGAAACACTTTTAACTGTGTGAGTTGAATGCACAGATCACAAAGCAGTTTTTCAAAAACTCCTTTCCAGTTTTTATCCAAAGATATTCCTTTTTTCACCATAAGCCTCATGGGCTTCCAAATATCCCTTCACAGATTCTACCAAAACAGTGTTTCCAAACTCATCAATCCAAAAAAAGGTTTAACTCTGTGAGATGAATGCACACATTGCATAGAAGTTTCTCAAAAGGCTTCTTTCTAGTTTTTATTAAAAGATATTTCCTTTTTCACCCTAGGCATCAATGTGCTCCCAAATGTACCTTCACTTATTCTACAAAAATACTGTTTCCAAACAGCTCAATCAGAAGAAAGTTTTAATTTAGTGAGATGAATGCACACATCACAAAGCAGGTTCGCAGAAAGCTTCTGTCTACATCTTCTCTGAGGATATTTCCTTTTCCACCATAGGCTTAATATGCCCCCAAATACCCCTTCACATATTCTACAAAAACAGTGTTTCCAAACTGTTCCATGAAAAGAAGGACTTAACTCTGTGAGAGGAAGACACACATAACAAAGCAGTTTCTCAGAAAGCTTCTTTCTAGTTTTTATCTCAACATAGTTCTCATGCGCTCCCAAATATCCTTTTGCATATTCTACAAAAACACTCTTTCTAAACTGCTGAATGAAAAACAGGGTTAACACTGTGAGTTGAATGCACACATCACAAAGAAGTTTCTCCAGAGTGTGATGTTAGCCTTTCTGGTGTTCCCTTTCTCTTCCTGTGTCCATGTGTTCTCACTGTTCAATTCCCACCTATGAGTGAGAACATGTGGTGTTTGGTTTTTTTCTCCTTGCGATAGTTTACTGAGAATGATGATTTCCAATTTCATCCATGTCCCTAGAAAGGACATGAACTCATCATTTTTTATGGCTGCATAGTATTCCATGGTGTATATGTGCCACATTTTCTTAATCCAGATAGCATTAGGAGATATACCTAATGCTAAATGACGAGTTAATGGGTGCAGCACACCAGCACAGCACATGTATACATATGTAACTAACCTGCACATTGTGCACATGTACCCTAAAACTTAAAGTATAATAATAATAAAATAAAATAAAATAAAATAAAAGAATCAGGGCATTCCCAAAGAAAAGAAGAAAAAAAAAGAAGTTTCTCAAAAACCTGCTCTCTAATTTTTATCCAAAGGTATTTCCCTTTTCACCATAGGCTTCATTGCGCTCCAAAATATACCTTTGCAGATACTACAAAAACAGTGTTTCCAAATTGTTCAATCAAAAGAAAGTTTTAACTTTGTGCAATGAATGTACACACCACAAAGCAGTTTCTCAAATAGCTTCTTTCTAGTTTTAACCAAAGATATTCTCTTTTTTACCATAGGCTTCAATGCACTTCCAAATATCCCTTCGCAAATTCTACAAAAACAGTGTTTCCAAACTGGTCATTCAAAAGAAAAGTTTAACTCTGTGAGATGAATGCAGGCATCACAGAACAGTTTCTCATAAATCTTTTTTTCTCGTTTTTATCTGAAGATATTTTCTTTATCACCATAGGTTTCAATGAGCTCCAAAATATCCCATCACAGATTCTAAAAAAACATGTTTCCAAACTGCTTAATCAAAAAACAGGTTTAAAGTCATGAGTTGAATGCACACATCACAAAGCACTTTCTCAAAAATCTTCTTTCTATTTTTTATCCAATGATTTTTACTTTTTCAACATAAGACACCACGTGCACCAAAGTATAACTTTACAGATTCTAGAAAAACAGTGTTTTGAAACTGCTCTTTCAAAAGAAAGGTTTAACTCTGTGAGATGAATGCACACATCACCAAGCAGCTTCCTGGAAAGCCTCTGTCTACTTCTTCTCTGAGTATACTTCCTTTTCCACCATAGGCCTAAATGCACTCCCAAATATTCCTTCACACATTCTACAAAAACAGTGTTTCCAAACTGCTCCATCAAAAGAAGGACTTAAATCTGCGAGATGAAGGCACACATCAGAAAGCAGTTCCTCATAATGCTTCTTTCCAGTTTTTATCTGAAGATATTTCCTTTTTCACTAAAGGCTTTTTTGTGCTACATAATATTGTTTCACAGATTTTGCAAAAACAGTGTTTCCAACCTGATCAGTCAATAGAATGGTTTAACTCTCTGAGATGAATGCACACGTCATAAAGCAGTTTCTGAAAATGCTTTTTTTCTGGTTTTTATCCAAAGATATTTCAATTATCACCATAGGCTTCAACGCACTCCAAAATATCCCTGCTCAAATTCTGCAAAAACAGTGTTTCCAAACTGCTCAATAAAAAACAGGTATAAATCTGTGAGTTGAATGCAGACATTACAAAGCAGTTTCTCAAAGAGCTTCTGTCTGCTTTTTACCCGAAGATATTTCCTTTTTCACTGTAAGCTATGTGAGCTCCCAAATATCCCTTCCCAGATTCTACAAAAGAGTGTTTCTGAACTGCTCAATCAACACAAAGGTTTAACTCTGTGAGATGAACACATACATAAGAAAGCAGTTTCTCATAATGTGTCTTTCCAAGTTTTATCTGAAGATATTTTCCTGTTCAACATAGGCCTTTGCGCTACCTAACATCACTTTGCAGATTTTGTAAAAACAGGGTTTCCAAACTGCTCAGTCAAAAGAAAGGTTTAATTCTGTGAGATGAATGCACACATCACAAAGCAGTTTCTGAAAAAACTCCTTTCTAGTTTTTATCCAAAGGTATTTACTTTATCACTGTAGGCTTCAATGTGCTCCCAAATACCCCATTGCAGATTCTACAATTAAAGCATTTCCAAATTGCTCAATCAAAAAACAGGTTTAACTCTGAGTTGAATGGACACACAACAAAGCCGTTCCTCAAAAAGCTTGTTTCTAGTGTTTATCCAAAAATATTTCATTTTTCACAATAGGCCTCAGTGTGCTCCCAAATATACCCTGGCAGATTCTACAAAAACGGTGTTTCCAAACTGCTCAACCAAAGGAAAGTTTAACTCTGTGATATGAATGCATACATCACAAAACAGTTTCTCAAAACTTTTCTTTCTAGTTTTTATCTGAAGATATTTCCTTTTTCACCTTAGGCACCTGTGGACTCCCAAATATCCCTTTGCATATTCTACAAAAACACTGTTTCCAAACTGCTTAAGCAAAAGAAAAATCTATCTTTGTGAGAAAAATGCACACAACAAAAAGTGGTTTCTAAGAATGTTTCTAGTTTTTATCTGAAGTTATTTCCTTTTCCACCTTCAGCCTCATGTGCTCCCAAATAGCCCTTTGCAAATTTGATAAAAACAGTGTTTCCAAACTGCTCAGTCAAAAGAAAGGTTTACCTCTCTGAGATGAATGCAGACATAAAAAAGCAGTTTCTCAAAAATCTTCTTTCTAGTTTTTATCGAAATATATTCCCTTTTTCATCATAGGCTTTACTCGATCCCCAAATATCCCTTCCCAGATTCTATGAAAACAATGTTTCCAAACAGGTCAATCAAAAGAAAGTTTAACTCTGTGAGATGAATGCACACATCACAATGCACTTTCTCAGAGAGCTTCTGTCTAGTTCTTTTCTGAAGATATTTCCTTTTCCACAATAGGCCTCATTGCACTCCCAAATATCCCTTCATACATTCTACAAAAACAGTGTTTCCAGACTGTTCCATCAAAAGAAAGACTTAACCCTGTGAGATGAATGCACACATCAGAAAGTAGTTTTTCATAACCGTTCTTTACAGTTTTTATCTGAAGATATTTCCTTTTTCACCATAGGCTTTTTTGTGCTACCTAATATCACTTCACAGATTTTACAAAAAGAGTGTTTCCAAACTGCTCAGTCAAAAGAAAGGTTTACCTCTCTGAGATGAATTCAAACATCATAAGGCAGTTTCTTTAAAAGCTTCTTTCTAGTTTTCATACAAAGATATATTTTCTTCTTCACCACTGGCTTCAAAACACTCCCAAATATCCTACTGCAGATTCTACGAAAAGTGTGTTTCCAAGCTGCTCAATCAAAAAACAAGTTTAACTCTTTGAGTTTAATGCACACATCGCAAAGCAGTTTCTCAAAATGCTTCTTCCTAGTTTTTATCTGAAGATATTTCCTTTTCACCATAGGCCATGGGCACTCCCAAGTATCCCTTCACAGATTCTACAAAAACAGTGTTTCCAATCTGTTCCATCAAAAGAAGGACTTAACTCTTTGAGATGATTGCACACATGTCAAAGCATTTTCTCAAAAATCTTCTTTCTAGTTTTTAAACAAAGATATTTCCTTATCGTCCTAGGCTTCAATGCATTCCCAGATATCCCTTTGCAGATTCTCCAATAACAGTGTTTCCAAACTGCTCAGTGAAAAACCGGGTTTAACTCTGTGAGCTAAACACACACATCACAAAGTAGTTTCTCAAAAATCTTCTTTCAAGTTTTTCTTGGAAGATATTTCCTATTTCATCTTAGGTGTCAGTGCACTCCCAAATATCCCTTTGCAGATTCTACAAAAACAGTGTTTTCAAACTGCTGTATCAAAAGAAATGTTTAAGTCTGTGAGAAGAATGCACACATCATAAAGCAGTTTCTCAGAGAGCTTCTTTCTAATTTTTATCAGAAGCTATTTCCTTTTTCACCATAGGCCTCAAAGTCTCCCAAATATGCCTTCGCAGATTCTTCAAAAACAGTGTTTCCAAACTGATCAATCAAAAGAAAGTTTTACTTCTGTGAGATGAATGCAGTCATTGATAGAAGTTTCTCAGAAAGCTTCTCTGTAGTTTTTATCCAAAGATATTTCCTTTTTCAACATAGACTTCTTTGCACTACAAAAAGTCACTTCGTAGGTTATACAAAAACAGTGTTTCTAAACTACTCTATCAAAAGAAAGGTTTAACTAGGTGAGATGAATGCACACATCACAAAGCAATTTCTCAAAAGGCTTCTTTCTAGTTTTCAATCTGAAGATTTTTCCTTTATCACCATAAGCTTTAATACAATTCATTCCCAAATATCCCTTCGCATAATCTACACAAGAAAATGTTTCAAAACTGCTTAGTTAATAGAAAGGTTTAACCCTGTGAGATGAATGCACACATCCCAAAACAGTTTCTCAGAAAGCTTCTATTTCTTCTCTGAAGATATTTCCTTTTCCACCATAGGCCTCAAAAGCACTCCCAAATATACATTTGCAGATTCTACAAAAACAAGTTTTCCAAACTGTTACATCAAAAGAAGGACTTAACTCTATGAGATGAATGCACACATCCAAAAGCAGTTTCTCATAACGCTTCTTTCCAGTTTTTATCTGAAGATATTTCTTTATCAACATAGGCATTTTTGCACTAAATAATATCGCTCTGCAGATTATACAAACACAGTGTTTCCAAACTGCTCAGTCAAAAGAAAGTTTTAACTTTGCGAGATGAATGCACACATCACAAAGCAGTTACTGAAAAAATTTCTTTCTAGTTTATATCCAAAGATATTTCCTTTTCCACCATAGGCTTAACTGGGCTTTCAAATGTCCCATTGCAGTTTCCCCAAAAACAGTGTTTCCAGACTGCTCATTCAAAAACCAGGTTTAACTCTGTGTGTCGAACACACACATCACAATGCAGTTTCTGAGATAGCTTCTGTCTAGTTATCCTCTGAAGATATTTCCATGATAGGCCTCAAAGCGCTCCCAAATATCACTTCTCAGATTCTCTAAAAACAGTGTTTCCAAACTGTTCCATAAAAAGAAGAATTTAGCTCTCTGAGATGAATGCACACATCAGAAAGCCGTTTCTCATAATGTATCTGAAGAAATTTTCCTTTCCACCATAGACCTTTTTGTGCTATGGAACATTGTTTCACAGGTAATACAAAAAGAGTGTTTCCAAGCTGCTCAGTCAAATGAAAAATTTAACTCTGTGAAATGAATGCATATATCACAAAGCAGCTTCTCAAAACCTTCTTTCTGGTTTTTACCCGAACATATTTCCTTTTTCACCGTAGGCATCTATGCACTCCCAAATATCCCTTTGCAGATTCTATGTAAACCGTGCTTCCAAACTGCTCAATCAAAAGAAATGTTTAAATCTGTGAGAAGAATGTATTCTTCACAAAGCAGTTTCTCACAAAGCCTCTTTCTAGTTTTTATCTGAAGTTATTTCCTTTTTCACCATAGGCCATGTGCACACCAAAATATCCCTTCAGAGATTCTACAGAAACAGTGTTTCAAAACTGAACAATCAAAAGAAATGTTTAACTCTGTGAGATGAATGCACTCATCACAAAGCAGTTTCTCAAAAAGCTTATTCTAGTTTTTATCTTAAGATATTTCCTTTTTCACCATAGGCATCAGTGCACTCTCAAATATCCCTTCACAGATTCTACAAAAACAGTGTTTCCAAACTCCTCAATCAAAAGAAAGGTTTAACTCTGTGAGACAAATGCACACATCAAAATGCAGTTTCTCAGAGAGCTTCTGTCTAGTTCTTCTTTGAAGATATTTCCTTTATCACCATAGGCTTCAATGCACTCCCAAATATCCCATCACAGATTCTACAAAAGCAGTGTTTCAAAACTGCTCAATGAGAAAAACTGCTTTAACTCTATGAGACGAATGCCCACATCACAACGCAGTTTCTCAGAAAGCTTCTGTCTGGCTGTTCTCTGAAGATATTTCCTTTTCCACCTTAAGCCTCAATGTGCTCCCAAAGATCCCTTTGCAGATGCTGCAAAAACAGTCTTTCCAAACTGTTCCATTGGAAGAATGACTTAGCAGTCTGAGATGAACGGACACATCAGAAAGCAGGTTCTCATAACGCTTCTTTCCAGTTTTTATCTGAAGATATTTCCTTGTTCATCATAGGCTTTTTTGTGCTACCTGATACAGCTTCGCAATTATTGAGAAAACAGTGTTTCCAAACTGCTTAGTTAAAAGAAAGGTTTAACTCTGTGAGACGAATGCACATATCACAAAACAGTTTCTAAAAAGGCTTCTTTCTAGTTTTTATCTGAAGATATTTCCTTTATCACCATAGGATTCAATGCACTCCCAAATATCCCATCACAGATTCTACAAAAACAGTGTTTCCAAACTGCTCAATGAAAAAACTCTTTTAACTCTGTGAGCTGAATGTCCACATCCCAAAACAGTTTCTTAAAAATCTTCTTGCTAGTTTAATCCAAAGATATTTCCTTTTCAACCTAGGCCTCAGTGCATTCTGAAACATACTTTTGCAGATTCTACACAAACAGTGTTTCCAAACTGCTCAATGAAAAAGCTGCTTTAACTCTGTGAGTCAAATGCCCACATCACAAAGCAGTTTCTGAAAAGCTTTTTTCTACTTTAATCTGAAGATATTTCCTTTTCACCATAGGCCTCAGTGAATTCTGAAATATACTTTTGCAGATTCTCAAAAACAGTGTTTCCAAACTGCTCAATCAAAAGATAGTTTTAACTCTGTGAGATGAATGCACAAATCACAAAGTGGTTTCTCAGAAAGCTTCTTTCTAGCTTTTATCTGAAGTTATTTCCTTTTTCACCATAGGCATTTCATGCTCCCAAACATCCCTTTGCAGGTTCTACAAAAACAGTGTTTCCAATCTACTCAATCAAAACAAAGTTTTAACTATCTTAGAAGAATGCACACATCACAAAGCAGTTTCTCAGAAAACTTCTGTCTAGTTCTCCTCTGAAGTTATTTCCTTTTCCATCATAGGCCTTAACGCACTACCAAATATCGCTTTGCCAATTCTACAAAAACAGTGTTTCTAAACTGTACCATCAAAAGAAGGATTTAACTCTGTGCAATGAATGCATACATCTGATATCAGTTTCTCATAATGATTCTTTCCAGTTTTTATCTGAAGATATTTCCTTGTTCACAATAGGCCTTTTTGTGTTACTTAACAATGCTTCACAGATTATACAAAAAGAGTGTTTCCAAACTGCTCCATGAAAAGAAAAGTTTAACTCTGTGAGATGAATGAATACATCACAAACGGTTTCTCAAAAAGCTTCTTTCTAGTTTTGATCTGAAGTCATTTCCTTTTCACCATAGGCATCAATGTGCTCCCAAATATCCCTTTGCAGTTTCTACAAAAGCAGTGTTTTGAAACTGCTCAATCAAAAGGAATATTTAATTCTGTGAGAAGAATGCACACATCACAAAGTGGTTTCTCACAAAGCTTCTTTCTCGTTTATATCTGAAGTGATTTCCTTTTTTAACATAGTCATTGCACACTCCAAATATCCCCTCAAATATTCTACAAAAAGAGTTTCCAAAATGATCAATCAAAAAGAAAGGTTTAACTCTGTGAGATGAATGCGCAGATCACAAAGCAGTTCTCAAAACTTTCTTTCCTGTTTTTATCCAAAGATATTTTCTTTTTCACCAGAGGCCTCGGTGTGCCCCCAAATATACCTTTGAAGATTCTACAAAAACAGTTTTTCCACACTGCTCAATCAACAGAAAGGTTTAACTCTGTGAGAAGAATGCACACATCAAAAAGCAGTTTCTCAGATAACTTCTGTCTAGCTCTTGTCTGATGACATTCCCTTTTCCACCAAAGGTCTCAAAGTGGTCCCTAATATCCCTTCACAGATTCTATAAAAACAGTGTTTCTTAACAGTTCCATCAAAAGAAGGATTTAACTCTGTGAGATGAATGCACACATCAGAAAGCAGTTTTTCATACTGCGTCACTCCAGTTTTTATCTGAAGATAATTCCTTGTTTGCCATAGGCCTTTTTGCACTATTTAACATCACTTCACAGATTACACAAAAATATTGTTTCCAAATTGCTCAGTCAAAAGAAAAGTTTAACTCGGTGAGATGAATGCATGCATCACAAAACAACTTCTCAAAGGATTTCTTTCCAGTCTTTATCTGAAGATATTTCCTATTTCACCATATGCATCATTGCACTCCCACATATCCCTTTGCAGTTTCTACAAAAATAGTGTTTCCAAACTGCTCAAACAAAACAAAAACGTTTAATTCTGTGAGAAGAATGCACGGATCACAAAGAAGTTTCTCAGAATGCTTCTGTCTAGTTTTTATCTGAAGATATTTCTTTTTCACCATAGACCTCAAACTGCTCAGAAATATCCCTTTGCAGATTGTACAAAAAGACTGTTTCCAAACTGCTCAATCAAAAGAAAACTTCAACTCTGTGAGATGAATGCACACAACACAAAGAAGTTTCTCAAAAAGCTTCTGTCTAGTTTTTATGTGAAGATATTTCCTTTTTCACCATAGGCCTTCAAACCGCTCACAAATATCCCTCTGCAGAATCTACAAAAAGACTGTTTCCAAACTGCTCAATCAAAACAAAGGTTCAACTCTGTGAGATGAAAGCATACATCACAAAGAAGTTTCTCAGAAAGCTTCTGTCTAGTTTTTATGTGAATATATTTCTTTTTTCACCACAGGCCTCAAACCGCTCACAGATATCCATCTGCAGATTCTACAAAAAACTGTTTCCAAACTTCTGAATCAAAAGAAAGGTTTAACTTTGTGAGATGAAGGAACACATCACAAAGCAGTTTCCCAAAAAGATTCTTCCTAGTTTTTATATGGAGATGATGTTTTCTTTATTGCCATAGGCCTCAATAATCTACCTGTTATCCTGTCTGAGATTCTACAAAAACAGTGTTTCCAAACTGCTCAATCAAAAAACATGTTTAACTCTGTGAGTTGAATGCACACTTCACAAAACAGTTTCTCTAAAAGCTTCTTTCTAGTTTTTATGTGAAGATATTTCCTTTTCAACCTAGGCCTCATAGCACTCACAAATATACCCTTGCCGATTCTACAAAAACAGTGTTTCCAAATTGCTCAATGAAAAGAAAGACTTAACTCTGTGAGATGAATGCAGACATCCCAAAGCAGTTTTTCAAAAATCTTCCTCCTAGTTTTCATCTGAAGTTATTTCTTTTTTCAAAATAGGCATTGTGCACTCCCAAATATCCCTTCACAGATTCAGATTCTACAAAAGCAGTGTTTCCAAAGTGATCAATCAAAAAATACGTTTAACACTGTGAAATGAATGCACACATCTCAAAGCAGTTTCTCAGAATGCTTCTGTATTATTCTTCTCTGAAGGTATTTTATTTTCCACCATAGGACTCAATGCCCTCCCAAATATAGCTTCGTAGATTCTACAAAAACAGTGATTAAACACTATTCCATCTAAAGAAGGACTTAACTCTGTGAGATGGACGCACACATCAGAAAGCAGTTTCTTATAATGCTTCTTTCCAGTTTTTATCTGAAGATATTTCCTATTTCACCGTAGGCTTCAATGAGCTCCCAAATATCCCTTTGCAGACCCTACAAAAACAGTGTTCCAAGCTGCTCAATCAAAAAACAGGTATAATTCTGTGAAAAAAATCACACTTCACAGGGTGTTATCTGAGAAAGCATCTTTCTAGTTTTTATCTGAAGTTATTTCCTTTTTCAACATAGGCCTCAGTGTGCTGACAAATATCCCTTCACAGATTCCACCAAAACAGTGTATCGAAACTGCTGAATCAAAACAAAGTTTTAACTCTGTGAGATGAGTGCACACATCCCAAAGCAGTTTCTCTTAAAGCTTCTTTCTGCTTTTTATCTGGATATATTTCCTTTTTCACTGTAGGCTTCAATGCGCTCCAAAATAACCCATTGTAGATTCTGCCAAAAGGTTGTTTCCAGACAGCTCCACTAAAGAAAAAATTTAACGCAGTTAAATGAATGCACACATCACAAATCTGTGTCTCAGAAAGCTTCTTTCCAATTACTATCTGAAGATATTTCCTTGTTCACCATAGGCCTATTATTACTACCAAACGTCACTTTGCAGATTATACAAAAACAGTGTTTCCAAACTGCTCAATCAAAAGAAAGATTTAACTCTCTGAGAAGAATGCACACATCACAAAGTGGTTTCTCAGAGAGGTTCCTTGTGTTTTTATCCTGGGATATTCACTTTTTCAACAATGGCCTCAATTAGTTCCCAAATGTCCATCCACAGAATGGGCAAAAGCAGTATTTCTGAACAAATGAATACAAAGAAAGTTTTAAGTCTGAGATGAATGCACACATCACAAAGCAGCTTCTCTGAAAGCTTCTTTATAGTATTTATCTGAGGATATTTCCTATTTTACCATAGGCCTCAATGTGTTCCCAGGTATCCCATCACAGATTCTACAAAAACAGTGCTTTCAAATGGCTGAGTGAAAAGAAAAGTTTAAATCTGCAAGATGAATGCACACAACACAGCATGGCTTCTCAGACCACTTCCTTCTAGTACTTATCCTGGGATATTCACTTTTTCCCCATTGACCTCAATGACCTCCCAAATATCCATTCACAGAATGGACAAAAACAATGTTTCCAAACTGCTGAATGCAAAGAAACATTTACTCTGTGAGATGAATGCACACTTCACAAAGCATAATCTCAGAAAACTTATTTTTCGTTTTTATCTGAAGATATTTCCTACTTCATCATCAAAGGCCTCATTGCCCTCCCAACTTTCCCTCTGCAGATACTGCAAAAACAGTGATTCCAAAATGCTGGATGAAAAGAAAGGTTTAGCTCTCAGAGATGAATGCACGCATCACAAAGTGGTTTCTCAGAGAGATTCCTTCTAATTTTTTTTCTGAGATACTCACTTTTTTGCCATTGGCCTCAATGAGTTTCCAAATGTCCATTTGCAGAATGGACAAAAACAGTGTTTCCAAACAGATGAATTCAAAGAAAAGTTTAACTCTGTGAGATGAATTCACACATAAGAAAGCAGTTTCTCAGAAAGCTCCTTTCTAGATTTTATCCAAAGATATTTCCTTTTTAATCACAGGCCTCAACAAGCTCCCAAATATCTCTTCACAGATTAGAGCAAAACAGCATTTCCAAACTGCTGAGTGATAAGAAAGGTTTAACTCTGTGAGAAGAATGCACACATCACAAAGCAGTTTCTCAGATACCTTCCTTCTAATTTTTATCCTGGGATCTTTCCTTTTTTGCCATTGGCCTAAATGAGATCCAAAATATCCATTTTCAGAATAGATAAAAACTGTTTTTACCAACTGCTAAATCGAAAGAAAGTTTTAACTTTGTGAGATGAATGCACACATCAAAAAAGTGGTTTCTCAGATAGATTTGCTCTATTATTTTTCCTGGGAATTTTGCTTTTTCACCATCGGTCTCAATGAGATCACAAATATCCATTCACAGAATGGACAAAAACAGTGTTTTCAGACCGTTGAATGAAAAGAAAGGTTTAACTCTGTGAGATGAATGCAAACTTCAAAAAGCAGTTTCTCAAAAAGATTATAGTTTTTATCCAAAGATATTTCCTTTTTCACCATAGGCCTCAATGTGCTCCCAAATATACCTGCGAACATTCTACCAAAACAGTGTTTCCAAACTGCTGAATGAAAAGAAAAGTTTAAATCTAGGAAATGAATGCACATATCAGAAAGCAGTTTCTCAGATAGTGTCCTTCTAGTTTTTATCCTGGGATATTTGCTGCTTTGCATCAGCCTCAATGAGTTCCCAAATGTGCATTTGCAGAATGGACAAAAAGAGTGTGTCAAAGCTGCTGAATCCAAAGAAAGGTTAACTCTGTGAGATGAATTCACACGATACAGCAGTTTCTCAGAAAGCTTCTTTCTAGTTTTTATCTGAAGATATTTCCTTTTTCACCATAAACCTCAAGGCAATCCTAAATATCCCTGCACAGATTATACCAAAACAGTGTTTCCAAACTGCTGAGTGAAAGAAAAGTTTAACTTTGCAAGATGAATGCACACATCACAGTGCAGTTTCTTACAAAGCTTCCTTCTAGTATTTACCTGGGATATTCGCTTTTTTGCTTTGGCCTCAATGAGCTCCCAAATATCCATTCACAGAAGGGACAAAGGCAGTTTCCAAACTGCTGAATCCAAAGAGATTTTTAACTCTGAGATGAATGCACACATCACAAAGTAGTTTCTCAGAAAGCTTCTTTCTCATTTTTCAGAAGATATTTCCTTTTTCACCATAGGCCTCAAAGTGCTCCCAAATATCCCTTCACAGATTCTGCCAAAACTGTGTATACAAACTGCTGAATGAAAAGAAAGGTTTAACTCTAGAAGTTGAAAGCACATATCACAAAGTGCTTCCTCAGATAGCTTCTTTCTAGTTTTTATCCTGGGATATTTGCTTTTTTGCTATTGGCCTCAATGAGTTCCCAAATGTCCATTCACCGAATGGACGAAAACAGTGTTTCCAAACTGCTGAATCCAAAGAAAGCTTTATCTCTGCAAGATGAATGCACACATCACATAGCAGTTTCTCAGAAAGCTTCTTTCTAATTTTTATCTGAAGCTATTTCCTTCTTTACCATTGGCCTAAATGCGCTCCCTAATATCCCTTTGTAGATTCTACCAAAACAGTGTTTCCAAACTGTTGAATGAAAAGACAGTTTTAAGACGGCAAGATAAAGGCACACTTCCCAAAGTGTTTCTCACATAGCCTCTTCTAGTTTTTATCCCAGTGTATTCCCTTTTTCACCACTTGCCTCAATGAGCTCCCAAATGTCCATTTGCAGAACGCACAAAAACAGTGTTTCCAAACTGCTGCATACAAAGAAATGCTTAAGTCTGTGAGATGAATGCAAACATCACAGAGCAGTTTCTCAGAAAGATTCTTTCTTTTTTTTATCTGAAGATATCTCCTATTTCATCAAAGGTCTCAATGCGCTCCCAAATTTCCCTCACACATACTGCAAAAACTGATTCCAAACTGGTGAATGATAAGAAGTGTTTAAATCTAGGAGATGAATGCAGACTTCACAAAGTGGTTTCTCAGATAGCTTCTTTCTACTACTTATCCTGTGATATTCACTTTTTCATCATTGGCCTCAATTAACTCCTAAATGTCCAGCCGCAGAATGGACAAAACAGTGTTTCCAAGCTACTGAACCCAAAGAAAAGTTTAACTCTGTGAGATGAATGAACACATCACTTAGCAGTTTCTCAGAAAGCTTCTTTCTAATTTTTATCTTAAGCTATTTCCTTTTTCTCCATTGGCCTAAATGCACTCCCTAATATCCCTTTGTAGATTCTACCAAAACAGTGTTTCCAATCTGTTGAATGAAAAGAAAGGTTTAACTCTGCAAGATGAAAGCATGCATCTCAAAGTGTTTCTCAGATAGCTTCCTTCTAGTTTTTATCCTAGGTTATTTCCTTTTTCACCATTGGTCTCAATGAGCTTCCAAATGTCCATTCACAGAATGCACAAAAACAGTGTTACCAGACTGCTGAATCCAAAAAAGTGTTTAAATTTGTGAGATGAATGCATGCATCCCAAAGCAGTTTCTCAGAAATATTTTTTCTTATTTCTATCGGAGATATTTCCTTTTTCATATAAGGCCTCAATGTGCTCCAAAATTTCCCTTCACAGATATTTCAAAACCAGTGATCCCAAACTGCTAAATGAAAAGAAAGTTTTAAACTCAAAGAGATGAATGCAAGCATCACAAAGCAGATTCTCAGATCGATTCTTTTTACTTTTTATACTGGGATATTCACTTTTTCACCAAAGGCTTCAATGAGTTCTGAAATGTCCACTCACAGAATGGACAAAAACAGTATGTTGAAACTGCTGAATCCAAAGAAATGTTAAGTCTGTGAGATAAATTCACGCATCACAAAGCAGTTTCTGAGAAAGCGTCTTTCTAGTTTTTATCTGAAGACATTTCCTATTTCATCAAAGGCCTCATTGCACTCCCAAATATCCCTTCGCAGATACTGCAAAACCAGTGATTCCAAACTGCTGAATGAAAAGAGATGTTGAACTCTTGGTGACGAATGCACACATCAAAAAGCAGTTTCTCAGATAGCTTATTTCCAGTTTTCATCCTGGGGTATTCCCTTTTTCTCCATTAGCTTCAGTGAGTTCCCAAATGTCCATTCACAGAATGGAAAAAAAAATGTTTCCAAATGGCTGAATACAAAGAAATGTTAAAGTCCATGAGATGAATGCAGACATTACAAAGCAGTTTCTCAGAAAAAATATTTCTAGTTTTTCTGTGAAGATATTTCCTTTATCATCAAAGGCCTCAATGTGCTCCAAAATTTCCCTTCGCAGATACTGTAAAAAAAGTGGTTCCAAACTGCTGAATGAAAAGAATGGTTTAACTGTGGGAGATGAATGCAAACATCACAAGCAGTTTCTCAGATAGCTTCCTTCTAGTTTTTATCCTGGGATATTTGCCATTAGCCTCAATGAGTTTCCAAATGTCCATTCACAGAATGGACAAAAACAGTGTTTCCAAACTACTGAATCAAAACAAAGGTTTAACTCTGTGAGATGAATGCACATATCACCAAGCAGTTTCTCAGAAATCTTCTTTCTAGTTTTTATCTGAAGATATTTCCTTTTTCACCATAAGACTCAGTGCACTCCCAAATATCCCTTTGCAGGTTATAGCACATCAGTGTTTTCAAACTGCTGAGTTAAAAGAAATGTTTAACCCTAGGAGATGAATGCACACATCACAAAGTTGTTTCTCAGATAATTTAATTCTAGTTTTTATCCAGGGATATTCGATTTTCACCATGGACTCAAAGAGTTCCCATATGTCCATTCACAGAGTGGACTAAAACAGTGTTTCCAAACTGCTAAAGCAAAAGAAATGCTTACTCTGTGAGATGAATGCACATATCACAAAGTATTTTCTCAGAAAGAGTCTTTCTGGTTTTTATCTGAAGATATTTCCTTTTTCACCATAGGCCTCCATGTGCTCCCAAATATCCCTTCATAGATTCTACCAAAACAGTGTTTCCAAACTGCTGAATGAAAAGAAAGGTTTAGCTGTGTAAGATGAAT
Organism: Homo sapiens; assembly: GCF_000001405.40. Lineage (NCBI taxonomy): Eukaryota > Metazoa > Chordata > Mammalia > Primates > Hominidae > Homo > Homo sapiens. The sequence continues at coordinate 45,947,364 of NC_000005.10, read as the reverse complement.
GCACACATCAAAAAGTGCTTTCTCAGGTAGCATCCTTCTAGTTTTTAACTTGGGATATTCACTTTTTTGCCACTGGCCTCAATGAGCTCCCAAAAGTCCATTCGCAGAATGGACAAAAACAGTGTTCCCAAACTGCTGAATCCAAAGAAATGTTTAAATCTGTTAGATGAATGCACACATCACAAAGCAGTTTCTCAGAAAGTTTCTTTCTAGTTTTTATCTCAAGCTATTTCCTGTTTCATCAAAGGCCTCAATGCACTCCCAAATTTCCCTTTGCAGATTGTAATAAAACAGTGTTTCCAAACTGCTGAATGAAAAGAAAGTTTTAACTCTAGATTAAAGCACACATCACAAAGTGGTTTCTAAGGTAGCTTCCTTCTAGTTTTTATCCTGGGATATTTGCTTTTTCACCGTTGGCCTCAAAGAGTTCCCAAACATCCATTCGCAGAATGGACAAAAACAGCGTTGCCAAACAGATGAATCCAAAGAATAGTATAACTCTGTAAGATGAATGCACACATCACAAAGCAATTTCTCAGAAAGTTTCTTTCTAGTTTTTATTTGAAAATATTTCCTTTTTTACCATAGGCCTCGATGCACTCCCAAATATGCCTTCACAGATTCTACCACAGCAGTGTTTCCAAACTACTGAATTAAAAGAAAGGTTTAGGTCTGTCAGATAAATGCACACATCACAAAGCGGTTTTTCAGACAGCTTCCTTGTAGTTTTTGTCCTGGGATAGTCACCTTTTCACCTTTGGCCTCAATGAATTTCAAAATATTCCTTTGCAGATTCTATAAAAATAGTGTTTCCAAACTGCTGAATGAAAAGAGTGGTTGAACTCTAGGAGATGAATGCACACATCTCAAAGTGGTTTCTCAGAAATCTTCTTTCTAGTTTTTATCTGAAGATATTTCCTAGTTCACTAAAGGCCTCAAAGTGCTCAAAAACTGCCCTTTGCAAATACTGCAAAAACAGTGATTCAACACTGCTGAATTCAAAGAAAGGTTTACCTCTAGGAGTTGAATGCAGAAATCAAAAAGTGTATTCTTAGACAGCTTCTTTCTAGTTTTTATCCTGGGATATTCACTTTTTCTCCTTTGGCCTCAATGAGTTTTGGAATGTCCTTTTGCAGAATGGACAAAGACAGTGTTTCCAAACCTCTGATTCACAAGAAATGCTTAACTCTGTGAGATGAATGCACACATCACAAAGCAGTTTCTCAGACAGCTTCTTTCTAATTTTTATATGAAGATATTTCATTTTTCTCCATGGGCCTCAATGCCCTCCAAAATATCCCTTCACCGATTCTACCAAAACAGTGTTTCCAAAATGCTTTCTCAGAAAGTTCCTGTCTAGTTTTTATTTGAAGATATTTCCTTTTTCACCATCGGCCTCATTGGGCTCCCAAATATACCATCGCAGATTCTACCAAAACAGTGTTTCCACACTGCTGAATGAAAATAAAGGTTTAGCTCTCTGAGATGAATGCACACATCACAAAGTGGTTTCGGAGATAGCTTCCTTCGAGTTTTTATCCTGGGATATTCCCTTTTTGGCCTTTGGCCTCAATGAGCTCACTAATATTCATTTGCAGAATGGACAAAAACAGTTTCCAAACTTCTGAATCCAAAGAAATTTTTATCTCTCTGAGATGAATGCACGTGTCACAAAGACTTTCTCTCAAACTTCTTTCTAGTTTTTATCTGAAGATATTTTCTATTTTATCAAAGGCCTTAATGTGCTCCCAAATTTCCCTTCACTGATACTGCAAAAACAGTGTTTCCATACTGGTGAATGTAAAGAAAGGTTTAACTTCAGGATATGAAAGCACACATCATACAGCAGTTTCTCAGATTGCTTCCTTCTAGTTTTTATCCTGGGTTATTTGCTTTTTTGCCTTTGGCCTCTATGAACTCCAAAATGTCCATGTGCAGAATGGACAAAAACAGTGTTTCCAAATTGCAGAATTCACATAAATGTTTAACTCTGTGAAGTGAAGGCACACATCACAAAGCAATTTCTCCAAAATCTTCTTTCTAGTCTTATCTGAAGTTATTTCCTTTTTCACCATATGCCTCAATGTGCTCCCAAATATCTATCTCTTCACAGATTCTACCAAAACAGTCTTTCCAAACTGCTGAGTGAAAAGAAATTTTTAAGTTTCTGAGAAAAATGCACACATCATAGACCAGTCTCAGATAGCTTCCTTCTAGTTTTTAATCCTGGGATATTTGCTTTTTCGCCATGGGCCTCAAAGAGTTCCCAAGTGTCCATTCACGGAATGGACAGAAACAGTTTCCAAACTGCTGAATCTAAAGAAAGTTTTAACTCTGTTAGATGAATGCACACATCACAGAGCAATTTCTCAGAAAGATTCTTTCTAGTTTTGATTGGAAGATATTTTCTATTTCTCCATAGGCCTCAAGGCAGTCCCAAATACCTTTCACAGTTTGTACAATAACAGTGTTTCCAAACTACTGAATCAACAGAAATGTTTAATGCTACAGGATGAATGCACACATCACAAAGCGGATTCTCAGATACTTTCCTTCTGGATTGGATCCTGGGATATTCGTTTTTTCACCATTGGCCTCAATGAGTTCCCAAATGTCCATTCTCAGAATGGTCAAAAACAGCGTTTCCAAACTGCTGAATCAAAATAAATGTTTAACTCTGTGATGAATGCAACATCATAAAGCTGTTTTTCAGAAAGCTTCTTTCTATTTTATACATGAAGATATTTCCTTTTTCACCATAAGCCTCAATGCATTCCCAAATATCCCTTCACAGATTCTACCAAAATTGTTTTTCCAAACTGCTGAATGAAAAGAAAAGTTTAACTTTGTGAGATGAATGCACACATCACAATGCCGTTTCCCAGCTAGCTTCCTTCTAGTTGTTATCATGGGATATTCCCTTTTTTGCCATTAGCCTCAATGAGCTTACAAATGCTCATACACATAATTGACAAAAATAGTATTTCCAAACTGCAGCATCAAAAGAAAGGTTTGACTCTCTGATATGAATGCACACATCACAAAGACATTTCTCAGAAAGCTTCTTTCTAGTTTCTATTTGAACATATTTTCTTTTTCACCATAAGCCTCAAAGCACTCCAAAATATCTTTTTGCAGATTCTACAAAAACAGTGTTTCCAAACTGCTGAATGAAAATAAAGGTTTAACACTACAAGATGAATGCACACCTCACAAAGTAGTTTCTCAGATAGCTTCCTTCTAGTTTTTATCCTGGGATATTCACTTTTTTGCCATTGGTCTCAATGAGCTCCCAAATGTCCATTCGCAGAATAGACAAAAACAGTGTTTCCAAACAGCTGAATCAAAAGAATGGTTTAACTCTGTGAGGTGAATGCACACAACACAAATCAGTTTCTCAGACAGCTTTTTTCTAATTTTTATCTGAATATATTTTCACCATAGTCCTCAATGCTCTCCTAAATATCCATTCATGGATACTACAAAAACAGTGTTTCCAAACTACTGAATGAAAAGAAAGGTTTAATTCTGTGAGATGAAAGCACACATCACAAAGTGGTTTCTCAGATAGATATCTTCTTTTTTTAATCTTAATATATTCACTTTTTCACCATTAACCACTATGAGCTCCCAAATGCTCATAAGCAGAATTGAAAAAAATTTGCGTTTCCAAACTGCTGAATCAAAAGAAAGGTTTAAATCTGGGATATGAATGCACACATCACAAAGCAGTTTCGCAGGAAGCTTCTTTCTAGCTTTTATCTGAACATATTTTCTTTTTCACCATAGGCCTCAATGGGCTCCCAAAATTCCCTTTACAGATTCTACAACAATAGTGTTTCCAAACAGCTGAATGAACAGAAAGGTTTAATTCTTTTAGATGAATGCACACCTCACAAAGGGGTTTCTCAGAATGCTTCTTTCTAGTTTTTATAGGGAGATCTTCATTTTATTGCAATTGTCCTCAATGAGCTCCAAAATGTCCCTTCAGAGAATGGACAAAAACAGTGTTTCCAAACTGTCGAATCAAAAGAAGAGTTGAACTCTGTGAGAGGAGTGCTCACATCACAAAGCAGTTTATCAGAAAGCTTCTGTCCACTTTTTATCTGAAGATATTTTCTTTTTCACCATAGGTCTCAATGAGCTCCCAAATATCCCTTCCAACATTCTAAAAAACAGTGTTTCCAAACTGCTGAATGGAAAGAAAGGCTTAACTCTGTGAGATGAATGCACACATCACAAAGCTTATTCTCAGATAGCTTCCTTCTAGTTTTTATCCTGGGATATTCAGTTTTTCACCTTTGGCCTCAATGAGTTCCGAAATGTCCATTCACAGAATAGACAAAACAGTGTTTCCAAACTGCTGCATCCAAAGAAAAGTTTAAGTCTGTGAGATGAATGCAAACATCACAATACAGTTTCTCAGAAAGATTCTTTCTATTTTTTATCTGAAGATATTTCCTTTTTCACCACAGGAATCAATGCACTCCCAAATATCCCTTTGCAGATTCTACCAAGACAATGTTTCAAAACTGCTGAAAGAAAAGAAAGGTTTAACTTTAGGAGATGAATGCACACATCAAAAAACAATTTTTCAGATAGCTTCCTTCTAGTTTTTGTTCTGGGATATTCACTTTTTCACCATTGGCCTCAATGAGTTGCCAAATGTCCATTTGCAGAACGGAAAAAACAGTGATTCCAAAACAGATGAATCCAAAGAAAGGTTTAACTATGTGAGATGAATGCACACATGACAAAGCAGCTTCTCAGAAAGCTTCTTTCTAGTTTTTGTCTGACATTTCCTTTTTCACCAAAGTCCTCAATGCATTCTGAAATATCCCTTCGAGATTCTACCAAAGCAGTGTTTCCAAACTGCTGAATGAAAGAAAGGTTTAACTCTGTGACATGAATGCACACATCAAAATGCAGTTTCTCAGATAGTTTCCTTCTAGTTTTTAACCTAGGATATTCCATTTTTCTCCATTGGCCACATTGAGCTCCCAAATATCCATTCGTAGAATGGAAAAAAATGGTGTTTCCAAACTGCTGAATCCAAAGAAATATTTAAATATCTGAGATGAATGCACACATCACAAGGTGGTGTATCAGGTTACTTCCTTCAAGTTTTTATCCTGGGATATTCGCTTTTTCACAATTGGCCTCAAAGAGATCCCAACAAACAGTCCATTCGCGAAATGGACAAAAACAGTTATTCCAAAATGCTGAATCCAAAGAAAGGTTAAACTCTGTGAAATGAATGCACACACCACAAAGAAGTTTATCAGAAAGCTTCTTTATATTTTTTATCAGAAGATATTTCCTTTTTAAAGAAAGGCCTCAATGAGCTCCCAAATATCCCTTCACAGATTCTACCAAAAGAGTGTTTCCAAACTTTTGAATGAAAAGAAAGTTTAAACTTCACGAGATGAATGCACACATCAAAAAGCAGTTTCTCAGATAGCTTTCCTCTATTTTTTATCCTGGGATATTCGCATTTACACCATTGGCCTCAATGAGCTCCCAAATGTACATTTGCAGAATTAGCAAAAACATTGTTTCCAAACTGCTGAATCCAAAGAAAGTTTTAGATCTGTCAGATGAATGCAGACACCACAAAGCAGTTTCTCAGAAAGCATCTTTCTAGTTTTTATCTGAAGATATTTCCTTTTTCACCATAGACTTCAATGTGCTCCAAAATATCCCTTCAAAGATTCTACAAAAAGAGTGTTTCCAAACTGCTGAATGGAAAGAAAGGTTAAAATCCATGAGATGAATGCCCAGATAATAAAGGGGTTTCTCAGATAGCTTTCTTCTAGTTTTTATCCAGGGATATTCTCTTTTTTGCCCTTGGACTCAATGAGTTCCCAAAAGTCCACTTGCAGGATAGACAAAAACATTGTTTCCAAACTACTGAAACCAAAGAAATGTTTATCTCTCTCAGATGAAAGCACATATCACAAAATAGTTTCTCAGAAAATTTATTTCTGTTTTTTATCTGAGGATAATTACTTTTTCAACCATAGGCCTCAATATGCTCCAAAATATACCTTCACAGTTTCCACCAAACCAGTGTTTCCAAATAGCTGAATGAAAAGAAAGTTTTAACTCTAGGAGATGAATGCACAGGCCACAAAGCAGTTTCTCAGATAGCTTCCTTCTAGTTTTTATCCTGGGATATTCCCTTTTTCACCATTGGCCTCAATGAGTTCCCAAATGTCCATTCACAGAATGGACAAAACCAGTGTTTAAAAACTGCTGAATCCAAAGAAAGTCTTAACTCTGTGAGATGAATTTACAAATCAAAAAGGAGTTTCTCAGAAATAATCTTTCTAGTTTTTATCTGAAGTTTTTTCATTTTTCACCCTAGGCCTAATTGTGCTCCCAAATATCCCTTTGCAGTTTCTACCAAAACAGTGTTTCCAAACTGCTGAATTAAAAGAAAGGATTTACCCTGTGAGGTGAACTCACACATCACAAAGCAATTTCTCAGGTAGCTTACTTCTAGTTATTAACCTGGGATATTTGCTATTTCACCAATGGCCTCAATGAATTCCCAAATGTCTATTCGCAGAATAGACAAAAAGAGTGTTTCCAAACTGCTGAATCCAAAGAAAAGCTTATCTCTGTGAGATGAATACACCCTTCAAAAAGCAGTTTCTCAGAAATTTTCGGTCTAGTTGTTATCTGAAAATATTTGTAATTAATCAAAGGCCTCAACAGACTCCCGAATTTCCCTATGAAGATACTGCAAAAGCAATGATTCCAAACTGCTGAATGACAACAATGGTTTATCTCAGTGATGTGAATCCACATATCAAAAAGTGCTTTCTCAGATACCTTCCTTCCAGTTTTTTCCTAGGATATTCACTTTTTCAGCATTGGCCTCAATAAGTTCCAAAATATCCTCAACAAAAACAGTGTTTCCAAACTGCTGAATCCAAAGAAAGTTTAACTCTTTGAGATAAATACACACATCACAAAGTAGTTTCTCAGAAAGCTTCTTTCTAGTTTTTTTTTTTTTATTATACTTTAAGTTTTAGGGTACATGTGCACATTGTGCAGGTTAGTTACATATGTATACATGTGCCATGCTGGTGCGCTGCACCCACTAACTCGTCATCTAGCATTAGGTATATCTCCAAATGCTATCCCTCCCCCCTCCCCCCACCCCACCACAGTCCCCAGAGTGTGATATTCCCCTTCCTGTGTCCATGTGATCTCATTGTTCAATTCCCACCTATGGGTGAGAATATGCGGTGTTTGGTTTTTTGTTCTTGCGATAGGCAATCATTAAAAAGTCAGGAAACAACAGGTACTGGAGAGGATGTGGAGAAATAGGAACACCTTTACACTGTTGGTGGGACTGTAAACTAGTTCAACCATTGTGGAAGTCAGTGTGGCAATTCCTCGGGGATCTGCACTGGGAAATACCATTTGACCCAGCCATCCCATTACTGGGTATATAGGGTATATACCCAAATGACTATAAATCATGCTGCTATAAAGACACATGCACACATATGTTTATTGCAGCATTATTCACAATAGCAAAGACTTGGAACCAACCCAAATGTCCAACAATGATAGACTGGATTAAGAAAATGTGGCACATATACACCATGGAATACTATGCAGCCATAAAAAATGATGAGTTCATGTCCTTTGTAGGGACATGGATGAAATTGGAAACCATCATTCTCAGTAAACTATCGCAAGAACAAAAAAACAAACACTGCATATTCTTTCCAGTTTTTTTTCTGAAGATATTTCATTTTTCATCATAGGACTCAACGCAATCCCAAACATACCTTCATAGATTCTACAAAAACAGTGTTTCCAAACTGCTAAATGAAAAGAAAAGTTTAGCTCTGCCTGATGAATGCACACATCTCAAAGCAGTTTCTCAGATAGCTTCCTTGTAGTTTTTATCCTGGGATATTCACTTTTTTACCATTGGCCTAAAAGAGCTCCCAAAGTCCATTCACAGAATGGACAACAGTGTTCCCAACCTGCTGAATCCAAAGAATCATTTAATTCTGTGAGGTGAATGCACATATCAAAAAGCTGTTTCTCAGAAAGTATCCTTCTAGTTTTTATCTGAACATATTTCCTTTTTCACCATAGGTCTCAATGTGCTCCAATATATTTCTTCATAGATTCCATGAAAACATACGTGTGCATGTGTCTTTATAGCAGCATGATTTATAATCCTTTGGGTATATACCAAGTAATGGGATGGCTGGGTCAAATGGTATTTCTAGTTCTAGGTCCCTGAGGAATCGCCACACTGACTTCCACAATGGTTGAACTAGTTTACAGTCCCACCAACAGTGTAAAACTGTTCCTATTTCTCCACATCCTCTCCAGCACCTGTTGCTTCCTGACTTTTTAATGATTGCCATTCTAACTGATGTGAGATGCTATCTCATTGTGCTTTTGATTTGCATTTCTGTGATGGCCAATGATGATGAGCGTTTTTTCATGTGTATTTTGGCTGCATAAATGTCTTCTTTTGAGAAGTGTCTGTTCATGTCCTTCGCCCACTTTTTGATGGGGTTGTTTGTTTTTTTCTTGTAAATTTGTTTGAGTTCATTGTAGATTCTGGATATTAGCCCTTTGTCAGATGAGTAGTTTGTGAAAATTTTCTCCCGCTTTTTAGGTTGCCTGTTCGCTCTGATGGTGGTTTCTTTTGCTGTGCAGAAGCTTTTTAGTTTAATTAGATCCCATTTGTCAATTTTGGCTTTTGTCCCTTTGAAAACTGGCACAAGACAGGGATGCCCTCTCTCACCGCTCCTATTCAACATAGTGTGGAAGTTCTGGCCAGGGCAATTAGGCAGGAGAAGGAAATAAAAGGTATTCAGTTAGGAAAAGAAGAAGTCATATTGTCCCTGTTTGCAGATGACATGATTGTATATCTAGAAAACCCCATTGTCTCAGCCCAAAATCTCCTTAAGCTGATAAGCAACTTCAGCAAACTCTCAGGATACAAAATCAATGTACAAAAATCACAAGCATTCTTATACACCAACAACAGACAAACAGAGATCCAAATAATGAGTGAACTCCCATTCACAATTGCTTCACCAAGAATAAAATACCTGGGAATCCAGCTTACAAGGGATGTGAAGGACCTCTTCAAGGAGAACTACAAACCACGGCTCAATGAAATAAGAGGATACAAACAAATGGAAGAACATTCCATGCTCATGGGTAGGAAGAATCAATATCATGAAAATGGCCATACTGCCCAAGGTAATTTACAGATTCAATGCCATCCCCATCAAGCTACCAATGACTTTCTTCACAGAATTGGAAAAAACTACTTTAAAGTTCATATGGAACCAAAAAGGAGCCCTCATCACCAACTCAATCCTAAGCCAAAAGAACAAAGCTGGAGGCATCACACTACCTGACTTCAAACTGTACTACAAGGCTACAGTAACCAAAACAGCATGGTCCTGGTACCAAAACAGAGATATAGATCAATGGAACAAAACAGAGCCCTCAGAAATAACGCCACATATCTACAACATCTGATCTTTGACAAACCTGAGAAAAACAAGCAATGGGGAAAAGATTCCCTATTTAATAAATGGTGCTGGGAAAACTGCCTAGCCATATGTAGAAAGCTGAAACTGGATCCCTTCCTTACGCCTTATACAAAAATCAATTCAAGATGGATTAAAGACTTAAACGTTAGACCTAAAACCATAAAAACCCTAGAAGAAAACCTAGGCATTACCGTTCAGGATATTTTCTTTTTCAACATAGGCCACTTTTCGTTCCCAAATATCCCTTTGCAGATTCTACCAAAACAGTATTTCCAAACTGATAAATGAAAAGAAAATTTAACCCTCAGAGATGAATGCCAACATCACAAAGCAATTTTGCAAACACCTTCTTTCTATTTTTTTCTGAGATATTTCCTTTGTCACCTTAGGCCTCAATGCACTCCCAAATATCCCTTCAGAGAGTCTACCAACACAGTGTTCCAAACTACTGAATGAAAAAAAAGCTTTAACTGAAGGAGACTAATGTACACTTCACAAAGCCATTTCTCTGATAGCTTCCTTCTAGTTTTCATCCTGTACTATTTGCTTTTTCACCATTGGCCTCAAGGAGCTCCCAAATGTCCATTTGCAGAATGGACAAAAACAGTGTTTCCCAACTGCTGCATCCAAGGAAAGGATAATTCTGTGAGATGAATGCACACATCACAAAGCAGTTTGACAAATGCTTCTTTCTAGTTTTTATCTGAAGATATTTACTGTTATATCAAAGGCCTGAGTGTGCTCCCAAATTTCCATTTGCAGATACTGTAAAAAGAGTGATTCCAAACTGCTGAATGAAAGAAACGTGTAACTTTTGGAGATGAATGCAAACATCACAAAGTGGTTTCTCAGATAGCTTACTTCTAATTTTTATCCTGGCATATTCACTATTTCACCATTAACCGCAATGAGCTCTCAAATGTCCATTCACAAAATGTACAAAAACAGTTTTTACAAACTGTTGAATCCACAGAAAGTTTTAAATCGGTGAGATGAATGCACACATCACAAAGGAGTTTAGGAGAAAGCTTATTTCTAGTTTTTATCTGAAGATATTTCTCTTTTCATTAAAGGCCTCCAAGTGCTCCCAAATTTCCATTCGCAGATACTGCAAAAATGGTGATTCCAAACTGCTGAAGGAAAAGAAATTTTTAACTCTAGGAGGTGAATGTAAACATCGCAAAGTGGTTTTTCAGGTAGCTTCCTTCTTGGTTTTGTCCTGCGATATTCACTTTTTCACCATTGGCCTCAGTGAGTTCCCAAATGTGCATTCACAGAATGGACAAAAACAGTGCTTCCAAATTGCTGAATCCAAAGAAAAGTTTAACTCTGTGATATGAATGCACACATCACAAGGAAGTTTCTCAGAAATCTTCTTTCTAATTTCATCTGAAGATATATCCTTTTTCACCACAGGCCTCCATGCACTCCCAAATATCCCTTCACAGTTCCACCAAAACAGTGGTTCTAAACTGCTGAATGAAAGGAAATGTTTACCTCTGTGAGATGAATGCACACATCACAACACGGTTTCTCAGTAAGCTTCTTTCTAATTTTTATCAGAAGATATTTCCTTTTTCACCATAGGCCTCAAAGCACTCCCAAATAGGCCTTCACTGATTCTACCAAAATAGTGTTTCCAAACTGCTTAATGAAAAGTTCAGCTGTGAGAGATGAATGCTCACAACACAAAGTGGTTTCTCAGGTAGCTTTCTTGTAGTATTTATCCTGGGATGTTCGCTTTTTCATCATTGGCCTCAATGAAGTCAAAATGTCCATTGGTAGAATGGAAAAAAACAGTGTTTCCAAACTGCTGAATCCAAACTAACATTTACCTCTGTGAGATGAGTGCACTCATCACACAGCAGTTTCTCAGAAAGTTTTTTTGTCATTTTCATTTGAAGAAATTTCCTATTTCATCAAAGGACTCAATGTGCTCCTGAAATTCTCATCACAAGTATGGCGAAAACAGTGATTCCAAACTGCTGAATGAAAAGAAGGGTTTAATTCTAGGAGATGAATGTACACATCACAAAGTGGTTTCTCAGACAGCTTTCTTGTAGTTTTTATCCTGGGATATTCCATTTTTCAAAATTGGCCTCAATGAGCTCCCAAAAGTCCATTCACAGAATACAAAAAAAAAAAAAAAGTGTTTCCAAACTGCTGAATCCCAAGAAATGTTTAATTCTGTGAGAAGAATGCACTCATCACAAAGGAGAGTCTCAGAAATCTTCTTTCTACCTTTTTTCTGAAGATATTTCCTTTTTCAACATAGGCCTCAATGAGATCAAAAATATTCCTTCGCAGATTCTACCAAAACATTGTTTCCAAACTGCTGAATGAAAAGAAGAATTTAATCCTGCAAGATGAATGCACACATCCCAAAGCAGTTTTTCAGAAAGCTTCTTTCTAGTTTTTATCTGGAGATATTTCCTATTTAATCAAAGACCTCAATACAATCTCAAATTTCCCTTCACTGATACACAAAAACTGATTCCAAAATGCCGAATGAAAACGTTTTAACTCTAAAAGAGGAATGCAACCATCACAAGGAGGTTTCTAAGATAGCTTCTTTTCGTTTTTATCTTGGGATATTTGCTCTTTCTCTATTGGCTTCAAGGAGTTCCAAAATGTCCATTCACAGAATGGACAACAACAGTGTTTCCAAAATGCTGCATTCAAAAAACGTTTAAACCTGTGAGATGAATGTACACATCACAAAGCAGTTTCTAAAAATCATCTTTCTAGTTTTTGTCTGAAAATATTTCCTATTTCATAAAAGGCCTCTATGCGCTCCCAAATATCACTTCTCAGATATTGCAAAAACATTGATTCCAAACTGCTATGAAAAGAATATTTTAACTCTAGGAGGCGAATCCACATATCACAAAGCGGTTTGTCAGATAGGTTCCTTCAAGTTTTTATCCTGGGATATTCACTTTTTTGACTTTGGACTCAGTGAGTTCCAAAATTTTCAATTGCAAAGTGGACAAAAACAGTGTTTCCAAACTGCTGAATCAAAAGAAAAGTTTAAGTCTGTGAGTTGAATGCCCACATCACAAAGCACTTTCTCAGAAAGCATCTTTCTAGTTTTTCTCTGAAGATATTTTGTCTTTCGCCATAGGCTTCCATGCACTCCCAAATATCCCTTCACAGATTCCACCTAAAAAGTGTTTCAAAAATGCTGAATGAAAAGAAATGTTTAACTCTGTGAGATGAATGCATACATCACAGCACTCTTTATCAGAAAGATTCCTTCTAGTATTTACCCCAGGATATTTGCCTTTTTGCCATTGACGTCAATGAGCTCTCAAATATCCATTTGCAGAATGGACAAAAACAGTGTTTCAAAACTGCTGGATCCAAAGGAACAGTTAACTCTATGATATTAGTGCACACATCATAAAGCAGTCTCTCAGAAAGCTTCTTTCTAGTTTGCATATGATGATATTTCCTGTTTCATCAAAGGACTCAATACACTCCCCAATTTCCCTTCAAAGATACTGCAAAAACAGTGATTCCAAATTGCTGAGTGAAAAGAAGGGTTTACATCTAGAAGATGAATGCACACATCACAAACCTTTTTCTCAGATAGCTTTCTTCTATATTTTATCCTGGGATATTCCCTTTTTTGCCATTGGCCTCAATGAGCTCCCAAATGTCCATTTGCAGAATGCACAAAAACAGTGTTTCCAAACTGCTGAATCCCAAGAAACGTTTAACTCTGTGTGATGAATGCACACTTCACAAAGCAGTTACTCAGAAAGCATCTTTCTATTTTTTATCTGAAGATATTTCCTTTTTCACCATAGGACTCAATGCATTCACAAATATTCCTTCATAGATTCTACCAGAACATTGTTTCAAAATGCAGAATGAAAAGAAGAGTTTAACCTGGTGAGATGAAAGCACACATCACAAAGCAGTTTCTCAGAAAGCTTCTTTCTAGTTTTTATCTGGAGATATTTCCTATTTAATCAAAGGTCTCAATACACTCCAAAATTTCTTTTCACAGATACTGCAAAAAAAGTGATTCCAAATGGCTGAATGAAAACAATGTTTTAACTCTAGGAGATGAATGCACCAATCACAAAGTGGTTTCTCAGATAGCTTCCTTCTATTTTTTATCCTGGGATATTTGCTGTTTCTATATTGGCTTCAAGGAGTTCCAAAATGGCCATTTACAGAATGGACAAAAACAGTGTTTCCAAACTGCTGCATCCAAAGAAAGGTTTAACTCTTGTGAGATAAATGCAGAATCAAAAAACCGTTTCTCAGAAAGATTCTTTCTAATTTTGAACTGAAGATATTTCCTATTTCATCAAAGAAGGCCTGAGTTCATTCCCAAATCTCCCTTTGCAGATACTGCAAAAAAAGTGATCCCAAAATGCTGAATGAAAACAATGCTTTAAGAATGCTTGTGATTTTTGTACATTGATTTTGTATCCTGAGACTTTGCTGAAGTTGGTTATCAGCTTAAGGAGATTGTGGGCTGAGACAATGGGGTTTTCTAGATATACAATCATGTCGTCTGCAAACAGGGACAATTTGACTTCCTCTTTTCCTAACTGAATACCCTTTGTTTCCTTCTCCTGCCGAATTGCCCTGGCCAGAACTTCCAACACTATGTTGAATAGGAGTGGTGAGAGAGGGCATCCCTGTCTTGTGCCAGTTTTCAAAGGGAATGCTTCCAGTTTTTGCCCATTCAGTATGATATTGGCTGTGGGTTTGTCATAGATAGCTCTTATTATTTTGAGATACGTCCCATCAATACCTAATTTATTGAGAGTTTTTAGCATGAAGGGTTGTTGAATTTTGTCAAAGGTTTTTTCTGCATCTATTGAGATAATCATGTGATTTTTGTCTTTGGTTCTGTTTATATGCTGGATTACATTTATTGATTTGCGTATATTGAACCAGCCTTGCATCCCAGGGATGAAGCCCACTTGATCATGGTTGATAAGCTTTTTGATGTGCTGCTGGATTCGGTTTGCCAGTATTTTATTGAGGATTTTTGCATCAATATTTATCAAGGATATTGGTCTAAAATTCTCTTTTTTGGTTGTGTCTCTGCCCGGCTTTGGTATCAGGATGATGCTGGCCTCATAAAATGAGTTCGGGAGGATTCCCTCTTTTTCTATTGATTGGAATAGTTTCAGAAGGAATGGTACCAGCTCCTCCTTATACCTCTGGTAGAATTCGGCTGTGAAACCATCTGGTCCTGGACTCTTTTTGGTTGGTAAGCTATTGATTATTGCCACAATTTCAGCTCCTGTTATTGGTCTATTCAGAGATTCAACTTCTTCCTGGTTTAGTCTTGGGAGAATGTATGTGTCGAGGAATTTATCCATTTCTTCTAGATTTTCTAGTTTATTTGCATAGAGGTGTTTGTAGTATTCTCTGATGGTAGTTTGTATTCTGTGGGATCAGTGGTGATATCCCCTTTATCATTTTTTGTTGTGTCTATTTGATTCTTCTCTCTTTTTTTCTTTATTAGTCTTGCTAGCGGTCTATCAATTTTGTTGATCCTTTCAAAAAACCAGCTCTTGGATTCATTAATTTTTTAAAGGGTTTTTTGTGTCTCTATTTCCTTCATTTCTGGTCTGATTTTAGTTATTTCTTGCCGTCTCCTAGCTTTCGAGTGTGTTTGCTCTTGCTTTTCTAGTTCTTTTAATTGTGATGTTAGGGTGTCAATTTTGGATCTTTCCTGCTTTCTCTTGTGGGCATTTAGTGCTATAAATTTCCCTCTATACACTGCTTTGAATGCGTCCCAGAGATTCTGGTATGTTGTGTCTTTGTTCTCGTTGGTTTCAAAGAATATCTTTATTTCTGCCTTCATTTCGTTATGTACCCAGTAGTCATTCAGGAGCAGGTTGTTCAGTTCCCATGTAGTTGAGCGGTTTTGAGTGAGATTCTTAATCCTGAGTGATGGCAGACACTTCTCAAAAGAAGACATTTGTGCAGCCAAAAAACACATGAAAAAATGCTCATCATCACTGGCCATCAGAGAAATGCAAATCAAAACCACAATGTGATACCATCTCACTCCAGTTAGAATGGCAATCATTAAAAAGTCAGGAAACAACAGGTGCTGGAGAGGATGTGGAGAAATAGGAACACTTTTACACTGTTGGTGGGACTGTAAACTAGTTCAACCATTGTGGAAGTCAGTGTGGCGATTCCTCGGGGATCTGCACCGGGAAATACCATTTGACCCAGCCATCCCATTACTGGGTATATACCCAAAGGACTATAAATCATGCTGCTATAAAGACACATGCACACGTATGTTTATTGCGGCATGATTCACAATAGCAAAGACTTGGAACCAACCCAAATGTCCAACAATGATAGACTGGATTAAGAAAATGTGGCACATATACACCATGGAATACTATGCAGCCATAAAAAATGATGAGTTCATGTCCTTTGTAGGGACATGGATGAAATTGGAAATCATCATTCTCAGTAAACTATCACAAGAACAAAAAACCAAACACCGCTTATTCTCATTCATAGGTGGGAACTGAACAATGAGATCACATGGACACAGGAAGGGGAATATCACCCTCTGGGGACTGTTGTGGGGTGGGGGGAGGGGGGAGGGATAGCATTGGGAGATATACCTAATGCTAGATGACGAGTTAGTGGGTGCAGCGCACCAGCATGGCACATGTATACATATGTAACTAACCTGCACAATGTGCACATGTACCCTTAAACTTAAAGTATAATAAAAAAAATTTAAAAAAAAAGAAAACAATGCTTTAACTCTAGGAGATGAATGCACCCATAACAGAGTGGTTTCTCAGATAGCTTTCTTCTAGTTTTTATCCTGGGATATTTGCTCTTTCCTCTATTGGCTTCAGGGAGTTCCAAAATGTCCATTCACTGAATGGACAAAAACAGTGTTTACAAACTGCTGAATCTGAAGGAATATTTACCTCTGTGAGATGAATGCATGCATCACAAAGCAGTTTCTCAGATTCTTTCTAGTTTTTATCTGAAGATATTTCCTTTTTCAAAATAGACCTCAATGCACTCTGAAATATCCCTTCACATATTCTACTAAAACAGTGTTTGCAAACTGCTGAATGAAATGAAAGTTTTAACTCTGCAAGATGAATGCACACATCACAAAGCATTTTGTCAAATGGCTTCCTTCTTGTTTTTTTCCTAGGATATTCACTTTTTTCACCATTGGCCTCAATTAGTTACTAAATTTCGATTCACAGAGCGGACAAAAACAGTCTTTCCAAACAGATGAATCCAAATAAAGTTTTAATTCTATGAGATTAATGCACACATCACCAAGCAGTTTCTAAGAAAGCTTCTTTCTAGTTATTATATGAAGATATTTCCTTTTTCACCATAGGCCTCAATGCACCACCAAATATCCCTTCACAATTTCTACCAAAACGGTGTTTGCCAACTGCAGAAGGAAAAGAAAGGTTTAACTCTGTGAGATGAATGACCACAACACAACACACTTTCTCAAATAGATTCCTTCTAGTAATTATCCTGGGATGTTTGCTTTTTCACCATTGGACTCAATGCGTCCATTTGTAGAATGGACAAAAACAGTGTTTCATAACTGCTGAATAAAAAAATGGCTTAACTCTGTAGATGAACACACACATCACGAAGCAGTTTCTCAGAAAGCTTCCTTCTAGTTTTTATCTGAAGATATTTCCTTTTTCACAGTAGGCCTCAAAGTGCTCCGAAATATCCCTTCACAGATGCTACCAAAATAGTGTTTCCAAACTGCTGAATGAAAAGAAAGGTTTAACTTTGTGAGATGAATGCACACATCACTAAGCACTTTCTCAGATAGCTTCTTTCCAGTTTTTATCCAGGGATATTCCCCTTTTCACCATTGGCCTCAATGAGCTCCCAAATGTCCATTCACAAAATGGACAAAAACAGTGTTTCCAAACTGCTGAATCCAAAGAAATGTTAAATTCTGTGAGATGAATGTACTTATCACAAAGCAGTTTCTCAGAAAGCTTCTACTAGTTTTTATCTGAATATATTTCGTTTTTCACCATTGGCTTCAATGTGCTCCCAAATACCTCTTCACAGAATTAACCAAAACAGTGTTTCCCAAATAATGAATGAAAGGAAAATTTTAAGTCTGTGAGATGAATGCACATATTACAACACGGATTCTCAGATAGCTTCCATTTAGTATTTACCCTGGTTTATTCCCTTTTTCAACAGTGGCCTGAATAAGATCTCAAATGTCCTCTAGCAGAATAGACAAAAACAGTGTTTCCAAACTGCTGAATCCAAAGAAAGTTTTAACTCCGTGAGATGAAAGCAGACATCACAAAGCTGTTTCCCAGAAGGCTTATTTCCAGTTTTTATCTAAAGATATGTGTTTTTTCACCATAGGACTCAACGTGCTGCAAAATATACTTTCACAGATTTTACCAAAACAGTGTTTCCAAACTGTTGAATGAAAAGAAAGTTTTAGCCCTGTGAGATGAATGCACACATCACAAAGTAGTTTCTCAGATAGCTTCCTTCTAGTTTTTATCCTGGGATATTCTCTTTTTTGACACTGCCCTCAATGAGCTCACAAATATGCATTCACAGAATGGACAAAACAGTGTTTCCAAACTGTTGAATCCAAAGAAAGGTTTACCTCTGTGAGATGAATGGACACTTCCAGAGCAATTTCTCAAAAGCTTCTTTCCAGTTTTTATCTGAAGACATTTCTTTTTTCACCATAGGTCTCAAAGCACTCCCAAATATCCCTTCACAGCTTCTGCCAAAACAGTGTTTCCAAACTGCTGAATGAAAAGAAAGGTTTAACTCTGCAAGATGAATGCATACATCACAAAGTGATTATACAGATAGCTTCCTTCTAGTTTTTATTCTGGGATATTCCTTTTTTTGCCATTGCCCTCAATGAGTTCCCAAATATCCATTCCCAGAATGGAAAAATCAGTTTCCAAACTGCTGAATCCAAAGAAAGGTTTAACTCTGTGAGATAAATGCACACTTCACAAAGCAATTTCTCAGAAAGCGTCCTTCTAGTTTTGTCTGAAGATATTTCCTTTTTTCACCGTAGTCTTCAATGCCCTCCCAATATCCCTTTGCAGATTCTACCAAAATACTTTTTCCAAACTGTGGAATCCAAAGAAATGTAAAGCTCTGTGAGATGAATGCACACATCACAAAGCAGTTTCTCAGAAAGCTTCTTTCTACTTTTTATCTCAAGATATTTCCTGTTTCATCAAATGCCTCAGTGGACTCCCAAATATCCCTTTGCAGCTTCAACCAAAACAGTGTTTCCAAACTGCTGAATGAAAAGAAAGTTTTAACTCTGTGAAATTAATGCACACATCACAAAGCGATTTCTCACATAGCTTCATTCTAATTTTTTATCCTGGGATATTCCCATTTTCACCATTGGCCTCAATGAGCTCCCAAATGTCCATTTGCAGAATGGAGAAAAGAACTGTTTCCAAAATGCTGAATCTAAAGAAAACGTTTAACTCTGTGAGATGAATGCAGACTTCACAAAACAATTTCTCAGCAATCTTCTTTCTAATTTTTATCTAAGGATATTTCCTTTTTCACCATAGGCCTCAATGTGTTCCCAAATACACCTTCACAGATTCTTCCAAAACAGTGTTTCCAAACTGCTCAATGAAAACAAATTTAACTCTGCAAGATGAATGCATACATCACAACGTGGTTTCTCAGATAGCTTCCTTATTGTATTTATCCTGGGATATTCACTTTATCCTCATAGGCTTCAGTGAGCTCAATAAGTCAATTCATCAAGGGGGCAAAAACAGTGTTTCTAAACTGTGGAAAACAAAGAAAAGTTTACCTTGGTGAGATGCATGCACACATCACAAAGCAGTTTTTCAGAAAGCTTCTTTGTTGTTTTTATCTGAAGATATTTCCTTTTTCAGTAAAGGTCTCAATGCACTCCCAAATTTCCCTTCACAGATACTGCAAAACACTGTGATTCCAAACTGCTGAATGGAAAGAAAGGTTTAACTCTCGGAGATGAATGCACACATCACAAAGCAGTTTCTCAGATAGCTTCCTTCTAGTGTTTATCCTGGGATATTTGCCTTTTCACCATTGGCCTCAAAGAGTTCCAAAATGTCCATTCACAGAATGGACAAAAACATTGTTTCCAAACTGCTGAATCCAAAGAAACTTTTAACTCTCGGAGATGAATGTGCACATCACAAAGCAGTTTCTCAGAAAGTTTCTTTCTAGTTTTTATCTGGAGATATTTCCTATTAATCAAAGGCCTCAATACACTCCCAAATTTCCCTTCTCAGATACTGCAAAAACACTGATTCCAAACTGCTGAATGAAAACAACGTTTTAATTCTGGGAGATGAATGCATCCATCACGAAGCAGTTTCTCAGATGGCTTCCTTCTATTTTTTATCCTGGGATATTTGCTCTTTCTCTATTGCCTTCAAGAGTTCCAAAATGTCCATTCACAGGATGGACAAAAACAGTATTCCCAAACTGCTGCCTCCAAAGAAAGTTTTAACTCTGTGAGAGGAATGCACACATCACAAAGCAATTTCTCAAGAAGCATCTTTTTACTTTTTATCTGAAGATATTTCCTATTTCATGAAAGATCTGAGTGCGCTCTCAAATTTCCCTTTGCAGATATTGCAAAAACAGTGATTCCAACCTGCTGAATGCAAAGAAAGGTCTAACTCTAGGAGACGAATGTACACATCACATAGCAGTGGTGGAGTCTCCTGAGGCAGGCAGGCCTCCTTGAGCTGTAGTTGGCTCCACCCAGTTTGAGATTCATGGTCACTTTGTTTACCTACTCAAGCCTCAGCAATGGTGGGCACACCTTCCCCAGGCTCACTGCCACCTTGCAGTTCGATTTCAGACTACTGTGCTAGCAAAGAGCAATAATCCGTGGGTGCCGGACCCCTTGGTGAGACACAGGATATAATCTCCTGGTGTGCCATTTGCTAAGACCGTTAGAAAAGCACAGTATTAGGGTGGGAGTGATCTGATTTTCTAGGTGTCATCTCTCACAGATTTGCTTGGCTATGAAAGGGATTTCCCTGAGAGAAGAAGGCTTCAGATGATCAAACGTCTCTGAGCTAAAGGGGAAAGTTCAAACAAATCACAAAGAATTTAAAAACCTTGAAATAAGATTAGATGAATGGCAACTAAAATAACCAATGCAGAGAAGTCATTAAAGAACTGATTGAGCTGAAAACCATGGCATGAGAACTATGTGACAACTGCACAAGATTCAATAGCTGATTTGATCAACTGGAAGAAAGGGTATCAGTGATTGAAGATCAAATGAATGAAATGAAGTGAGAAGAGAAGTTTAGAGAAAAAAAAATCAAAAGAAAAGAAAAGCCTCTAAGAAATATGGGACTATGTGAAAAGACCAAATCTACGTCTGATTGGTGTACCTGAAAGCGATGGGGAGAACGGAAACAAGTTAGAAAACACTCTGCAGGATATTATCCAATAACTTCCCCAACCTTGCAAAGCAGGTCAACATTCAAATTCAGGAAATACAGAGAATGTCACAAAGATACTCCTCAAGAAGACGAACCCAAAGACACATAATTGTCAGATTCACCAAAGTTAAAATGAAGAAAAAATGTTCAGGGGAGCCAGAGAGAAAGGTCGGGTTACCCACAAAGGGAAGGCCATCAGACTATCAGTGGATCTCTTGGCAGAAACTCCACAAACCAGAAGAGACTGGGGGCCAATATTCAACATTCTTAAAGAAAAGAATTTTCAACCCTGAATTTCATATTCAGCCAAACTAAGCTTCATAAGTGAAGGAGAAATAAAATACTTTACAGACAAGCAAAGGCTGAGAGAATATGTCACCACCAGGCCTGCCCTACATGAGCTCCTGAAGGAAGCATTAAACATGAAAAGGAACAGCCGGTACCAGCCACTGCAAAAACATACCAAATTGTAAAGACCATCAATGCTAGGAAGAAACTGTATCAACTCATGAGCAAAATAACCAGCTAACATCATAATGACAGGATCAAATTCACACATAACAATATTAACCTTAAATGTAAATGGGCTAAATGCTCCAATTAAAAGACACAGACTGGCAAATTGGATAAAGAGTCAAGACCCATCAGTGTGTTGTATTCAGGAAACCCACCTCATGTGCAGAGACACACATAGTCTCAAAATGAATTGATGGAGGAAGATCTACCAAGCAAATGGAAAACAAAAAAGCAAGGATTGCAATCCTAGTTTCTGATAAAACAGACTTGAAACCAACAAAGATCAAAAGAGACAAAGAAGGCCATTACATAATGGTAAAGGGATCAATTCAACAAGAAGAACTAACTATCCTAAATATATATGTACCCAATACAGGAGCATCCAGATTTATAAAGCAAGTCCTTAGAGAACTACAAAGATACTTAGTCTCCCACACAATAACAATGGAAGATTTTTAAAACCCCACTGTCAACATTAGACAGATCAATGAGACAGAAATTTAAGAAGGATATCCAGGAATTGAACTCAGCTCTGCACCAAGCAGACCTAATAGACATCTACAGAACTCTCCACACCAAATCAACAGAGTATACATTCTTTTCAGCACCACACCACACCTATTTCAAAATTGACTACGCAGTTGGAAATAAAGCATTCCTTAGCCAATGTAAAAGAATACAAATTATAAAAAACTCTGCTCAGGCCACAGTGCAATCAAACTAGAACTCAGGATTAAGAAACTCACTCAGAACCCCTCAAATACATGGAAACTGAACAACCTGCTCCTGAATGACTACTGGGTACATAAGAAAATGAAGACAGAAATAAAGATGTTCTTTGAAACCAACAAGAACAAAGACAGAACATACCAGAATCTCTGGTACACATTCAAAGCAGTGTGTGGAGAGAAATTTATAGCACTAAATGCCCACAAGAGAAAGCAGGAAAGATCTAAAATTGACACCCTAACATCACAATTAAAAGAACTAGAGAAGCAAGGGCAAACACATTCAAAAACTAGCAGAAGGCAAGAAATCACTAAGATCAGAGCAGAACTGAAGGAAATAGAGACACTAAAATCCCTTCAAAAAAATCAATCAATCCAGGAGCTGGTTTTTGAAAAGATCAACAAAATTGATAGACCACTAGCAAGACTAATAAAGAAGAAAAGAGAGAAGAATCAAATAGATACAATAAAAAATAAAGGGGATATCACCAATGATCCCACAGAAATACACACTACCATCAGAGAATACTATAAACACCTCTATGCAAATAAACTAGAAAATCTAGAAGAAATGGATAAATTCCTCGATACATACACCCTCCCAACACTAAAACAGGCAGAAGTTGGATCTTTAATAGACCAATAACAGGCTCTGAAATTGAGGCAATAATTAATGGCGTACCAACCAAAAAAAGTCCAGGACCAAATGGATTCACAGCCGAATGCTACCAGACGTACAAGGAGGAGGTGGCACCATTCCTTCTGAAACTATTCCAATCAACAGAAAAAGAGGGAATCCTCCCTAACTCATTTTATGAGACCAGCATCATCCTGATACCAAAGTCTGGCAGAGACACAACAAAAAAAGAGAATTTTAGACCAATATCCTTGATGAACATCGATGCAAAAATCCTCAATAAAATGCTGGCAAACCAAATCCAGCAACACATCAAAAACCTTATCCACCATGATCAAGTGGGCTTCATCCCTGGGATGCAAGGCTGGTTCAATGTATGCAAATCAATAAATGTAATCCAGCATAGAAACAGAGCCAAAGACAAAAACCACATGATCATCTCAACAGATGCAGAAAAGGCCTTTGACAAAATTCAACAACCCTTCATGCTAAAAACTCTCAGTAAATTAGGTATTGATGGGACGTATCTCAAAATAATAAGAGCTATCTATGACAAACCCACAGCCAATATCATACTGAATGGGTAAAAACTGGAAGCATTCCCTTTGAAAAGTGGCACAAGACAGGGATGCCCCCTCTCATCACTCCCATTTAACATAGTGTTGGAAGTTCTGGCCAGGGCAATCAGGGAGGAGAAGGAAATAAAGGGCATTCAATTAGGAAAAGAGGGAGTCAAATTGTTCCTATTTGCAGGTGACATGATTGAGTATCTAGAAAACCCCATCCTCTCAGCCCAAAATCTCCTTAAGCTGATAAGCAACTTCAGCGAAGTCTCAGGATACAAATCAATGTGCAAAAATCACAAGCAATCTTATACACCAATAACAGACAAACAGAGAGCCAAATCATGAGTGAACTCCCATTTTCAATTGCTTCAAAGAGAATAAAATACCTAGGAATCCAACTCACAAGGGACATGAAGGACCTCTTCAAGGAGAACTACAAACCACTGCTCAGTGAAATAAAAGAGGATACAAACAAATGGAAGAACACTCCATGCTCATGGGTAAGAAGAATCAATATCGTGAAAATGGTCATACTGCCCAAGGTAATTTCTAGATTCAATGCCATCTCCATCAAGCTACCAATGACTTTCTTCACAGAGTTGGAAAAAAACACTTTGAAGTTCATAAGGAACCAAAAAAGAGCCCCCATTGCCAAGTCAATCTTAAGCCAAAAGAACAAAGCTGGAGGCATCACGCTGCCTGGCTTCAAACTATACTAGAAGGCTACAGTAACCAAAACAGCATGGTACTGATACCAAAACAGACATATAGACCAACGAAACATTACAGAGCCCTCAGAAATAATGCCACATATCTACAACTATCTAATCTTTGACAAACCTGACAAAAACAAGAAATGGGGAAGTGATTCCCTGTTTAATAAATGGTGCTGGGCAACCTGGCTAGCCATATGTAGAAAGCTGAAACGGGATCCCTTCCTTACACCTCATACAAAAATTAATTCAAGATGTATTAAAGACTTAAATGTTAGACCTAAAACCATAAAAACTCTAGAACAAAACCTAGGCAATACCATTCAGGACATAGGCATGGGCAAGGACTTCATGTCTAAAACACTAAAAGCAATGGCAACAAAAGCCAAAATTGACAAATGGGATCTAATTAAACTAAACAGCTTCTGCACAGCAAAAAAAAACTACCATCAGAGTGAAGAGGCACCTACAGAATGGGAGAACATTTTTGCAATCTACACATCTGACAATAGACTAATATCCAGAATCTACAATGAACTCAAATTTACAAGAAAAAACAAAGAACCCCATCCACAAGTGGGCGAAGGATATAAACAGGCATTTCTCAAAAGAAGACATTTATGCAGCCAAAAGACACATGAAAAAATGCTCATCATCACTGGTCATCAGAGAAATGCAAATCAAAACCACAATGAGATACCATCTCACACCAGTTAGAATGGTGATCATTAAAAAGGCAGGAAACAACAGGTGCTGGAGAGGATGTGGAGAAATAGGAACATTTTAAACTGTTGGTGGGACTGTAAACTAGTTCAACCATTGTGTAAGTCAGTGTGGCGATATCTCAAGGATCTAGAACTAGAAATGCCATTTTACCCAGCCATCCCATTACTGGGTATATACCCAAAGGATTATAAAACATGCTGCTATAAAGACACATGCAGATATATGTTTATTGCGGCACTATTCACAATAGCAAATACTTGGAAACAACCCAAATGTCCAACAATGATAGACTGGATTAAGAAAGTGTGGCACATATACACCATGGAATAATATGCAGCCATAAAAATAATGAGTTCATGTCGTTTGTAGGGACACGGATGAAGCTGGAAATCATCATTCTCAGCAAACTATCGCAAGGTCAAAAAACCAAATGCTGCATGTTCTCACTCATAGGTGGGAATTGAACAATGAGAACACATGGACACAGGAAGGGAAACATCACACACCAGGGTCTGTTGTGGGGTGGGGATCTGGGGGAGGGATAGCATTAGGTGATATACCTAATGTTAAATGACGAGTTACTGGGTGCAGCACACCAACATGGCACATGTATACATATGTAACTAACTTGCATATTGTGCACATGTACCCTAAAACTTAAAGTATAATAAAAAAAAAGAAAATATCTACAGATAAAAACTGGAAAGAATCTTTCCGAGAAAAAGTTTTGTGATGTTTGCATTCATCTCACAGAGTTAAACTCTTCTTTTGATTCAGCAGTTTGGAAACACTGCTTTTGTAGAATCTGTGAAGGGATATTTGTTAGTGCATAGAGGCTTATGGTGAAAAACAAAGTATGTTCAGATAAAAACTTGAAAGAAGATTTCTCAGAAAATGCTTTGTGATGTGTGCATTCATCTCACCAAGATAAACCGTTTTTTTTGAATCAGGAGTTTGGAAACATTGTTTTTGTCCATTCTGGGAATGGACATTTGGGAGCTCATTGAGGCCAATGGTGAAAAAGCGAATATCCCAGGTTAAAAACCATAAGAAAGTTATCTGAGAAACCACTTTGTGATGTGCCCATTCATCTCTCAGAGTTAAACCTTTCTTTTCCTTCAGCAGTTTGTAAACACTCTTTTTGTAGTATCTACAAAGGGATATTCGGGAGCGTATTGAGAACTATGGTGAAAAAAAAAATAACTTCAGATAAAAACTAGAAAGAATCTTCTGAAAAACTGCTTTGTGAAGTGTGCATTCAACTCGCAGAGTTAAACCTTTCCTTTGACTGAGCAGTTTGGAAAGATTGTTTTGGAAAATTCTGCAAATGGTCATTGTGGATCTCTTTGAGGCCTAATGTGAAAAACACAATATCCCAGGATAAAAACTAGTAGGGAGATATCTGAGACACCACTTTGTGATGTGTGCATTCATCTCGCAGAGTTAAACCTTTCTTTTCTTTCAGCAGTTTGGAACCACTGTTTTTCTAGAATCTGCAAAGGGATATTTGTAGCACATTGAAGTTTATGGTGAAAAAGAAAACATGTTCAGATAAAAACTAGAAAGAAGCTTTCTGAGAAACAGCTTTGTGATGTGTGCATTTATCTCACAGAGTTTAACCTTTCTTTTGGTTCAGCAGTTTGGATAAACTGTTCTTGTCCATTCTGTGAATGGACATTTTGGAACTCATTGAGGCCAATGGTGAAAAAGTGAATATCCCAAGATAAAAACTAGAAGGAAGCTATCTGAGAAACTGCTTTGTGATGTGTGCATTCATCTCAGAGTTAAACTTTTCTATTCATTTAGCAGTTTGGAAGCTTTTTTTGTAGAATGTGTGAAGCAATATTTGGGATTGGATTGAGGCCTATGGTGAAAAACAAAATATCTTCAGATAAAAACTAGAAAGAAGCTTTCTGGGAAACTGCTTTGTGAGTTGTACATTCATCTCAAAGAGGTAAACTGTTCTTTTGATTGAGCAGTTTGGGAACACTCTTGTTGTAGAACCTCAAACAGATATTTGGGAGGGCATTGAAGTGTATGGTGAAAAAGAAAATATGTGCAGATAAAAACTAGAAAGAATGTTTCTGAGAAACTGCCTTGTGATGTGTACATTCATCTCACAGATTTAAGCCTTTATTTTGATTTAGCAGTTTGGAAACACTGTTTTTGTTCATTCTGGGAATGGTAATTTGGTAGCTCATTGAGGCCAATGGCACAAAAGCAAAAATATCCCAGGATAAAACTAGAATGAAGCTATTAGAGAATCCACATTGTGATGTGTGCATTCATCTTGCAGAGTTAAACCTTTGTTTTCATTCAGCTGCTTGGAAACGCTGTTTTTGTAGAATCTGCAAGGGGATATTTTGGAGTGCATAGAGGCCTATGGTGAAAAAGAAAATATCTTCAGATAAACCATATAAAGAAGCTTTCTAAGAAACTGCTTTGTTATGTGTGAATTCATCTCACAGAGTTAAACCTTTTTTTTGATTCAGCAGTTTGGAATCCCTGTTTTTGTAGAAACTGTGAAGGGATATTTGGGATTGCATTTAGGCCTATGGTGAAAAGTAAGATATCTTCAGATATAAACTAGAAAGAAACTTTCTGAGAAGCTGCTTTGTAATGTTTGCATTCATCTCACAGAGTTAAACCTTTTATTTATTCAGCTGTTTGGGAACACAGTTTTTATCTAGTCTGCCAATGGTCATTTGGGAGCTCACTGAGGCCAATGGCAAAAAAACGAATATCCCAGGATAAAAACAAGAATGAAGCTACCTGAGAAACTGCGTTGTGATGTGTGCATTCATCTCACAGAGTTACACCTATCTTTTTATTCAGCAGTTTGGAAACACTGTTTTTGTAGAATCTGTGAAGGGATATTTGGGAGCACATTGAGGCCTGCAGGGAAAAGGAAAAAATCTTCAGATAAAGCCTAGAAAGAAGCTTTTGGAGAAACTGCCTTGTGATATTTGCATTCATCTCACAGAGTTCAAACTTTCTTTTGACTGAGCAGTTTGGAAACACTATTTTTGAAAATTCTGAGAATGGAAATTTGGGAGCTCATTGAAGCCAATAGAGAAAAAGTGAATATACCAGGATAAAAACTAGAAGGATTTATCTGAGAAGCTGGTTTTTGAGGTGTGCACTCATCTCACAGGGTTCAACCAT
The DNA here is from genome assembly GCF_000001405.40 of Homo sapiens. Classification (NCBI taxonomy): domain Eukaryota; kingdom Metazoa; phylum Chordata; class Mammalia; order Primates; family Hominidae; genus Homo; species Homo sapiens. Next base: position 45,919,279 of record NC_000005.10, on the reverse strand, counting down.
TCTTTTCATTCAACAGTTCGGAAACAATGTTTTTGTACAATTTGTGAATGAATATTTTGGAGCACATTGAGGACTATGATGAAAAAGTAAATGTCTTCAGATAAAAACTAAAAAGAAGCTTTCTGAGAAACTGCTTTCTGATGTGTGCATTCATATCACAGAGTTAATCCTCTCTTTTGATTCAGTAATTTGGAAACAATGTTTTTGTGCACTCTGCTAATGGATATTTGGGGGTTCATTGAGGCCAATGGTGAAAAAGCATATATCCCAGGATAAAAACTAGAAGGAAGCTATCTGAGAAACTGCTTTGTGTTGTGTGGATTCATCTTGCAGAGCTAAACCTTACTGTTCATTCAGCAGTTTAGAGACACTATTTTGGTAGAATCTATGAAGGGTTATTTTGGAGCACATTGAGGCCTATGGTGAAAAAGGAAATATTTTCAGATAAAAATTATTAGGAATCTTTCTGAGAAACTGCTTTGTGGTGTATGCATTCATCTCACAGAGTTAAAAATTTCTTTTGACTGAACAGTTTGGAAACACTGTTTTTTAAAAATTCTTTGAATGGACATTGGTGAGCTCATTGAGGCCCTTGGCAAAAAAGCAAATATCCCAGTGTATACACTAGAAGGAAACTATCTAAGAAACCACTTTGTGATGTGTGCTTTCGTCTTGCAGAGTTAAACCTTTCCTTTCATTCAGCAGTTTTGAAGCACTGTTTCTGTGGAATCTGCAAAAAGATATTTTGGAGCGCATTGAGGCCTATGGTGAAAAAGGAAATATCTTCAGATACAAACTAGAAAGAAGCTTTCTGAGAAACTGCTTTGTGATGTGTGCATTCATCTCACACAGTTAAACTTTTCTTTTCATTCAGCACTTTGGAAACACTGTTATTGTAGAATCTGGAAATGGATATTTGGCAGCACATTGAGGCCTATGGTGAAAAAGGAAATATCTTCAGATTAAAACTAGAAAGGTTTCTGAGAAACTGCTTCATGGTGTATTCATTCATCTTGCAGAGTTGAACATTTCTTTGGATTCAGCAGTTTGGAAAAACTCTTTTTGTCCATTCTGCAAATGGACATTTGGGAGCTTATTGAGGCCAATTGTGAAAAAGTGAATAACCCAGGATAAAAACTAGAAGCACATTATCTAAGAAATCAGTTTATGATGTGTGCATTCATCTCCAGAGTTAAACCTTCCTTTTCATTCATCAGTTTGGAAACACTGTTTGTGTAGAAATCTGTTAAGGGATATTTGGCAGTGCATTGAGGCCTAAGGTGAAAAAGGAAATATCTTCAGATAAAAACTAGAAAGAAGCATTCTGAGAAACTGCTTTCTGATGTGTTCATATGCCTCATGGAGTTAAACCTTTATTTTCAATCAGCAATTTGGGAACACTGTTTTTGTCCATTCTGCAAATGGACATTTGGGAGCTCATTGAGGCCAATGTCAAAAAAAGGAATATCCCAGGATAAAAACTAGGAAGAAGCTATCTGACAAACCACTTTGTGATGTGTGCATTCATCTCAAAGTGTTAAACCTTTCTTTTCATTCCACAGTTTGGAAACACTGTTTTCTTAGAATCTGTGAAAAGATATTTGGTAGTGCATTGAGGCCTATGCTGAACAAGGAAATATCTTCAGATAAAAACCAGGAAGAAGCTTAATGAGAAACTGCTTGGTGATGTGAGCATTCATCTCACAGAGTTAAACCTTTCTTTGGATTCAGCAAATTGGAAACACTATTTCTGTCCTGTCTGCGAATGGACATTTGGGAGCTCACTGGAGACTATTGCCAAAAAGTGAACATCCCAGGATAAAAACTAGAAGGAAGCTCTCTGAGAAACTGCTTTTTGATGTGTGCATTCATCTCACAGAGTTAAACCATTATTTTCATTCAGCAGTTTGGAAACACTGTTTTTGTAGAATCTGTTAAGGGATATTTGGCAGTGCATTGGGACCTATTTTGAAAAAGGAAATATCTTCAGATAAAATCTAGAAAGAAGCTTTCTGAGAAACTGCTTTGAGATGTGTGCATTCATCTCACAAAGGGAAAACTTTCTTTTCATTCAGCAGTTTGGGAACACAGTTTTTGTCTATTCTGTGAATGGACATTTCGGAGCTCATTGAGGCCTATGGCAAAAAAGTGAATATCTCAGGATAAATGTAGAAAGAAGCTGTCTGAGAAACTGCTTTCTGATGGGCGTGGACATCTTGCAGAGTAAAAACCATGCTTTTCATTCAGCAGTTTGGAAGCACTGTTTTTTTACATTCTGTGAAGGGATATTTGGGAGTGCTTTGAGGCCTCTGGTGAAAAACAAAATATCTTAAGATAAAAACTAGAAAGCAACTTTCTGCAAAACTGCTTTGTGATGTGTGCATTCATCTCACAGAGTTAAACCGTTCTTTTGATTGAGCAGTTTGGAAACACTGTTTTTGTCCACTCTGTGAATGGACATTTTGGAGCTCATTGAGGCCAATGGTGAAAAAGTGAATATGTCGGGATAAATCTAGAAGGAACTGCTCTGAGAAACTGCATTGTGATATGTGCATTCATCTCACAGAGTTAAAACTTTCTTTTGACTGAGCAGTTTGGAAATATTCTTTGTGTCCATTCACAGAATGGACATTTGGGAGCTCTTTGAGGCCAGTGGTGAAAAAGTGAATATATCAGGATAAAAACTATAAGGAAAATTTCTGAGAAACTGCTTTGTGATATGTGCATTCATCTCACAGAGTTAAACCTTTCTTTTCATTCAGCCTCTTGGAAGCACTGTTTTTGTAGAATCTGCAAAGGGATATTCTGGTGCACATTGAGACCTATGGTGCAGAAGAAAATATCTTCAGATAAAAACTAGAAAGGGTCTTTCTGAGAAACTGCTTTGTGATGTGTGCATTCATCTCATAGAGTTAAACCTGTTGCAGGAAGTCAGGCACCCCAAAAGGAGGGACTGGTTGAAGCCATGACAGAAGAACATAAATTGTGAAGATTTTGTGGACATTTGTTAGTCCTCCAAATTTATACTTTTATAATTTCTTATGCCTGTCTTTACTGCAATCTCTGAACATAAATTGTGAAGATTTCATGAACATTTATCATTTTCCCAATCAATGCTCTTATAATTTCATATACCTGTCTTTACTTTAATCTCTTAATCATGTCATGTTTGTAAACTGAGGATGTATGTTGCCTCAGGACCTTGTGATGATTGTGTTAACTGCACAAATTTTTCATAAAGCATGTGTGTTAGAACAATATGAAATCTGGGCACCTTGAAAAAAGAACAGGATAACAGCAATGTTCAGGGAACAAGGGAGATAACCAATAGGTTTGACTGCCTGGGAGCCATGCAGCATAGAGCCATATTTCTCTTATTGCCAAAAACTGGTAAGAGAAATGTTGCTGAATTATTTCCCCAGTAAGGAATGTTAATAATTAACAGACCTGGGAAAAGAATGCATTCCTGGGAGCACCCTCTAAAATGGCCGCTCTGGTAGTGTCTGCCTTATGCAGTTGTAAATAGGGATGAGACACACCTTAGTCTCCTGCAGCACCAACTGGCTTATTTGGATTAGGAAATTCCTGCCTAGTAAGTTTTAGTCAGATCAGTTGTCTGCTCTCAAACCCTGTTTCCTAATGTTTATCAATGACAATGCCCGTACAGCAGGAACGGGAACCTCATTAGTAATTCTAGATTTGTCCTGGCCTTTTGACCTTGCCCAGATCATTTGCCTTGTGATATTTTGTTGCCCTTGAAGCATGTGATCTCTGTGTGACCCATATCCTATTCATACCCTCCCTCCTCTTTGAAAATTGCTAATAAAACTTGCTGGTTTTATGGCTCAGGGGGCATCACTGAACAGGGCGACATGTGATATCTGCCCCAGAAAACCAGATTTAAAAATTTCTCTTTTGTATTCTTTTCCTGTATTTCTCAGACTGGCCAACATGTAGGGAAAAGAGAAAAGAACTTACTTTGAAATATCAGGGGCTGGTTCCCCCAATATCTGGTGCACCAATGTGGTTTTCTCTTTTTCCCAAGTGCATGAGGGAACCCGATTCCCTTTAGTGTGTGTGGAGAAACATCATCAGTTCAGTCCACAGAAATGCTTGTTCAACTCCCTGACAACTGGTGAGTAGTCTGTGTATGGTCTGGGTTACCTATGGGTCACACAGAGTATAAACATTATACTTATATCTACTATATTAAACTCTTGTTAAAACAGAGAAAGGTTCGTGTGCCCATGGAAAATATGGTCACTCTATTCATTGCAGTAGAAAAATACGGTCCTTGGTTTCCTGAAAAAGGAACTTTAGATGTAGACCTGTTAAAACAGGGAAGGGTCCATGTAGCCATGGAAAATATTGTCACTCTATTGAGGGGGGTGGAAGAATAATGTCCTTGGTTTCCCCAGATAAAACCATTCTTTGATTGAGCAGTTTGGAAACACTGTTTTTGTCCATTCTGCGAATGGACATTTGGGAACTCATTGAGGCCAATGGCAAAAAAGTGAATATTCAAGGAAAAAAGCTAGAACGAATCTCTCTGGGAAACCACTTTGTGATATGTGCATTCTTCTCACAGAGTTAAATCTTTCTTTTCATTCAGCAGTTTGGAAACACTCTTTTTGTAGAATCTGGGAAAGGATATTTGTGAACACATTGAGGCCTGTGGTGAAAAAGAAAAAAACTTCACATAAACACATTTTTTTGCAGAATCTGTGATGGGATATTTGGGAGTGCATTGAGGCCTATGGTTTAAAAGAAAATATCTTCAGATAAAAACTAGAAGGAAGCTTTCTGAAAAACTGCTTTGTGATGTGAGCATTCATCTTAAAGAGTTAAAGCATTCTTTTCACTGTGCAGTTTGGAAACACTGTTTTTGTGTATTCTGCAAATGGACATTTCGGAGCTCATTGAGGCCAATGGTGAAAAAGCGAATATCCCAGGACAAATACTAGAAGGAAGCTATATAAGAAACCGTGTTGTGATGTGTGCATTCATCTCACAGAGTTAAACTTTTCTTTTCATACGACAGTTAGGAAACACTGTTTTGGTACAATATGCAAAGGGATATTTGTTAGCACATCGAGGCCTATGGTGAAAAACAAAATATGTTCAGATAAAAACTACAAAGAAGCTTTGTGAGAAACTGCTTTGGATGTGTGCATTCGTCTCACAGAGTTAAAACTTTCTTTTGATTCAGCAGTTAGGGAACTCAGTTTTTGTCTATTCTGGGAATGGACATTTTGGGCTTCTTTGAGGCAAATGGCAAAAAAGTGAATATCCCAGGATAAAAACTACAAGCAAGCCATCTATGCAATCATTTTGTTATGTGTGCATTCATCTCTCAGAGTTAAAACTTTCTTTTCATTCAGCAGTTTGGTAACACTGGTTTTGTAGAATCTGTGAAGGGATATTTTGGAGCACATTGAGACCTATGGTGAAAAAGAAAATATTTTCAGATAAAAACTTGAAAGAAGATTTCTAGGAACTGCTTTGTGATGTGTGCATTCATCTCACAGACTTAAACTTTTCTTTCAATTCAGAAGTTTGGAAACATGGTTTTTGTCCATTTTGTGAATTGACATTTGGGAGCTCATTAAGGACAAGTGTGAAAAAGTGAATATCTCAGGATAAAAACTAGAAGGAATGTATCTGAGAAACTGCTTTGTGATGGAGCATTCATCATGCAGAGTTAAACCTTTCTTTTCATTCAGCCGTTTTGAAACATTGTTTTTGTAGAATCTGCTAAGGGATTTTTGGTAGCACATTGAGTCCTATGGTGAAAAAGGAAATATCTTCAGATATAAACTAAAGAAACTTTCTGTGAAACTGCTTCATAATGTGTGCATTCATCTCACAGTGTTAAACCATTCCTTTGATTGAGCAGTTTGGAAACATTGTTTTTGTCCATTCTGGGAATGGACATTCGGGAACTCATTGAGGCCAATGGCAAAAAAGGGAATATCCCAGGATAAAAACTAGAAGGAAGATATCTGAGAAACCACTTAGTGATATGTGCATTCATTACTCAGAGTTAAAACTTTCTTTTCATTCTGCCATTTGGAAACACTAGTTTTGTACAATCTACACTGGGATATTTGGGAGTGCACTGAGGCCTGTGGTGAAAAATCAAATATCTTCAGATAAAAACTAGAAAGAAGCTTTCTGAGAAACTGCTTTGTGACGTGTGCATTCATATCACAGAGTTAAATCTTTCTGTTTGGTTCAACAGTTTCATTACACAGTTTTTGTCTATTCTGTAAATGGACATGTGGGAAATCATTGAGGCCAGTGGTGAAAAAGTGAATATCCCAGAATAAAAACTAGAATGAAGCTGTCTGAGAAACCACTTTGTGATGTGTGTATTTATCTCACAGAGTTAAAACTTTCTTTATGCATTCATCTCGCAGAGTTAAACCTTTCTTTTCATTCAGCAGTGTGGAAACACTGTTTTTGTAGAATCTGCCAAGGAATATTTGGGAACACATTGAGACCTATGGTTAAAAAGAAAATATCTTCAGATCAAAACTAGAAAGGTTTCTGAGAAACTGCTTTGTGATGTGTGCATTCATATCACAGAAATAAAACTTTCATTTGAGAAGTTAGGAAATGCTGTTTTTGAACATTCAGCAAATAGACATTGTGAAGCTCATTGAGGTGAATGGTGAAAAAGTGAATATCCAAGTATCAAAGCTAGAATGAAGCTCTCTGAGAAACTGCTTCATGATCTGTGCATTCATTTGGCAGAGTTAAACCTTTCTTTTCATTCAGCAGTTTGGACACATTGTTTTTGTAGAATCTCTGAAGGGATATTTGGGAAAGTATTGATGCCTACAGTGAAAAAAAAATATCCTCACATAAAAAGTAGAAATAAGCTTTCTGAGAAACCGCTTTGTGATGTGTGCATTCATCTCACAGAGTTAAACCACTTTTTGATTGAGGAGTTTGCAAACACTGTTTTTGTCCATTTTGTGAATGGTCATTTGTGAGCTCATTGAGGCCAATGGTGAAACAACGAATATCCCAGGAAAAAAACTGGAAGGAAGCTACCTGAGAAACGGCTTTGTGTGCTGTGCATTCATTTCACAGAGTTAAAAGTTTCTTTTCATGCAGCAGTTTGGAAATGCTGTTTTGGTGGAATCTGCACAGAGATATTTGGGACCACATTGAGTCCTACGGTGAAAAAGAAATTATCTTCAGATAAAAAGTAGAAAGAAGCTTTCTGAGAAACTGCTTTGTGATGTATGCATTCATCTCACAAAATTAAACCTTTCTTTTGATTCAGCAGGTTAGAAACACCATTTTTGTGCATTCCGTAAATGGACATTTGGGAGCTCTTTGAGGCCAGTGGTGAAAAAGAGAATATCCCAGGATAAAAAATAGAAAGAAGCTATCTGAGAAACCTCTTCATGATGTGTCCATTAATCTCACAGAGTTAAACCTTCCTTTTCATTCAGCAGTTTGGAAACACTGTTTTTGTAGAATCTGCAAAAGGATATTTGGGAGTACAGCGAGGCCTATGGTGAAAAAGAATATATCTTCAGATAAAAACAAGAAAGATGCTTTCTGAGAAGCTGCCTTGTGATATGTGCATTCATCTCACATAGTCAAACGTTTCTTTTGATTTAGCCGTCTGGAAACATGGTTTTTGTGCATTCTGCATTCTGTGAATGGACATTCGAGAGCTCACTGAGGACAATGGTAAAAAAGCAACTGTCACAGGATAAAAACTAGAAGGAAGCTATCTCAGAAACTGCTTTGTGATGTGTGCATTCAACCTACATAGTTAAACCTTTCTTTTCATTCAGCAGTTTGGAAGCACTGTTTTTGTTGAATCTGTGTGGGGCTATTTGGGAGTGCTTGAGGCCTATGTTGAAAAAGAAAATATCTTCAGATAAAAACTAGAAAGAAGTTTTCTGAGAAACTGCTTTTTGATGTGTGCATTCATCTCACTTAGGGAAACTTTTCACTTCATTCAGCAGTGTGGAAACACTGTTTTTGTAGACTCTTTGAAAAGATATTTGGGAGCGCATTGAAGCCTAAGGTGAAAAAGAAAATATCTTCAGATAAAAACTAGAAATAAGCTTTCTGAGAAACTGCTTTGTGATGTGTGCTTTCATCTCAAAGAGTGAAATGTTTCTTTTGATTCAGCAGTTTGGAAACACCGTTTTTGCCCATTCTGTGAATGGACATTTGGGAGGTTATTGAGGCCAATGGCAAAAAAGAAAGATCCCAGGATAACAACTTGAAGAAAGTGATCTGAGAAACTGCTTTGTGATATGTGCATTCATCTCACAGAGTTAAATCTTTCCCTTCATTCAGCAGTTTGGAAGCACTGTTTTTTAGAATCTGCGAAGGGATATTTGGGAGCACATTGAGGCCTATGGCAAAAAAGAAAATATCCTCAGATAAAAACTAGAAATAACCTTTCTGAAAAACTGCTTTGTGATGGGTACATTAGTCTCACAGAGTTAAGCTTTCTTTTGATTGAGCAGTTTGGAAACCCTGTTTTTGTCCATTCTGTGAATGGACATTTGGGAGCTCAATGAGGCCAATGGCAAAAAAGTGAATATCCCAGGATAAAAACAAAAGTTAAACAAAGGTTTAACTCTGTGAGACGAATGTACACATCACAAAGCTGTTACTCAGATAGCCTTTTTCTAATTTTTATCAGAAGATATTTTCTTTTTCACCATAAGCCTCAATGCACTCCCATATATCCATTCACATATTCTAAAAAAACAGTGTTTACAAACTGCTGAAGGAAAAGTAAGGTTTAACTTTGTGAGATGAATACGCACATCAAAAAGTGGTTTCTCAGATAGTTTCCTTCTAGTTTTTATCCTGGAAGATACACTTTTTCACCATTGGCCTCAGTGAGCTCCCAAATGTCCATTGGCAGAATGGACAAAATCTGTGTTTCCAAACTGCTGAAAGTAAAGAGAGGTTTAACTCTGTGAGAAGAATGCACACATCACAAAGCAGTTTCTCTGAAACCCTCTTTCTATTTTTTTCTGAAGGTTTTTTTAATTCAACATAGGCCTCAACGTGCTCCCAAATATCTCTTCAAAGATTCTACAAAAACAGTGTTTCCAAACTGCTGAATGCCAAGAAAGGGGTTTACCTTTGTGAGATTAATGCACATAACACAAATAGTTTCTCAGAAAGCTTATTTCTAGTTTTATCTGAAGATATTTTCTTTTTCACTATTGGACTCTATGTGCTCACAAGTATCCCTCCACAGATCCTACAAAAACAATGTATTCAAAGTGCTGAATGAAAGAAAAATTTAACTATGAGAGGTGAATGCACACATCAAAAAGCAGTTTCTCAGAAAACTTCTAATTTTGATCAGAAGATGTTTTCTTTTTCACCATAGGCCTCAATGCACTCCCAAATGTCCATTCGCAGAATGTACAAAAACAGTGTTTACAAACTGCCGAATCAAAAGAAAGGTTTAATTCTGTGAGATGAATGCACACTTCACAAAATGTTTTCTCAGATAGCTTCCTTCTAGTTATTATCCCTGGATATTTGCTTTTTCACCGTTGTCCACAATGAGCTCCCAAATGACCATTCACAGAGTGGACAAAAACAGTGTTTCCAAACTGCTGAATACAAAGAAAGTTTTACCTATGTGAGATGAATGCAGACATCACAAAGCAGTTTCTCACAAAGCTTGTTACTAGTTTTTTTCTGAAGATATTTTTCTTTTACACCATAGGCCTCAATGAGCTGCCAAATATCCCTCTGCAGATTCTGCAAAGTGTTTCCAAACTTCTGAATGAAAAGAAAGGTTTAATGCTGTGAGATGAATGCACACATCACAAAGCGGTTTCTCAGATAGCTTCCTTCTAGTTTTTATCCTGGAATATCTGGTTTTTCACCATTGACCTCAATGAGCTCCCAAAAGTCCATTCATGGAAGAGACCAAAACAGTGTTTCCAAACTACTGAATAAAAAGAAACGTTTAACTCTGTGAGGTGAATGCACACACCACAGAGCCGTTTCTCAGAAAGCTTCTTTCCAGTTTTTATCTGAAGATATTTTCTTTTTCACCATAGGCCTCAATGTGCTCCAAAATATCCCTTCACAGTTTCTACAGATACAGTGTTTCCAAACTGCTGAAAGAAAGGAAAGATTTAACTTTGTGAGATGAATGCACACATCACAAAACCATTTCCCAGATAGCTTCCTTCTAGTTTTTATCCTGAGATATTCATTTTTTCGCTATTGGCCTCAATGAGCTCCCAAACATCCATTCGCAGAACGGACAAAAACAGTGTTTCCAAATAGCTGAATCAAAAGAAAGGTTCAAATCTTTGAGATTAATGCAAACCTCACAAAGCAGTTTCTCAGAAAGCTTATTTCTAGTTTTTATCTGAAGATATTTTCTTTTTCACCACAGGCCTCAATGTGCTCCAAAATATCCCTTCGCAGATTCTACAAAAACAGTATTTCCAAACTGCTGAGTGAAAAGAAAGTTTTAACTCTGTGAGATGAATGCTTACTTCACAATACAGTTTCCCAGATAGCTTCCTTCTAGTTTTTATCTTGGGATATTTGCTTTTTTGCAGTTGGCCTCAATGAGCTCCCAAATGTCCATTCACAGAATGGACAAAAACAGTGTTTCTAAATTGCTGAAACTAAAGAAAATTTTAACTCTGTGAGCTGAATTAAGTCACGCTAAAAAAACTGAATTGTTCTGCGTTATCATATGAGGTAGCATTATGTGTAAGTTTAGAGGATAAACTTGGAATCACAAACAGCAGACCTTAAAATCCTTCTCCTCCATGGCATAACCATAAGTTTCTTAACTTTTCTCAGTGTCTTTTTCTTTATCTTTAAAATTAACTGCAATGGTGCTTAACCCACAACTCAATGATGGATATATAATCCATCAGTGACAATTAGGAGGTTATAGTAAGGGATGTTGTCTAGTTGCTAAAACAGAGTATTTTAGAGCCATTTTAGAAAACAAAATATAAGTCAAATACCATGAAATTCAGTGGCATTTGGTATATTCACAAAGTTGTGTGACCATTATTAATATCTAATTTACTACATTTTTGGTGTCCTTCCCCAAAAAATCTCCTGTTGATTTTAGCAGTCACTCTGCATTTCCTCTTACACTCAACCTTTGGCAACTTTTGATCCACTTTCTATTTCTGGATTTGCCTATTCTGGGCACTCTCTATACATGGAATGATATAATATATGGCTTTTAGGGTCTGGTTTTTTCACTTAGCTAATATTTTACAGGTTTATGCATATTATACCATTAATCAATATTTCATTCCTTATATAGGTAAATAGTAGCCCATTGTAAGTTTATCCATTTATCAGTTGATGGATAGTTGCATTGTTTCCATTTTTTGATTATTCTGAGTAATCTTCTAAGTTCTCCACATCCTAGCCAATTGTTGTTGCTTGTCTATTTTAGTATAGTCATTCTAGTTGGTGTAAAGTCATAGCTCTCTGAGGTTTTGATTTGCATTTCCAAAGAGGACGAAGCTCTGATTTCTTATCTTTCCCAAATTGTTACCTAAGGGGTCTAGGAAGTCATGCCTACAAACCATAAATTCTCATCAGATGGATTTTATTTGATCCTATATATTGTGACTTAGTTTTTAATCTGACTCTGGCATAACATTGTGAGACAAGGAAAAAATATTTAACCCCAAAATTTATTTCCTTGCCATACCTTGAAATTGTCCTGCAAAGTCTCTTATGGGAAAAATCCACACTCTATGGAGAATCCCTTTTTCCCTTTGTTTTCCATCCTTCCTTCCCAGATCCAGGAGATAATCATCTAAGAGCCAGGCACTCTTTTAAGTCTGACAAAAAAAAATTTACAACCTGCTCTCTCTGAAGTCTGCTATCTGAGAGCTTCCTCTGCACAATAAAACTTGGTCTCCACAATCCTTTATCTTAACCTGAACATTTCCTTTGACCCCAGGTCTTTAGATAAACTCAACCAATTGTCAACCAGAAAATGTTTACCTATAGCCTGGAAGTCTCTGGCTTTGAGTTGTCCCAGCTTTCTGAACGAAACCAATGTATTTCTTAAATGTATTTGATTGATGTCTTATGCCTACCTAAAATATATAAAACCAAGCTGTACCCCAACCACTTTAGGCACATGTTCTCAGGACCTCTTGAGGGCTGTATCACAGACCATGGTCACTCATATTTGGCTTAAAGTAAATGTTTTCAAATATTTTACAGAGTTTGACTCTTTTCATCGACACCAATGACAAATAAACATTATTTCATATGTTTGTCAGCCATTTCTCTATTTTCTTTGGAGAAATATCTATGAAAGTCCTTTGCTTATTTATAACATGTACTTTTTATTGTTGAGTTGTGATCATTTTTTATATATTTTGGATGCTAGACCCTTATAAGATAGATGACTTTCAAATATTTCTTCTGATTTGAGCTGTATTTTCATTTTCTTGATAATGTCCTTTGAAGCATGACATTTTAAATTTTGATTAAGTTTAACTTATCTTTTTTTCTTGTGTTGCTTGTGCATTTGTTGCCATATCTAAGAAACCATTGCCTAGTCCAAGGCAACAAAGATTTACATGTATGTTTTTTATTATGAATTCTAGAATTTTACTTTTTACTTTTAAGCCTTTGATTTATTTTGAGTTTAATTGTGTATATGGTGTGAGGCTGGGGAATCCAATCTTGTTTTGTATGTAGATATCCAGTTGTCCCAGAACAATCTGTTGAAAAGGCTATTCTTTTTCCATGGAATTATCAGGACACACTTGTCAAAATCAATTGACCATAAATATATAATTGTAGTATCTTCTAAAAGGATGGACCTTTTTATCATCATAAAATATCTTTCTTTTTCTCTTGTAACAAATTTTGTCTGGAAGTCTATTTTCTCTGATATTAGTATAATCACTCCAGCTTTCTTTTGGCTACTCTTTGCATGGTGTATATTTATCCATCACCTTATTTTTAACCTATTTTTGTCTTTTAATATAAATTGTATCTCTTATAGACAGTATACAGTTGGATCTTTTTTTAACTTTCTGTCACATTACCTTTTAAATGGAAAGTCTAATATATTTACATTAAAGGTGATTAGTAATTAGGTAAGATTTTGCCATTTTGTTGTTAATTTTCTGTATATATTATAATTCCAGTATGCCACTGCTGTCTTTTTGTGTGTTAAATAGATATTTTTTTCTGTATCACTTAAATTATCTTGTCATTTCTTTTACTGAGCTTTTTTTGAGTTATTTTCTTTCCTATTGCCATGAGGATTGCAATTTACTTTTTAACTTAAAACAATTTTTTTCCTGATTAGTAACAATAGAATTTCAACTGAATACAAAATCTTTGTTCCTGCTTAGTTCCATTCTCTCCCCTGTGCATATTGGGGCATGCCTTCAACACTCCTTTAGGCAGTTTTACAACACTGCCTCAAACTTCCAGATTCTGAGAAATATGTCAGAGTTTTTCAAATCTCCCTATGGCATTTTATTACCTAGCTTTTCCTTTTAAACATTTCCTTTTTAAGCCTGTTGCTTGCTCCAGTTGTTATTTACTACTCATTCAGCAGATTTGTTCAGTAATTGCACGTGGTTGTTTGCAGTTGCACCTCAGGAAAAGGCTGTTTGCATTGGGCAAGCTCTGAGTCAGGTCAAACAAAGAGTTTTGCGTATTAGGTCTTCCAGGAAACTACCAGACAGATCAAATAGTGACAATTCTTTTCACAAAGGGTTCTAAAGTGTTTCCAACCTCATTCTTTCCTCTCCACTAGCTGCCAGCCTGTTGGTTTTCATCATGACTATGGGATGTTGTATAACAAGGCTACTGTGGAGCTGGTGAATGTGAGATAGGAATAGGGCAAGTTAACACATGACAAAACTTACTCTCTTACCAACTTTCTGTGTTTTTCCTGAATACATTCTCCCCACATTGCTGCAATTCTTTGGTCAATATACAGAGTTCTGAAAAAGCTGATTCTTTCTATTTTTGCCTGTGTTTTCATTGCTTTTATGGAGAAGATTGTTTTTGGAGGCATGATTTTTACTGATGTTATCCCTTTAGAATTTTTTAAAGTTATTGGCCTCTTATATCATTTTCTTATATCAGATTTCCTGTCTTATTAATCAGATATTGAGGCCACAGCTTGCCCAAAACCCTCTTGGTGTCTGAGGTAGCATTACATAGGGAAAAGTAAATGTAATTTAAAAGCAAAGTCCCTAGGCTGCATGCAGTGGCTCACGCCTGTAATCCCTGCACTTTTGGAGGCTGAGTTGGGTGAATCACCTGATGTCAAGAGTTCAAGACCAGCCTGACCAACATGGCAAAACCCCGTCTCTACTAAAAAAAATACAAAATTAGCCATGTGTGGTGGCAGGCGCCTGTAATCCCAGCTCCCATGAGGCTGAGGAAGAAGAATTGCTTGAACCTGAGAGCTAGAGGTTGCAGTGAACTGAGATCACGACATAGCACTCCAGCCTGGGCAACAAGAGTGAAATTCCTTCTCAAAAAAAAAAAAAAGTAGCCCAGTCTAGTGGCATGCATCTCTATTCTCAGCTACTTGGGAGGCTGAAGCAGGAGAATCACTTGAACCTGGGAAGTGGAGGTTGTAGTGAGCCGAGATCCCACCACTGCACTGCAGCCCAGGTGACAGAGTGAGACTGTGCCTCTAAAAAAAATTGAAAAACAAAACAACAACAAGAAAAACCAAAGTGCCTCACTTTGACTTTTTTTCATAAAAAATCTCTTGGTATATCATTTAGAAAAAAAAAAATTATCTACTCCATTTATCTACCCAAACCAAAACTAAATATTTAATAAACAGGCTAGGCATCATGGCTCACACTCGTAATCCTAAGATTTTGGGGGCCAAATCAGGTGAATTGTTTAAGCTCAGAAGTCTGAGACCAGCCTGGGCAACAAGATGAAACCGTCTCCAAAAAAGTACAAAAAAATAAGCCAGGTGCAGTGGCATGTGCCAGTATTCCCAGCTAGTCTGGAGGCTGAAGTAGAAGGAACGCTTGAGCTAGGAAGTGAAGGCTCATTATCTCAGTGAGCTGAGATAATGCCACTTGCACTCCAGCCTGGGTCACAGAGTAAGAAAGACTCTGTCTCAAATAAACAAATAAATAAATAACATATAGCATCTGGATTTTCTTCCTTTTCCAGAGGGAAATTTCTTCTTCTTCTTCCTCTTCTTCTTCTTCTTCTTCTTCTTCTTCTTCTTTTTCTTCTTCTTCTTCTTTTTCTTCCTCTTCTTCTTCCTCTTCTTCTTCTTCTTCTTCTTCTTCATTATTATTATTATTATTGACATTTCATGAAATATCTTTAATAGCTTCATCAAGGACAAATTTATATATCTATGCCAACGTAAAATACTTCTTTCCTAAACTTATACACTATTTCATAAATAAAATATTGTTTATTTAATACACAATATAAACTACAATGTATTAAATGGGCCACTTTATAAATGGAAAATATAACAAATACCTAAACCAGTGATATTTTGGAAAGGATGCCTCTTTCAAAGGAAACTTGGCTTCAACTAGTGTTCAAATCTATGTACTAAGCACAGCATCAATCACCATCTGTCTTTCTCCTCTCATTTGCTTAACTTGCCCTAACATATAGCTGTGTGTTATTTTTTGTGGGTGGGGTAGGGTGAGCTAGTCATTCCTTCTGCCTAAGTTCTCTCTTTTAAAGGTGGCCAAAAGCCAATGATTAATATTTCATTTTTTATGTTTAAAAGTAAAAAGGACTCTAGAATAGATTAGTGCACTTTTCCAAAGTAATGCAGAATTTTCTGCAAAACAAATGTCTTCATTGTATTGTTAATGGATGAGATTATTTTTATTTTAAATAACATTTTTTTTCTGGTTACAAAATCAATACAGGTTTTTTTTTTGAAAATTTAGAAACCAGAAATAGTAAAAAAGAAACATTAAAAATAAAATGATCCATGATATTTACAGGTATAGATATTTGTTAAAAACTTCAATTAACACACATATCCACAAAAATTAAATGAAACTTTAAATCTTGATTATTCCTTGCTTGTTTTCAATTTATTTAGGCTTTGCCCAACTACTGGTTTTGTTATCGTTTTGTGTTTGGCTTGTTGACACTGTTTCTTTCATTGACTGTCTCTACTATTCTATGAACAATGATCTCATTTACCTAGAAAATAAATATTAGAAGTCAACCGGTGAAATAATTTTATCACTTGGCAGAAAAAAATGGAAATAAGTCATTGTCTGTTTTGGAACTAGTAAGTTATTTACTTGTGAATAGCTGGAAAACATTTTTCCCTTACTAAATTTAATATAACAAAAGCATAGGCCTTTGAAAATTGAAGTTTATGCTTTGATATTAAGAGTGAACTTTGAGTTAATAAATGCACTCAGAGTTAGAATAATTCCTTCATATTTCATTAATGCCACAATTATAATACAATGGAACAGTATGTGCTTTGCTCATCAAGTAGAATTCTATGTTCCATATGTCGACTTTAAGCTCCAAATGACTGTTATTATTAAGTACCAACATTTTTGCAAATATGGACCACAGGAAACCTTAAGAAGAGTATTATCTCTCAAGACATTGTACTTTTAACTTTTTATTCCCTTCAGAAATCCATTATGTGTAAAGTGTACACCATCCCCTAGTCTTCTGTAGTAGTCAATCAACCATGAGGATTTTTACAATTTCACAGGCAATAGAATGGGCTTTATGACTGTCATTTTTGTATGATGCTGTCAAAACATTTAATGTAAATTTTTAAAATAATAAACTTTCACATTCATACTTCAGTGTACTGAGTTGAAAAGGGCTTCTGTAAGGACATTTTAAAGACTGAAAGTCATCTAAGCAATTTAATGCTGGAATTGAAAATATGGGGTCATATTAGTGTGGTTTATTTTTACCACTTTAAACTTGCCAAAACTATTTGATAAGCAGCACTTATTCTGACCAAGTTAAGAAATAAACAGGAAAAAAAATGAATGGAATTTAGAAAAATTGAGTATATAAAGGTACAGTATGCTTGTTACCCATCCACTTCCAATTCCTGTTTTATTGCTCTTTTCTTCTTTCTCTTTCTTTTACACTTTTTTATGACCAATGAAATGTTTGCCTTTTTGACGGGCATTGCTTCAGCTAGTTGTTATTCTAGGAAAGAAAGCTAGTTAAAAAATCCAGAATGCTGAAATATTAATTAATAATAGCTGATGGTATTAACTTCATTTTCCCTTATTCTCAGCATTTACCTTATATTTATAGTTTATTAGTCCATCTGATTCTAAAAAGTTTGGGGATAGCTAAAAAATCATCAAGCATCAAAATTATTTCCTAAATGCAATAATTAGTGAAAAATTAGGTTTCAAATAAAAAGGAACATGGAACCGATAAAAGCAGTCAAATTTTTCATGGAATAGAAGGGCCTCAAAGAGCCTAGAGAGGGAGAAAGAAGATATTCCTGTTTTGAAGACCCAAGAATGAAACATTTGTTTGTTTTCTGTGCTTGAATAATATAACAGAGATGCCTCCAAACCATTCAGTCATCTGAGGACATCCTTTATGTTAATAAATGAGCAATATGGTTTCATCTCATCTCACAAAATGTGACCCTAATCCCGTCTCCACTATTTCCACAGATTTCCAGGAGTGCTTATATTATTATTATTAATTATAAATGCCTTTATAGCTGATACCTAAATTAATATTCCTTTTCAGTGTGACACTTTATAGTGTGATGTACGTATTTCTTAATTTTCCACTTTACCACAATGTTGTTTGTGGCAAAAATTTACAAATGTTTACTGAATATTTGGGGGAAGCAGAGGGTAATTGTATCATACATAAGAAAGCAACTTCATATTTGATATCAGATGTCATTCATCTTAGAATTGCAGTAAGTATTTCCTTATCATGAGGAATTCTAATAGCAGTGCTTCTCTGATGACACCTTGGTGGTGAGAACTCTTCTCTCTGTATATCATTTTTTTCTCTCCTTTCTGGGTCTCTCACAGATGTGTCTCACATTTCCAGTAAATAACTCCTGAATACCAGTAACTTTCTAATTGAGAATATTATGCATTTTTTTAGGTCTTTTTCCTCTGTTTTTAAACAATGAATGAGGGAAGAGCTTTGCCTTTTACATTAAAAGAGAATCACCTAAATAGTTTTCTAGACTTTACTGTACTAAAAATTTCCTGGGTACTATTATTCCTTCAGATGGTGTTTGTGGTTATAATTTTTGTTTGTTTTAAAAGTTGTTTCCATTCAGTGTCTTTTACATAATATTTGGTTTATTTTTCAATTTAGTAAGTGATCTTTGGAAAAACTATGTATTTATTTTCCTTGACCTCATATATGATTCACCTTTGGAAAATAAGACAATTCTAACCAAGTCTTTTCTCAATGAAGAAAGTAGAGAGAATTTCACATACACACAATTTTTAAAATTTAATAAAATGTAATTTTTGACTTTCAAATTCTGGTTGGTAATGGAAGTTTTTAAGAAATTAAGAAATTTGTGTTGGAAAGTCTTTCCCTGAAGCAATGACTTGTACTATCTCAGAAATTGCCCAGAAGGAGGAAGTGTGGGTTTCACATGACCTCAGAAGAGATGGCATTAGAAATCTTGACTTTCTGTTTTTCCCTAGGATTCAGACCACATAATCGGGCAGTCACAGGCTTTAATAAAGGGATAGGGATAGCATTTGTTCTC
Organism: Homo sapiens; assembly: GCF_000001405.40. Taxonomy (NCBI): domain Eukaryota; kingdom Metazoa; phylum Chordata; class Mammalia; order Primates; family Hominidae; genus Homo; species Homo sapiens. The sequence continues at coordinate 45,900,528 of NC_000005.10, read as the reverse complement.
AAGCTCTCATGTGATTTCCTTACATAGTGAATTCTAGGCAAATAACAATACACGTCTCAGTCACCACAACATTGTTTTGATCCTTACAAGCCATGGTATGTTCTGCTCTGCTACTTCCATTGTTGCCAGTTTTCCGTCCTAATCCCTCTGTCTATCCACCTCATCAGGGCTCAGTTTCATGCCTATTTCAGGTACTGGCTTTGCCCAGGTGGGTGATCAATTGTATAATTTAATTTTTGTTTTCTGTCCACTAAAGGATTATAGCTCTTGTAATAGCAAGAAAGACAGACTCACTCTTTCCATTTGAAATATCCTTCTAAAAAGGAATTTATATGGTCACAGGATACCAAAAGGATTCCCTCAAGTAAATATGCTCTTTCCATTCTAAGGGACTAGTTAGGGAATGGATGGATGATGGATATATATATATATATATATATATATATATATATATATGTATATATATATGTATATATATATAAAATCTCAACATCACTGATTATTAGAGGAATGCAAATCAAAATCACAATGACATATCATCTCATGCCAGTCAGACTGGTGATCATTAAAAAGTCAAGAAACAATGGATGTTCACACAGAGGGAAAGGAATGCTTTTACACTGTTGGTGGGAGTATAAATTAGTTCAACTATTGTGGAAGGCAGTGTGGTGATTCCTCAAAGACTTAAGAGGCAGAAATACCATTTGACTCAGTAATCCCATTACTGGGTATATACCCAAAGGAAAATAAATCATTCTGTTATAAAGATACATGCACACGTACTTTATTGCAGCACTATCCACAATAGCAAAGACACAGAATCAACTCGAATGCTCATTATTGATAGACTGCATAAAGAAAGTGTGGTACATATACACAAGGGAATACTATGCAGCCATAAGAAGGAACAAGATCATGTCCTTTGTAGAAACACGGTTGGAGCTGGAAGTCGTGATACCCAGCAAATGAATGCAGAAACAGAAAACAAAACACCACATGTTCTCACTTATAAGGAGGAGCTGAAGGACGACGCATTGTGGGAAACAACACACAGTGGGGCCTCTTAGAGGGTAGGGGGAGAGAGAGACTCAGGAAGATTAGCTAACGGATGCTGGGCTAAATAAGTACATGATGGGTTGATCTGTGCAGCAAACCAGCATGGCACACGTTTACTTATGTAACAAACCTGTACATCCTGCACGTGTGCTCCCAAAATTAAAATCAATGTTGAAGAAAAAGGACCAATTGAACAAAATAGAAATAAATTTAATGAATAAAGCACAACACTTGTGTACTGCAAACTATAAAATATTGCTAATAAACTATAAAATAGGATCTAAATAAATGGAGAAAAATTCCAGACTTATTAATTGGAAGACAATGTTGTTAACATGGTAAAGCTTCCCTGATTGATTTATAGATTCAGTGTAATCATAATAAACATCTCAGCAGGCTGTTTTGTGTGTGTTGGTGGGGACATAAATTGCCAAGCCGATCTTAAAATTTATATGGAAATGCAAAGGACCCAGAATAGCCAAAGTAATTTTGAAAAAAGCAAAGCTTGTGGATCTAAACTTTCCCATTTCAAATTTACTTAAAAACTATAATAATTAAACATCATGGTACTAGTGTAAGGATAGACATAGATCAATGGAGCAGAATTGAGAGCACCAGAAATAAACTCTTACATTTACAGTCAATTGATTTTCTAAGAAAGAAGCCAAGACCATTTAATAGGAGAAAGGACACTCTTTTCAACAAATGGTGCTAGCATAACTGGACACAGGCATGCAAAAAGATGACTTTAGATCCTTACTTCACACTAAATTCAAAATAACCTGAAATGTAAAAGCCCAAATTATAAAACTTTCAGAATAAAATATAGGAGAAAATCTTTATTACCTTTAGTTGACAAATAATTAGTAGATACGAAACTAAAAACACAATCCATAAAAAAAAATCTTGGTAAATTTGGCTTCAAAATAATTTTAAAAGTTGAGCTTCAAAATAATTTTAAAAGTTGCACTTCAAAAGAAACCATTAAGAAAATGAAAAATAAGGCTTAGACTGGGAGAGATAATTTTAAAACATGTATTAACATATGTTAACATATTATAATGTATTCAAAATATACGAAATCTTCCACTACTCATTATTAAGACAAACAAATTAATTAAAAATGATTAAATAACTTTAATAGCCTTTTTTTCTTTTCTTAGACAGGGTCTTGCTCTGTTGCCCAGGCTGGAGTGCAATGGCATGCTCATGGCTCACTGCAGCCTCAACCCCCTGGGTTAAAACAATCTTCATAGCTGAGCCTCCCTAGTAGCTGGGACTACAGGTATGTGCCCACCACACTCAGCTAATTTTTGTATTTTTTGCAGGCAGAGTTTAGATATGTTGCTCAGGTTGTTCTCGAACTTCTGGGCTCAAGCAATCTGCCTACCATGGCCTCTCAAAGTGCTAAAATTACAGGCATGAACCACCATGCCCAGCCTTTAATAGACTTTTCACCAAGTCATGCAAATATCTAGTAAGCACATTAAATAACACTCAACATCATTATTCACTAATAAAATGCAAATTAAATCTACAATTAGAATGGTTATAATAATAAAAAGTCATCTAATAATAGCACAGTAAGGATATAGAAGAAATGGACTCCTCATATATACTAGTAGAAATATAAAATGACAGAGACATTTTGGAAAATATTTTAAAAAGTTATACATAAATATACCAAACAACATAGCAAGTCCATGACTAGGAATCAACCCAAGAAAAATAAAAACATATGTCCACTAAAAGACTTGTATATAAATGCTCATAGCAGCCTTATTCACAAAAAGGTGGAAATAGTCCAAGTATTTGTCAACTAGTAAATGAACAAAATGTAATATAACCACACACTGGAGTATTATTCAGTAATATAAAGACAAGTTGATACAAACTATAATGACCCACAAAAATAGTATTCTACATGAAAGAAAACAGGCTCCTAAAGCTTCATATTATGTTTTCTTTCATATGATATGCTCAGAAGAGGTAAATCTATAGAGACAGAAACCAAATTGTTAATTGACTAAGACTGGGAGCGGGAATGTGGATTAACTGAACTGTTTGGAGTGATAAAAATATATTACAATTGGATTGTAGTGTGATCGTACAACTTTGTAAGTTTTCTAAAAGGCATTACATTTTACACTTAAAAATGTGTAAATTTTATGATATGTAGGTGATACATCAGTAATGTGTAAAAATATGCCCACTGTATACTTATGTTACTATATCTGTTGTATGTGTGAATACTTCAATGATTCTCTTCTCATTCAGATTCTCAAATTCAGAGATACTTCCCTTTTGCTTTATCTCTAATTTCTTTTTTACATTATCTAATCACAATAGACACTGAATAAATATCACAACTGGTTGACTCACTTCTCCATAAGAATTGTGAGACCTGACCAGGAACAGTGGCTCATGCCTGTAATCCTAGTACTTTGGGAGGCCGAGGCAGGTGGATCACTTGAGGTCAGGAGTTCAAGACTGGCCTGGCCAACGTGGCAAAACCACGTCTCTACTAAAAATACAAAAATTAGTTGGGCATGGTAGCATGCACTTAAAGTCGCCCACATCTAAAGTCCCAGCTACTCAGTAGGCTGAGGCAGGGGAATCGCTTGAACCCGGGAGGTGGAGGTCGCAGTGAGCAGAGATTGTGCCACTGCACTTCAGCCTGGGTGACAGAGTGAAATTGTCTCAAAAAAAGAAAAAAGAACTGTTAGGCCTTAGTCTATTCTGTTTATTGTTTATTATCTTTTGGTATTTTTAAAATAAGTGCTCTTGTGTATAAACACATTTAATTTTCATGATAATACTGTAAGAGATTATTTCCCTTATTCTAAGAATGAAAAAAAAAATACGTGATGCACACAAGTTAAGTAACACAGTGTGGCCAGGCGGTGGTCAAGTTAGGATGTAGATGAACCCAGGATTTCTGAGTCCTGCATATTTTCACTTAACCATTGTTATTATCTTGCTTCTCACCTGAACACAGTTACTTGTGAAGTACGTGTATTTTATAAAAACTTTTTTAAGAAATAAGAAAATATATCATAGGAGAGTGCTTTGTTGTGAAAGAGAACTTTTTTATTTCATGCTATAAGAATTTTAATGATTACTAATGTTTTAGAAAATTATGCATTAGGAAATAAAAATAAATTTACAAGTAGAAAGGGAAGAAGCATACGATACTATAGAAAATAAAACTGAGGTCCTGACTTCTAGAATTAGCCTTAATTGGCAGCTTTTACTACAATGACCTTTATTACTTTCTTACAAAATAAAACCAAAATATGAGACCCTATAGCTCTCTAATCCTGAACATTAATTCTTAATTTCTAAGGCTGTGATTTAACAAACTGATACAAGTTCCTTTTGTATAAACCAAAGAGAGTGGGACTAAATTCATATGCATAGAAAATATCAGGAAATTTTCACTTCCATAGTTGATTGAAATTTTAGAACCTTGAGGAATAAGCTTAAGTTTTTTCACTTAAAAATAATATTCTTTTATTAAAGTGTCCATATGTAACTGAAGGGAAATTGTAGAAGTATCTTCTGGATCTCTCACATTTATGAGACTGGAATTTCTGTCCATTTTTGTTTTGGGTGTACTCTCACGTCCTAAAACAGCACCTGGAAAAAGGAAAGCACTTATCTTAATGTCTAGTATTACTGTAACAGAACACTTGACACTAGGTAATTTAAAAAGAAGAAAGATTTATTTGATGCTGGTGGCTGGAAAGTTCAAGATTGGGCAGCTGCATCTAGTGAAGGTCTTGTGCTGCTTCAAATTATGGCAGAAAGCAGAAAAGTGAGAACTCACTCCCATGACATGACATTAATCTAATTATGAGAGATCCATCCCCATGATCCAAACACTTCCCATTAGGCCCCATCTACCAACACTGTCACATTGGAAAACAAATTTTAATATGAGTTTTAATGGGGACAAGCTACATCTCAACCATGGCAGTACTCAGGAAATACTGAATGAGCAAATGAATCAATGAATCAAAAATACTTGACAAAAACTGAGTTTTCTATGTTACCACTTCTCCATTAATTATTATGTACTACGTGTAAGCATATAACAAAAAATTCTTACTTATTCTTTTCAGCATTTTTTTCTGCAATTATCTTCTAAAAACATGTTTTAACTCCCCCACAAAATGTGTGAAAGCTTTTAAAGCAGGTGAACATTGACCATATATTTCCTTATTTCATGATGATCTGATTCAATGTGCAAATTATGTGGTTAATCATACCAAGTAATTCCTGAAGACTGCCTTTACTCTGATTTGCATATTGTCCTGTAAACAAAGACTTGTGAATGCACAATAAAAGACTAATTGGTATACTTATACTGCTTTCAATATTCAAATTTTTACTATATGATATACTTGCTGCTACCAGTATTGTTAAATAGAAAATGTGCTCTATTATAAATCTTTTTGAGTATATTAGAATCATAATACTTTGATAAGCATTAGGAAAACATTACATCTGTGGACAACTAATACTGTAGATTACAAATTTCTCATAACTCTAAATATTTATTTTGTATAAATTCATCTCTCTTTGAATTCTTAAGTAAGAACACTTATTCAATTTTGTTATTCATCTTCTTAAGATGTCTGAGTAAATATTTAATGATATGCTTTTATCATGCAAGTGAAAACTTAGTTAAGAATATTTTCAGTTCAGTTACCCAGGATGAACAAAGTCACTTAGTTATCCATAGTCATAGAAAGAAATGACAATAAAAGAGTGTAAGATGAATAGAAGAGTATAAAGTAGCAACTACAAATTTAATTATTTAAGACATTTATTTTATCTATTTATGTTTTGTAGAGACAAGGTATTGCTATGTTGCCCAGGTTGGTCTCAAACTCCTGGCCTCAAGCAATTCTCCCACTTTGGCCTACCAAAGTGCTAGGAGTACAGATGTGAGCCATTGCGCTCAGCCACAGATTTATTTATAATTGATTTAAAAATAAGCATAAGTCATTGTAATAATGGTTCTCTTTCCTGGTTACTAAAATTTCCAAGGGAGAAAAACTAAAATATTTGCCTATGTGTATATTTTTAATAATACATATTTATACATATGAATATACTATTTATTAATTAGTTAAATTTTTTTACACGGATTAGTAAACATACATTGTGGCCACACATTTCCACAAATTGAATACATAGTCATAAAGTTATTGACATGTAAATGCTATTAATGATTATAAAATATTTTAAAGATAAAAATATTGTATTTCATTTAATATTTTATAATTGTAGTGATGCCGTGATGAGCTTTCCTGATGTCTCCTTCAGAACGTAGGTACTCATCTCCCCTGCCTCTGGGAGATATGAATGGTGATGTGTCTGAGCTGAGTCTCCCTGTTTGGAGTTACCCTCAGCCAAAGAAGGTTGTTTTGCCAAAGTCATGTCCCTTCTACAGGGGTCAACAAGACCCAATGTCTGATAGATGTGGAGCTGTAGGGGTTCAGGTCCCTTGGCTTAGGATGGTACAACACGGAACAATGACTCCAATTTCAGTGCTCCCTTTTGGATCAACTGAAGCCTCAGTCATAGCTGTGTTGTACTTCAATTTCTCCCCCTGGTCAGTCCTATGTTATTTATTCTCTCTCAGGTGTTGATCCCCCCCGCCAAGTGTGCTCCCCAGGTTTCTGTCCTTCATGCACATTTTTGTCTCAGCGTGTATCCTGGGAAATCTGAGCTTAAACAATTGGTTTCAGGTGTTGTCTAAGAAGTCAGACTTGAAAATGGATTTTGAAGTTGGACCACTAGCCAGTTAACTAACTGTGGGAGCCCTGTCATTAATGGTAGGTGGAAAAGTGATACCTGTTTTGCAATCAAGGTGCAATAACAACACTGACTGGAATGAAATACCAGAGGACAGGAATGCAATTCTTGTCACAATCTCTCAGATTTTTGAGAAGTTCAGATTATGCAATAATTATAAAGACAGCAAAATCTGATGGCACTGACTTAGTCTGACTTAGTCTACCACATTAAGGGCAGGCTCTGGATAAGTTCAGGTCCCTGATTGGCAGGAGCACAACCTTGAGAGGGAGTGCTTCCTTAAAATTTGTGTTCTAGGTGCCTCACTGGCCTCCCCTTAGATTTGAGACTGCCTCTGACCGGGGAAATCCACCTATCTAGTGCTGATACTGCTGAGTAGGGGCTCCGTGAAGCTGGTTTTACAAGTGTCAGAAACGTTGCAAACTGGACTCAACCACTGTTACAGTAAGGAACTGCCAGTGCCAGAGTGGAGAATGTGCAAAAGCAAAGGAAGTCGACAGGAAACCCACAATAGCAAACAAAAAGTGAATCATTACTTCTTCCTGCAGCCTTGCAGTCTCTCTAGTGAGCCTTATTGATAGATCTTAAACAGGCAAAGCAGAAATGTTATTTGCAGAGTCCCAGCACCAACTTACAAAGTTGAATTTACAAAGCTTAATATGACAGAGTGAAGCTGAGAAGTGATCATTTAGTAACTCTTTTGGTAGAGTGGCAGGAGTTAAAATTTCATGGTAGTGGGTAGGAAAGACAATTGGGAGAGAGAACTTTGGGACAGTGAATATATGATAATCTTCAAATTTGCTAGAACATGATGCACAAAAATGGGGGTTAGTAGCTGGAGGGGCTTGAGAAATATATATATACACTTGAGGATATATATATAAAATAAATATATGTATGTGTATATATATATATGTATATATATTTAAGGATAAAAGAAACAATAGCATCTTTGTGTGCCCATGGGAATGATCCAACAGGAGGGGCAAAAAAGAAATACTGCAATATAAATTAGGAAACATTGCTAGAATAATGTTCTTGGTTTAGTGAGGTAGAACAGTGGAGGGTTTGGCCTTGGAGTCACAGAGAGTTTGTGCATATTAACAAGGATGGCAAAGTTCATTAGAACTGATAAAACTGGTTCTGCAAATGTGGTAGAAGGAACATGTGAATGTTCTCATTACTTTTCTCAGTGATGTAGAAAGCAAGGCTACCATCTGAAGGTGAAGAAAAGTGAAGGAGTGTTGCTGGAAGTCAGGGAACCCAAACAGAGGGGCCTGCTGAAGCCATGGCAGAAGAACATAAATTGTGAAGATTTCATAGACATTTATTAGTTCCCCAAATTAATACTTTTATAATTTCTTACACCTGTCTTTAGTGCAATCTCTGAACATAAATTGTGAAGATTTCATGGATATTTATCACTTCCCCAATCAATACTCTTATAATTTCCTATGCCTGTCTTTACTTTAATCTCTTAGTCCCGTCATCTTCATAAGCTGATGATGTATGTCACCCCAAGACCCTGTGATGATTGTGTTAACTGCACAAATTGTTCATAAAGCATGTGTATTTTTTTATATTAGATATAAGTATTTTATTAATGTTAAATTCACTGAATTTAATAACTGAACAGTGGTTATGTAAAGAGAATATCCTTATTCTTAGGAAATATACACTGAAGTTTTAAAGGCTATAGAGATGATATGCAACCTACTCTCAAATAATTTAGGAAAACATTTTTATAGACAAATAACGATAAAGCAAATATAGCAAAATATTTAAAATTGATGAATCTTAGTAAAGCATATGTGAAAAATTTGGGGTTGTTTTTCCAACTTTTCTGTAAATTTGAGATTATATCAAAATTTAAAGTTAATTTTAAAAAGTATCCATGAATCACCTGAATCAGAATACTGGAGTATTTGCTACAGATGCAGATTCATGGGACCTGCCGCTGACTACTGAATCAGAAATTCAGGGAGTGTGGACAGGAGAGGTTAGAGCCTGGAAATTTTCTTTTTCTTTTTTTTTTTTTATTGATCATTCTTGGGTGTTTCTCGCAGAGGGGGATTTGGCAGGGTCATAGGACAATAGTGGAGGGGAAGGTCAGCAGATAAACAAGTGAACAAAGGTCTCTGGTTTTCCTAGGCAGAGGACCCTGCGGCCTTCCGCAGTGTTTGTGTCCCTGGGTACTTGAGATTAGGGAGTGGTAATGACTCTTAACGAGCATGCTGCCTTCCAGCATCTGTTTAACAAAGCACATCTTGCACCGCCCTTAATCCATTTAACCCTGAGTGGACACAGCACATGTTTCAGAGAGCACAGCGTTGGGGGCAAGGTCATAGATCAACAGCATCCCAAGGCAGAAGAATCTTTCTTAGTACAGAACAAAATGGAGTCTCCTATGTCTACTTCTTTCTACACAGACACAGCAACAATCTGATTTCTCTATCTTTTCCCCACATTTCCCCCTTTTCTATTCCACAAAACCACCATCATCATCATGCCCCGTTCTCAATGAGCTGTTGGGTACACCTCCCAGACGGGGTGGTGGCCAGGCAGAGGGGCTCCTCACTTCCCAGAAGTGGCGGCCGGGCAGAGGCACAGCCCACCTCCCGGATGGGGTGGCGGCCAGGCGGAGGCGCACCCACCTCCCTCTGGGATGGGGAGGATGGCCAGGCAGGGGCTGGCCCCCACCTCCCTCCCGGATGGGGCAGCTGGCCGGGTGGGGGCTGCCCCCCACTTCCCTCTGGGATGGGGAGGCTGGCCGGGTGGGGGCTGCCCCCCACCTCCCTCCCGGACGGGGCAGCTGGCCGGGCGGGGGCTGCCCCCCACCTCCTTCCTGGACAGGGCGGCTGGCCAGGCAAGGGCTGCTCCCCACCTCCCTCCTGGACGGGGCGGCTGCCGGGCAGAGACGCTCCTCACTTCCCAGACGGGGTGGCTGCTGGGCCGAGGGGCTCCTCATTTCTCAGACAGGGTGACTGGGCAGAGACGCTCCTCACCTCCCAGACGGGGTCGTGGCTGGGCAGAGGCACTCCTCACATCCCAGATGGGGTGGCAGAGCAGAGGTGCTCCCCACATCTCAGATGATGGGTGGCCGGGCAGAGACGCTCCTTACTTCCTAGATGGGATGACGGCCGGGAAGAGGCACTCCTCACTTCCCAGACTGGGCAGCCGGGCAGAGGGGCTCCTCATATCCCAGATGATGGGCAGCCAGGCAGAGACGCTCCTCACTTCCCAGACGGGGTGGCGGCCGGGCAGAGGCTGCAATCTCGGCACTTTGGGAGGCCAAGGCAGGCGGCTGGGAGGGGGAGGTTGTAGCTAGCCAAGATCATGCCACTGCACTCCAGCCTTGGCAACATTGAGCACTGATTGAACGAGACTCCGTCTGCAATCCTGGCACCTCGGGAGGCCAAGGCTGGCAGATCACTCGCAGTTAGGAGCTGGAGACCAGCCCGGCCAACAGAGCGAAACCCTGTCTCCACCAAAAAAATACGAAAACCAGTCAGGCGTGGCGGCGCACACCTGCAATCACAGGCACTCTGCAGGCTGAGGCAGGAGAATCAGGCAGGGAGGTTGCAGTGAGCCGAGATGGCAGCAGTACAGTCCAGCTCTGGCTTGGCATCAGAGGGAGACCGTGGAAAGAGAGGGAGAGGGAGAGGGAGAGGGAGACCATGGGGAGAGGGAGAGGGAGAGGGAGAAAGCATGTGTATTTGAACAATGTGAAATCTGGGCACCTTGAAGAAAGAACAGGATAACAGCAATGTTCAGGGAACAAGGGAGATTACCATTAAGTCTGACTGCCTGGGAGCAGGACAGGACAGAGTCATATTTCTCTCATTACCGAAAACGGGTAAGAGAAATATCACTCAATTCTTTCCCCAGCAAGGAATATTAATAATTAACAGCCCTGAAAAAATAATGCATTCCCGGGGGGGCCTCAAAAATGGCCACTCTAGGAGTGCAGTTGCAGATCAGGGATGAAACACGCCCTTGTCTCCTGAAGCATCCCCAGGCTTGCTAAGATTAGGAAATACCAACCTGGGGAATTCTAGTCAGACCGGTTCTCTGCTCTTGAACCCTGTTTCCTGCTAAGATGTTTATCAATGAAAATGTGTGCCCAGCAGGACATGGACCTTCATTAGCAAGTCTAGTTTTGCCCTGACCTTGTGATGTCACCCTGACCTTCTGCCTTGTGATCTTTTATTGCCCTTGAAGCATGTGATCTCTGTGACCCACACCCTATTCATACACTCCCTCCCCTTTGAAAATCAGTAATAAAAACTTGCTGGTTTTGCAGCTCAGGGGGCATCACAGAACCTGCTGACATGTGATGTCTCCCCCAGACACCCAGCTTTAAAATTTCTATCTTTTGTACTCTTTCCCTTTATTTCTCAGACCGGCCAACACTTAGGGAAATAGAAAAGAACCTACATTGAAATATTGGGGGCTGGTTCCCCCAGTAGAGGAGAATATTTAAATTTTTTTTTTGTATTTTGTTCAGAAGAGTGGTAGACAGGAATCAGCAAAAAACAGGCCCTCTTGAACTTAGTGGTCATGTATTTAAAATGTGTTGGTATAGTTTGTGTTCTCTTCAATTACATTTGACTGTGAAGAAAGGGGTATGGACTAAGCTGACATTTAGATAATACTAGTGTTTGAGTTTTGAAAGGATAGAGGGACATGGGATTGATTATAATAATGGATTGTTGAACCTAGGAAGACTAAAGTGTCACAAGAAATGTATGACAAACAGTGGAAGATGGTAACGTGAATGCACAGTAAGCAGCATCAGGTCAGGCACAGAAAGCGAGAGATACAGTGTGCGGAAAAGAAAGACTCATTGCTGATTAATTTTGACCTTAGTTCCAAACCATTTTGAAAGATACAAATTAACACACAATCAAGTAAGCCTATATTATATAAATAATATAATATGTGGTGTTGAAGTGGCTTTTAAGATAAAGAGATTACCTCCCTACTAGTATTGTTTTTACAATTCTAAGTATTATAGAAAGCAAAGTGCTTAGATATGAAACAGATATCTATGGTCCAAACTAACATAGGATGCTAGATATTTGTTACAGGCCTATCATTTTGTCTTTTGTATAATAGGAATTATGGAAAAACTGAGCCACTAACTAGAGGCTCTGAGAGAATTTAACTGGGAAATCAGGAAATGTTAAACCTCTCTGCTTTCAGAACAGAAAACCAACATTCTTGTGCTTATTATAACCAATTTTATGATGAAGCATACTTTCCTCTTTTTGTGCTAAATAGAATAAGGATTAGAAAAAAATAATTGAGCTACTTTCTCCAAAAAAAAATTTGCTTTTGTAAGATCAGAGTAACTAACTACCTTTGGCAGAATCCTAAAATGACCTGCAATGACCCAAATCCTTGCATAATGCCCTCGTTTTAAGTGTGGGTCTTATCTCTGCATTGCTTTTAAACAATAGAAAGTGGCCAAGGCATTGGTGTATCACTCCTATAATTATGTTATATGGCAATAAGTGGAGGTATTTTGCAGATAAATGAAGAACCTGAATCCACTGACTTTGAGAAAATCAAAAAGGACATTATTCTGGGTGGACCTGTCTTAAATGAGGTGAGCCCTTTAAAAGAGGGACTATCCCCTCTTTTGATTCTCTGTCTTTGAAAATGTAAGTCTGCCATGTTCAGAGAGATGCTGTAAGAGGTCCACATGGGAAGGAGCTGTGAGGGCTTCTGGGGATAGGAAAGGACTTAGCTAACAGTCAGTAAGAAAGTGGGAACTCAGTCCTATAGCCACAAGGAACTGAATTCTGACAACAACGATGTGTGCTTAGAAAAGGATGCCAAGATTGAAAAAGAAATGCAGTTTGACATCTAGATTGTGGACTTCTGAGACCCTGACCAGAGCACTCAGCTAAGCTGTGCCATAACCTTCCCAAACTATAAGATAATTAATGTTGTTTAAAGCTACTAAATTTGTGGTGATTTGTTATGAAGCAATAAAAAACTAATACAGTAAAACAAAAACAGCACATTTAACAAGTCTGACACTTTTCTCATGAAGATTTGTTTTGAGAACCTTGCTTCACTGTTGCCCAGAAGTTCAAAGCTATCATAATACAAACTCTGCCCAACCCAACCAGTTGCCTGTCTTGCAAGATCTGTCTTCAAAACTGACTTTCCTGACTTCCTCCTTTTAAGAAATCAATAAAACTGTCAAGTTGGTGTTCTCCTTCACTACATAGGTTTCATAAAGTGAGTTTTGGTTGAGCTTCAGGTTTTCTAGTGGTCTTCTGGAGAATAAACATTAATTTAGCCTGTAATATTTTAAATAATATTGATAAACAAAATAATTAGGTAACCATGTAGAAGCATGAAAACAAGTTTAAATGTGTACTAAACTAACAAATATATCTCTATTAAATATAAAGTGAATTACAGTGTGAGTGACACAGAAGATGGGTGATTTCTGCATTTCCATCTGAGGTACTGGATTCATCTCACTAAGGAGTGCCAGACAGTGGGCGCAGGTCAGTGGGTGCAGGCAGCATGTGCAAGCCGAAGCAGGGTGAGGCATTGCCTCACTCGGGAAGCACAAGGGGTCAGGGAGTTCCCTTTCCTAGTCAAAGAAAGGGGTGACAGACGGCACCTGGAAAATCAGGTCACTTCCACCCTAATACTGCACTTTTCCGATGGGCTTAAAAAATGGCGCACCAGGAGATTATATCCTGCACATTGCTCAGAGGGTCCTAAGCCCATGGAGTCTCGCTGATTGCTAGCGCAGCAGTCTGAGATCAAACTGCAAGGTGGCAAGGAGGCTGGGGGAAGGGCGCCTGCCATTGCCCAGGCTTGCTTAGGTAAGCAAAGCATCTGGAAAGCTCGAACTGGGTGGAGCCCACCACAGCTCAGGGAGGCCTGCTGGCCTCTGTAGGCTCCACTTCTGGGGGCAGGACACAGACAAACAAAAAGACAGCAGTAGCCCCTGCAGACTTAAATGTCACTGTCTGACAGCTTTGAAGAGAGCAGTGGTTCTCCCAGCACGCAGCTGGAGATCTGAGAATGGGCAGACTGCCTCCTCAAGTGGGTCCGTGACACCTGACCCCGGAGCAGTCTAACTGGGAGGCTCCCCCCAGCAGGGACAGACTGACAACTCACACGGCTGGGTACAACCGACAGACCTGCATCTGAGGGTCCTGTCTGTTAGAAGGAAAACTAACAAACAGAAAGGACATCCACACCAAAAACCCATCTGTACATCACCATCATCAAAGACCAAAAGAAGATAAAACCATAAAGATGGGGAAAAAACAGAGCAGAAAAACTGGAAACTCTAAAAAGCAGAGCACCTCTCCTCCTCCAAAGGAATGCAGTTCCTCACCAGCAACGGAACAAAGCTGGACGGAGAATGACTTTCATGAGCTGAGAGAAGAAGGCTTCAGACAATCAAATTACTCTGAGCTACAGGAGGACATTCAAACCAAAGGCAAAGAAGTTGAAAACTTCGAAAAAAATTTAGAAGAATGTATAACTAGAATAACCAATACAGAGAAGTGCTTAAAGGAGCTGATGGAGCTGAAAACCAAGGCTGGAGAACTACGCGAAGAATGCAGAAGCCTCAGGAGCTGATGTGATCAACTGGAAGAAAGGGTATCAACGATGGAACATTTAAATGAATGAAATGAAGTGAGAAGGGAAGTTTAGAGAAAAAAGAATGAAAAGAAATGAGCAAAGCCTCCAAGAAATATAGGACTATGTGAAAAGACCAAATCTACGTCTGATTAGTGTACCTGAAAGTGACGGGGAGAATGGAACCAAGTTGGAAAACACTCTGCAGGATATTATCCAGGAGAACTTCCCCGGTCTAGCAAGGCAGGTCAACATTCAGATTCAGGAAATACAGAGAACACCACAAAGATACTCCTTGAGAAGAGCAACTCCAAGACACAAAATTGTCAGATTCACCAAAGTTGAAATGAAGGAAAAAATGTTAAGGGCAGCCAGAGAGAAAGGTCGGGTTAACCTCAAAGGGAAGCCCATCAGACTAACAGTGGATCTCTCGGCAGAAGCTCTACCAGCCAGAAGAGAGTGGGGGCCAATATTCAACATACTTAAAGAAAAGAATTTTCAACACAGAATTTCATACCCCACCAAATTAAGCTTCATAAATGAAGGAGAAATGAAATACTTTACAGACAAGCAAATGCTGAGAGATTTTGTCACCACCAGACCTGCCCTAAAAGAGCTCCTGAAGGAAGTGCTAAACATGGAAAGGAGCAACCGGTACCAGCCGCTGCAAAATCATGCCAAAATGTAAAGACCATCGAGACTAGGAAGAAACTGCATCAACTAATGAGCAAAATAACCAGCTAACATCCTAATGACAAGATCAAATTCACACATAACGGTATTAACTTTAAATGTAAATGGACTAAATGCTCCAATTAAAAGACACAGACTGGCAAACTGGATAAAGAGTCAAGACCCATCAGTGTCCTGTATTCAGGAAACCCATCTCACGTGCAGAGACACACATAGGCTCAAAATAAAAGGATGGAGGAAGATCTACCAAGCAAATGGAAAACAAAAAAAGGCAGGAGTTGCAATCCTAGTCTCTGATAAAACAGACTTTAAACCAACAACGGTCAAAAGAGACAAAGAAGGCCATTACATAATGGTAAAGGGATCAATTCAACAAGAAGAGCTAACTATCCTAAATATATGTGTACCCAATACAGGAGGACACAGATTCATAAAGCAAGTCCTGAGTGACCTACAAAGAGACTTAGACTCCCACACATTAATAATGGGAGACTTTAACACCCCACTGTCAACATTAGACAGATCAACAAGACAGAAACTCAACAAGGATACCCAGGAATTGAACTCAGCTCTGCACCAAGCGGACCTAATAGACATCTACAGACCTCTCCACCCCAAATCAACAAAATATACATTTTTTTCAGCACCACACCACACCTATTCCAAAATTGACCACATACTTGGAAGTAAAGCACTCCTCAGCAAATGTAAAAGAACAGAAATTGTAACAAACTCTCTCTCAGACCACAGTGCAATCAAACTAGAACTCAGGATTAAGAATCTTACTCAAAACCGCTCAACTACATGGAAACTGAACAACATGCTCCTGAATGACTACTGGGTACATAACAAAATGAAGGCAGAAATAAAGATGTTCTTTGAAACCAATGAGAAAAAAGACACAACATACCAGAATCTCTGGGATGCATTCAAAGCAGTGTGTAGAGGGAAATTTATAGCACTAAATGCCCACAAGAGAAAGCAGGAAAGATCCAAAATTGACACCCTAACATCACAATTAAAAGAACTAGAAAAGCAAGAGCAAACACATTCAAAAGCTAGCAGAAGGCAAGAAATAACTAAAATCAGTGCAGAACTGAAGGAAATAGAGACACAAAAAACCCTTCAAAAAATTAATGAATCCAGGAGCTTGTTTTTTGAAAGGATCAACAAAATTGATAGACCGCTAGCAAGACTAATAAAGAAAAAAAGAGAGAAGAATCAAATAGACGCAATAAAAAATGATAAAGGGGATATCACCACCAATCCCACAGAAATACAAACTACCATCAGAGAATACTACAAACACCTCTATGCAAATAAACTAGAAAATCTAGAAGAAATAGATAAATTCCTGGACACATACACTCTCCCAAGACTAAACCAGGAAGAAGTTGCATCTCTGAATAGACCAATAACAGGCTCTGAAATTGAGGCAATAATCAATAGCTTACCAGCTAAAAAGAGTCCAGGACCAGATGGATTCACAGCCGAATTCTACCAAAGGTACACGGAGGAACTGGTACCATTCCTTCTGAAACTATTCCAATCAATAGAAAAAGAGGGAATCCTCCCTAACTCATTTTATGAAGCCAGCATCATTCCGATACCAAAGCCAGGCAGAGACACAACCAAAAAAGAGAATTTTAAACCAATATCCTTGATGAACATTGATGCAAAAATCCTCAATAAAATACTGGCAAATTGAATCCAACAGCACATCAAAAAGCTTATCCACCATGATCAAGTGGGCTTCATCCCTGGAATGCAATGCTGGTTCAATATACGAAAATCAATTAATGTAACCCAGCACATAAACAGAACCAAAGACAAAAATCACATGATTATCTCAATAGATGCAGAAAAGGCCTTTGACAAAACTCAACGACCCTGCATGCTAAAAACTCTCAATAAATTAGGTATTGATGGAACATATTTCAAAATAACAAGAGGTATCTATGACAAACCCACAGCCAATATCATACTGAATGGGAAAAACTGGAAGCATTTCCTTTGAAAACTGGCACAAGAGAGGGATGCCCTCTCTCACCACTCCTATTCAACATAGTGTTGGAAGTTCTGGCCAGGGCAATTCGGCAGGAGAAGGAAATAAAGGGTATTCAATTAGGAAAAGAGGAAGTCAATTTGTCCCTGTTTGCAGACGACATGATTGTATATCTAGAAAACCCCATCGTCTCAGCCCAAAATCTCCTTAAGGTGATAAGCAACTTCAGCAAAGTCTCAGGATACAAAATCAATGTACAAAAATCACAAGCATTCTTATACACCAACAACAGACAAATGAGAGCCAAATAATGAGTGAACTCCCTTTCAAAATTGCTTCAAAGAGAATAAAATACCTAGGAATCCAACTTACAAGGGATGTAAAGGACCTCTTCAAGGAGAACTACAAACCATGGCTCAATGAAATAAAAGAGGACACAAACAAATGGAAGAACATTCCATGCTCATGGGTAGGAAGAATCAATATCGTGATAATGACCATCTTGCCCAAGGTAAATTACAGATTCAATGCCATCCTCATCAAGCTACCAATGACTTTCTTCACAGAATTGGAAAAAACTACTTTAAAATTCATATGGAACCAAAAAAGAGCCCGCATCGCCAAGTCAATCCTAAGCCAAAAGAACAAAGCTGGAGGCTTCATACTACCTGACTTCAAACTATGCTACAAGGCTACAGTAACCAAAACAGCATGGTACTGGTACCAAAACAGAGATATAGATCAATGGAACAGAACAGAGCGCTCAGAAATAATGCCGCATATCTACAACTATCTGATCTTTGACAAATCTGAGAAAAACAAGCAATGGGGAAAAGATTCCCTATTTAATAAATGGTGCTGGGAAAACTGGCTAGCCATGTGTAGAAAGCTGAAACTGGATCCCTCCCTTACACTTCATACAAAAATTAATTCAAGACGTATTAAAGGTTTAAATGTTAGACGTAAAACCATAAAAACCCTAGAAGAAAACCTAGACATTACCATTCAGGACATAGGCATGGGCAAGGACTTCATGTCTAAAACACCAAAAGCAATGGCAACAAAATACAAAATTGACAAATGGGATCTCATTAAACTAAAGAGCTTCTGCACAGCAAAGGAAACCACCATCAGAGTGAACAGACAACCTACAGAATGGGAGAAAAGTTTTGCAATCTACTCATCTGACAAAGGGCAAATATCCAGAATCTACAATGAACTCAAACAAATTTACAAGAAAAAAACAAACAACCCCATCAAAAAGTGGGTGAAGGACATGAACAGACACTTCTCAAAAGAAGACATTTATGCAGCCAAAAAGTACATGAAAAAATGCTCATCATCACTGGCCATTAGAGAAATGCAAATCAAAACCACAATGAGATACCATCTCACACCAGTTAGAATGGCAATCATTCAAAAGTCAGGAAACAACAGGTGCTGGAGAGGATGTGGAGAAATAGGAACACTTTTACACTGTTGGTGGGACTGTAAACTAGTTCAACCATTGTGGAAGTCAGTGTGGCGATTCCTCAGGGATCTAGAACTAGAAATACCATTTGACCCAGCCATCCCATTACTGGGTATATACCCAAAGGATTATAAATCATGCTGCTATAAAGACACATGCACACGTATGTTTATTGCGGCATGATTCACAATAGCAAAGACTTGGAACCAACCCAAATGTCCAACAATGATAGACTGGATTAAGAAAATGTGGCACATATACACCATGGAATACTATGCAGCCATAAAAAAGGATGACTTCATGTCCTTTTTAGGGACATGCATGAAGCTGGAAACCATCATTCTCAGTAAACTATGGCAAGTACAAAAAACCAAACACCGCATATTCTCCCTCATAGGTGGGAATTGAACAATGAGAACACATGGACACAGGAAGGGGAATATCACACTCTGGGGCCTGTTGTGGGGTTGGGGGAGGGGGGAGGGATAGCATTGGGCGATATACCTAATGTTAAATGAAGAGTTACTGGGTGCAGTGCACCAGCATGGCACATGTATACACAGGTAACTAACCTGCACATTGTGCACATGTACCCTAAAACTTAAAGTATAATAATAATAATAAATAAATAAATAAAGTGAATTAAACATGTGTTCTGCTGTTTTTCTAAATATTTTCAGAATGTTTCAAGTTCTGGCTCATTGTAGGCAGATGGTACAAACTTGCAATCTGAAAATATGTTATAAGTAACCCCCTTATGTTTGCTTTTGTAGGGCGAATTTATTGAATCATGATTAATTTTCCACAGACACAAAAATAGAAAATGTTGTAAGCTGCCTATATGTTCTCAACTGGTTTTTAGGGCAGAATGAACCTCCCAGTTGTTACAACAGAAGTCAGTGTCCCAATGCACAGAAATAAATTATTTACCTTGTGCTGCTTTCCAAGGATGCAAATCTAAACTAAGAAAAACAGTCAAATAAGTAAAACTTGTCTAAATTTGAATCATCACAGTTGTTATTCAACGAGTTCCTTCAGAAGCAAAAATTTAAAAGCATTATTTTTAAAGTTTAGGTGCATAACCAATAAACACTTTGAAACTATAAATTTTTAAATAGCCCAGCACTGATCAGTATAATGTTTTCTTTCCAAACAGGTGGATGTGGATACAGATTAGCTCAAATTACCTTAGTCTTAATTGACTTCAGTAGTACACAGTAGGTCATTTGCTTCTTTTTACTAATACACGCTTGACAGCATATTTCTGGTTCCTTATGAATAAATAGTAGAGAGTATCCTTCTTCACCAATGCACAGATTAAAGAGTATATCCATATTTATAGAAATTTTAACTTATTAGCATCAGGTAAATACATATAATATAAATTTTTAATTAAAATCTTTTAATAGAAATTTTAATTTATTAACATCAGTTAACCAAATACATAAGTGTGTCATTTTTAGCCAACTAACATTTCTTGATTGCACACTCTGCATTGGTATGTATTAAGCACATAGTATATATCAGGGGTCAGTAAACTACGGCCTTTGGGCCAAGGGTAACCTACTTCCTATTTGTCTATGGTTCATAAACTAAGAATAATTTTTGTATTTTAAAATAGTTGAATAATAACAACATTTCCTGGCACATGAAAATTAAATGAAATTTAAATTTCAGTGTTTGTAAAGAAACTTTTATAGGACCATATCACACTCATTCACTTACATATCGTCCATGGCTGTCTCTGTGCTGCAATGGCAGAGTGGGGCAACTGGAACAGAGAACATGTATGGTGCTCTCATTGCTTTTCACTGCGGCTCAGCACTCTACAAAAATCACAGTTATAACTCAAAGGTGTTTTGAGTGTCATGTATATTGTTCAAAATTTTGTTTTATTTATGTATTTATTTATGTATTTAGTTACAGTGCATATCCATTTCATCAAAACATAAAAAGAAGAGAAAGTGAACTTTGAATGTTACTATTTTGTGGCCAAGTGAAGTGTGAATAAGTTTGTTATTAACTTAGATGACAAAACATTCTGTTTATTAAGTGATGACACTATCGCTAGTTAAAAGAACCATTACCAGACTGTATTAGTTCGTTTTCATGCTGCTGATAAAGACATACCCGAAACTAAGAACAAGAAAAAAAATGGACTTACAGTCCCACGTGGCTGAGGATGCCTCAGAATCATGGTGGGAGGCGAAAGGCACTTCTTACATGGCAAGAGAAAAATGAGAGAAGCAGAAGTGGAACCCCCGATAAACCCATCAGCTCTTGTCAGACTTATTGACTATCATGACAATTGCATGGGAAAGATCACCTCCCATGATTCAATTACCTCTCCCTTGGTCCACCCACAACATGTGGGAGTTTTGGGAGATACAATTCAAGTTGAGATTTCTGTGGGGACACAGCCAAACGATATCACAGACTAAGCAACCATCATAATATTCCCAATTCATAGGAAACCAATGGCCAAAAAATGAGGAAATCTAAAATGAGATATCTTATCAGTGTGGTTTTCTTCCCAAGAAAGAAAAAAAAAATTAAAAGGAGGCTGCAAAGTAACTTTTCAAGTACCTCCTTTGTTAGTCAAGGAAAGCCACTTAACAATGGTGAGTTAATTAAATCATGTTTGATTTCAGGTGCTGAAGAAATTTGTCCATAGAAAATAAACTTGTTTAAATTTTTAGCCTTTAGGCAAGAATAGTTGTTTGAATTGTTGAGGACTTTGGGAGGAGCATCAAAAAAAGAACAAAACAATTTTTTTTTCCTGGTTTTACTTCATTCCTGATGAATTGCCTGATGCTACCAACACTGCTCAGTCGATATTGCTTTGTCAAGTACTCGGAGCTGAGTTTGAAGTGACCTAAGCATTAGCCTCTGTGAATATCTACGATGATATTTTCAAAGAAGTTTAGAAAACTCAAATTCAATACAAACTGGAATGAAATCTGTTAAGATTTTAAAAGCTTATTCATTGTATTATTCATTAGCAACTATTTTATAAAAAATGTTTGACTCCATTATGTGTTATTGAACCACTAGTGTCAGTGATGAACTTTATCTTAAATATCCTGAGTTCTTTCACCAAAGGGTAGTTTGATGACTTGGCAGAGTTTTTTTTTTTTTTTTTTTCTTTTTCTCTTTCTTTGATGTTTTTGGCTCCCGAATGAGATTATATTTTTTTCTAAAGGAGAAAAGAGGTATCATTTTGATAATGTTTCTTAATGAATTTAACCTAAAACTCCAAGAAAAAGCAGTGTTTATATGTGAAAAATCACACTATGGTAAAGTCATTTTGACAACTAACATTTTTGAATCACAAGTAATGTCACACTGCTTTATATACTTCCTGTGCTGCCAAAAGTTGAAACAAGAAGCAAATCTCCATTCTCACACAAATTATAGTGGATGTATTTGCTTAAATCTCAGCTGCATTAACATAGTTCAAACTTTGGTGCAAGTGCAAAAGAAATCTATGCATTTCAAAATCTATATTTGCAATTGAGGAGTTTCAACTTAATTTTTAATTAGAAGGATTAATCTGCAATGTGCTGACATGCTAAAAGGCTAATAGAATTCCATTGATATCTTCCAAATGATGAATATACTCAACTAAAATCATGCTTGTGGATTGAAGTCAATATCATCAGTATTTGACAATACCTGTCTATGTAAAAATACAGCTTCAAACATGAAATACAGTCATGCATTACTTAATGATGGAAATATGCTCTGAGAAATGGGCTCTTAGGCTATATCATCATTGTGCTAACTTTTTAGAGTGTACTTAACACAAATTGTGAGGTGTAACATAGGCTCTATGCTCCTAGGCTACCAACCTGCACAGCATGTTACTGTATTGAATACTCTGGGCAATTGTAACACAATGGGAAATATATGTGTATCTAAACATATCTAAACATAGAGAAAATACAGCAAAAATATAATATTATAATTTTATGGGAACACCATCATAAATGAGGCTCATTGTTGACCAAAACATTATTCTGTGACACATGAATGTACATAAAATCTAATTATAAATCAGCACTGAGATGAATATTTGTAGTCAGTTAACTTTGACCTCCAAATGTGCAAAATGCTATCCCTCCAAATATTGTTATTCTTTTCATCAGTAGATTTAAGATTGTACTCAATTCTTATTATTTAAATTTCATAAAATTGTAGAATTAAATTATCTGTCTTGTTTTATGACTACTTATGTAATATCCTAAATTTTGACTCTTAGCCTAAAAACCTTAAATATTTAATATCTGGCTCTTTATAGAAAATTTTCTGATCCCTGATATAGATTCTTATTCTCTGAAAGATCACAGAACTTACATATAAAAGGATAAGTAACAATGTAAATTAGGGTTTTTAATATGACTCATGAGAAACATTGATAATAAGGAATGTTGGGGGAAATAAAGAAAGACTTCTCAGGGGAATGGGATTTTAATTGTGCCTTAAAAGATGCATAGGGTGGAGGCAGAAGAAGAAAGCAAGAAGAAAGCTACTTCATGCAGGGGACATGACATGCACAAGAGATAAAACGTCAGAAACACAAAGGGTATATTTAAGGAACCATGAGTAGGCTAGTTTGACTAGATAGGAGACTTCATTTACAAGGGTATAAGAAGAGAACTTGAGTGGGTAAAATTGTAAAAGCTCTTGAATGCCAGGCTAAAGAGTACAGTTGATTTTGTGGCACTTTGAAGACTTGCAATGAACTACTCCTGTATGAAAATTTTTGTTGATCCCTCATAACTTAAAATACATTCTCCTTGATATTTTGTCAAACTACTTCAGACAGAATAGAGATTATAAAAAAGATTCAAAAATGAAGAAAGACCAGCAAAAAGAACACAGTTGAAGAATATTTGGCACTAGTTCATTCTAGTGTTATGTATGTCAAAAAGCTGTAAAATAAAGTGTCTTAAATTGAGAAGATGAGCTTAAAATTATATGCTCTATTGCTTCATAGAAAGAAGTGAGAAATTCAGTTTTTTAAACTTTAGTGCGATTGTTAATATATGCTGAATGTGCCACAACAAGATGTCACTGACCAAAATAACACTGGTTATTTCAAACTAGGTCCTTTTTGTTTGACTCCTGGTTATAATCAACACTTAATCCAAATCCAAGCTTTTGTCCTCAGTTCGTGGTAGAGAAACTTTTGAAAAAAAAAGGTGGTGGTGGAAGGGGAAGAATTGATAAACAAATAACCTAAATTGCTTTCTAGTGCTTTGGTCATGATATAATCTCAAGGTGGTTTGGAGATTCACTTTTGAGTAGCTGTCCCTGAAGGATGAGAAGATGAGTTCAGCCCCTTCCACAACCCCAATTGCCTTTATCTTTGAGAGGTTTATTCAAAAGCTGTTTTTAAAACTGCAATAGCTGTGTCCTAATCTGTGCACAAAATGCTTTGCTATTATCCACCCACCTAATTATTAATTGAAATGACTGGATTTGTATCTTTCTAATTTGACCCAATAAAAGGGCATCAGATTATGCCCTCTCTCACCACTCCTATTCAACATAGTACTGAAAGTTCTGGCTGGGGCAATCAGGCAAGAGAAAGAAATAAAGGATATTCAGTCAGGAAAAGAGGAAATCAAATTGTCTCTGTTTGCAGATGACATGATTGTATATTTAGAAAACCCCATTGTCTCAGCCCCAAATCTCCTTAAGCTGATGAGCAACTTCAGCAAAGTCTCAGGATACAAAATCAATGTGCAAAAATCACAAACATTCCTATACACTAATAATAGACAGAGCCAAATCATGAGTGTACTCCCATTCACTATTGCTATGAAGAGAATAAGCTACCTAGGAATACAACTTACAAGGGATGTGAAGGGCCTCTTCAAGGAGAACTACAAACCACTGCTCCAAGGAATAAGACAGGACACAAGCAAATAGAAAAACATTGCATGCTCATGAATAGGAAGAATCAATATTATGAAAATGGCCATACTGCCCAAAGTAATTTATAGATTCAATGCTTTCCCCATCAAGCTACCATTGACTTTCTCACAGAATTGGAAAAAAAACTGCTTTAAATTTCATATGGAACCAAAAAAGAGCCCACATAGCCAAGACAATCTTAAGCAAAAAGAAAAAAGCTGGAGGCATCACACTACCTGACTTCAAACTATACTACAAGGCTACAGTAACAAAAACAGCATGGTACTGGTACCAAAACTGATATATGGACCAATGGAACAGAATAGAAGCCTCAGAAATAATTCCACAAATCTACAACCATCTGATCTTTGACAAACCTGATAAAAACAAGCAACGGGGAAAGAAACCCCTATTTAATAAATGGTGTTGGAAAAACTGGCTAGCCATATGCAGAAAACTGAAACTGGACCCCATCCTTACACCTTATACAAAAAATAACTCAAGATGGATTAAAGACTTAAATGTAAGACCTAAAACCATAAATTCCTAGAAAAAAAAACCTAGGCAATACCATTCAGGACTTAGGCATGGGCAAAGACTTCATGACTAAAACACCAAGGATCTAATCAAACTAAAGAGCTTCTACACAGCAAAAGAAACTCTTATCAGAGTGAACTGACAACCTACAGAATGGGAGAAAATTTTTGCAATCTATCCATCTGACAAAGGGCTAATATCCAGAATCTATAAAGAACTTAAACAAATTTACCTGAAAAAAACAAACAATCTCATCGAGAAGTGGGCAAAGGATATGAACAGACACTTCTCAAAAGAAGACATTTATTCAGCCAACAAACATATGAAAAAATGCTCATCCTCACTGGTCATCAGAGAAATGCAAATCAAAACCACAATGAGATACCATCTCACGCCAGTTAAAATGGCGATCATTACAAAGTCAGGAAACAACAGATGCTGGAGAGGATGTGGAGAAACAGGAATGCTTTTACACTGTTGATGGGAGTGTAAATTAGTTCAACTATTAGGGAAGACAACGTGGCAATTCCTCAAGGATCTAGAACTGGAAATAACCATTTGATGCAGCAATACCATTACTGGGTATATACCCAAAGGATTATAAATCATTCTACTATAAAGACACATGCACACATATGTTTGTTGCGGCACTGTTCACAAATAGCAAAGACTTGGAACCAACCCAAATGCCCATCAATGATAGACTGGATAAAGAGAATGTGGCACATACACACCATGAAACACTATGCAGCCATAAAAAAGGATGGGTTCATGTCCTTTGCAGGGATGTGGATGAAGCTAGAAAGCATGATTCTCAGCAAACTAACACAGGAACAGAAAACCAAACACCTCATGTTCTCACTCATAGATGGGAGTTGAACAATGAGAACACATTGACACAGAGAGGGGAATATCACACACTTGGGCCTCTCAGGGGGTGGGGGGCTAGGGGAGGGATAGCATTAGGAAAAATACCTAATGTAGATGATGGGTTGTTGGATGCAGCAAACCACCATGGCACATGTATACCTATGTAACAATCTGCACATGTACCCTAGAACTTAAAGTGTAATAAAAAATAAATAAGTAAATAAATGGGCATCTAGGTTAGGTAGTAGTTTACTGTAAAACTAAATGAAATCTTAACTTTTGCCTGTATTCATTTGTTTTAAGCAAGGGACAAACATATGTGATGAACATATTTGTATATAGGTCAAATATCTGAGCTAAATTAAATACATAAAATGAAGTAAATAGGTAATCTGGCAAAAAAGTCATAGGACTAGGCTGTAATGTATAAGCTAAGCAAGCATATCCCAAAGGTTGTCTCAGAATATTACAGAGCCAGAAATTTGGAAACCAGTTAGCCAAGACACTGTAAATGAAAACACTGTCATTACTGAACCCAATATTTACTTTTATTGTATCTTGAATTCATAGTGAAAATGAGTGTATAAAAGTAGGACCTGGGGTTAAAAACATTTTGCTACTCCTCTAAACAAGGAAAACATATTTTTAATAAAGGAAAGAAACATAAAATATTATGCCATTATTTTTTAAGTAAGTCTCTATGATATTTGATGATCTGTGGCTAAACATTCTACCTCAAGGCTTATCTCTATGAATATTGACACAGTGTAACATTAGAATTTTTTACATCTTATCTTGTGCAGAGCTATTTATTTAGGTAAAAAATAATGTACAGTTTAAATGGAAATAACTTTTTAAATATTACAATTTCAGTTGTCTTAAGAGAAAGGTGTTGAGTAGGAGACTAAACTTATCAATGGCTTTTTTTTTTTTTTTGCTAGGACAGAGGAAGGATGTTCTGTTTCCCAGAGCCACGGTTACTATGAAAATGAAGAAATCATTCAGATTTGTGAAATGAGAAACTGGTAAGATAGAATGGACATCAAAATAAGAATTCAGACTCACTTTGAAAACCAGACTGTGAAGCCAGAAAATTGGAGACCAGATAGCTAAGGTTATAAATACACAGAACCTTGATGATCTTGGGCAAGTAAATGCTTAAAACTTTCCTGAAACTATATTTTTCAGTGGCTTCTTACTTGGTTCCTAGGTCAGGGATGAGATAGATGTGTTGGAATAAAGGTCAAATATCAAAGCTAAATGAAATACATAAAATGAAGTAAATAGGTTTTCTGGTGAAGAAGAAAAAGGAACAAGACTAACCTATAATGTATGAGCTAGGCAAGCATATCCCAAAGGGCATTTCTCAGAATATTACTTTAGGATATTAATAAATGTTTATACATACACACATACACACACATAGAGTGTGTGTATTAATAAATGTTATACATACATTAGTATTACTTTAGGATATTAATATTTATACATACACACATACACTCATACTGATCTCTCCCAGAGCAGTGTTTCTCAAGCTTTAACATGCATCTGAATTACTTGGGGAGTAAAACTGATTTGGAAAGTCTGAGGTGGGGCCTTTGTGTTTCTTGCAAACTTTGAGATGACACCAGTGTTGTGGATCCACACAAAAACTTTTGAACATCCAGAGGCAGGCCCTTCCCTCCACTTGAAATTTAGAATTTTTAAAGTATTTCATACTATTATCGCTGAGACCAAACTTTCCTTCCTGAGTTGTGGAACTCATTATTTGTCAAGACCTGCTTTCCTGAGATTGTCACAAAAGGGATTACGAAGGTGTTTTTAAATTTTCCATTAGACTGTTAGTGTGACTCTGGAGGCCAGATTTAAATAATAGAGAATTCTTTTGTAAAAAAAATTAAGGAAAACTTTGATACAAATAATGTATTTGAGAAATAGAATAGTTACATTTCAAACTAAAAATCAAATTTCAATTCATTGACATTTGATCATCTATTATTTTGGGGACCAAGAACTCAAAGATGACTAAGATAGCCCTGTTATTATGGAAAACATTATCTAGTAGAGATGAAAGGCAAGTAAACAGATAATTGTAAAGCAGGTAAATTACTATAAACCAATATTGTTATGTACAAAATACTAAGGGTTGCAGAAAAAGAATGTGCAACTAATTCTGTGTGGGGCAGTCATGGAGGGATTCCAAGGGGAAGAATGAGAGGACAAGGTGGTGGAAGCAATTCTAGGCAACAATAAATAGCCCACAATACCAGTCAAAAAAAAAAAAGTGCAAGTGTGTTTAGAACATCACGCGTCATGACATGTATATAAAAGTCCAGTTTGGAATTGTGATAGAGGAAAGGTGGATAAAGATGAGGTTGGAGAGGAAATATAAGCTTGTATGTAGAAGGGCTTTGTATATTATGCCAAGCAAAGTTAACTTTATCCAATTGGCAAGATGGAGTCATTAGAAGACATTATCTATGAGGAGATCCAATCAGATGTGTGTAATAGAAAGCAACCCTGGTGGAAGAGATAGGGAAGAGATTGGTAACTTTGGTGCACAGGATGGGGAGAGACTGGAGTAAGAGGAACCAATGAAAAAAAACCATTATAAGGATGATGAGGACTAAGGCAATGAATATCAGTAGGATTTGAGAGGAAGAAAACAGATTTCTATTCAGGGAAGGAGGAAGAGTTAAGAATTGAGGACAAAGTGATAAAAATGAAACATTCTAACTACTTGGTAGAAATGGTATTATTCATTAGATCTGACAGTTAACTATTAGGCTGGTGCAAAGGTAATTGTGTTTTTTTGCCATAAGTGTTACAACGCATTTTTTTAATTATACTTTAAGTTTTAAGGTACATGTGCACAAAGTGCAAGTTAGTTACATATGTACACATGTGTCATGTTGGTGTGCTGCACCCAGTAACTCGTCATTTAACATTAGGTATATCTGCAAATGCTATCCCTCTCCCCTGCCCCCACCCCACAACAGGCCCAGGTGTGTGATGTTCCCCTTCCTGTGTCCATGTGTTCTCATTCTTCAATTCCCACCTATGAGTGAGAACATGCGGTGTTTGGTTTTTTTTCCTTGCGATAGTTTGCTGAGAATGATGGTTTCCAGCTTCATCCATGTCCGTACAAAGGACATGAACTCATCATTTTGTATGGCTGCATAGTATTCCATGGTGTATATGTGCCACATTTTCTTAATCCAGTCTATTATTGTTGGACATTTGGGTTGGTTCCTAGTCTTTGCTATTGTGAATCATGCAGCAATAAACATATGTGTGCATGTGTCTTTATAGTGGCATGATTTATAGTCCTTTGGGTATATACTCAGTAATGGGATGGCTGGGTTAAATGGTAATTCCAGTTCTAGACCCCTGAGGAATCGCCACACTGACTTCCACAAAGGTTGAACTAGTTTACAGTCCCACCAACAGTGTAAAACTGTTCCTATTTCTCCACATCTTCTCCAACACCAGTTGTTTCCTGACTTTTTAATGATCGCCATTCTAACTGGTGTGAGATGGTATCTCATTGTGGTTTTGATTTGCGTTTCTCTGATGGCCAGTGATGATGAGCATTTTTTCATGTGTCTGTTGGCTGCATAAATGTCTTCTTTTGAGAAGTGTCTGTTCTTATCCTTCGCCCACTTTTTGATGGGGTTGTTTGTTTTTTTCTTGTAAATTTGTTTGAGTTCATTGTAGATTCTGGATATTTGCCCTTTGTCAGATGAGTAGATTGCAAAACTTTTCTCCCATTCTGTAGGTTGTCTGTTCACTCTGATGGTGGTTTCCTTTGCTGTGCAGAAGCTCTTTAGTTTAATGAGATCCCATTTGTCAATTTTGGCTTTTGTTGCCATTGTTTTTGGTGTTTTAGAAATGAACATGCACTTGCTTTTAAAATTTAGGTTGCATTTTTTTTGTGTGATGAAGAGCATAAATGTAGATTCACTTGTTCTTTCAGCCCCCTACACATGGACACTGGCTGTATCCAGGGAAACTGGTTGGGTCACAGTGACATAAGGATAAGCTGTCCAAGACATAGAGGAAAATAATTTACTTCATCTCAGGACTCTCCTTAGGTCAGTGTGACTTGCAACCAGCCTACATAAATTTCTGATTACCATTTTTCTCTTCTTGTGATATTTCTTGACCACTCAAGAGGCAGCCTTATTTTTCACAAAAGCCCTTCAGCCAAGTACACTTTTGTTTCCCCTGCCCCTTTCTTAACCTGTGAAATCATCCATGGCAATCAATACCAAGGAAGTTTATTCGTGAGCTCACTTCTCCAAGAAGGCACACACAAATAAAGTCACAGAATGAAGTTTATGTAAACTAAATGTATGATGTCTCTTTGGAGTCATTAACTAGAAGTGCTGGATGATGTGATATCTCTTTGATAGAAAAATCCTTGAAACTTTATAAGATACATTATTATTCTATATTTGTTTTATTTAATAGATTCTCCCTACTCTTTTCTTCATAAAATATTTTGAAAGACCCAAAGATAGGAAATTAATGTATATAATCTGAGAAAGTGGAATACATTGTGACAAAATCTAAGAGAAATAAAATATTCGTTTTGCTATTTTGAATATAAATATACAATCAAATTATTCAATCCAAAACACATACATTGAAATCTTATATATACTTCACTAAGACAGGTTCTGTGAGTTTCCACAAACAAACAAGACAGAGATGAGGGCTAAATAAACAAAAATTTATCCAAATATTGACATAGTATGTGACTGGCATGCAAATGGAAGCAGATTCAATAAGATCCAATGAATGGTCTCTTGAAGAGAGTCTCAGCAGAGATTGGTAGAAAGGGGCTCTGTGGAGAGTCAGGCATCTTTGGTCATGTCCTGTTTTGTGATATTTTTTGAAATCCTGCTTTATCTATTATGCATTTTCTTCATGACATTATACTTTATTTCTTAATTTTAAAAAAATCTCTAAACCCATAGGGTAAAAGTACAATTTTGTTACATGTATAGATTGCATAGTGGTCAAGTCAAGGCTTTAGGGGATGTATCATCTGAATCATGTATAATATATTGTACACATTAAATAATTTCTCATCATCTACCCCCTCCTGTTCTTTCCCCCTCTGAGTTTCCATTGCCTATCATTCCACTCTCTATATCTATGTTAAACTACATTTTACATAACTTCTCACACGCATATATCTTACATACCCTCATTGTTCACTCAGTTTCTCTTCCTGCCTCTCTTTTATTAGGTTGCATTTTTGAATAAATCCCTATAGGTAAAACGCAACTTTACCAGGCCCATCTATCAGAAAGTTTCCACTTCATCTGTGTGGCTCTCCTCAGAGCGAGTCTGAGTAGTTCACTTTCACAAACCATTAGAACTCAAGCTCCAGGAGAGCAGGAATTATCTGTGTTCAGTAAGTTCACCACTGACTTGCTGGCTTTCTATTCCAGGCTCTGCTTTGGATTTTCTCTTTATGCTCTACGACATCAAATGCATCTATTCCTTAACATATAAATATTTGTTTACTTTTTTTCTTAGCTGAATAGTTTCCTTTTTCAAATATCAATCCCTGTCAACATAACTTTCTATTACACTTGGGAGTACTTGGACTGCATATCTGTGACTTTCAGAATAGGAGTTGTATAGTGCCTGGCATTGTACATCAAGAGAAGCATTCATAGATGCTTCATACAATGATGATGCTGCTGCTGATGAGAAATTTTTTCAAGAATTATGTACTGGTATTTTATCAATATGAAAACTAAATACTTAAAAAGGTTATTGAGTTTACACAATGAAAAGTAGTAAAAGTAATATGCTGCTTGTTCCGTTAACCAAACCACCAATCCATATCTATTACTCAATTTTTAATTAAACAGTAGCATTTTCAAAGCATCAGCATTACTGCACACTTTGCAGCTCAAACATCACCCTTATTTGACATAAACTTAAAGATTTATCTTCTCCTGTAGAACAACACTTAGCATAATATTCCTTCATTTCTCAATTTCAAAAGCTTGGATTGTCTGCTGCACACTGTGTTTTCCTTCACAAAAAATATTACTCTAAGTAAGTTTTTATCAAGTTTCAGAAGGTCTAGAAACTTTGTCTTCCATTTGCCCTGTTAGCTGACACTTAAAAGACTCATGAGTTTCTTGGATTTCTCACTCTTGTGTTTCCAGTGGCAAACTTCTAGAATAATCTTTATGTAAATAGAAACATGCCTCACAGTGCTCTGCAGCTGCCATCAAGATGAAAACACCAATCTTTTTCACCTTACTCTGCTTACACCCAGCTAAGGAGCATCTGTAGTCTAATCTCATTTGCTTCCAAACAAACAATTTTGATAATTTAATCTGTCTTCATAAAGAAAGCATTTGTTTATTTTTTTTTTTCATTTCAAGAGTTTTGTAAAGTATTAATTAACAGGATCAGATATTCAGAAATCATTTCATGTAGTCCACAAAGAACATCTCCAAATTTGAGAATTTTGCTATTGTATAGTATGGCCACAGTTGGCCAGTGTTGGTGACTTTGGATGCGAGGCAGTAGTGGACATATTCTGAATCCAACTCTAGGGAGACACCTTGGGATTCCAGCTAGGCAGTATTGATTCTAGTTGCTTTACTCAGGGAGAGAGAGGTAAAAGCTCCCGCTCACTACTGCAAGAATTAGGATTCTCCTCCCAGTTGAGAATTTCATTTCCAATATAGCCTTCAAAAGCATGAATCTCCAGTGTTATTTCAGAGTATAGCTGGCATAAATTTCCAGAGCAGAGAATTATTACAGCTGAGAATACAAATTAAATAAAAATCCAGTGTAGCCAGTTATGTAAAGTTTCAAAGTCTAGAATGAGAGTACTATCTTCAGTTGATTTTCTTTTCTTTAATTTAAAACTATATACATGACTTCACATAAAGTACCTGAATGTCAGTTCAAATAAATTACTTCACAGTTAAAAAGATTAGTATAAAAATGAATATGACTCAGAGTTGGGAGTGGGAAGTGTGAGAGTAATAGTTTGAAGGCAAAAAGTGAGTCTGGTAAAGTGTCTTACATAATGTTCATAAGAAAAACGACAGGCTGATACAAATAGTATCTTTGTAGCTATTAATGGTAATGTATAGGGATGATTTGGACAATTTGTGTCATTTTAGAATTGATAATTATATATATTTTCTTGATAAAAATGCTGAACTAGACTGAACTATGCATATTCCAGCAGGAAAATCTCTGTTTCCTAAAAAAAAATTATGAGCATTTATGTCAATAATATAGAGCTTTGTTTTTGTGGCAGAAACTCAAAAGTTGAACAAGGAGGAAAATGGTCCAAAATGAAAGAATAAATTTAGGAGTTATGGAGTTGGGCCTTAAACTTAACTTAAATTCCTCTCAATTGCTTTTTTTAAATTGTGTGTACATACCAGCCTAGTAAGTAAAAAACTGATGAAGAATCATCACAAAAAGTGACAGATTATTTCTGTTTATAAATGCACACACACAAACTTTTTAAAGTGACTTGTTTTTAAAGACATTTTTGAAAACAAGATGGGGTTTTAGATTTTATTTGTTGATAATTTTTTTAAAAACTAATTTTCCTTCTAACTGGCTATGATAGGAAGAATTCTAAGATGGTCTCCAGGATTCCCAACTGTGGTGTACACTTCCCTGTTTGATCCACTGAGCTGTAAATGTGATGAGTTTTACTCCTGTGATTAGGTTACATTCTATGGCCCAGCTAACCTCAAGATATCGAGGTTATTTTGTTATGCTTGACCTAATCACGTGAACCCTTTACAAGCAGACAGTTTTTCTCTCAGTGGTGAGGCATAGAGGTCAGAGAGATTTTCTGTATAAGACGGTTTTGATACAAAGGATGTCGTCCGTTGCTGAAGTGGAAGGGGCTGCCTGGGTGGGGGGACCTGAGAACAATGTCTGTAAGCTGAGAGCTATCCCAGGTCCACAGCTAGAAAAACAGAAAGGGCCTCAGTTCTACAACTGCAATAACAAATTCTGACAACAACCTGAATGAGCATGAAAGTAGATCCCTTTTAGAACCTCCAGCTAGGAGTGCAGCCTGGTGGACGCTGCTTTTAGCTTGTAAGACCTTGAGCGGAGAACCCAGCCACACTGCCTGACCCTGACATACACAACTTGGAACTAATAAATAGAAGTTGTTTAAGACCACCAAGCTTGCCATAATATGACAGGGAACAACAGAAACCAAATATACTAACCTTTCCCGACATGATTGTTTTGTGCTTTGGTTGCCGTAGTCTCAGAAGCCCCAAGCTAGACAAAGCAAAATAAAGACAGTATGGGGACTGCAGTATTCTCTTACATCAAATTTTATCTTTGCGAGGGGAAAAATGGGTATTATTTGTGTAAAATGCTTTGTTACTCTGTTTCTTTTGATAAACTGGAAACACCATCAAGAATTGTAATTTTATAATTAGTGTGTACATGTCCATCATTATATAACTTTCATACTCAGATGTTTGGGAAGAAGGGAAAAAAAGACTGAGAGTGGAAAAAGTGGTAGAGTGACAAGAGGGAGAGGGAGAGAGGGAATATAGAGATATCAGAAAGCCAAAAATGGATTACTTGCAAAGGTGGAAATGATGCAGTGTTCCTACACGTATTTTCCAACCTTGTTCTTGCAACATTTATTCCTTTCAAATGCTCACAAAACGATTTATATTTTTCCTCCTTGTCAGACTTAAATGAACACTGATTCTGTAACTGTAGGTCCAAGAAAAAGCTAGATTCAACTTTGAGTGTTTATTAGGCGCTACGAACTGAACTGTGTCCCCTCAAAATTCATATGTTAATGTCCTAACCCTCATTGTGGATATATTTTATTTAAGGAAGTGATTAAAGTTAAATGGGCTTATAAGGATGGAGTCCTAATTTGACAGAATCAGTGTCCTTACAAAAGTATATACCAGAGAGCTCCTTACTGCTCTCCACCATGAGGATGGCCATCTGTAAGCTAGGAAGAGAGCCCTCATCAGGAGCAGAATCAGCCAGCAACTTGATCTTGGACTTCCCAGACTACAGGTCTATGAGAAAATAATTTTCTATTGTTTAAGTCACCCAGTCTGTGGTATTTTGTTATGGCAGTCCACCCTGACTTATACATTAATAATATTAAATTATTGTTCATTTTATGTTGCTAGTACCATATCATCCCTTTTAGGTTAAATTTATTAGTCCTATACTTTCTTGTCCACTTTAATGATAGTATTTAATATCAATAGAAATTTTGCAACCATGATAATTTTAACATTCCAATAACATTAATTTTTATCCAGAAGAATATGAAAATGTTTGAGGAAATCACAAACTCTCATTTCTAAGGACAAGGTACTTCATCACTCTTTAAGAACATTAACAGGGCCAGGGGCGGTGGCTCACGCCTGTAATCCCAGCACTTTGGGAGGCCGAGGTGGGCAGATAACGAGATCAGGAGTTTGAGACCAGCCTAACAAACATGGTGAAACCCCATCCCTCCTAAAAATACAAAAAAAAAAAAAAAATTAGCTGGGCGTGGTGGTACACGCCTTTAATCCCAGCTACTCAGAGGCTGAGGCAGGAGAATCACTTGAACCTGGGAGGTGGAGGCTGCAGTGAGCAGAGATTGCACCACTGCACTCCAGCCTGGGCGACAGAGGGAGACTCCGTCTCAAAAAAAAAAAAAAAAAAAAAAAAAGAACATTAACCGATAAGGTTATTTGTAACCTGTCTTAAAACTCTAATGCATTGTTAACCTAAATTACCTTTACTTTTACCAAGTTATTAACATATGCACATTTCCCACATAAAATTTTGAAGGTATTTTCAAAGCATTTAAAATTCATATCCTTTGAGATACGCTTGATGCCAATAAATTGCTATAACTGAAATTTGTATTTTATTAGATTATATGAAGTCATTAGTTTAGATATCACTGTAATTAATTCAACAAACATTTCTTGATTGCATCCATTTATTCAACAAATATGTACTGAATAACTACTGCATGTCAGAACTTCTCTTGAGTTCTGAGTATAAAATGGGATAGATTTAAGCTCTATATATACCTGGCACTCTCTAAAGTGCTGAAAGTAAAAGAATGAATAAGACATGATCCCTTCTGTCCTGATTTGCATCCTCCATATGAAATTAGATATGCAAGACATATATATCAGGAAATGTTTGTGAAGGACAAAGGAGAGGAAGACAGAGAAAGTGGGGAGGGCCTTCAGACCATGATGTTGGTTTCACTCTTTTGAGTTAGAGGTGGAGGAAAAAAGATTGGAAAGATTCTAGAGTCTGAGAAAGTTTTGGCTGGGTTTATGGGGAGTCCTCAAGCCATGGTCACCTGTCAAGGGATTCCAGCCTTACTTCCATTAGTGTCCTCATTGTGCCGCGGTGCTGGCTACCAGCAGCCTGAAGTAAGCATGGCCTCAGCACAGTGTGAGGGAGGATCCAGCAGAGCAGAAGTTGGGCTGTTAGTCAATTATGCTTTCTAAAGAAGGAGTGGTGAATTTTTATGGCCATCAGACTCCACGTGACAGTGCAGATCTATTTCGTCCTGCATTTAGGGAACAGCTTCTCCATGATTCCTATGGTCTCTCTTCCTGAGGGGAAATTTGGAAAGGAGATAGTGGGAGGAACTATATCCTTTCATGTTGCAGGTGGTCTCAAGATTACAGCTGGTATTCACCATTTCTCTTTTCCATTATTTCATATTGTATTCACCCTTAGTTATCACCTCAGTTAGCTTAGCTGGTATTATAACCAAAACTTTCTACCTGAGTGGACTGAGACCTTGGTTTGTATCCTTTTCAGACTCAGATGTTGCATGTGTTCATTCACAGTTAAGATAGAGCAAGTTATAATCAGAAGGTACCTAAACAGATCACTTTGGTGCTACATGTCCTCATTTACCTCATTGTGTAAAAGAAGCCCCATCAATTTCTTCCAATCAGAATCAGTTACTCCTGCCACACTGATGATGTCCATTCTTCGATGATGCTATCTGTAGATGGGGAGTCCAAAATTCCTTGTTTGGAGCCATATATTATAAATTATTGAAATCCATACTGTGCACCCTGGCAAGAATATGCTTCCCTTGGGGACCAGCACCTCCAAACCCGCAAAGCCTAGGGTTACAAGAGCAGAGTTGCAAAGATTAGAAGCTCAAATCCCCAGCAGATTACTGGGAAAGATGTTATGTGGCGCTGCTCCTGCTTTTACCCTTTGTCTCTGGACCTATGTATGCTTTCTATTGAGGACAGAGTGCCATATAGAAGTCTCTGATTGAATACATACATTGTATCCTGAAGAATGGTGCCTTCTTCTTTCAAAGTGTTGCCTTCTAGATGTTAGTTTAGCTACGCATTCAGAAGACTGTTCCAGTGTTCAATGAGGCCATCTTGCTTCTGGATAGTGTGGTATGTAACATGACCAATGGTCAGATGGTATGTTCTGGCAGTTCCCTTAGTGAGATGCTGTATTGTGTGAGATCCTATAATTTTGAATCAGGCATTCTGTCAGCCTCTAGGTGGTGCTAGCTAAGGCTCTGTGGGCAAGAATGACAAACCTATACCTTGAATAGGTATCTATCTCTGTGAGGGGAAACTTCTTATTCTTTCAAGAAAGAGGCCTGATCTGGTTATCTTACCATCTAGTGGCAAATTGGTCTCAGTGAGAAATAGTGTTGTATCAGGCTCGCTTTGGTCTCTGTTACTGATAGATTTGGCATGGGTTGATGGGTAGCCGGTATTTCTGACACTGTGGACGGTCAGTCCACGTGCCTGTTGTGCCAGTTTGATAGTGACGAATCCGTAAAAACTGGCTAGTATTTACTGGCAGAGCCATTTTATATACCTTGCAACACTTTATAATACTTTACTCTGCACTACTTTACAGTGGTTCTTTCATCATGGATGGTTTCTGATGGACATTAATGTGCCATATAAAATCTTCACACTTTGCACCCACTTCCTTATGTCTATCTATATGACTCCATTCCAGACCTCATTTTCTCCACTCTCCATTTCTTTTCCTTCTAAGCTCCTAACCAGACAACTAGGCCATTGGCAATAGCCTAGGAATGTATATACTCATCTTAGAGTCTCCTCATTTCACACAGTGTGTGACCAGGTGAACTTCTAGAAGCTTTGCCCATTGGAAGATATTTTTTTCTCCTCTACACTGACTTTCATGGCTTAACTCCTTTGGCTAAATTGAGGAAATCTCTTAAGGGAAAGCCTAACTCCAGATATCCCTATGGAATCACCTGAAACTTTTGTTGAGCCTGCATGACAGTTAAATGTCTCTCTCCCACCCAATCCTCTTCTATCACCTGGGACTCTTTTTCAAGAGAATTGCTGAATAAATCTCCTGGATGCAAATTTCAGAGTGTCAGAGTCTGTGTCCTGAATAATTTGATTTCTTATATATTATAATATCTTGTGTAATTCTTCATTTTATTTCTTCTACACTATGAGCAGGTGTTGAATATGAATGATAACTTACTTTGTTTCAACACCCAGAATCTGACACAGGGAAAAACAAATAATACACATTTAATATATGTTTTATGAACAAATGTGTTAGAACTGTTTAGTAAATTGTATTCAAAAATATATTCGTGCTACAGATAGGCAAGTGAAGCTTTATTTTATTTTTAGTTTTTTAGACCTGAGCTAAAGAATCACTGTTTTATCCATCCATTTTCCTTATTCTTTTTTCTATGCTCCCTCTTCCATATGTGTTCACCTGTTGATTGGACTTATCCTTCAAGGTTTAATTCACATGCTCCCTCCTTTTAGAGGCCTCTTTTGATATCTTCAGGCAGTGTTGAATTTTCCTTCCTTTGTGTTCTCACACCACCTTATTCGAATAACAATATTAAACATTGTAATTATTTGTTTATATGAAAGTTATCATTTCTTGATTTCTGTATTCTGTTTTTTATTTTCATGGTTGCATTTAGCTACAATATTTTCTCATTTTTTCCCCAGGCAAGTTAACTAGTATTTTCCTTTGCTTTCATTTGTGAATACCAATTGTGCTGTTTATCTAAGTTCAAAATTGTTTGTCTTCATGCTGTGTGCTACTACATTGCCTTCCAGAACTTAGTGTGGTAAATAATAATTTTTATATTAATCTGATTATCTTTATTTGTAGGTAATATATTTGTCTGCCTGGAAGTCCGCATGGTTTTTCCTTTATCATTGAAGTTTATAAACACAACCAAAAATATATCTGGATAGAGATCATTATTCAACATTTGTCATTGAAATCCTACCTTTCTTATTGTTTCTTTCTTACATGCCATTTTCTTTTTTGAAAATTTTGTCAAATATAGTCATACCTCTTCAATTTTTCTTTTTTCTCTGTAAGGTTTTCTCTCAGAATTTCCATTTTAACCACAAAGAGATACTATTACATACCAACTAGAAGGACTATAAGCCAAAAGACTAATAATACCAAGCGATGGCAAGGATTTGGAAAAACATGGAAACTTCATACGCTGCTGGTAAAAATGGAAATGTTTAAGCTACTTTGGAAAACAGCTTGGCAGCTTCTTTAAAAAGTTATACATCTATATTACCATAAAGTCTAGCGATTGCACTCCTAAGTGTCTACCCAACAATAATAAAGTATAAATGTTCATACAAATCGTTGCTTGGGATTGATCATAAGTATCATTGCTTATAATAGCCTTGAACTTAAAAAAAAATCCAAAAGTCCATCAACTAGTGAAAGGATAAACAAAATGAGCTGTATGTCTATAACACAATACTACCCAGAGGTAGAAAGGAACAAACTGATGATATGTGCAACAACATTAATTAATCTCAAAAGCATTATTTTAAACAAAAGAAGCCAGGTATAAAAATCGACTTATAGTAAGATTCCATTTCTATGAAATGTTTAGAAATATGACAGAGAAAGTACAGCCCTGGTTATGTAAGGCCAGGAGTGAGAGCCTGGATTTACTGCAAAGTGTCATGATGAGAATTTTGGGGTTGATTAATATGTTTTAAAAACTGGATTGTGATCATGGTTATAAAACATGTATAAACATGGTTATAAAAGTCATAAAACTGTACATTTAAAATGCATGAATGTTATGATATGTAAATTATGTCCCAAGAGCTATTAAAATTTTTCATTTCATTTCTTTTTGCTATTGATCTTGACAACAATTGAAATATTTGAGCTAACCTTCTAAATGAATATTTTTATTTTTAGTTGAGTTTATTCTGCCCTCTATTTTTTATTTTTTAAACTTTTATTTTAAGTTCAGGGGTATAAGTGTGGGTTTGTTACACAGGTAAACTTGTGTCATGGGGGTTTTGCACAGATTATTTCATCACACAGGTATTAAGCCTAGTATCTGTTAGTTATTTTTCTTGATGTTCCCCCTTCTCCCACCCTCCACCCTCTGAAAGGCCCCAATGTATGTTGTTCCCTCCTATGTGTCCATGTGTTCTCATTATTTAGCTCTCACTTATAAGTGAGAATATGCAGTATTTAGTTTTCTGTTCCTATGTTAGTTTGCTAAGGATAATGGCCTCCAGCTCCATCCATGTTCTGAAAAAGGACAATATCTCATTCTTTTTTATGGCTATATAGTGTTCCATGGTAAATATGTACCACATTTTCCTTATGCAGTCTATCAATGATAGGCATTTAGGTTGATTGGGATCTAATTAAACTAAAGAGCTGCTCTACAAAAGAAACTATCAAGAAAGTAAACAGACACTCTACAGACTGGGAGAAAATTTTTGCAAACTATGCATTTGACAAACATCGAATATCCAGCATCTGTAAGCAATTAAACAAATTTACAAGAATAAAACCCAAGCAACCCCATAAAAATTTGGCAAAGAACATGAACAGACACTTTTCAAAAGAAGACATACATGCAGCCAACAATCATATGTAAAAAGCCCAACATCACTGATCATTAGAGAAATGCAAAACAAGATGACAATGAGATACCATCTAACACCAGTCAGAATGGCTACCATTGACAAGTCAAAAATGCCAGTGATGTAGCGGAGAAGTAGCAAAGCTTATACACTGTTGATGGGCATGTACGTTAGTTCAGCCATTGTGGAAGACAGTGTGGCGATTCCTGAAAGACCTAAAGACAGAAATACCATTTGACCTAGCAATTTCATTACTGGATATAGACACAAAAAAATATCTGACTGTCTATTAAAATGATCTAAGAAACAATGAGGTACCATTACAGACATATTAAATTGGCTAAAATCGAAAACTGCCAGCAAGGATGTGCGGGAAAAGAAACTGTCATTCTTTGCTGATCAGAATGCAAAATGATATAGCCACTTGCAAAGAAAGTTTGTTTAGTTTATTTACTAAACTAAACATATCCTATGATTCAACAATTGTGCCCTTAGTAACAAGCATACTCTTTTTATGGCTGCAACATTATAACTTAATGGATGTCACATCCTCTTGAATCTCATTGCCTATATTACTAGATTTTAAAAAGTCCATGTTTTTTTCTTTTAAAAAATAAGTTTTGCTTTCATGTGATTAATTTCGTTTGTATTTGTATTAACTAGCTACATATAGAGTGAAGCTCGTTCAGGAATTCCACAAATAAATATATATAGAGTGAAGCTTATATATAGAGTGAGAGTGAAGCTTGCTCAGGAATTCCACAAACACCTTCACATTCCAAATGAGACCTTCAGGTTTGCATTCACACATATCAGTAAGTAGAGTGTGTCCCTTATAAAACGTTTTTGGTTTTAAAGTTTTTATCTACTGATTATCCCTCTTGGAACGTGAAGGGGTTTTGGGGAGTCTTTGAGTATGCTTCATCCTTGTGTGGCAAGTGAGCACTGACACAGCCTTCGTTCCCAATCTTCATCCATTTAACACATTGGGTTAACCATGATTAGCACATCTGATTGCTAGGAAACATTCAGCAAGAGGATCCATCAAGTTCTTTCAAACTCATCCCCTTTTCTAACGTTTAAGTCTTTAATCCTAGAAGAAAACCTAGGCATTACCATTCAGGACATATGCATGGGCAAGGACTTCATGTCTAAAACACCAAAAGCAATGGCAACAAAAGACAAAATTGACAAATGGAATCTCATTAAACTAAAGAGCTTCTGCACAGCAAAAGAAACTACCATCAGAGTCAACAGGCAACCTACAAAATGGGAGAAAATTTTTGCAACCTACTCATCTGACAAAGGCTAATATCCAGAATCTACAATGAACTCAAACAAATTTACAAGAAAAAAACAAACAACACCATCAAAAAGTGGGCAAAGGACATGAACAGACACTTCTCAAAAGAAGACATTTATGCAGCCAGAAAACACATGAAAAAATGCTCGCCATCACTGGCCATCAGAGAAATGCAAATCAAAACCACAATGAGATACCATCTCACACCAGTTAGAATGGTGATCATTAAAAAGTCAGGAAACAACAGGTGCTGGAGAGGATGTGGAGAAATAGGAACACTTTTACACTGTTGGTGGGACTGTAAACTAGTTCAAACATTGTGGAAGTCAGTGTGGCGATTCCTCAGGGATCTAGAACTAGAAATACCATTTGACCCAGCCATCCCATTACTGGGTATATACCCAAAGGATTATAAATCAT
This sequence comes from Homo sapiens, assembly GCF_000001405.40. Classification (NCBI taxonomy): domain Eukaryota; kingdom Metazoa; phylum Chordata; class Mammalia; order Primates; family Hominidae; genus Homo; species Homo sapiens. The sequence continues at coordinate 45,857,854 of NC_000005.10, read as the reverse complement.
GCTGCTATAAAGACACATGCACACGTATGTTTATTGCAGCATGATTCACAATAGCAAAGACTTGGAACCAACCCAAATGTCCAACAATGATAGACTGGATTAAGAAAATTTGGCACATATACACCATGGAATACTATGCAGCCATAAAAAGGATGACTTCATGTCCTTTTTAGGGACATGCATGAAGCTGGAAACCATCATTCTCAGTAAACTATGGCACTGGTACCAAAACAGGCAGAGAAATATAAAGTAAAACAATTATATGTCATTTCACACCCACCATATTGAAAAATAAAACTTCCCAATATTCCGAATATTGGCAATGATATGAAAATAAAAAACTAAGAATCTTTGTGAATGGTGGCATTATATTTGGTATAACAGTACTGAAGAATATTTTTCCAATATCTGCTAAAATCGGTGCATATCTTACACCTCATCATTTCCACTGCTAAGTGTATACCCTTGGAAGAGCAATTCTCAAACTTTTTTTTTGTTTCGGGACACCTTTAAACTCTGAAAAATTTTTGAAGGCCTTAAGAAGTTTTATTTTTGTGAATTATATATGTCAACATTTACCATACAGAAGTTAAACCTGATAAACTTCATTTATTAATTTATTTTAAAATCGCATAGTAAATCTGGTACTTTTTAAAATGACATATTTTATGAAAAATACTTTTTCCAAAATAAAAAAAATAGTGAGAACAGTGGCACTGTTTATATCTTTTCATCTGGTTTAATAGGAGATGGTTGGATTCACATAGCTGCCTCTGCAATAATTCTGATTCAATATGTTGTTCTGGTTGAACTATATGAAGAAAATCGGGTCCCACATAGATATGTATTTGCTAAAGGAATGAGTATTTTAATATTTTTATATAATTATGGATATTCTTTTTATACGATGTACTATTATACTATATCAAAACCCAATTAGTAGGACTCAATAAATAGTTCCTTAAAAATGCTTACTCCCATGGAAACTGTAGCCATGTCAATAAATATTTTGGACACTTTTACACTAAAATCCGTTACTTTGTTTTAAAAATTTTTTAATTTGAAAATAATAGTTTTATGTATTTCTTTGGTACCATGATGTTAATATATGTGTATACATTGTGGAATGACCAAATCAGGCTAGCATATTCGTCACCTCAAATATTTATCATTTCTTTGTGATGAGAACATTTAAAATCCTCTGTTTTAACTATTTAGAAATGTGTAATACATGATTATTAGCCACAGCCACCATACTATGTACCAGAACACCAAAACTTATTACACCTTTCTAACTGAAACTTTGTGCCCATTGATCCAGAAATCCTACTACTGAGTAAATATCCGAATGAATTGAAATCAGAACGTCAAAAAGAGTTCTGCGCCCCCATACTCACTACAGCATTATTAACAATAGCAAAGATGTAGAAACAACCTTTCTTGTGCTATGAATAAGTCTATACTCATGCATAATTTTATAACTTCACCTATTGGGCATTTGGAAAATATTGGCTTACTGGGTCATGCAAATCTTCCAAATGTATAGTATGAAATTTTAGTTGTATAGTATGAAAAAATGAAAAGTGAAAAAGGCAAAGGATTATCTGTTTTATTATAATTTTTTTAGCCTTATGGATGCCCTTAAAGAATCTTGGGTACTTCCAGAACTCCCAGATCAAAATTTGAGAACTGACGATTTCAAGTAGCTCTTGCAGATGTGCACAAAAAAGCATAAATGATGTGGTTAAAGTCTTAGTTATATTGGGGGAAATAGGAAACATTTGAATGCTCAGTAGAATAGTTGAGAACAAGTTATCACATAGTTGAATTGAGTGAACTAGGTATAAATGTATCCTCATGGAAAATTTTTCAAAATTTTAGTAGAAACATTAAGTTTGGTATGATACAATTTAGGTAAAATGCAAGAACACATGAAAGTGGCATATATCACTTATAGATATGTAAATACATTGTAAAATATAAAAACATGAATGAAAATAATATGGCATCAATAAGAGTCAGAGAGTAAAAATGAGTGTCAGGTGGCAAGAAGCCTTGAAACACTAGAAAGAGCACATGTGAAAATAAAATGGATTAAAAATGGGTTAAGGTTCAGGTTTTCACTTTTAAAACAATGTTTACTGAGTGCATCACGTTGTGTGATATATGCTATTACTGAAAAAACAGGCATAGATAGGAAAGTTACTAACATCAGACTAGATGAGAGAGGGAAAATTGATCTTTTTAAAAACCTCAGAAAAACTACCTGATCAGAGTCAACAAATACAAATAGCAGAAAGAGTCTCTACTGCTCGTCAGAAGTAGTGAATTAACATGGCACATGTATACATATGTAGCAAACATGCACATTATGCACATGTACCCTAAAACTTAAAGTATAATAATAATAAAATTAAAAAAAATTTGTATTTAGAGTACTGGACTATGTAACTATTGGGTTATAGATAGATGATAGATAGATAGATAGATAGATAGATAGATAGATAGATAGATAGATAGATAGATAGATGATAGATAGATAGATGACAGATAGATGATAGATAGATAGATAGATACATACGTACATACACGCATAGATTCATAGATAAATAATTAGCACTGGCCTGTAGCTATTAAGCTTTTGGCCTATGTAATCTGTAATAAAGACCTGATATTAAGTTCTAAACAATATGAAAACATTATCTTAATACTTCAAGTGTGACTTTTGGGCCATAGAGAAGTATATCAGAGCCTAAATTAATTGCAAATAATGGTGTGGGCTGGGGATGATATGAAGTAGGGGAGAAACAGTCCTTGACTGACAGTGGAGTTTGCCTGTAAGATAAATATAAAAATATTTCCCTCTAAAGTAAATGTTCTTGATATCATGTGTTCCCAGAATTGGTACCAGACCCTTCCTGAGACATAAGACAATATATCCAAGTTCCAAGAATTCCCAAATAGGAAGGGGAAATAAATTCCAGATACCAATACTTAATCTAGGCTTTAAGTCTCAAATATGAACAGGCAAACAAGAATCAAGAATGCTTTTAGGAAGTAAAACACAATGAAAAAGAACACCAAACTAAACCAAACAAACAAACAAACAAAAACCAAAACAGAATAAAAGAATAAAGAAAAATAAAAAAGTTGTATGTATCTATTTACCATCCATTGAGATATTTGAGAAGATATCATATTTAAATAATTATTCAAAAAAATTAATAAATGTTGCTTTAGAAACATAGGTTGATTATAATTAAATGAATCTCAATGGAAGAACTAATTAGTAGAAGAGATACAGCTGAAGATAAAAAGAGTGAACTGGAAGAGGGAGCCAAGGAATTGCCTTAGAGAGCACTGAAAATGAACAAAGATTAAAAATGTGAAAAAAAGTTAATCGACACAGAGGTAATATTCTAATGTATGTCTAATAAAAATTATAAAAAGAAAGGACCCAGAAAATGCAAAGGAGGAAGAGAGAGAAGGGGAAGAAGAAAACAAAATAATCCAGAGCAGAAAAAGATATGAAACTTCAAATTCACAGGACACACAAAATGACTCCTAAGTAAAAAGCAAACAAAAAGCAATCCTACAGAGTTAAAAATTTAATAAAGGAAAATGAACAAATAAAGCATTTAAAATGACATGTTAGGTATTTTTCACAGTTTTTTTCTGATGTTATACCAGTTGTGTGTGTATCTACATATGCATATATTTATTCACTTATTTAATTATTTATTTATATGAAAGACACATCTATCTGTTTTTCATCAATACCAGCTGATTTTGGAAAGAAGAGATGTTACCAGAATTATTATTATTATTATTATTATTATTATTATTATTATACTTTTAAGTTCTGGGATACATGTGCAGAACGTGCCGGTTTGTTACATAGGTATACACATGCAATGGTGGTTTGCTGCACACATTAACCTGTCATCTACATTAGGTCTTTCTCCTAATGCTCTCCCTCGCCTAGCCCCCTACCCCCAGGCAGGCCCTGGTATGTGAAGCTCCCCTCACTGCGTCCATGTGTTCTCATTGTTCAATTTCCATTTATGAGTGACAACATGTGGTGTTTGGTTTTCTGTTCCTGTGATAGTTTACTGAGAATGATGGTTTCCAGTTTCATCCATGCAAAGGACATGAACTCATCCTTTTTTGTGGCTGCATAATATTCCATAGTGCGTATGTGCCACATTTTCTTTATCCAGGCTATCATTGATGGGCATTAGGGTTGGTTCCAAGTCTTTGCTATTGTGAACAGTGCTGCAATAAACATATATGTGCATGTGTCTTTATAGTAGAAAGTTTTATAATCCTTTGGGTATATACCCAGCAATGGGATTGCTGGGTTAAATGGTATTTCTGGTTCTAGATCCTTAAGGAATTGTCACACTGTCTTCCACAATGGTTGAACTAATTTACACTCCCACCAACAGTGTAAAAGTGTTCCTATTTCTCCACATCCTCTCCAGCATCTGTTGTTTCCTGACTTTTTAATAATCACCATTCTAACTGTCATGAGATAGTATCTCATTGTGGTTTTGATTTGCATTTCTCTAATGACCAGTGATGATGAACATTTTTTCATGTTTGTTGGCTGCAAAAATGTCTTCTTTTGAGAAGTGTCTGTTCATATCCTTTGCCCACTTTTTGATGAGGTTGTTTGTTTCTTTCTTGTAAATTTGTTTAAGTTCTTTGTAAATTCTGGATATTAGCCCTTTGTCAAATGGATAGATTGCAAAAATTTTCTCCTATTCTGTAGTTTGCCAGTTCACTGGGATGATAGTTTCTTTTGCTGTGCAGAAGCTCTTTCCTTTAATTAAATCCCATTTGTCAATTCTGGCTTTTGTTGCCATTGCTTTTGGTGTTTTAGTCATGATGTCTTTGCTCATGCCTATGTCCTGAATGGTAATGCCTAGGTTTTCTTCTAGGGTTTTTATGGTTTTCAGTCTTACATTTAAGTCTTTAATACATCTTGAATTAATTTTTGTATAAGGTGTAAGGACAGGGTCCAGTTTCAGTTTTCTGCATATGGCTAGCCAGTTCTCCCAACACTCTTTATTAAATAGGGAATCCTTTCCCCATTGCTTGTTTTTGTGAGGTTTGTCAAAGATCAGATGACTGTAGATGTGTGTGGCATTATTTCTGAGGCATCTGTTCTGTTCCATTGGTCTATATATCTGTTTTGGTACCAGTGCCATGCTGTTTTGGTTACTGTAGCCTTGTAGTATAGTTTGGAGTCAGGTAGTGTGATGCCTCCAGCTTTGCTCTTTTTGCTCAGGATTGTCTTGGATATATGGGCTCTTTTTTGGTTCCATATGAAATTTAAAGTAGTTTTTTCTAATTCTGTGAAGAAAGTCAATGGTATCTTGATGGGCATAGTATTGAATCCATAAATTACTTTGGGCAGTATGGCCGTTTTCACGATATTGATTCTTCCTATTCATGACCATGGAAGGTTTCTCCATTTGTTTATGTCCTCTCTTATTTACTCAAGCAGTGGTTTGTAGTTCTCCTGGAAGAGGCCCTTCACACCCCTTGTGAGCTGGATTCCTAGGTATTTTATTTTCTTTGTAGCAATTGTGCATGGGAGTTCACTCATGGTTTGGCTCTCTGTTTGTCTATTCTTGCTGTATAGGAATGCTTGTGATTTTTTGCCCATTGATTTTGTATCCTGAGATTTTGCCGAAGTTGCTTATCAGCTTAAGGAGATTTTGGGCTGAGACAATGGAATTTTCTAAATATACAATCATGTCATCTGCAAACAGAGACAATTTGACTTATTGTCTTCCTATTTGAATACCTTTTATTTCTTTCTCTTGTCTGATTGCCCTGTCCAGAATTTCCAATATTATGCTGAATAGGAGCGGTGAGAGAGGGCATTCTCATCTTGTGCTGGTTTTCAAAGGGAGTGCTTCTAGTTTTGCCCATCCAGTATGATATCGGCTGTGGGTTTGTCATAAATAGCTCTTATTATTTTGAGATAATAAAATAATCTTTTATTATTCAGTATGATATTGCCCATTCAGTATGATATTGGCTGTGGGTTTGTCATAAATAGCTCTTATTATTTTGAAATATGTCCCATCAATACCTAGTTTATTGAGAGTTTTTAGAATGAAGGGCAGTTGAATTTTGTCAAAGGCCTTTTCGGCATATATTGGGATGATCACGTGGTTTTTGTCTTTGGTTCTGTTTATGTGATGGATTACATTTATTGATTTGTGTTTGTTGAACCAGCCTTGCATCCCAGGGAAGGCGCCAACTCGATCGTGATGGATAAGCTTTTCGATGTGCTGCTGGATTCAGTTTGCCAGTATTTTATCAAGGATTTTTGCACCGATGCTTATCAGGGATATTGGCCTGAAATTTTGCATTTTGTGTGTGTGTCTCTGCCAGGTTTTGGTGTCAGGATGATGCTGACTTCATAAAATAAGTTTGGGAGGAGTCTCTGTTTTTCTATTGTTTGGAGTAGTTCCAGAAGGAATGGTACAAGTTCCTCTTTGTACCTCTGGTAGAATTTGGCTGAAAATTCATCCAGTCCTGGGCTTTTCTTGGTTGGTAGGCTATTAATTACTGCCTCAATTTCAGAACTTGTAATTGACCTCTTCAGGGATTCGAATTCTTCCTGGTTTAGTCTTGGGAGGGTGTATGTGTCCAGGAATTTATCCATTTCTTCTAGATTTTCTTCTTTATTTGCATAGAGGAGCTTATAGTATTCTCTGATGGTAGTTTGTATTTCTGTGGGATTGGAGGTGATATTCCCTTTATCAATTTTTATTGTGTCTGTTTGATTCTTCTCTCTTTTCTTCTTTATTAGTCTAGTTAACTGTCTATCTATTTTGTTAATCTTTTCAAAAAAACAGCTCCTGGATTCATTGATTTTTTGAGTGGTTTCTCGTGTCTCTATCTCCTTCAGTTCTGTTCTGATCTTAGTTATTTCTTGTATTCTGCTAGCTTTTGAATGTGTTTGCTCTTGCTTCTCTAGTTCTTTTCATTGTGATGTTAGGGTGTCAATTTTAGATCCTTCTCACTTTCTCCTGTGGGCATTTAGTGCCATAAATTTCCCTCTAAACACTGCTTTAGCTGGGTCCCTGAGATTCTGGTACTTTGTGTCTTTGTTCTCATTGGTTTCAAAGAAATTATTTATTTCTGCCTTATTTTCGTTATTTACCCAGTAGTCATTCAGGAACAGGTTGTTCAGTTTCCATGTAGTTGTGTGATTTTTAGTGAGTTTCTTAATCCTGAGTTCTAATTTGATTGCACTGTGGTCTGAGAGACTGTTATGATTTCTGTTCTTTTGCATTTGCTGACAAGTGTTTTACTTCCAATTATGTGGTCAATTTTAGAATAAGTGTGATGTGGTGTTGAGAAGAATGTATATTCTGTTGATTTGGGGTGGAGAATTCTGTAGATGTCTATTAGGTCCACTTGTTCTGGCGCTGAGTTCAAATCCTAAATATCCTTGTTAACTTTCTGTCTCATTGATCTGTCTAGTATTGACAGTGGGGTGTTAAAGTCTCCCACTATTATTGTATGGGAGTCTAAGCCTTTTTGTAGGTCTCTAAGAACTTGCTTTATGAATGGGGGTGCTTCTGTATTGGGTGCATATATATTTAGGATAGCTAGCTCTTCTTGTTGCATTGATCCCTTTACCATTATGTAATGTCCTTCTTTGTCTGTTTTGGTCTTTGCTGGTTTAAAGTCCATTTCATCAGAGACTAGGATTACAAACCTTGCTTTTTTTGCTTTCCATTTGCTTGTTAAATATTCTCCCATCCCTTTATTTTGAGCCTATGTTTGTCTTTGCAGATAAAGCAGGTCTCCTGAATACAGCACACCGATGAGTCTTGACTCTTTATCCAATTTGCCAGTCTGTGTCTTTTAATTGGGGCATTTAGCCTGCTTACATTTAGGCTTAATATTGTTATGTGTGAATTTGATCCTATCATTATGATTCTAGTGGTTATTTTGCCCATTAGTTGATGCAGTTTCTTCATAGTGTCAATGGACTTTGCAATTTGGTATGTTTTTGTGGCGGCTGGTACCCCTTTTTCCTTTCCATATTTAGTGCTTCCTTCAGGAGCTCTTGTAAGGCAGGCCTAGTGGTGACAGAATCTCTCAGTATTTGCTTGTTTGTAAAGGATTTTATTTCTTCTTCAATTATGAAGCTTAGTTTGACTGGATATGAAATTCTGGGTTGAAAATCTTTTCTTTAATAATTTTGAACATTGGCCTTCAATCTCTTCTGGCTTTTATGGTTTCAGCAGAGAGATTAGCTGTTAGTCTGATGGGCTTCCCTTTGTGGGTAACCAGACCTTTGTCTCTGGCTGCCCTTAACATTTTTTCCTTCATTTCAACCTTGGTGAATCTGATAATTATGTGTTTTAGGGTTGCTCTTCTCGAGGAGTTTCTTTGTGGTGTTCTCTGTATGTCCTGAATTTGAATGTTGGCTTGCCTTGTGAGGTTGTGGAAGTTCCCCTGAATAATACCCTGACAACTGTTTTCAAAATTGTTTCCATTTTTCCCATCACTTTCAGGTGCACCAATAAAATGTAGATTTGGCCTTTTCACATAGTCCCATATTTCTTGGAGGCTTTGTTTGTTCCTTTTTATTCTTTTTTCTCTAATTTTGTCTTCACCCTTTATTTCGTTAAGTTGATCTTCAATCTCTGATATCCTTTCTTCCACTTGATTGATTCAGCTATTGATACTTGTGTATACTTCAGAAAGTTGTTGTGCTGTGCTTTTCAGCTCCATCAGGTCATTTATGTTCTTCTCTAAACTGGTTATTTTAGTTAGCAATTCTCTAACCTTTTTTCAAGGTTCTTAGCTTCCTTGCATTGAGTTAGAACGTGCTGCTTTAGCTCAGAGGAGTTTGTTATTACCCACCTTCTGAAGCCTACTTCTGTCAATTCGTCAAACTCATTCTCTGTCCAGTTTTGTTCCCTTGCTGGCATGGAGTTGTGATCCATTGGAGGAGAAGAGACATTCGGGTTTTTGGAATTTTCAACTCTTTTGCGCTGGTTTTTTCTCATTTTCATGGATTTATCTACCTTTGGTTTTTGATGTTGGTGAGCTTTGGATGGAGTTTTTGTGTGGATGTCCTTTTGGTTGATATTGCTGTTATTTCTTTCTGTTTATTAGTTTTCCTTCTAACAGGCCTCTCTGCTGCATGTCTGCTGGAGTTTGCTGGAGGTCCACTCCAGACCATGTTTTCCTGTATCACCAGTGGAGGCTGCAGAACAGCAAAGATTGCGGCCTGTTCCTTCCTCTGGAGTCTTTGTCCCAGAGAGGCACCCACAAGATGCTGGCTGGAGCTCTCCTGTATAAGGTGTCTGTTGACCCCTGCTGGGAGGTGTCTCCCAGTCAGGAGACACAGGATTCAGGGACCCACTTGAGGAGGCAGTCTGTCCCTTAGCAGAGATCAAGCATTGTGCTGGGAGATCCATAGAGCTGGCAGGCAGGAACATCTAAGTCTGCTGAACCCGCACCCACAGCCACCCCTTCCCCCAGATGCTCTGTCCCAGGGAGATGGGAGTTTTATCTATAAGCCCCTGACTAGGGTTGCTGCCTTTCTTTCAGAGATACCCTGCTCAGAGAGGAGGAATCTAGAGGCAGTCTGACTACAGAGGATTTGTGGTGCTGCAGTGGGCTCTGCACAGTAAGAACTTCCTGGCTGCTTTGTTTACACTGTGAGGGGAAAACAGCCTACTCAAGCCCCTCCCCCCACCTAGCTCCAGTATCCTAGCTTGACTTCAGACTGCTGTGCTGGCAGTGAGAATTTCAAACCAGTGGATTTTAGCTTGCTGGGCTCCGTCAGGGTGGGATCTGCTGAGCTAGGCCCCTTGGCTCCCTGACTTCAGCCCACTTCCCAGGAGAGTGAATGGTTCTGTCTCACTGGTGTTCCAGGCGCCCTTAGGGTATGGAAAAAAAAAACTGCAGCTAGCTCGGTGTCTGCCCATATGGCCGCCAAGCTTTGTGCTTGAAATCCAGGGCCCTGGTGGTGTACATACCTTAGAGAATCTCCTGGTCTGCAGGTTGCAAAGACCATGGGAAAAGCATAGTATCTGGGCTGGAGTGCACCATTCCTCATGGCACAGTCCCTCATGGCTTCCTTTGGCTAGGGGAGGGAGTTCCCTGATCACTTGTGCTTTCATGGTGAGGCAACACCCCACCCTGCTTCTGTTCTCCCTCTGTGGGCTGCACCCATTGTCTAACCAGTCCCAGTGAGATAAGCTGGGTGCCTCAGTTGGAAATGCAGACATTACCCACCTTCTGCGTTAATCTTGCTGGGAGCTGCAGACTGGAGCTGTCCCTATTTGGCCATCTTGCCAGCCACCCTGTTACCAGAATTCTAAGTGTGAGTTAAAAAAACTTAGGAAATAGTATCATATCATTTTTACACAGTTTTTCCTCTAATTACTATGTAAATATAGTACAATTTCAATTCTAATTCTAACAAGGCAGTTTACAAAATTTGAAAATCTGATTCTCAGGTTCATTTGAAAGAAAAATAGTATTCAATGTTTATAAATTTGGTTAGTGTTATCCTACAAGAAATCAATTTATATTATAAAGTTAGAGTTATTGAAAGAGTATGGTTTTGGCACAAAAATAGACAAGTAGATACTGAAAAAAAATCAAAAGTGCATCTCTATGTACTTTTGAGATTTAGCCTGTGGTGAAGTCAGTAATTGATATAAATACAGAAAAGATAGCTTATTCAATGTACGGTGTTGAGTAACAGCTCTTTGGGAAATAAACTTTTATTTCATTAGCAAAGGTAAATTAAAATAATTAAAGCTAGTAAAGGGTATAAAAATTAAATTACTAGAATGAATATGAATGGGAACATTTTTGTGGCATTAATGGAGTCTTTTTTTGTCACCTTACAGATCTTGTAGCAGCCTCCTTTATGCCCAGCATGCCTTATGCCCATTATTTTACTTTATTTCAATCTGTAACTCTCATCTCCATCTGATATCATATATTTGTTTATTGTATGTCTCTTTTAACTACAGTATAAATTCCAGAATGCAGAGATAGTGTTCACTTAGTTTTATTTGCAGTATCCCCAGTACTTTGAAAAATGTCTGGCATTATATAAGTACTCAAATTTCTTGAGTAAAAGAATGACTTATTACGACTATTGAGAACATATTTTCATGCTGATAACTTTAGTCTTTGAAACAGAAATACAAACTTATATAATGGAATATAAAAATTATGTGTTTAGCTTGCATAGGAGATATTAAACTTCTGATTAAAACTCCATACTTTCATTTGTAAATTAGGAAACAAAAAGTGTTTTTCTTCACCACGCTTTGCAACACTACCCTTTTCAACATATAAAGCATTCTTTTGAAAATAAAGTTTTGAAGAAAAGAAAAGGCATAATGTTTCATCTCACATATGCAAAAATAGCTGCCTAATGATGTTGCCTCTTTGTAAAATGGCATTGGCAATAAAAAATCATTATTTTGGAAGATCAAAATATTGTATTATTGTAACCATTTCTGATTCTTGCACCATCTCAATTGGAATCTTTATTTTATCTATTATTTTTTTAAAATTTCCAAATATGTATTCTTACCTCATCTTTAATTATAGACTGTTGTTACTTATTTTAAGTTGATTTCAAATGGGAACAAATTCTTTCCTGCTTTTTGCAAAGTGCGTTAACAATAAATTATGACTTGGCTTATAACAAATGAAACAACTTGCAAGGAAAAATAGTCAAAAATTGATTTACAAAATAATGCTCATAAACATCAAAGGATAGGCTCATTAATTAATTAGTGGGTTTAAAACAAACATTTCATAATTGCATTTGAAACATTACAATCTCCCACATCTTGATTCTTAACTTCCAAAAAAGATTCAATGAGTTGGTTGCATGTAAAATGAAGATGATTCAAATTTCATTAATTTGCAGCTTTGTAATACATTAATAGACTACTGTTGCCAATGAGTTCCTATACTTTATTTTCCTTAATTCACAAGAAAACCTTAGAATTTTTTGAAAGAGTGTGAGTGTGAAAGGATTATCTATGATTTAAAAGTTCAATAGTTACGTTATATCAGGTAAACTATACTTGATAAAGGAAATATGAACGACACTATTCAAGATAAGATTATAGATGTATTGGAGGTTTTTTTCGACAATGATTGGGTTTCTGTAGGCAAACAGTTTATACCAACAATGCCTGGAAGAGATTTAAGCCTACTGTTGGACAGGCTATGTGGCTAGGAAATAACTTTAGTTATAATCTTAAAAAGAGCAACAAATTATAGTTCTCATAAGTAAAAATTTTCAAGTGAAAAGAAAAAAGCAAATAAAAAATTATGTTTGAAGACTTTCAATGAGTATAATATTGACATTATCTATTTCATAGGCATATACTTTTAGAAGAAAATTAAATATCTAATAATGTTACTTAAGACTCATCATTTGTAATTTAAACTTTCCTTTGTATCATTTTTAACACTTTAAAAATGTTTAACTTAAAAATATTTTGATCATTTTTCTCTAACCTGGTGTCATATTTATACAGCTATTGAGAGTATGCTTTCAGACTAACCTACTTTTTGGAGGCCTTGCTAATGTTTCATTGATTCTATATGAAGCTACCATTGACATTTTGTTGATGCTATGTAAAACCAAGAGCAACCTTATTTTTTGAATGCAGAGGAATCCCTTCTCCTCGAAATAATGGAAACCTAAAAGAATATGTATTTTTTTCCCATTCTAATAGTTGTAGCAAAAAAAAAGATTTTTTTTTTGTATTTGGATATACTAAAAAGAAACTAGATCAAGGCAAGTGATCTGAATTCATTTTCTAAAGGTAAAATGGTCAAAGCCAATCACTCTTTATCTTATAGTAATAATTATATTAAATACTGGAATTAATAAAAAATTAATTAGTTTTGACATTTTTACTTTGTCTTTTATTTGTCAGTACATAGCTTAAATACTCCTAAAACATACAGGAACTCAAAGATTTGTGTTTATTTGGAAGGTGGTCATTGGAAGCACAAGTGAGGCAATGGGAAAGTTAGAGAGGAAATGGAGGAAAGCCTTCAAGAGCACATTGATAAGCAGCTTAGTTATTGAACAAGGATTTCATCTTTTTGGGAACTATTTAAAGAACTATGTAGAATTGACCTTAGACTTGGCCCCCAACCTGCAGTTATGCTACAGTATTTATCTGTCATTAGGGTCAATCTATGATTGAGAGCATTCCCTGGGATATAAAATTTTCAACAGTTTTAGGCTGTGCTGTGTGCAAGATATGCAGAGAGTTACTGTTAATAAAATGGCAATTCGTCAGTGTGCCTAATCACCATTGGTGTCAGTGAATCTTAATGGTAGAAAAGTTGTTTTTGCCTTTTCCTATGCCATAACCTGTAAATACATCTGAGTCATTCACACAACTTAATAGAGACCAATATAGCCCACCTTAGGTGGCTATATTTAAGAGACTCAACAGTCTCTTAAATTCCTAAAACTATAGTTTTATCTTATATGCTAGGATTTTCCATCATTCTTCTGATCTCATGGTTCCATCACAGTGTATGCTTCGTGTCATTCTTGTTGTTGTACTACTGATCCATTGGCCTCATTTTCCAGATTCACTTTTGCCTCTCACTCCCCTACTTAGCTCATTATCTTCCTCTTTTTGATTTTGTTGTCATTCGTGGAACATTGTTAACTTCTGTTCTCTGCTCTCATCTCCACAGGAAGTAAGATCGGGTAACTCCCATTTCCCATTATATTTGTGTGTCCCATTATGAGATTTCCCATAATACTGAGAAAAGTCTAACTTAAATCAAGACAAAACAATATTACCCCATTAAGAGTAAACATTCCTATTTCATCTTGATGAGTAAATTAATCTAGTATTAATTATCAAATAACTTTATTCTAAATATGTAATCAAAACTTACAGCTGGCCTGGTTGTCATCTCAATAAGTATAGGAAAGCAATGACTTTGCATTTCACTCAATAACAGCGAAAGAATATTTGCATTAATACGTATTTAAATTTGGCTCATAGTATTTTTGAGAAATTCATGTTTTCCCCCAAGTCTTGAATGAGCTCATAATGCAATTTTATTCCAAACATTTTAAATAAAATAAAAACATGATTGAAGGCACATGACATAATATACTGAGTGATTAATAACATTTGCTTAGCATTTCCTAAAGTAAATTATGCTGAGATTGAATTCAATGATTCAAGAAGTCTTATTAGAGCAACTTAAAGTGTCCCAAAATTGATACACTATATTTTATTTGCACAGAAAATTAAATCTACAATTTCTTCTCTCTTGAAATCTCAACTTTCTGAAGGAAAATGCATAGGCAAGAATACAGGGAAAGTGCTTTTTCTTAAATTACACAAAAATTCTTTTTAAATTATTTTGTGAACATTTGGTTATTATAAATTTTAAAGTGTGTTGCAGTTGGAATAAAAACATTAAATGAAAATAATTTTTATATAATAATTTTCCACTTAGGGACAGTGACAAATATTTTTGTGCTATTAAGAGCAAAACTCTTTTATTGAAAGGAAAAGTAGTATTCATGGTTTTAATTTGGCAGTGCAAATGTATCAACCAACTACTCGTGTTGCTTCTTTTCACCAGGGTAAATACAATACCTAAAGATGGAATTGGGTTCTCCTTTCTTGAGTCCAAAATATACACTGATAAACAGTTACAAAGTATTAGGTGAAATATTTGGCAGACACCAAAAGTACCAAAGACAGAAAGCTATACTAACTAGACAAGGAAAATAATAATTTAAACCTCTTTATTCTCAGGACATTTTCACAGCTATAAGGATTTTAAAGTAGGAAATATTAATGAAATATAATTTGTACTAGTTACTCATTAAAAAGACATGAAAGATGAGAGCAAGAGTTTGGGCTTATTAAGGAACAACATAACATTCTAAAGAATAGTTTTGCCTTGAGAAAACTTCTGATTATAATAAAGAACATGGTTTTGAGTAAGTATTAACATTATTAGAATTTTTACGCAGAGTTCTGGGAAAATAACTACCAAATCATCAATACCAATTCTCATTCATCCCTGACAAAAATGATAGTAAGCTCCATAATAGATTTTATCTTGCCAACTTATCTTCTATCAAAACATGATAAAGCAATACAAAATATTTTTAAAACCATATACCAGTTCCCTGGAATATAGACACAACATTTACATAAAAGCTTATCAAATAAAATTGAAAAAGCAAGAGAAATAAATAAAAGGCATCCAAATAGGAAGAGAGGAAGTCAAACTATCTCTCTTTGCAGTCAATATGACTCTATACCTAGAAATCCTTGTAGTCTCTGCCCAAAGGCTCCTAGATCTGATAACAACTTCAGCAAAATTTCAGGACACAAAATCAATGTACAAAAATTAGTAGCATTTCCATACACCAGTAACACCCAAGCAGAGAGACAAATCAAGTACTCAATCTCATTTACAATAGCCACCGAAAGAATAAAATACCTAGGAATGCAGCTAACCAAGGATGTGAAAGATCTCTACAATGAGAATTACAAAACACTGCTGAAAGAAATTAGAGATGACACAGATGGAAAAGCATTCCATGCTCATGGATCTGCAGAATCAATATTGTTAAAATGATCATACTACCCAAAGCAATTTACAGATTCAATGCTATTCCTATCAAACTATCAATGTCATTTTTTACAGAATTAGAAAAAACTTTTTAAAAATTCATATGGAACCAAAAAGAGCCTGAGTAGCCAAAGAAATTCTAAGCAGAGAGAACAAAGCTGAAGGCATCACACTACCTGACTTCAAATTATACGACAAGGCTACAGGAATTAAAACAGCATGACACGGGCACAAAACAGACACATAGACCAATGGAACAGGTTAGAAACACAGAAATAAAGTCACACAACTACAGCCATCTGATCTTTGACAAAACTGACAATAACAATCAATGGGGAAGGGACTCTGCGTTCAATAAATGGTACTGGGACAACTGGCTAGCCATATGCAGAAGATTGAAACTTGATGCCTAACTTTCACCATATACAAAAATCATCTGAAGATGAATTAAAGACTTAAACTCAAAACGTAAAACTATAAAAATGTTAGAAGAAAACCTAGGAAATGCCATTCTGGAAAAGGACCCTGGCAAAGACTTCATGATGACTCCAAGAGCAATTTCAACACAAACAAAAATTGACAAGTGGCACCAATTAACTAAAGAGCTTCTGCACAGTAGAAGAAACTATCAACAGAGTGAAAAGATGACCTAAGGAATGGGAGCAAATATTTGCAAACTATGCATCCAACAAAAGTCTAATATCCAGCATCTACAAGGAACTTAAATCAACAAGCAGAAAACAAACAACCCCATTAAAAATGAAAAAAGACATGAACAAACACTTCTCAAAAGAAGACACACACATTTTCAACAAGAATATGAAAATAAATGCTCAGTATCACTAATCATTAATTAGGGGAACACAAATCAAAACAACAATGAGATAACATCTCACACTAGTCAGAATGGCTATTATTAAAAAGTCAAAAAGCAAAGGAGCACTTACACACTGTTGGTGAGAATGTAAATTAGTTAAGCCACTGTGGATATCACTCTGGAGCTTTCTTAAAGAATGTAAAATAGTACTAGCATTCCACTCAGCAATCCCATTACTGGATATATATCCAAAGGAATATAAATTATTTAACCATGTGGACACATGCACACGGATGTTCATTGCAGCACTATTCACACTAGCAATTACATAGAATAAACCTAGGTGCCCACCAACAGTGGACTGGATAAAGAAAATGTGGTACCTACACACTGGACTACTACACAGCCATAAAAAAGGAAATCCTCTTTTTGTAGCAACATGGATGAAATTAGAGGCAAATTAATCCTAAACAAATTAATGCAGGAACAAAAAACTAAATATTGCATGTTCTCAGTGGGAGCTAAACATTGAATACATATGGACACAAAGAGAAAAACAGATTCCTGGACCTACTTGAAGGTAGAGAGTGGGAGGAGGGTGAGGATTGAAAAACTACCTATTGGACATTATGCCGATCACCTGGTTGACAAAATTATCTGTACACTAAACCCCCATAACATGCAATTTAGCCATGTAGAAAACCTGCATATTACTCCTTTAATCTAAAATAGACATTGGAAAGAAAATTTAAAAAAATTGAAAAAAATATCCCTCTCAGGAGGGCATAAGGACCTAGTAGGTAGATATTAGGTTTGGTGAGAAGAATCCTGGAACAGAGTGTGGGGCTTTCAAGTTGTATAATAAGAGAGCGCTAACCTCCCTCAGCACAATCAGAAGGTGAAGCTGGAGTTCATACTTATTGTTGCAATTGTATGATATGGTAGAACCTTAGCCTACAGTCTGTTCTGCTCCCTCAAATTAACACCTGAAGGAGCGTCTGAATTGACAGTGTTAAACACTTGGCTACAGTACATTTCATTGGACATTTTGCAGGAGGCCATCTTCCTCCCAAAAAGACAAGTCATCAAATGACTAGACTTATACAAATCTATGCTGAGATCTGAAACCTGGTTAAAGAAAGTGTTTCAACTGTGTCAAATGTAGTCTATAAATTAAAAAAAAAAGGACTGAGAATAATTATGGAATTTAACAATATGAGGTCATTTGTCACCTCAAAATGAGCTATTTCAGTGAAGTAGTGAAGTCAAAGCTGGTTGAAGCCAGTTGGAGAGGATGGAGGGACAAGAAGTGGAAAAAAACAGTAGAGAAACTATTTGGAGGAATTTATTTGTGAAAGTGCTGTAATGGTTAATTTTATGTGTCAACTAGGATAAGAGATTCTTAGATAGCTGATAATACATTGTGCATATTTCTGGGTATGTCTCTGAGGGTGTAACTGTGAGTTGTCCATCAGGAGAGTTTAGCATTTGAATCAAAAGACTGAGTAAAGAAGAACGCCCTCATCAATGTGAGCAGACATCATCCAATCCATGAGGATCTGAATAGAACTAAAAGATGGAAGAAGAGCAAGTGTGCCCTCTCTCTTCTTGAGCTGAGATATCCACCTTCTCCTGGCCTTGGACATCAGAGTTCCTGGTTCGCTGGCCTCAGACTCCAGGACTAACACAAACTTCACCCCACCACCTCCTCACCCCTTACCCTCTACCTACTGGTTCTCAGGCCTTCAGTCTTGGATGGGGAGTTACATCATCAGCTCCCCTGGTTCTTGGCCACCAGACTAAGATTGAATTACACCACCAGCTTTCCTGATCCTCCAGTTTCAGGCAGCATATCCTGGGGCTTCTTGGCCTCCATAATCATGTGAGTCAATTCTCATAATAAATCTCCTCTTACACATGTTTATGTGTCCCATTGGTATTGTTTCTTTGGAGAACACTAATACAAAAACACATGAAATACTGTCGAATTTTCCTCCCTTCCTTCTTTCCTTCTTTCTTTTTTATAACAGGTAGTTCAGCTTATCTGTTTGTGATGAGAAGAATGTATTAGAGAGTGAGGAACTGGTAATTCAGGAGGAAGTGTGGACAACTACTAAAGTAATGTCTCTGAATAGATAAAAGGAGATAAGGTCAAGCAGGACAGTAGAGGAGCTGGTTCCTGACAGGAACACTGAGAACTTTTCAATAATAACTTGAGTAAAGACAGTAAAGTGCACCAAGGCAGATTGTTTGGTAGGCTTGGTCAGGTCATCCTGTGGAAATTCTTTGTTGATTGCTTTTGTTTTCTCAGTCAAATGGGAAAAAATGTTGTCACCTGGGATTGAGAAGAAGGAAGAGAGATTGGAATATGGAAACTTTAGGAAGCTGGTAATCAAATAAAATTAAATGTCTACTTGCAGAGAGTGATTTTCCATTCCTATTTTGTTCTTATTCAATGATTAGGACTATATAAGTTTTATTCTGATTTGAAATGATTCCTTAGTTAAAAAAATTGGATTTTCAGGAGGAGCCAAGATGGCCAAATAGGAACAGCTCCAGTCTACAGCTCCCAGCCTGAGCAACGCAGAAGACAGGTGATTTCTGCATTTCCATCTGAGGTACCGGGTTCATCTCACTACGGAGTGCCAGACAGTAGGTGCAGGTCAGTGGGTGCGCACACCATGCATGAGCTGAAGCAGGGTGAGGCATTGCCTCACTCGGGAAGTGCAAAGGGTCAGGGAGTTCCCTTTCCTAATCAAAGAAAGGGGTGACAGATGGCACCTGGAAAATCGGGTCACTCCCACCCGAATGCTGCACTTTTCTGACGAGCTTAAAAAAACGGCGCACCACGAGATTATATCCCGCACCTGGCTCGGAGGGTCCTACCCCACGGAGTCTCACTGATTGCCAGCACAGCAGTCTGAGATCAAACTGCAAGGCGGCAGTGAGGCTGGGGGAGGGGCGCCCACCATTGCCCAGGCTTGCTTAGGTAAATAAAGCAGCCAGGAAGCTCGAACTGGGTGGAGCCCACCACAGCTCAAGGAGGCCTGCATGCCTCTGTAGGCTCCACCTCTGGGGGCAGGGCACAGACAAACAAAAAGACAGCAGTAACCTCTGCAGACTTAAATATCCCTGTCTGACAGCACTGAAGAGAGCAGTGGTTCTCCCAGCATGCAGCTGGAGATCTGAGAAAGGGCAGACTGCCTCCTCCAGTGGGTCCCTGACCCCTGACCCCCGGGCAGCATAACTGGGAGGCACCCTCCAGCAGGGGCACACGGACACCTCACACTGCAGGGTACTCCAACAGACCTGCAGTTGAGGGTCCTGTCTGTTAGAAGGAAAACTAACAAACAGAAAGGACATCCACACCAAAAACCCATCTGTACATCACCATCATCAAAGAGCAAAAGTAGATAAAACCACAAAGATGGGGAAAAAACAGAACAGAAAAACTGGAAACTCTAAAAAGGAGAGCGCCTCTCCTCCTCCAAAGGAACGCAGCTCCTCACCAGCAACGGAACAAAGCTAGACGAAGAATGACTTTGATGATCTGAGAGAAGAAGGATTCAGATTATCAAATTACTCTGAGCTACAGGAGAACATTCAAACCAAAGGCAAAGAAGTTGAAAACTTTGGAAAAAATTTAGAAGAATGTATAACTAGAATAACCAATACAGAGAAGTGCTTAAAGGAGCTGATGGAGCTGAAAACCAAGGCTCGAGAACTACGTGAAGAATGCAGAAGCCTCAGGAACCGATGCAATCAACTGGAAGAAAGGGTATCAGCAATGGAAGATGAAATAAATGAAATGAAGCGAGAAGGGAAGATTAGAGAAAAAAGAATAAAAAGAGATGAGCAAAGCCTCCAAGAAATATGGGAATATGTGAAAAGACCAAATCAACGTCTGATTGGTGTACCTGAAAGTGATGTGGAGAATGGAACCAAGTTGGAAAACACTCTGCAGGATATTATCCAGGAGAACTTCCCCAATCTAGCAAGGCAGGCCAACGTTCAGATTCAGGAAATACAGAGAACGCCACAAAGATACTCCTCGACAAGAGCAACTCCAAGACACATAATTGTCAGATTCACCAAAGATGAAATGAAGGAAAAAATGTTAAGGGCAGCCAGAGAGAAAGGTCGGGTTACCCTCAAAGGAAAGCCCATCAGACTAACAGCGGATCTCTCGGCAGAAACCCTACAAGCCAGAAGAGAGTGGGGGCCAATATTCAACATTCTTAAAGAAAAGAATTTTCAACACAGAATTTCATATCCAGCCAAACTAAGCTTCATAAGTGAAGCAGAAATAAAATACTTTACAGACAAGCAAATGCTGAGAGATTTTGTCACCACCAGGCCTGCCCTAAAAAAGCTCCTGAAGGAAGCGCTAAACATGGAAAGGAACAACCGGCACCAGCCGCTGCAAAATCATGCCAAAATGTAAAGACCATCGAGACTAGGAAGAAACTGCATCAACTAATGAGCAAAATAACCAGCTAACATCATAATAACAGGATCAAATTCACACATAACACTATTAACTTTAAATGTACATGGACTAAATGCTCCAATTAAAAGACACAGACTGGCAAATTGGATAAAAAGTCAAGACCCGTCAGTGTGCTGTATTCAGGAAACCCATCTCACATGCAGAGACACACATAGGCTCAAAATAAAAGGATGGAGGAAGATCTACCAAGCAAATGGAA
Organism: Homo sapiens; assembly: GCF_000001405.40. Lineage (NCBI taxonomy): Eukaryota > Metazoa > Chordata > Mammalia > Primates > Hominidae > Homo > Homo sapiens. Next base: position 45,836,659 of record NC_000005.10, on the reverse strand, counting down.
AACAAAAAAAGGCAGGAGTTGCAATCCTAGTCTGTGATAAAACAGACTTTAAACCAACAAAGATCAAAAGAGACAAAGAAGGCCATTACATAATGGTAAAGTGATCAATTCAACAAGAAGAGCTAACTATCCTAAATATATATGCACCCAATAGCAAATCCTGAGTGACCTACAAAGAGACTTAGACTCCCACACAATAATACTGGGAGATTTTAACACCCCACTGTCAACATTAGACAGATCAATGAGACAGAAAGTCAACAAGGATACCCAGGAATTGAACTCAGCTCTGCACCAAGTGGACCTAATAGACATCTACAGAACTCTCCACCCCAAATCAACAGAATACACATTTCTTTCAGCACCACACCACACCTATTCCAAAATTGACCACATAGTTGGAAGTAAAGCACTCCTCAGCAAATGTAAAAGAACAGAAATTATAACAAACTATCTCTCAGACCACAGTGCAATCAAACTAGAACTCAGGATTAAGAATCTCACTCAAAACCGCTCAACTACATGGAAACTGAACAACCTGCTCCTGAATGACTACTGGATACATAACGAAATGAAGGCAGAAATAAAGATGTTCTTTGAAACCAATGAGAACAAAGACACAACATACCAGAATCTCTGGGATGCATTCAAAGCAGTGTGTAGAGGGAAATTTATAGCACTAAATGCCCACAAGAGAAAGCAGGAAAGATCCAAAATTGACACCCTAACATCACAATTAAAAGAACTTGAAAAGCAAGAGCAAACACATTCAAAAGCTAGCAGAAGGCAAGAAATAACTAAGATCAGAGCAGAACTGAAGGAAATAGAGACACAAAAAACCCTTCAAAAAATTAATGAATCCAGGAGCTGGTTTTTTGAAAGGATCAACAGAACTGATAGACCGCTAGCAAGACTAATAAAGAAAAAAAGAGAGAAGATTCAAATAGATGCAATAAAAAATGGTAAAGGGGATATCACCACTGATCCCACAGAAATACAAACTACCATCAGAGAATACTACAAACACCTCTACGCAAAGAAACTAGAAAACCTAGAAGAAATGGATAAATTCCTTGACACATACACTCTCCCAAGACTAAATCAGGAAGAAGTTGAATCTCTGAATAGACCAATAACAGGCTCTGAAATTGTGGCAATAATCAATAGCTTACCAACCAAAGAGTCCAGGAGCAGATGGATTCACAGCTGAATTCTACCAGAGGTACAAGGAGGAACTGGTACCATTCCTTCTGAAACTATTCCAATCAATAGAAAAAGAGGGAATCCTCCCTAACTTATTTTATGAGGTCAGCATCATTCTGATACCAAAGCCGGGCAGAGACACAATCAAAAAAGAGAATTTTAAACCAATATCCTTGATGAACATTGATGCAAAAATCCTCAATAAAATACTGGCAAACCAAATCCAGCAGCACATCAAAAAGCTTATCCACCATGATCAAGTGGGCTTCATCCCTGGGATACAAGGCTGGTTCAATATACGCAAATCAATAAATGTAACCCAGCATATAAACAGAGCCAAAGACAAAAACCACATGATTATCTCAATAGATGCAGAAAAGGCCTTTGACAAAATTCAACAACCCTTCATGCTAAAAACTCTCAATAAATTAGGTATTGATGGGATGTATTTCCAAATAATAAGAACTATCTATGACAAACCCACAGCCAATATCATACTGAATGGGCAAAAACTGGAAGCATTCCCTTTGAAAACTGGCACAAGACAGGGATGCCCTCTCTCACCACTCCTATTCAACATAGTGTTGGAAGTTCTGACCAGGGCAATTCGGCAGGAGAAGGAAATAAAGGGTATTCATTTAGGAAAAGAGGAAGTCAAATTGTCCCTGTTTGCAGGTGACATGATTGTATATCTAGAAAACCCCATTGTCTCAGCCCAAAATCTCCTTAAGCTGATAAGCAACTTCAGCAAAGTCTCAGGATACAAAATCAATGTGCAAAAATCACAAGCATTCCTATACACCAACAACAGACAAACAGAGAGCCAAATCATGAGTGAACTCCCATTCACAATTGCTTCAAAGAGAATAAAATACCTAGGAATCCAACTTACAAGGGATGTAAAGGACCTCTTCAAGGAGAGCTACAAACCGTTCCTCAAGGAAATAAAAGAGGATACAAACAAATGAAAGAACATTCCATGCTCATGGGTAGGAAGAATCAATATCGCAAAAATGGCCATACTGCCCAAGGTAATTTACAGATTCAATGCCATCCTCATCAAGCTACCAATGCCTTTCTTCACAGAATTGGAAAAAACTACTTTAAAGTTCATATGGAACCTAAAAAGAGCCCACATCGCCAAGTCAATCCTAAGCCAAAAGAACAAAGCTGGAGACATCACACTACCTGACTTCAAACTATACTACAAGGCTACAGTAACCAAAACAGCATGGTACTGGTACCAAAACAGAGATATAGATCAATGGAACAGAACAGAGCCCTCAGAAATAACGCCGCATATCTACAACTATCTGATCTTTGACAAACCTGACAAAAACAAGCAATGGGGAAATGATTCCCTATTTAATAAATGGTGCTGGGAAACCTGGCTAGCCATGTGTAGAAAGCTGAAACTGGATCCCTTCCTTACACCTTATACAAAAATCAATTCAAGATGGATTAAAGACTTAAACGTTAGACCTAAACCCATAAAAACCCTAGAAGAAAACCTAGGCATTACCATTCAGGACATAGGCATGGGCAAGGACTTCATGTCTAAAACACCAAAAGCAATGGCAACAAAAGACAAAATTGACAAATGGGATCTCATCAAACTATAGAGCTTCTGCACAGCAAAAGAAACCACCATCAGAGTGAACAGGCAACCTACAAAATGGGAGAAAATTTTCGCAACCTACTCATCTGACAAAGGGCTAATATCCAGAATCTACAATGAACTCAAACAAATTTACAAGAAAAAAAAAACAACCCCATCAAAAAGTGGGCAAAGGACATGAACAGACACTTCTCAAAAGAAGACATTTATGCAGCCAAAAAACACATGAAAAAATGCTCACCGTCACTGGCCATCAGAGAAATGCAAATCAAAACCACAATGAGATACCATCTCACACCAGTTAGAATGGCAATCATTCAAAAGTCAGGAAACAACAGGTGCTGGAGAGGATGTGGAGAAATAGGAACACTTTTACACTGTTGATGGGACTGTAAACTGGTTCAACCATTGTGGAAGTCAGTGTGGCGATTCCTCAGGGATCTAGAACTAGAAATACCATTTGACCCAGCCATCCCATTACTGGGTATATACCCAAATGACTATAAATCATGCTGCTATAAAGACACATGCACACGTATGTTTATTGTGGCATTATTCACAATAGCAAAGACTTGGAACCAACCCAAATGTCCAACAATGATAGACTGGATTAAGAAAATGTGGCACATATACACCATGGAATACTATGCAGCCATACAAAATGATGAGTTCATGTCTTTGTAGGGACATGGATGAAATTGGAAATCATCATTCTCAGTAAACTATTGCAAGAACAAAACACCAAACACCGCATATTCTCCCTCATAGGTGGGAATTGAACAATGAGAACACATGGACACAAGAAGGGGAACATCACACTCTGGGGACTGTTGTGGGGGGGAGGATGGGGGAGGGATAGCATTGGGAGATATATCTAATGCTAGATGACGAGTTAGTGGGTGCAGCGCACCAGCATATGTAACTAACCTGTACAATGTGCACATGTACCCTAAAACTTAAAGTATAATAATAAAAAAATAAAAATAAAAATAAAAAAAGGAAAAAAATAAAAAAAAATTGGATTTTCTTTTGAGATTCAGGAAACAGTGTGTCTTATGTTATTTTGGATCAATAGATAACTTTTGTTCTAATTTCTGATAGCAGTCACTCTTGACTTAAATATGTGTCAAATCCCTCAGTAACTAGTATCAAGGGCCAAGTAAACTAAGTGGCATGATTGTGGTGCAAAATAATGTGTGTTAAAGAAGAGAGAGAGAGAAAAAATCATCTAATTAAGGAAGATACAGAAAGATCTCTTAGAATAAATGGCATTTCAAATTTGATCCATAGTTATGAATGACATTGATAAAAGACATCATATATGAGAGAAATAGAGTGTTAAGTTAGAATCTTCAGAAGTGTGTATAATTAAAATTGTAGGAAAAGAAAAAGGTAAGAGGAGAGGTAAAGCCTTTGAGTTCATCGAGTTATTGAAACATTGCCTGGCTGTCAGGTACTCTGCTAAGCATTGAATAAATAAAAGAAAGCTCATATCTTCAAGGCATTCACAGCTCAATCAAGGAGAGACATAATTGGCTATCTCCCCCATGGCTGGAAATTTCTAGGTCAAGAGAGTCCCAAACATGTTTTAAAGGAGAGAGTAAAGAGCCAAGAGACTACTGAGAACATTATGTACTGTAATGTGTGCTGTTTAGTCCAAATAGATAGTTATTAGCACACAGACATGAAAAACCTGGCTATTTTTGTTGAATTTTTCTTAAGATTTGTTTCATTATGAACATGTAGAAACATCCTTTAATTTACTACTTTGAATATGTAACCTTTATTTCTGCTGACTCCATGTTTTCAGGACACAGTAGCTTTCCTAGCTTTGCTGTTGTGAAAGCTATATGCTTGATCTGTTGGGCTGATTATACCAGCTAGAAGTAACCTTTGAAATGTTGCCATTCAGTGGAGCATGAGGCCATTAAAAATGGAATTCTCTTAAGGCAAGCTGGAAACTATTGGCGAGTTGCATAGGTCATAACTACTATTAAACTTCATTTTCTTCTATAATAAAGAAGTTTCTTGTTACACAAATTTGTTACTGCTCTTAACCTGGTTTAAGACGTAACTCCATTAGCTGACTGTCTACATTTCCTTGACTGAATAATTCAAATAACAAAATTATTGTAAATTGAGTTTTCCTCTGTGGAACAATGCAAATAATTATTTTTGGAGTAATAACTGATATAAAGTACAGAGAAATCTTAAATTTGTCATTAAAAGAATATTGCAGGCATTTTAATTTGGATTAGCTCAGATTTTATGTATAACCATCCCCTTACCCCCATTCTGTGAGTTTCCTTAACATTTTCAGCTTGTCTAATTTTCATTTGGCAATCCTAATAGTGGAAAAGCCGGTATAAAGGATGGAACAGACCTCTTCTTTGCTTTTATGAGTTTTTGTCCTTAGGCATTGATGGCAGGGCAGCAAGTGTGTCTGAACTATGGTACAACTGGGCTCTTAGTGTAGTGCTCAAACTCAAACCCAAGACTTCAGGCTCCTAGTCCAATGCCTCACATGTAACTTAAGTATACACTGTTCTCACTAATGTAATGTATGCGTCTCCTTTATCAGGTTGGGGTATAAAAGTAAAATCACATCTATCTTAGTAAATTAAGTAACTGTGAAACTGTGAACTCCACCAACCCATCTCTTCGGAAATAACATTTTTCCCTCCTTCCTCAAATCAATTTGGTAACCTAGTGCTGTCATATTCTAAAAAATGTTATTTGGTGACAAAGTCATGAGCTCTAATTGCTGATCCAATTTCAGCTTAATTTGCAGGTGAGAAGGAAAACCTTTCTTATTGCCATGATCAGCTATGACCATTCATGCCACTCCGACACTGCAGACCTGGACTCTATATCTAAGCACTTTTCTTAAACAATTATTTCATTTATAGACCCAGGCAATATCCCCAGAGTGCTAGCGTGGCTGCAACAGGAGGAATTTGTATTGGTGTTAACCAGGCTTCTAGGGACAAAGTAGGTCCTGCTTTTGAGTGTGAGTCACTTGTTCAGAATCCCCTCACTCGTGAAGATACTAGGAACTTCTGTAGCTCCTAGTTTCTTCTGCCCCTGACCTTAGATTTGGTCACTTCAATTGATCAGAGATATTCCCTATTCCATTTTAAGATGCAATAGTCTGATGTTTAATTTCATTCCTTTTCTCATAGGCTACTTCTTGGTTTCCTATGTAATTTCTTTTTATATCTCATAGCAATCTTTAGTAGTTTCTTTCACTAAAATACAAATGTAACAAAACGAATAAAAGACAAAAACAGCAAAAAGCAAAAAAGAAAATATTGGAACTCCATCCCAGTACGGACACAGTGACACGTCAATATATTTGGAGTTGCAGCTTCTTTGAGGAATATAGTAAGAACTTATGTGCCTTTTTAAATGTCAAGGCAATCAATAAAAATGCAGGTCATAGAACAATTAAAGTTTTGATAATGCATTAATGATAGCAAAATAAAGACATATTTGTAAAGGAAGGAAATAAGTGAAATCTGTTACAAGTTTCAGAAATCTTACTCCCACCGCCGGCCTTTTTTGAACTTGGCATAACATAGGGAAGAGAAAATTTGAGTCTTACAAACTTAAATATACTTTATCAATGTCATGATGCATATTTAAATTATTACAAGGCAATGGATGTTTCTAGTCTAACTTTGACCATCGTTTATGTAATTCAAAAACTCCTTCTATTTGGCGTATTTCATTGGGGTGCAAATTATATAACTGAGAGGTCAGATAGGGAAATGCTTGATAGTAGAAGTTTTCAATTGTTCTCACTGCTGAACTATTAATATATAAGAAAATATCAAATAAAGCACTTATGGCACAAGCCCCTTGCTGTGAACCCAAAGTAAACCCCATATAATTCAAGTTTCAACATTCCTTATCAGAATTAATACAATAAATCAGATACAACTTGCAGTTCTTCAGAACAATGTAATTTGCAAATGTATTTAATTGAAATGCATTTATCCTTTGAAACAAAGGGCAGAGTTCAACTTGTAAAATAATGGGCAAATTAGATTAAGTAATAGGCCTCAGAGCATATGAAGTCAATAGTTGGAAGAGAACTGAGGAGTCCTAATACATGGTTCTTTTATTCAACCCTCCAATAATACTTTATCTTGTGTCTTTAATTACATAAAGATACTTTTGTGGTTTTGTTTTCTGCACAGAAATGTTCCCAAAGTTGGATTATCTGATTACTCTGTAGGCAAAGCTATAAATATATTAATTTAAAGAGAAAGAGTCACTTGAATTTTAAGATTGTGTTGGATTCACCAGATGTTAGAGAGTTTCTATGAAGATTACCAAGGGCATGACATTAAGCATCTAGTTGGTCAAGATACTAATCCACATATCCCTTTCTCTCAAAAAGCTGTTTGCAGGGAGGAAGGTAATCACATATGTGATTTAGGCAATTAAATTAAGTGAATAAACTAAAAAAAGTTTAGCGATTTTTTAAAAATTCACACACTAATAAAGGTCAGAGGTCAAATATCAATAATTTTTAAATTCTTAACAATGATAATGGTATATCTAATTCCCAAAAACACATTGATTCCAGGCTCTAAAATAAATGTGGTTTTTTAAATACCTCAAAACTTTCATATAATAGGTGAGAAAGCGATAATATATGACCTAATACATATCACTCCTGACAAAACGTTTTCAGAGACATTAAATCCATTTTTAAAATCTCTCCAAATGAAATAACATGAGATAACTACATTTAATTATGTAGAAATTGTCATGAGAAGAATTTCAAATATCTTTAGTTACAGGATTGGTTTAAGCTAGCAAAAACTTTTTTGGTATAATGCAAGCAAATATATTAAAATATATAAAACCATGATACCAGGGCCCACCATTGAATATTGACCATCCTGGGTTAAAGGGTAAGGGTCTTGTTTAAAATAAAAATACTCTTGGATGAGATATTAGTTTACAAGGAGTTTTCATGAGTAATATCTCCGCTATTCCTATAATAACCCTCTGATATAGGCATTTTTATTGTTCTTGTTTGTAACATGTAAATGTCTAGGATCAAAAATATTAAGAAAATGTTCCATGTCAACCAGTTAATTAGAACCTGATTCAAACCTAAGTATTTTGATTCAAGAACACCATAATAGAATCTATTACATTGTGAACCAATGCTATAAAATATGTGTCCTATGTACACACTATGTTCAATGCACTTCTATATACCTTCATGCACCTTTTATCAGAAATTAACAAATAATTCACATTAAAACAGTGTGTGTTTGTGTGTGTGTGTTGGGGGGTTGGAGATTATAAACTCAGTTGAAAATCTAATGAAAGCCAATGATTTCCCCTCCCAGGAAAATTCACGTATATACATATTATTCACACGTGGTTTCAATTAATTTCATGACCTCTTTCATGTCTCCCAAGATTAATAACCCCATTTTATAAAACCCTTCAAGTATGGACATCTTAGAATAGGATAAGTGGGACACAAATGCTTGAGGAGGCTTAGCCATATGGTGCACAGCTGTGAGGAAGCTGGAGCTTAGGAAGGAGAGGAGCTGTAGAAAGTGGTAGGAGGGCACCAAAGCTTGAGTCTCATGGTCATTTGTGTTCAAGGGTGTCTCTGCACATTCTGTCTTAAAATTTTGGGGGATAAGCTGCTCATAATCTTTTAGTTTCTCAAACTGAAGGTATTTTGATTTTCCCAATGTCTAGAATTTCTGTATTCTGATTATTCTATTGTGTGTCCACATTTCCCCGTGTCTCCTCCAATCATCAAAGACATATGAGTCATTCAGTGTTCCAGGAAGAAACCAGTGGCATGCTCACATTAGGAAAACTCAAGAAGTATCTTACCGGACCCTCTTAAAAAGTTTTGGACAGAGTATAGAAAATCCACAAAGAATAGTGCAGTATCTAAGGGTTAGTAACAGTGAGCTATTACTAACCTTGGATCTTGGGGGAGTGAAAGGGTGGAGTAATTATTAGTTTGGCAGTAGAAGAGTTGCGTGGAAACAATCTTAATTGATCAAAGGATCAATTAAGGGTCATTTAACTAAATAACCTGAACCCAGGCAAAATACCTGGGTTCAGATCATAGATATAATACTCAAAAATATCTATGGCTTTGGTCCCAGAACACTTCCATGCTGAGACAATCACTCAGTCTGGGGTCTATTAGAATAAATCCCCTGTCTTCCCGCTCAGACGCTTTGACTTCCTGCATGGTCTCCCCATTGGCCGGTGGAGGTCAGCGTGAAGCATGAGAGAATCATCAGCTGTGGCCTATTCAGGTCACTTCCCAAAAGCTAAAGCGAGTTAAGCCTAGATCCTAAGGGGCACGCAGAATATATCTAGCAAAACAAGCAAGAAAGCATGTACACACACACACACACACACACCACTTTTCTTGCTTCAGTCAAGTCCTGAGTATCATTTACTCAACGTAGAATTCAAGTTGCCTCTCTTTTTAGGAAGTCCTTCTTGATGCCCTGCCCCAGCTGTAGTTACAGGCTTTACACTGAAATGGCATTCTCTGTACTTTGAGTTGAGCTACTATGCAACTTGATTTGCCCTTCAGCCTTATGCAAATAATTATTTTTATACAGTTTTAGCTTCTTTATTAGTTAAGAAGAAATGCCTTAGACAAAATGGAGAGGCTTTGTTTTATACAGTGTAACTCTTTCCCAACACTTCAATAAGAGTTTGAGTAACAGACTGAGGGCTCTGAGAATTTGATTTTGCCTATTTTAATGTGGAGTATAATTACCAGTAATTTTTTCTTAAAGGACATATCCATCTTTATTCTTTCTTTCTTTATTTTTTTTTTTTTGCTTTGAAGCTCTCCTGACTAAAAAGCACTTTATCTGGATTGCTTAGATACTAATGTTTTCTTCTATGTTTTACGAAAACATTTTTTAATGCCTCTCAAACAATTTGTTCAACCTTTTAATTTTCTCAGGCATGGAAGACAGTCAGATGCATTCTAATTTTGATTTACATCCTATGCATAAATAAGATTAACATAGTACTTTTTTCACATATTAAGTTTTTTTTACTCATTTGATACATACTTTAATGTGAGATATTCATAAATAATTATAATCAAATATGGGACTTATTAAGTGTCTATAAGGGGATACAGTATACTACGTAAAATCAGAAGGGAAAGCTTATTTATTATTGGGGGCATGAAGAAAGGCTTTCTTGGTAGTTGTGCTGAGGAGTGTACAAACAGAGGCCTTTTGAGGTGGTTGTGACTAACCCAACCATCTGTAGAGACAAACAAGGTGATCCACCCTTCTTGTTCTACTCTGCTTCTCCTGAGGTCATATTTCTATTTACTTCCAGCACCTCAGATTCATAGACTGTCAGACTTAAGAGGAACCTAGTTCAACTCAGTGGTGATGAATGTGCTATCTAGGGAACAGCACTGGCCCCAAAATAAATAGCCAATTCAAGTCTAGTTTTGATTAGAAGCCAGATCTTTTGCCCCACTGATCAAGGTTCATGTTGCCTGCACACTGTCTTTGATGGAGATGTTCAGTTAACCTTAAGGAAACTGAGAATAAAGGTGCTGAAAGTGCTGACACTGCAGGGAATAGAGGAAGTAAATGTTTCAGAGAGATGACAAGAATAAATCTACAGTCCTGCCTTGTCTCTTAATACAAAAGCATAATCTGTTCAGATTCCAAACATGTTTCCGCCGGAAAGTATATTTTCAATCTTCTTGTAGATTGAAAATCTCAAGTCTAGAGATACTGTGAATGAAGAATAGGATTTAGGGCTGAATAGACAAACCAAACCTTTCAAAAGGAAAATAAAGAATTGCATATTATAGAAGTGGTAACACAAAGAAGCATAAAATACACAATTTAATATTGCTCTTGGATGGGAAATGTATGTTCCATACATGGCAGGGTTTTGACAAGTATTGAAAGCAATGTCTTATTTCCTAGTGATTGTAGATAATAAGCAAGGAAATTATTTATACCATAAAGTCCACACTGTAACTTAACTGGGACCATAGGTTAATGTTCATGAAAGTGGAAAAGGAGGCTGTATATAATATAGGAATAAATCTTTTTATAACATTTTCCTGCATCTACAAGAGAAAGCACTGCTCTCCTATTTTCACTAAGTCATTGGCATAACTTTTACTAAAAACTGAAGTGGTGTTTAATAACATCCTAGTGCTCTATAATGCAGAATTGTAAGATGAGTTAGAATGTTTGATTCAGGAAGTTCTCATCTTCATTTACGAACGTTTTACAGACTATACATTTTTCAGTTTTCCTTAGTTTTTAACCCATTGTTCTTTTTCTATTCCAGGATCCCAACCAGGCTATATTACATTTAGTTGTCATGTCTCCACTTCTTGCTTTTATGATTTCTTAGCATAAAATCCTTCTCTGTTGCTTAAGTTATTTTCAAATGTGCTTAACTGAAATAATGAGATAAACGTAGATAAAAAGTGTGAAGATCAGGATGACAAGAACAAAATTTCTTATATTTTATATTTCTATTACATCTGCCTCCCTAATTCTGTGCCTTGGCTTTCACTTCCTGATATTTTTAATATGAATTGAATTTACAAATCAATTTTAGTTTAGGGGTGCATTAATATTTTGAAACATAAGAAATGACATGTGAGGAAGCTGTACATGTGAGCAGGAAATCCCAAAAGAGGACCCCTTTCTTTGTGCCATGGAAACACAAGTTAACAATATTTAAGCATTTTATTGAATCTGCCAATTACATTTTAGCCTCTGTGCTCATTTAAAAGAATCACAGGAAAACAGGTAGCTTTTGCCAACATAGCTAACAAGACAGAATTAATACAGGAAATATTAACAACACTTTAAAGAACATCATAATTATGACATGATGTTCAAAGCAAAGATATGCTAAGGGAAGTATAAAATTAAGTGGGGAAATACTTTAAAAGAGATAATTACTTTCGGGGAATCTAGGATCAATTAAAATTGCTTGGAATATATACATATATAGTTTCAGTGTATATTATATATGAATGATTTTTCAAGGCTCTGGTGAAGAAAAGATGAATAATCTCTTTAAAAGGAGCTTATACTGTAGTGGGGGAGGGGGCATCACAGATGTATGCACAAATCATGAAAAGGCAGGTGTGAAAGGAAGTGCTGAGTGTGGGTTGAGTATGGAAGTGGCCACTCTCAATATTCTAAATTAGGTACTCTGAGGCCACTCTTAAATATTACTCCAGCCCAGCCCCGAGATCAGAAGAGCAAGGGAAGATAGAAGAACCAAAAGGCAGCCTGCAGGTAGGGGACATTTAAAGTCACAGCATATTGCCTGTGAAGAATGAATCTTGCTTCTTTCATGAGCATTACACCCACAGGGATCTACTAAACATCTTTGATGTTTAACGGAGCCTGTTAGCTTCACAATGCAAATGGTAAGGAAAATGACCAATTGGCTGTTTAAGAGAGCAAAGATGTATTGGTTTTTAGTCATTGTTGACTTCATTTTTAGTAATTGTTGACTTTGTAATAGAACTAAATGGCCAGTGAGTGGCCCAATTAGTTCTGATTCCCATTCTGTATTGTGTGTTTACATAAATTTCCCTGCTATTAGAGTTGACAAAGACAAGACAGACTATATGAACAGTAAGCTATGGTGACAGTCTCTTTCCAGTCATAGTAAAATATAAGATCTTAGTATCTTTTAACTGTGAGTTAACACATATGTATGTCTCTGAAAAGAAAACATTTTGTCGAACCTCAAGCATATAAAAAACACTCCATGCCACAGCCCAAAATAACAGTGGAGCCAGAAACTGTGTAAAGTTACAGCGAAGAAATCATTAGTGAACTAGAGAAAGCAATTATCTTAATCCCATTTGTTTACTTTCTTTACAACTCATTGGATCCCTACAGGAAGATTAAATGGAGTAGTGATGAGAGTTGGAGCATATTTGTATACAATTTGGATTGATTTTCCTTATGTAGAAGTGGCTAAAATTGTTACAGCATTATTTAAAATAGTTTTTAAAATAAATTTAAGATAATATAATTCAATATACCATTGCACAGAGGGTTTTTATTTTCTATGTAAGAGAAGAAAACGAGTGGATATCTGTTTTGCTTATTTGGTTTTGTTTGTTTGTTTTTGTTTTTGTTTTTGTTTTTGTTTTGAGATGGAGTCTCGCTCTGTCGCCCAGGCTGGAGTGCAGTGGCGCGATCTCGGCTCACTGCAAGCTCCGCCTTCTGGGTTCATGCCATTCTCCTGCATCAGCCTTTAAGTTTTCACAAAATATAAATTCTCCTGAATAAATGCAGGGTATTCAATGTATTCAAATATAAGAGGCTCATGTAGTTCATTCAAAAGGAATTGAGCTTAGAATGAAATTGAACATGTCAAAATAAGTTTTCCCATTAGGCATCTAAAAGTGTACTCTATATTCTTGCTACAGTTCATTACATCTTCCTCTAATACTATTTTATGATTTAATACTGCCACCTTCTAATTGTACCCGATGGTGTTAGCCATGACTACCAACAATAGAGATAGGAAACGATGACAGATGTTATTAATACAAGACAGAGGAAAAACAGGGAAGAAGAAAGGAAAGACCAAAAGGGGAAGACCATGAAGATCAGAGAGCAATGATTAGAAGAGTTAACTTGCTAGATACTATGATTTGTTTACCAATTTACAGGACCAATAGCCCAGGAAACAAATACTACACATTTTGCTGTTTGAAATTCAATTTGGTAACAAAAGTAATAAAGTATAAACTCTCACAAGTCATAAATACACATTAAAACTTCATAAATAGAGTTAGTATACTACTACCTGGGAAATTAATATACTGCTATCTGGGAAATAGTTACAACAAATCCTTCCGACTAACAGTAGCACTTTAATATGAGCTCATACAAACAATAAGAACACCAATAACCCACAGATAAAGTGAGAAAACGACATGAATAGACACCTATAATGTTTGTGTTCTCTTTACTTAATTTTTCATTCTATTGACAAATATTTTATTGAGTAATATGGTCGGCACTGTGGGCATGGAGGTGGCTATAATGAGTTTCTTTTTCTTGAGGAATACACTGTCACTTCGTTAGATACAGAAGTGTATATTACAAAGATATTAATAAAATATTGAGAAAAGACAAGGAAAAGACCCAGGAGTAGGGTCATAAAAAAGACTTGTCAAGTAATGAAGTGGTCAGTAACAGTAAAGTGGGTGGATGAGAAGGATATTCCAGGGAAAAACATACTGAAACCTATTTGTTTCTGTGAATGTGGAGTCCTCTGACTCAACCATAAATACTTAGTAGCATGAGACTTTTGACTTGTGCTCTGTCTCCTTTTCTGCTTCTGGATATTTATATTTAAGAAGAGGAATCTATCATGAAAAGAAGACAGATCATGTATCAGAAATTTCATTTCCATTATATTGATATAATATAAAAAGGATTGAATTTTAGAAAAGTGGTATTTGAGACAGTTCAGAGACAGAATAGAAAACATCTGGGCCATAATTGTGCCATAAATGTCAAAACAGTTTAACTACTCCAGTTCGATAATGCATAATAAAATTGCACGTACTTAGTGATACTTTCCAAAACAAAATTTAAATCCTGGAGATTTAAAAAGAAAAGATACGTTTATCCATTATGAAATAAGAATTGTCTAGTATAACTTATGTTTTCAATTGTGCAAGAAGTAATGTGACAAATTTTAGAGTAATGAAGTATGCAAGGATACTTCCTAAGAAGTAGTTTCATGATTCCAAAAGGGGATGCAGAGAATATACAATTTTCCAAAAGGTAATGTATGCATATACATAGGTTACATCATAGTAAACATCATCTCTCTCCGGATATTTTGCTGGCTCACATATCTTCATGGTTCCTTGAATTTCTGATTACTTACTTCTACCTCCTCCTTAGCTTTCAAATATAATTATCTTAAATAGCACTTGTCTCTAGTTATTGTATATTGTGTTGGAGGATAATGGAAATGCAAGTAGGCTGAAATTTCTGCATGAGGTTTGAGGAGACAAAGGGAACTTTTAATAGGTGATTTTGTTATATTGTGAGGTCAGAACTCACACAGCTTACCGTTCTCAGAGGTGGGAGAAACAAAAGCAATAAATAAAATCTTCAGTTGCCATTTTCCTTGCTCTTCTCCTCTACTCTTTCAATTTAGAGGAAAAAGATCACTTATCACTATTTAGAATTATATGCTGCATATCTTGTGATCTATATCTCCTCTCTAATTATGGGAGGTTTTTCACAATCTGTTTCATCAAGACTTGATGCTAAACAGAGTTCTCATCACTTAAGTAATTGTTCCCTGACTACTCAATAATAAAATGCCACTCACCCAATATTTTCCTTAGTTATATGAAGTAATAAATATATATCATTCTTTTTAATTTTTTATATCTTACTGATAAATATAATAAACTAGTTTCCTAATTACATTAAACATCTTTGTCCCAATTTCAATCTGTTCTCTAAAGACTGACACAATTCTAGGTCATTGAATCTCAACATACCCATCTTTATTTAGACTTCTTAATGAAAATCTCATGTTTCTTGTGTCAGAAATTAAGTAGCTCTGAAAAAAAAAATACAGCCCTAAATGCAGGTTCCTACTCCATTACTCCCATTCTAAATGTAACTATTCATTGAAAAATACTTTCCACCTATCTCTTTCTTTAAATACATACCCTACATTTCAAAATCACATGTTTATAAAGGTATTTTGATTTTTTACAGCTCAAAATGGTACCCATTATTTTGGCTTCTCAGTATTGGAGATGTGCATGTAGTTCTTTTATACCACAACTTCAACCACCCCAAACACATTTTCTTTTTTAATATTTTTTTCCCTTGAGTTTTATATCATAATCATTGTTAGATCTCAAGTCTAAATTTACCTTATTAAGACTGTGTAAATATTATTCATGGTTGAATTATAGTGTGTGATAGTTTCATTTCATTTCTTGCAACCCTTTGGTATTCCAGGAGTTAATAATTGCCTCTTTTTCATCTGCTCAGTTCTCTATATCACTAATTAGTCACCAAATTATCTGCAATAGTATATATCCCCTCTTAAAATATAACAACGAATTTGGAAATTAATATAACACATCATTTTTTTTTTCTCAAGGACATTCCTTCCAAAGCCCTCTGTCCTCTTGGTTTGGTCTAGTATAAATGATCTTTGAGCTTGCTGCACAATTGCCAACCTAGAATTTCCTTCATCTTTCTCATGGATCAGAGCCCTTGTATCCTGGAGCTAATGCCTTGCACTAAATGAAGTTTCTTCCTTGTTTTGATCATGATTCCTGACAAAGGACTTGGGGGAAATAACTTTTTGAGAACTTGCACGTCTAATAAAATACTCATTCTATGCTTATAAGTAAATGACAGTATAGTTATTTATGTAATTCTGGTTTGGGAATCCTTTTACTTCAGAATTGTGGAAGCATTGTTTCATTGATTCTAATTCCTAATGTTGCAGGTAGAGAAATCCATTGCCATTCTGCCTCTTTATTGTTTCAATGTCTATTGACTTTTTTTTTCATTCTGGAAGATCCTAGTGTATCATCTAATTGTACCCAAAATTCTAAAATGTCACTGTAATATAATGAGATGCAGGTGGCTTTTCATTACTTAGAAAATAAACTTTATTTTAAAACTGTTTTACATTTACAAAGAAGTTTGATGATAGCGGAGAGATTTCTCATATACTTCACTTTTAAGCCCTCCATTATTAACATTTTATATTGGTACTGTATGTTACATTTGTTACAAGTAATGAATCCATTCTGATTATATATATATCTATATATATGTATACACAATTTTACTTTAAGTTCTGGGATACACGTGCAGAACGTGCAGGTTTGTTACATAGGTATACATGAGGCATGGTGGATGGCCGCACCCATCAACCCATCATCTAGGTTTAAAACCCTGCGTGCATTAGGTATTTGCCCTAATGCTCTCCCCCCTCTTGCCCCCTATACCCCAACAGACCCCAGTGTGTGATGTTCCCCTCCCAGTTTCCATGGGTGCTCATTGTTCAACTCCCACTTATGAGTGAGAACAGGCAGTGTTTGGTTTTCTGTCCCTGTGTTAGTTTGCTGAGAATGATGGTTTCCAGCTTCATCCATGTCCCTGCAAAGGACATGAACTCATTCTTTTCTATGGCTGCATAGTATTCCATGGTGTATTTGTGCCACATTTTCTTTATCCAGCTCATCTCATGCCAGTTAGAATGGAGATCATTAAAAAGTCAGGAAACCACAGATGCTGTAGAGGATGTGGAGAAATAGGACCACTTTTACACTGTTGGTGGGAGTGTAAATTAGTTCAACCATTGTGAAGACATTGTGGAAATTTCTCAAGGATCTAGAACCAGAAATACCATTTGACCCAGCAATCCCATTACTGGATATATACTCGAAAGATTATAAATCATTTTACTATAAAGACACATGCACACATATGTTTATTGCAGCACTATGCAGTGTTTTAAATCAAATCATATCAAGGGAACATACTATTAATATGACTTATCACTCTTGATGTGGCTGAGGTAGTGCTTGTCAGGTTTATCTGCTATAAAGTCATTCTTTTTTAGCGTTTCATGCTGTACCCTTTAGAAGGAAGTCACTATGCACATTCCACACTTAAGGAGTGGAGAGTTATGCTCCCCTTACTTGAGGACAGAGTATTGACAAAAATTGTTTGGAGTTAATATACATGGGAAATTTGTTTCCTGTCTCCCATGTATTTGTTGAATTGTTCATTTATTTAAATCATTATGTACTAATAAATATTTATGTTATGCTTTAGCTTATAATTAAATACTACAGTATTTATTTTATTGCTCCCCTCCCCACTTTTTTTAAACCATTTGTTATTGGAAACATTTTAGTTGACTCTTGTGTCATTTTCACATACCTTATAATTATGGATTTTTTGGAGCACTTTATTACTTTCTGACACTATAAGATGTTCCAGGCTCATCTTGTACATTTTCTTTTTTTTATTATACTTTAAGTTCTAGGGTACATGTGCACAACGTGCAGCTTTGTTATATATGTATACATGTGCCATGTTGGTGTGCCGCACCCGTTAACTCACCATTTATATTAGGTATATCTCCTAATGCTCTCCCTCCCCCTTCCCCCTACCCCATGACAGGCCTCAGTTTGTGATGTTCCCCACCCTGTGTCCAAGTGTTCTCATTGTTCAATTCCCACCTATAAGTGAGAATATGCAGTGTTTGGTTTTCTGTCCTTGTGATAGTTTACTGAGAATGATGGTTTCCAGCTTCATCCATGTCCCTACAAAGGACATGAATTCATCCTTTTTTATGGCTGCATAGTATTCCATGGTGTATATGTGCCACATTTTCTTAATCCAGTCTATCATTGATGGACATTTGGGTATATTTTCTTTTCTAGTTCAATAATTAGTCATTTCTTCAGGCAGCCTTATTCCTTTTATTGAGAGTGGCTTGATTTATTGAAATCAAGGTGTGGGTACTAGGTGTGCTCAGTGCTACTGGGGTGATATTGTTTGTCATATACGCATATACTAACTCATGTATATACCCATATGTAGATTTTTTCTACTTGAAACCATGTTTACGTTAAGCTAAACATGAGTTTGTATCAACGGATGTCTCTGACTCTAATGCATTACCACGTAGATAGTTCTAGCTTCCTCCACTTCTTTATCTGCAACTTCCCACTCCAACAATTAGAAACCTGGCTCCCACTGTATTCCACTCATTTGCTTAATTATTTAATTAAAAAAAGTATAGTGATATCAGAACTGTTAACCTATAGTCTCATGGAACACAACTTTACTAACTAGAGTATAGTACTCAAATACAATTTATTTTGCCTTTAGTCTTCCATATGCAACTCATTTCTAAAGTTACTTAGATCAGTAGCTTTACCCTCCCCATTCTCATGACTTTTTTCATATTTTTGTAATATAGTTAGACTGTTATATTATTTTGTGCATTACATATTGGGATCCTCCAACCTTCTAAATTATTTTTTCAAAGTCTGCATATAATTCCTCCTTTGTGCTATAAACTTCTGTGAGTTCTGACAAATACATAGTATCACATATCCACCATTACAATATTATACAGAATAACTAAACCTTCTAAAAAAATGCCTTGTGCTTTACCCGTTCAATCTTCTTACTCTAACCCATTGCAAGCATCTTCTTTTTACTATCCATATAGTTTTGCCTTTCCCAGAATGTCATGTAATTGGAATAATATAACGTATAGCCTTTTCAGACTGTTATCTTTTGTTTAGCATTGTGTATATAAAATTCATTCATGCCTTTTTGTAGCTTGATAACTCATATATTTTATTGCTTAGTAATATTTAATTATGTGGATGTACGTTTTGCTTATTCAGTCACCTATTAAAGGACATCTTGGTTGCTCTAAGTTTTTGGTGATTATGAATAAAGCTCCTATAAACATCTGTATGCAAGTGTTTGTGTGAAGATAACTGTTTAAATCAGTTGGATAAAACCTATTAGCAAACCATAAGACTCTGTTCAGCATTGTAAGAATCTGAAAACAGTCTTCCAAAGTAACTATACTATTTTGACTTTCCACTGGCAATGAACGAGAGATCCTGTTGCTCTATAGCCTTGCCAGCATCTAGCATTGTCAGATTTTGTTTTTATTTTTTTTTTTTTGAGATGGAGTCTCGCTCTGTCACCCAGGCTGGAGTGCAGTGGTGCTATCTCAGCGCACTGCAAGCTCCGCCTCCCGGGTTCACACCATTGCTCCGCCTCCCGGGTTCACACCATTCTCCCGCCTCAGCCTCCTGAGTAGCTGGGACTACAGGTGCCCACCACCATGCCCGGCTAATTTTTTGTATTTTTAGTAGAGATGGGGTTTCACCATGTTAGCCAGGATGGTCTTGATCTCCTGACCTCATGATCCGCCTGCCTCGGCCTCCCAAAGTGCTGGGACTACAGGCATGAGCCACTGCGCCCAGCCAGATTTTTCGGTTTTAGCCACTCTAGCATGTATGTAATGGTGTATTCGTCCATTCTCACATTGCTATAAGGAAATATCTGAGACTTGATAATTTATAAAGAAAAGAGGTTTAATTGACTCACAGTTTTGCGTTGCTGGGGCAGCCTCAGGAAACTTACAATCTTTGTATAAGTCACCTTTTCACAGGTGGCAGGAGAGAGTGAGTGCCAGGAGGGGAAATGCCAGACATTTATAAAACCATCAGCTCTCATGAGAACTCACTCACTATCACGAGAACAGCATGAGGGAAGCCACCTCCATGACCCAATTACTTCCACCTGGTCCTGCCCTTGACACTTGGGGATTATGGGGATTACAATTCAAAATGAGATTTTTGGTGGGGATGCAGCCAAACCATATCAAATGGTATCTCATTGTTTTACTTTGCAATTCACTAGTGACAAATGATGTGGGATATATTTTTGTACAATTACTTGCCATCTGTATATCTTCTTTTGTAAGGTATACGTTCAGGTCTTTTTACACTTTTTAATTGACTGGTTTCCTTACTATTGAGTTTTGAAAGTTCTTTGTATATTTTGGATACAATCCAGTATATTAGATATGTATTTTGCAAATTTTTTTCCAAGTCTGTGGCTCGTCTTTTCATTTTATTACAGTGTCTTTGGCAGAACAGAAATTTTTAATTTTAATGAAGTCCAACTTATCTTTTTATGGTATTATGCTTCTGATGTATTTATGAACTCATCTCCAAATCAAGGTTCTAGAAGCTTTTTATTATACATTTAAGCCCATAATCCATTTTATTTTTGTTAAAAGTATAAGATACATGTTTATTTTTTGCATAGAATGTCCAATTGCTTCTGCATTATTTGTTGAAGAAACTATCCTTTACTCTACTGAATTGCCTTTGCTTCTTGGGCAAAGATCTATTGAATCCCCTTACATGGGTCTATTTCTGGGCTCTCTATTCTGGTCTGTTAATCTATGTGCCCATGCTTTCACCAATACCTTGTTGTCTTGATTACAACATTATAGTAAGTTTTAAAATTGTGTCATGCAAGTTCACCAACTTTGTTCTTCCTCTTTAGTATTCTGTTCATTGTTCTAGTTATTTTGCCTTCTCATATAAATTATTGAAGCATTTAAGACATATGTGTTAGGGATTTTTATTGGAGTTGTGTGGAAACCATAGAGCAAGTTGGGCACAACTGACATCTTAACATCAAATATGTGTGTACTTATTTACATTTTATTTTATGTATTTTACCAAAATCTTATAGTTTTCTATATATAGATAGTATATACATTTTCCTAGATTATTTATACCTATTGCATTTTTGGCGGTAATGTAAATAGTATTTTTATTTCAAATTCTAATTGTTCATTGATGACATATAGAAAAGCCATTGATGTTTTATATTAACTTTTTATCTTATAAATGCAGATAATTTTTTAACAATTTTTTTTCTGGACACTCAGAATGCTTCTCAATCTATATATTGGTATCCCTTGGTTCTCCACATTTGTTCTTGTTTTTTCCATCTTCTATTCCTGTCTTCCTACTGTTCTCTTTTTGTCAAACTCCTCTTACAAATTATGAACCTTTCTTGTACTGTTGGATTTTTAAAAAATTTTCCTTCTCCTGGTTTTATAATTTTTTGTTTTTGCTTTTGCGCTCAACCTCCTTTTATAAACTGAAATTTTTAATCGGTGTTGAGAATGGAAAAAGATATTTTTTCTTTTTAGCGACTGGGCACACTACCTTAAAGTCTAATGTCCTCAGTGAATACTTTAAATTTGATGTGAAATGTTTTAAAAATATAATATTTTTAGGTTTAATATTTTATGAATTTCAGATGTATTGATTTTTTTAATAATCAGATTTAACAATGTGTGTTATGTTTGAAAATATCATGTATAAAAACTTATAATTAAAATTCTAAACAGAAACTTGGACCCTCAGTAGCTGTAAGTTGAAATTCTTTATGGGAAAAATGCATTAAACTGTCCTGGGGCTTCCATTTTTTTATTAGTTACATAAATTAAAATGCATTTTATTGAAAAGGTTCTATATTTTCCCCAATCTATTTAACTCAGTGTCCCACTAATATATTTTGCCTTCTTTTTGCCACTTCATATTATATTAGACATATGGCAAGGGCTTTTTCTTTTTTTTTTTTAACTTTTAAGTTCAGGGGTACATGTGCAGGATGTGCAGGTTTGTTACATAGGTAAACATGTGTCATGGGGATTTGTTGTACAGATTATTTCATCACCCAGGTATTAAGCCTACTTTATGGGTAGCTCTGTGACATAGAAGTAGAAAATAAATGCCATACTTGTCCACACAAATCTGTTTAGCAATAATGAATGTAAAATGAAATAAAGATAAAAGGATGAGCAGAGGTAAGATTGGAGGAGAAATGAATGAAAAGAGAAGAAAAGAAAAAGCTTTTGCATTAGGAGAGGATCAGGAAAGATAACTAATGCAAAAGCTTTTTCTTTTCGTCTTTTTTCATGTTATATTTATCATCCAATTGTATGTCCTCTCATCTTTTTAACCTTATTTCATCTATTTTAAATCCGATTTTGCTGAACAACTTTGTGTGGACAAGTACAGTATTTATTTTCTACTTCTATATCACAGAGCTGCCTATAAGCCCTCAAGAAACCTACAGCCAATCACACGAAAGTCTCTCTTTAAGAAAGATGGGAATCGGAGCTAATACACAAGGTCACTCCAGAAGATCACTTTTGCCTAGTTCACAGTTTAGAAAATGCAACTTTCATTCTTATAAATATTCCATTTACATAAACTATATTGACAGTTCTTTTGATAAAATAACGATTTATTTATAAAGGAAACAAATGTTTCATGACAAAGTCAGTTTCTGTGAAGACAGTTTGAGTTCTTATAAAAATTTTAAATTGATTATGTTGAATGAATAAATATATGTCCCACATAATCACTTCTATTATTTTTTATTTAGTCTTTAAGTGTTTAGCTCAATACATGTCTGCTAAGTCTTTTCACTTTCAAATCCTTTTAGTAGGATAGCAATATTAATTTTCTTTGAGGATATTAAGTTTCTGCAATAGCTTCCCTAAGCTAGCAGTTCTGAGATATTTATTGTAATATACAAGCAAAAAGGGAGCCTGGCACAATGAAAATTAAAATAGAATTTGGACATCTACATTTGCTATTCAATTTTGTCATCATTTTGCAAGATGAATTATGACAAAACATCTTATTCCTCACAATTCCAGTTTTATATCTGTAAAATGGGAAGGCTAATAGTGTTTTCTAGATGATGTTTCTCATAAATCAGGTTTATAAACAGACAATGAAAAATATAGCATAAATTAAATCTCTTTAGACAAATTATTCTAATGCCAGCCCACTCCCAAATTATTTTAGCCATTTTGGAAATGGATTTCAACTTTTTAGATTAATATGTTTTCCTTGGGTAGGAAGTCAGATAACTGAGCAATTTGTTGGGCACTGTCAAAATGAATTTGGATACAGAGTATAATATAAATTGTAACTAGTCTGCTAGTATAGCTAAAATCGTTTATTAAAAGGGATTCATATTTTGAGAGAACTACAGTCATACTTACGAATCCTCTTTATGAAATATGTTATTACAAAAACTAAAAACAACAAACAAGAAAGAAAAAAACAAAACTAGATTATTTTTAAAAGGTGACTATCTCAGATTACTTCCTTACCCAGAAACTTGGTCTAGTCTCACCACTTGACAGCCTTATAGTATGGCAGCATCCTGAATCTCAGCTTACAAATATATTCACAATAACACAGCACAACATTATTAAAAATATTCAATATATAATTGTTCCCTGGAACAGGAAAATTACAGTGAATCGAAACCCCACATGTGCCACAGACTCCCAGTGTCCCTCTGCAAGGAAAATTTCCAATCCTTTGATGATTGTTTCTATAGTTGAGTTTTCGGAGCCTCTTCTTGAAATCTGTTGTAGTAATTTGTGGGTGCTGTCTAACAGTTGAGCTATCCAGGTCTGCTTTCGTGTTGTGGTTACATTGATAACTGCTTAGTACTGACTGTGTGCTCTGCTGGTATTGTTTTTCATGGGGTGGTTTGTGGCATGCTAATCTCTCATCCATGTAGAACATGTGTTACCCTGAGCATCCTGTATAGAAAGAGGGCTCTTGGGATTTCACCTCAAGATTCACAGCTGTTCTGCCAAAGTCCCAATCTCTAGCACTGCTGTCAAATGAGACATTACCTTGGAGTAGAAATGGATGCTTCCATTTAGTGTTTGTTATCTTATGCTATCTCAGAAGTTCACTCAAGAGATTATTGTGTGTAACATAGAGTGATACCCTCTCAACCTATTTATGGACTTTACCTTCTTTTCTTTTTAAGGATTTGAATCAACTGAATATTTTTAAAGTCAAACCATTTATACGGCAATTATACCAGGATTTACTTTTAATAAACACAACAGAAATTCACCCCAATTCTGGTGCAATTCCTACCTCTAACAAAAGGATTTGAAGGGTCTATTTCTTTTATCTAGGGAGATATGGTTACAATTTATCAGGTACTTATAAGGTGCTATTTTTTAATGGAAAGAGTTTTACATACACTGTCTATGTACCAAATATAAGTGAACTCTTTAGGGCTATTTTCATCCACAAATGGGGAAGTTATACATGTTAAGTAATTTGCTTATGTCACACATTTAGTGTGTGATAGACACTTAATTTGATTCTGAAGTCTATTTTTGATTCCAAAATCTGTTTTTTAATGTAACCTACATGTAGGACACATAACCTTTCAAATTTATCTCTACTGGTACTGGTGAGTAACTTTAGAATGACAAAATCTAGTCACTTCAGTGATAAAATATGGTTGCCAGTTTATAGCTGTGAGTCTGCATTTCAGCACCTTCTAGGCTGTTTCTAGTAGGAAGCACAAAGGTAAGGGTTAAGATTCCTCACTTGGTTAAAAAGGCCCCTCCTTACCATGTTATAACGAACTTGAAGGTATCTGTCAGTACAGACAATAAAAATAAATTATTTGAAAAGACCAGATGAGGAAGTATAAACAAGTATATCTTTATCTTGGTGAAGTAATAGGAGAAAATGTCAACAAATAGTTGAATATGTATCCTTTTGTAAGTCTATAAAACTAAATATCATGCATATGAAAGAAAGGGAAGAAAGTGGAGAGGAAAATATCTGATTAATGAGTTAATTGAATCAACTGAATATTTTTAAATTCAACCATTTAAAAGCAATATGGTTGAGATAGTAAAAACAAAGCAATGAAGTGACTGTTAATTTTTTTAACTAATAAACTTTATGTTTTAGAGTAATATTAGGTTACAGCAAAATTCAGCAAAAAGCACAGAGTGTTTTCATATATCCTGTACCCACCCATTCATGACCTTTCCCATTACCAACATCCTACATCAGAGGGGTACATTTTTATGATTGATGAATATACATTGACAAGTTATTGTCATCTAAAGTCAATAGTTTATGTTAGGATTCATTCTTGGTGTACATTGAATGGGATTTGAAATATGTATAATTACATGTATCCATCTTTGCAGTATGTGCAGAACAGCTTCACTGCTCTAAAAATCCTCTATGCTCTGCCTACCTATTCATTCCTTCCTCCCCCTAATCCCTGCAACCACTGATTTCTTTACGGTCTTCATAGTTTTACCTTCTCCAGAATGTCATATAGTTGATATCATACTGTATGTTTCCTTTTCAGATTGGCTTCTTTCACATAGTAATATGCCTTCATGTTCCCTCCATGTCTTTACATGGCTTGATAGCTCATTTCTTTTCAGCACTAAATAATATTCCATTGTCTAGATGTACCATAATTTATCTACTTGGCCACTGGAGGATATTTTGTTTCCTTCCAAGCTTTGGCAACTATGTGTACAGCTACTTTAAATACAGATTTTTCAATTTATTTGGATTCATTTGGGAAAATACCAAATTTTCAATTCATTTGACTTAATACGAAAAAGTGCAATTGCTGGATTATATGGTAACAGTATGGTTTTGTAAAACACTACCATGTATCTTCTAAAGTGGCTGTACCATTTTACATTCTCACCAGCCATAAACAAGAGCTCCTGCTGCCACATATCCTCACTGGTATTTGGTGTTGTCAGTATTTTGGATTTTGGTCATTTGTATAGGTATGTAATGGTATCTCATTATAGTTTTAATTTGAAATTCCAAATGATATGTAATGTTGAATGTCTTTTCTTAATGATAATTTGCCATTTACATATCTTTAGTGAGGTGTCTATTCAGGTCTTTTGCCCATTTTTCAATCAGGTTGTTAAATTTCTTATTGTTGAGTTTTATTTTTCTCATTTAGCCCACTAATGTGATGACTAAATTAATTGATTTTAAAAAATTCAATCAGTTTTATATATCTGATATACATCCCAGTTGGGGTATAATTATTTTAATACATTGTTGTATTATATTCGCTAATGTTTTGTTGAAGATTTTTCTATCAATGTTCATGAGAGTTATTGAATTATACTTTTCTTTTCTTCTAATGGCTGTCTGATTTTGGTATCAGGGTAATGCTGTCCTCATAGAATGAGTGAGAAAGTAGCCCCTCTGATTCTATCTTCTGCAAAATAATTGTAGAGAATTTGTATAATTTCTTCTTCACATGTTTTTGGTAGAATTTACCAGCCAACCCAGTTGGGCCTACTACTTCCTGCTTTGGAAGATAATCAATTGTTGATTCAATTTTTAAGTATAAGCCTATTCAGATTGTCTATTTCTTGCATCGGTTTTGGCAGATTGTGTCTTTCAAGGAATTTGTCCATTTTGTCTAGGTTATGAAATTTGTGGGCATAGAATTGTTCATAATATTCATTTATTATCATGTTAATGTCCATAAGATCTGTAGTGATGCTCTCTCTTTTATTTCTGATACTAGTAATTTGTGTCTTCTGTTTTTATTCTTCATGAGCTTGGCTAGATTCTCTTCAATTTTATTGATTTTTTCAAAGAACCAGCTTTTGGTTTTATTGATTTTCTGTCATTTCCTGTTTCTACTTTATTGATTTCTACTCTAATTTTTATTATTACCTATTCTTTTCCTTACTTTGGATTTAATTTGCTTTAATTTTCTAGTTTTTCTAAGGTGAGAGCTTAGATTATTGATTTTAGATCTTCTTTACTAATGTATACATTCAATAGTATAAATTTCCCATTAAACACTGCTTTCCCTGCATCCCACAAATTTTGACATGTTGAGTTTCTGTTTTCACTTAAAATGTACCAATGTGTTTTTAGACATGTGTTTTTTAATATGTAAGTATTTGAGGGGTTACAATTGTCTTCTTGATATTAATTTCTAGTTTAATTCCATTGTAGCCTGAGAGCACACATTGTATGATTTTTATTCTTTTAAATTTGTTAGGGTG
Source organism: Homo sapiens (assembly GCF_000001405.40). Lineage (NCBI taxonomy): Eukaryota > Metazoa > Chordata > Mammalia > Primates > Hominidae > Homo > Homo sapiens. Next base: position 45,809,298 of record NC_000005.10, on the reverse strand, counting down.
AGTTTCATGGCCCCAAATGAGGTCTATCCTGGTAAATGTTTCATGTAAGCTTAAGAAAAATGTGTAATCCACTGTTTTTGTATAAATAGTCTATAGATGTCCATTATAGCCAGTTTATTGATAGTGCTATTGAGTTCTCCTATGTCCTAATTGATTTTCTGCCTGTGGGATCTATTTCTCATAGAGGAGTGTTAAGGTGTCCAAGTGCTATCATTAATTTATCTATTTCTACCTGTCGTTCTATAAGTTTTTGCTTTACATGATGCCCTTCTGCTGGGAACATACGTATAAAGGATTGTTATGTCTTCTTGGAGTATTTTCCCCTTTGTTATTGTGTAATGCCCTTCTTTAGCCCTAATAGCTTCCCTTGCTCTTGAGTCAGTTCTGTCTGAAATTAATATAGCCACTTCTACTGTTTTGTTTAATGTTAACATATTATTATGATGGTGCAAAAGTAATTGCGATTTTTGCCATTAAAAGTAATGGCAATGGCAAAAGTAATGGCATTATTTTGAATGGCAAAAATCGCAATTACATTTGCACCAACCTAATTCATTTCCACTCCTTTACTTTTAAACTATACATGTATTTATATTTAAAGTGGATTTCTCATAAATATCACATAATTGGTTATCGTTTTTTGATGAACTTTGACAATCCCTAGCTTTTAATTGGTGGATTTAAAACATTGATGTTGGCCGGGCAGGGTGGCTCAAGCCTGTAATCTCAGCACTTTGTGAGGCCGAGGTGGGTGAATCACGGGGTCAAGAGATCGAGACCATCCTGGCCAACACGGTGAAACCCCATCTCTACTAAAAATACAATAAATTAGCCAGGCGTGGTGGCAGGCATCTGTAGTCCCAGCTACTCGGGAGGCTGAGGCAGGAGAATGGTGTGAACCAAGGAGGTGGAGCTTGCAGTGAGCCAAGATCGCACCATTGTGCTCCAGCCTGGGTGACAGAGCAAGACTCCATCTCAAAAAAAAAAAAAAAAAAGTAAAATTGATGTTTAAGGTAATTATTGGTATTGTGGCATAAATATTATAATATCTACTGTATTTGTTATTGTTTTTTGTTTGTTGCCTTTTTTGTTCTTTCACATTTTTTTCTGTACTTATTAGTTTTAGTTGAGCTTTTTTTTTTCTTTGATAGAGTCTTGCTCTGTTGCCCAGGCTGGAGTGCAGTGGCGAGATCTCCACTCACGGCAACCTCTGACTCCCGGGTTCAAGTGAGTCTCCTGCCTCACCTTCCGGAGTAGCTGGGATCACAGGTGCATGCCACCATGCCAGGCTAATTCTTGTATTTTTAGCAGAGACAGGGTTTTGCCATGTTGGCCAGGTTGGTCTCGAACTCCTGACCTCAAGTGATCCACCCGCCTTGGCCTCCCAAAGTGCTGGCATTACAGGCATGAGCCACCACACCCAGCCTAATTGAGCATTTTTAATGTTCCAATTTCCTATTCTATCATATATCAACTACACTCTTTTTAAATTACTTTTATTCAGTGGTATTCCTGGAATTTGCAATATACATATTCAACCAATTCACTTCCACTTTCAAATCACACTATACCATTTAACATCTAGTGCAAGTATCTTATAATAATAAGATATTCCTAGTTCTTTCCTCCTGCCACTTGTATCATTTCTGTTATTCTTTTCACTTATATTTAAGTGTGCACATACACATATGTATATACTATACTTACATATATTAAGTATATACACATTATTGAGGCCAGGTATGGTGGGCTTATGCCTGTTATACAAGCACTTTGGGATGCCAAGGCAGGAGAATTGGTTGAGGCCAGGTGTCCAAGAGCAGCCTGGGCAACATAGCAAGACCCTGTCTCTACCAAAAAACAAATTAGCTGGGTGTGGTGGTATGTGCCTGTAGTCCTAGCTACTCAGGAAGCTGAGGCAGAAGGATCATTTGTGCCCAGGAATTTGAGAGTATGATGATGTATAATCATGCCTCTGCATTCCAGCCTGGGCAAAAGAGTGAGAATCTCTCTCACAAAAAAAAAAAAAAAAAAATATATATATATATATATATATATATATATATATATATATATATACACACACACACACACACACACACACACACACATCACTTTTGAAGGATAATTTTTCAAGATACAAATTCTGTTAGTTTTTTTTTTTATGTGTATGTGTGTGTGATTTTTTTGTTGTTGTTTTGGTCTCTCTCTACATTTTAAATATTTCACTCCACTCTTCTCTTCATTGTATGCTTTGACAAGTCAGATTTAATTATTATCCTTACTCCATTACAGGGAAGGCATTTTTTTCCCTCTGGCTCTTTTCAATATTTTTCCTTCAGCTTTGATTTTCTGAAATTTGAATATATTATGCCTAGGTGTAGTTTTTTTAATTTTTTTTTTTTTTTTTGCGTTTATCCTGCTTCATGTTCTTTTGTTTCCTGAATCTGCGGTTTGAAATACAGCACACCATCGTGCTCTTCTTTAAAAAGCCTGCTCTTAGGAGACACTATTTTGCTAGAGCCTAACTTGCTGGGGCTACATCAGAGCCTAATCTCCTCAGGAGTTAGGAAGTACTCACCTCCAACTCCCTCCACTCATGCTGCATCACCTAGGGGTGGAAAATATTCAAGTCCTTGTTAAGTTCACAGTCCAAGTGCACAGGCTCACCAAAAGCCTGAGTCCTAATATAGGATGATAGAATGTTTTATCTCTCCCCACAACTTCTTAACTCTGTATTAATAAAGACCTATATACTGTAGTTCGTTTTACACAGTATATTATTTCTGCCTTTCAAAAACAAAAAACTACCAAGCATACTGAAATGCAATAAACACAGTTTGAAGAGATTGAACAAGCCTTGGAATTATCAGACCAAACTTAAAGGATGTCCACTGTCACTATTTATTCAAAATAGTACTGGAATTCCTGCCAGAGTAATGAGACAAGAGAAATTAGACAAAAGAAAGAGATAAAGGACATGCAAATTGAAAAGAATAAAGTTAAATTTTTCCTGCTTGCCCACCACATGATCTTATACATAAAAAACTCAAAGGACTCCTAAAAGTCCTAGAGACTCTGATTAGAATTAACAAACAAATTCAGTGAAGTTGCAGGATACAAAGTCAACATGCAAAATTAATAGCATTTCTATATACAGTAGTAAACAATCTGAAAAAAAAATCTCATTTACAATAGGTATAAAAAATTAAGATGCTAGGAATAAGTTTAATCAAGGAGGTGAAAGAGCTCTACAATTAAAACTATAAAACTGATGAAGGAAATTGAAGAGGACACATATTAATGGAGAAATATCCTGTGTTTATGGATTTGAAGAATTAACATTGTTAAAATGCTCATAGTATCCAAAATGATCTATAGATTCGACGAATTGCTTGTAAAAATACTAATGACTTTCTTCTCATAAATGGAAAAAGTAATCCTAAAATTTGTATGGAATCACAAAAGATCCCAAATAACCAAAGCAATTTTGAGCAAGTAGAACAAAGCCGAGATTTACAATATGTTACTACAAAGCTATAGTAACCAAAACAGAATGGTACTACCATAAAAATAGACACATTGATTAATAGAACACAATGGAAAACAAAGAAATGAGTCCATGCATTACAGCCAACAGATTTTTGATAAAAGTACCAAGAACACATATTGAAGAAAGGAGAGTTGCTTCAGTAAATGATGCTGGGAAAACTGGATATATGTGGAAGAATGAAACTACATCCCTATCTCTTACCATATATAAAAATCAACACAAGCAAGATGGATTAAAGACTTAAATGTCAGACCTGAAGCAATAAAACTACCAAAAAAAAAAAAAAAAAAAAAACAGAGAAAACGCTTCATGACATTAGGATCTGGGCAAGAAGTTTTTGAATAAGATCACAAACTCACAGTCAACGAAAGAAAAAATAGACAAATAAAATTACATCACACTAAAAAACTTCTGCACAGCAAAGGAAACAGTCAACAGAGTGAACATACAACATGCATAATGGAAGAAAATATTTGCAAACTATGTATCTGACAAGGAGTTAACATACAGAATACATAAGAAGCTCAAATAACTCAATTTTAAAAAGCAAATAATTTAATTAAAAATGGGCACATAAAAAAGAATGAGATCATGTCCTTCGTAGGAACATGAATGGAGCTGGAGGCCATTATCTGTAGCAAATTAACACAGGAAAAGAAAACCAAATATCACATGTTGTCACTTGCAAGTGGAAGCAAATGATAAGAACACATGGACACAATAGAAGGGAACAACACACGCTGGGACTTATTGGAGGGTCGGGGGGTGGGAGGAGGGAGAGGATCGGGAATAATAACTAATGGGTACTAGGCTTAATACCTGGGTGATGAAATAGTCTGTATAACAAACCCCCATGAAGCAAGTTTACCTATTTAACAAACCTGCACATGTACCCCTGAACTTAAAATAAAAGTTAAAAGTTAAAAAAAAAAATAAAAAATAGGCAAAAGATCTGAATGGACATTTCTCAAAAGAAGACATACAAATAGCCGATGCATATAAAAAAAAGCTCGACATCACTAATCATAAAGGAAATGAAAAACAAAACCACAATGAAATTTCACCTCACCCCAATTAGAATGGCTATTATCATAAAGACAAAAGATAACAAATGTTAGTGCGTAAATGTAAAGAGAGGAATTCATATACTGTTAGTGGGACTGTATATTAGCACAGCCATTGTGAAAAACAGTACAGAAGTTCCTCATAAAATTAAAAATAGGACTACCATGTGATCCAGAAATCCCACTACTGGGCATATATATCCACAGAAAATAAAATCAGTATGTTAAAAAGATACCTGCACTCCCATGTTTTTGCAGCACTATCCACACCGTGATGATATAGAATCAACTTAAGTGTCCATCACCAAATGAATGGATAAAGAAAAAATGGTCTATATAAATAATAAAATGCTGTCTGTCATACAGAAGAATGTCATGCTGTCATTTGCAGCCACATGGATGAACCTAGAAGACATTATTTTAAGTGTAATAAGCCAGACAAAGAAAGGCAAAAGTCACAGCATATCACTCATATATGAAATCTAAAAAGATTGATCTCATAAAAGTAGAGACTAGAATAAGGTTACCAGAGGCTGGGGAAGGTAGGGAGGAGACAACATGGAGAAAGATTGGTCAACAGGTATAGTTACAGTTAGACAGGAGGAGTAAGTTCTGGTGTTCTATTACACAGTAGGGTGCACTATGGTTAACAACATTGTATTGTATATTTCAAAATAACTAGAAGGGAGGATTTTGAGTGTTCTTACCATAAATAAATGATAAATATATGAGGCAATGTATATTTTCAATAACCTAATTTGATAACACAATGTATGCATGTATTGAAACATCACACTGTACCCCATAAATATGTGCAATTATTATGTGTCATTTAAAAACAAAATATAAAAAAGAGTATAAAACAATTTTAACCATGTGAGATGTAGTTAAAACCATGGTTAGTCAGATAGATACATTCTGAAATGTTTATATTAAAAAATACTAGTAGAGAAAAATCAATAATCTAAATATTCATTTCAAAGCTAAGAAACAGAAAAAGTCAAACCCAAAGAATGCAGAAGCATGAAATATTAAAAATTAGAAATAATCAAAGTTATAGACAACTAATTAAAATACAGTGTTTCAACAAAGCCAAAATTTTGTTCATTGAAATATCAATAAAATACAAAATTATCTGAAAAGAGCAATAAAAAGCCAATAAATAACTAATATTGGGAGTGGAAAAAGTAGACATTATAAATTTTATGGACATTTTTAAAACTTCTAAAATATATTATGTACTTATTCTCTTAAAGTTAAAAATATAAATAAAATGGAGAATTCCTGGAAAAATGCATCTTACCAAA